>NC_000008.11:113214222-114464222 GCF_000001405.40 Homo sapiens | reverse complement strand
TGCAAAAACAAATTCAACTTTTGAACAAAGGAAGACTGGGAACAAATTAATAGAAAAAAAATTTTGACAAATAAATAATAGTTAACCTAGAAGAATTTCACCACTTCCTTAGGTGCAAGGTATTGAGGATTAGAGGTATCAAATGTGAATTCTGAGTGAAATGGAGAGAATAGTACTAATAACATAAATTGGAAAAGAAAAGTTTCTTGGAAAAACCAAACTATAGTACAATATGGTGTTAAAATTATCTCTCTTTTATTATATATTATATAATAAATATATAATTCAATATTCTAATATAGAGTATGTAATACTAAAAATTGAGTTCACACATGAAGGATTTATATTTTTGTTTTGTTTTGCTACTTTGATTAAAAAAAGTATTATGTTGCTAGAAGTAGCAATGTATTAATGAGCTTGAGGCAGTTTGTACGTGTATGTTTATGTAGTCAACATAGTAACATTCATCTTGCGGACTGTACCATCCTTAATGAATCAAAGGGAATTGGCTGAAGAGTGCAGAATGCCTGGCGCGGTGCCTCACGCCTGTATTCCCACCACTTTGGGAGGCCAAGGCACACAGATCATTTGAGGTCAGGAGTTCGAGACTAGCTTGGCCAACATGGTGAAACCCTGTGTGTACTAAAAATACAAAAATCAGCCAGGCATGGTGGCTTGTGCCTCTCGTCCCAGCTACTAGGGAGGCTGAGGCATGAGAATTGCTTGAACCTGGGAGGTGGAGGTTGCAGTGAGCTGAGATGGTGCCACTGCACTCCAGCCTCCTGAGCAACAGACTGAGACTCTGCCTAAAAAAAAAAAAAAAAAAAAAAAAGGGGGCAGCGTATAGGGCATTGAAAGGAACAGAATCAGATTAGAGAGTTAAAGTATCCTAGGTCTCTGATATTTTCTGTTGACAAGTGTAAAATTGCCAATTAATATTTGTATTTGCTAAAATAAGGTTAAAAATTTTAATTTCTAGAAAATTACTAAACACAAGAAAAACAGGAAATTTCAAAATAATTATTCAAAATATTCAAGAAATGAGAAAGCATGTATAAAAATCAGGTGGCACAAATTTAAAGCACTTAATAAGTTAAAGACTAGAGTAAGTATAAATGCATGAAATACTCTAGTTACAATCAAATTGCTAAATAAATAATACTCAAGTGTAGACTGTGCATAATCAATACAAAAGATGTGGCATGCAAAAAAATTAAGATAAAAATAATTGAAATTAATTATCCAAAAGAAGGTTAATATATCTATATTATGATACTATATAAGACATACCAAGGAAATTTAATCACTAGAGATTAAGAAGATTATTTATATTGTTGAAAGATTTACTCCATCCATTCTAAAATTTCTGCATTTAATAGCTTGTTTCCAAGTATATAAAGCAAACAACAATAAAGCAAAAGTTAATTAAAAAGAAGAAAAGAAAAAATTACTATATAAGGTGATTTAAACACTCCTATTAGAGGTACACAGAATTTGCAGAAATGTCAGTAAAAATATAAATGAGCTTGCAATGTTACTAATAAAATTTACCTTTTAATATACACAGAGCTTTTACCATGAATATGCAATAAACACTTTTCAAGCACATAAAACACAAAACTCAGCGTAAACTACATCAAAATATAGAGATAAAAATCGAAAGATTGTAATCAACCAAAATATATTCTTTGATCGCAAGCAGCTGGCAAATTCTAGTGTTTCCTTTATTATTCTAATAAAACAAAGTATGACTCTTGTAAAATGTCCAAAATGTAGAGGAGTCATCTTCAAAAATTTTTCAAGCTACCCAAGGAAATTTACTCTTATGTAATACTTACATATTATTTTTCTTAGAATTTAAAATTAATTTAAGACACATATAATACTTGGTATCTTCAGTGAATGATTTTAAGATATTTTTAAAATAATAACCCATTTAAACTTCATAACAGCCCAATGAGTTAAGTATTTCTCCTACCTAAATTTTGGAGATCAGAAATTCGGGGATCAGAGAAGTTAAGTAATTGCCCTGTATCTCATAGCTAGTAGGTGGGACAATAAAATTAAACCTAAGATTTAAACTCAAATGATCTGTCTCTAAAATTAATTCCTAACCACAATGCGACACTGCAAATAGTTTTTGTCTTTTGACAATCATGATTATCAATGTATGGAAATGTTTTTCTGCTCATTTGCACTACCTACCTTGTGAACTTATACTGAATGTAACACAAAGATAACTAGAAATGTACATAAGATTGAGTTTTAATATGTATGTTTATGCACAGCCTATGGTATAATAACTCCACATAATACCAATAAAAGTATAGTTTTATTTTAATAATCAGAAACAATTGCTAAAGAAAATGTGGCACATATACACCATGGAATACTATGCGGCCATATAAAAGGATGAGTTAATGTCCTTCACAGCGACATGGATGAAGCTGGAAACCATCATTCTCAGAAAACTAACACAGGAACAGAAAACCAAACATCACATGTTCTCACTCATAAGTGGGAGTCGAACAATGAGAACACATGGACACTGGTAGGGGAACATCACACACCTGGGCCTGTCAGGGGGTGGGGGACTAGGGGAGGGATAGAATTAGTAGAAATACCTAATGTAGATGACGGGTTGATAGGTGCAGCAAACCACCATGGCCCATGTATACCTATGTAACACACCACCATGTTCTGCACATGTATCCCAGAACTTAAATATTTAAAAAAAAAGAAAGAAAGAAAGAAAGAAAGAAAGAAAGAAAGAAAGAAAGAAAGAAAGAAAGAAAGAAACTGTAGAATTCTAAAACTGGAAAAAAAAGTGCTTACTAAAACTAGGATAGAGACAGTGGTACTTAAGAGAGTAGCCTTAAATATATATGATAAAAGGAAAATGGCTGAAAATTATGGGTTAATTATTCATATAAAAATAAAAAAACATAAATTTCCAGTTTAGATGTGAACAACTGAAAGAGATCTTCATCATACACTCGCTCTAAAATCCAAAAGAGGTCAGATAGTCAACAAAGCCATAACACATCAGAGAACAGAGACACCAAGAAAAGTTGCTGAAATAAACTCCTGGAAGATCTTGGTTTAGCAATTCTGAAACTACTTGACATACTAGATTTCTTTGTATTGGGGGATTGAACAAATAAGTAAATTAATGGTAGATAATGAGTGAAGCTTCTCACAGCGTAAGAAGCAAGCAAAGGAAAAAGCCAGAATGAACCCTGTGGTGTTAGTCACAAATATCAGCATAAACTCTTATTTACTTTACCATATATACACTGAGATTGATAAATATTGATAGTCATAGATATTATATATGATTAATCATTTTATATCTGATTTATTTGGCTATATGTATTATTCTTTATATGACTGTAAGTAAATACACATGAGTTGGCATACGTACATATATTTCCTTGCTCTTTCTACTGAGGATACCTGTCAGCAGTGACACAGCAATAGCTATTAGCACAACCCAGATATTGGTTCCTAAATACCATTCTTATAGAAAAATAATACAGAGATCCTTGGAAAAACAGCTTATTTTAGGTCTAGGGCAGGGAAAATAAAATATGAAACTAGAGCATTTTGTAATGGCAAAAAGAAAAAGAATACTAAATATCAGATATTCTCACTTATAAATGGAAGTTATAAGTTAACCAGTGGGTACACATGGACCTAAAAAAGGAAATAAAAGACACTCATAACTCCAAAAATGGGAAGGAAGAGATGGGGGTGAGGGTTGAGCGATTATCTGTTGGATACAATGTTCAATATTTGGGTGACAGTAACATGAGAAGCCTAATTCCACCACTATGCAGTATTCCTGTGTAACAAACACATCTACCCCACGAATACAAAATTTTTTTAAAAAAGGAAAAGAAAAAGGGGAAGACATAGAAAAAGTTGAACCAAATAAAGCACAAAATTAATGGTAGAAAGAAAAATAAATCAATTAAAGCATGTAAAAAATATATTAATAACGTAAGCACATCAAAAGAACAGAGGAGACGAACTGAAAAAGCTTCCAAACTGGAAAAATTTGAGATAAAATTAATAATAATAGTAATTAATGATAACCCAGAAAATAAAATAGATATTGATGAGTATATAGTATATAAATAAATGATTGAATAAATAAATAAGTTAGGGAAAATTTAAAAAATTATAGTAGAATTTCAATAACATATTTATACATAGATATACGTTCAGATACTCCATTCTCCAGTAGATATAACTTAATTTCCTTCTCTTTGAGTGTGAGCTGGACTTAATGATTGTTTACAAGAAATACAGTACAAAGGAAAAAAAAAATACTAACCACAGTGAAATAACCCAGAAAACGCCACCTAAACCAGTGATCAAGGTTAACATTCTTAGTGATGCCTTTTTTTAGACGGAGTCTAGCTCTGTTGCCCAGGCTGGAGTGCAGTGACGCGATCTCGGCTCACTGCAAGCTCCGCCTCCCGGGTTCACGCCATTCTCCTACCTCAGCCTCCGGAGTAGCTGGGACTACAGGCGCCCACCACCACGCCTGGCTAATTTTTTTGTATTTTTAGTAGAGACGGGGTTTCACCGTGTTAGCCAGTATGGTCTCGATCTCCTGACCTCGTGATCCACCCGCCTCGGCCTCCCAAAGTGCTGGGATTACAGGCGTGAGCCACCACGCCCGGCCTAGTGATGCCATTTTTACAATGTGAATCTTCTAATATAATGCAATCGGAAGGGCAGCTCACCCTTGGATATTCTTCAAAGAAATCCTTACACTCTCAGTGAAAAAATACCAGACAATCCCAAGTTGAGGGCCATTCTACAACCAATTTGAACAGTATTCATAAAATTATGAAGAACAAGAAAAATGTGGAAAAACTAAAAGTGTCGCAGACTGGCAGAGACTAAGGAGCCATGACAACTAAATGCAATGTCGTGTCTTGAAATGGATCTTAGACAAGTATGGTTCTTAAAAACAACTATAGTTTTTTTTTTGTAGATTAACATCAAGCTGTTTTTTACTAAAATTAAAGTTTTCTTTTTCATTATTCAAAAACAAGGAATAGAGTAGGAAAAACTCTACACACACACACTCATATATATACCTTATGGTATATACACACAAATACACATGTACACATATATGTTCATAAATATGAAATAATGTTTAAAGCATAAAAGTATGCTCTAATTCAATCAATAAAATCAAATAATCCAGTAGAAGAATGAGCAAAAATCTCAATAAAGTTACTTCATCAAAGAAAGTAGCCAAATGGAAATGTTGCTCAATTACTTAATATTACTTAATTAACAAAAGGATACACATTCAAACTGCACACTAATTTGAATGGCTCTAAATACACATGATATTTTTACTGGCCAGCATGTTAATTAATTAGAAGTTACATACACTACATAATCGGATAAAACTATTTTGGAAAATTATTTGATAGTTACTACTACTGGTGTGTACATACATGTGTTACGGTCTAGCATTTCTATTTATAAATACATACCCAATAGAAATATGTTGATAAATTCACCAAAAGATGTGTACAGTAATGTCCATAGAAGCTCTGTTATCAATAGTCAGAACACAAAAACAATTTAAATATCAACTAAGAGAACGTGATAAAAATATTTGATATATGTTTACAATGAATTATTACAGCACAATTAAAATAAACTATTGCTACACACTGTGACATTGATGTACATCACCATAATAGTGTACTAAATAAGCTGGACAAAAAGAGTCTGTACTGAATGATTAATTTACATACAGTGATTAAAAATACAAATCTAATCCATGAGATTGAAATGCAGGTAAATAATTGCCCTTCAGGCAGTGACTGGAATGGGGCTCAGGGGAAAGGAGAGGAGCTCCTGTGTGGAACATAATATTGTATTGCATAAGTTATTAATATATAAGTATGTTCATTTTATAAAAATTAATTTTACAGTAGACTTATGATTTCTGAATTTTATAAATATATACTATACCACAATAGAACGTTAGTAACAAAATAAATTATTAATGTAAGACCATCATTGGTCAATTTCCTTAGTTCATAAATAGTTATTTTAAGAGAGTAGGAAATAACACAAAACAAGTGTTATTTTAAAAATAGAAGCATGAGAAGATGAATCTAAAATGAATTCTATATATTAATTTTCTTCTAAGTACTTAGTTTATACAAGGGATCTCAAGGCCATGATATTATAAAGTGACAACAGAGCCAGCAATATATTTGGAAATAAACATATTGTAAAAAAACATTTAAAGAGACAAGAATTAATGATATCAGAATTAAAATGAGTTTAGAAAAATATGCTTATCCGTATACTTTAATTTTTCAATATATTCTTCAAATCCTCTTTAAGGACATTTATTCTGGTAATCTAGAGTAAGAAAGTAAGGAAAACAGAATAACACTATGCATTTTATATTGATTTTGTAATTCATATGTCACACTATTATATTATTTGAATAAGAGATTTAAAATATCTCAATTCTAAGATGGTGTATACATTTTAGTCTTCTTTAAATAGAGAGCCTTCCTATGACCTGTTTTTATTTCCTGGTTGCTAAAATAAGGTAACTTTATTGAGTTAAATATATCTAAATTATCAACTAACATACAGATTCTAAGACATCAACAACCTTGAACTTCTTGCAACTGGAACTGGCAACTGGCTGGGTTTTTTTTTTTTTTAAGACACTTTGATAACATTAAATATTTCTATTTTAGTATTTCCAAAACAGTTGAATTGCATGAACTTAGTGCCTGCATATTGGAAGATTTAGTTACCATAGTGAACAAAAACATGTGCTCTAGCAAATCTTATTTTATAATAAGAGCATTTTCTCTCTTATGCTCTTTATAATATGCTCATGTAGTAACATGAATAAGAGTGAAAAATAATAATGTGTTGACAGTTCAGATTAGCTCCTTAAACTTGCATCTGAGTTTTCTTTAAGATCTTGGTTTTCAATAGATGTCTGGAAAGTATGGTAACAAATGAGCAATAACCATATCTGTCACAGGTATTTTGCCAAATAAAATAAAGCATAATTTTTATTATGCCAGACAATTTCAATTTATTTAAACAGAGGGAAAAAAAATGAATTTGAGTAAAAGTAGACGGGTTTTGAGTGGGTATGCTAAAACATGCTGTTCACATTCAAGTTTTCTTTGCATGATATAGATTTCCTAAAATAACACACTCGTTTTGTCATTCATTGATCAAATAATGATGGTGCTTCTACTATGTGCAATGCCTTATTATGGAAGGTCATACAAATGAACAAGACAAAGGTCCTTGCCCTCATGAAGTCTACATTCCATTGAAGAAAGTTGTGCAAACAGTGAAACATAGTTAACAAGAGACTTCTATATTATGTGGGAAATGGTAAGTGACGTGGAAAAATTATATAGTAATTAATAGCAAAGCAAGAAAAGTAAATGTGTTGATTGGCTGAGTATGCGTAGCTGCATGGCAACACTTTGTGGGGGCAGAAAATTATTCAGGGCATGTTAAAAGCCTTGAAACAGAAACCAGTACATGGTGCTTTTTGTTGTTTCTCACAACTAGGATATAAGGATCCAGGAACTCAGGGTTGGAAATAGAAGTAGAGTGTGTGGGAGGAAATGAAAGGAGATGAGAGTGGCTGGAGTTTTGCTCAAGGTGAAGAGTGTAAGAAAACATGGGTGGAGGCTGAATTATGCTGACAATTGCAGGGTTTAGGTTTTATTCTACGTGAAATAAGAAGCCTTGAAATGACTTTGATTAGGTAAGTGAAATAATAGAATATTAAGAAGCTTTTAAAATTTTTATTATTATTATTTTTTTAGCGCTCTGGCAGCATTAGGCTAGGCTGGAACAAGTGAACGGGCTGGGGGTTTTGCAGCAGGTATGGAGATTGACGTCACTTTCTGGGTAATGCTGTTGGATGGGGAGTTGGAGAAAAGAATGGAGACAGAATTACTGATTGGTTATATGTTTGGGATAAGGGGGAAAGGAAGTGGAGATAAAGTATGGGTCGAACATTTCTAGTTTGAAGAGTAGCTTAGATAAATATGATAATTATTGCGATAAGACAGAATGTGAGGTACTAGGTATGGAGAAAGATGTTTTGACTTGGTGAGAAAATCCGAGATAAATATTTAGGATATATTTAGTTTCAGATAAATTTGAGACTTGGAAGAGGAGATGTCAATTACTTAGATAGGGATCTCATAGAAAATTTCTTAGCTAGAGATACAAATGTGACTGTAAACTGGATACATGTATTTTTACTTTTTTAAACATTTCTTAGCTAGAGATACAAATGTGACTGTAAACTGGATACATGTATTTTTACAAATATGACTGTAAACTGGATAAATATATTTTTTACACTTGGATAAATGTATTTTTTAATACATGGATATTACTTTTTTTTAATATCGAGGAATAAACAGAGAGCCAAAAATTGTGGCTGAAAAGTTCTTTATCCTGAATTCAAATAGAGTATGTGAGCCTATAAAATAAATTAAAAAGCATCCAGAGAGATGAAGATGAAGAGAAAGGTGAAAAGGGGGAAGAAAGAGGAGGAAGAAAAAATAAAGACTTAAAAAAAAAAGTAATGAGAGACAAAATAACATTTTTTTAAAGGAGGGAGTGGTCTATTAGATGTAAGTCTTTTGAGGATTTGAGTAAAAGTCAGTGGGGATCTACATACCCCATTCTTGTTCCGTGGTACCTGACACAGGTCATTGGTAACCTTAACAAAAGCATTTTCAGTAGGATGGTTTGAAGCCAGAATCCAGAACAAGGTGGACTGAGGTATGAATGAAAAAGGAAGAAGTAACATTAACCTCTTTAGACATTTTAAAAATAAATTTGGATATATATAGCACAGAAATGTGACAATAGAAGAAAATATGGGGCAAAGAAATGATACCATTTGTATTCTGGCTGAAATTTGTTGCCACCTGGGAAATTTTATTTGCAGTAAGTTTAATAGGTAGAGAAGAATGTATAAGGCTTAAATCTAAGGGCTGTGGAGTCAGACAGCTGGGCCAGATCCCATATATTTCACTTGATACCAAATATTTTGCTTGATGCCTGTTTGATCTTGAGCAAAGACACTTAACCACTCTAACCCTTAGTCTCTATCTATAATGTGTCCGTAGTATCTACCTCACAGTTTCTTGTGAGAATTAAATGAAAGAATGTACATGAAACATTCAATGGAGTCCCTAACATGTGGTAAATGGTCAATTAAGTTTGATTCTTTTATTCTTTTTTAGTCTGATTATCATTATTTCTTCCTAGTTAAACATGGTAACTACCTTTGGTCAAACTGACAGAACCAAGGATAAATGTGGAGCCTGTCTATGGTGATACTCACTTTTATTATGTTTTCAGAGAATATAAAATTATTTGCTGTGGCCTTAGTTTGCTTAGAGAATATTTCAACATTCCTACTCCTCAAATGCAGGATTTGGGAAAATTATTTTCAACAAAGGGATGGGTCAATCTTGAACTGAGGATGAGGTAATTCTACAGATTACCACTAGAGGACAGAAGAGGGTCATTTAGGAACAATTTGTTCTGGCTGCTAGGACAAGTTTCTCTACTATGGGAAACTCAGAAACCAGATGTTTCAATTAAACTCATTATTTTTAATTTAAATAATGGAGCAGAAGTCTTTCCGAGAGTCAAAGTTTGTTTTTGCATTTCAAAGGTAGTAAGGGGACAATTTTCATTTTATCATCCTGTCCTTGTACTTCTCTTATAGCTCTCTATTCTGCATTACGTTATTTTTATTTGTTTACATGCTTGTCATCAACCACTATTATATGTAAGTTTTTGAAGCCTTGGATTGAGTCTCACTTGAGCAGTTCTTTCTCTTAGTAGACTCTCTAGGGACTAGATTTCAACAGTGATTATCATAAAAGTAGAGAGAGACAACTGTAAGATAGTTTCAGGTTAATGTTTAGGGAATCCAGCATACAGGTAAAGGATACACACATTCCTCCATACATTTGATATGGACATGTGTGTAGAAAGCCAAGGTCAATGTTAGAAAAGTCAGTTAGTGTGCACTTAAAGCGTATTCTCCTGATGAAGGATCGGTGTAAAAAAAACAGAATTTATTCATTGTATAATGCACGTCCATGTCATGTGCTAACATGCATTTTTTCATTGAATACTCTCAATAATTCTGTCAGATAGAGATTCCTGTCTTTATTTTACAAATGCAGAAACCAAGACACAGAGAAGTTTAGCAACTCATGTCAAAGAACTAGTATATAGAAAAGTCACACCAGACAAGATGGGCAAACGGCAATTTATTCTGATAGAAATGCCAGCAACAGGGGAGAGAGCACAGACAAAGCCTGGAAACTCACCTTCATGGAACAAAGAGTGGGAAGAATTTTAAGAGCTAGGGTGGGTGATTCCTAGGTCATCTGAGTTTCTTAATTGGCCTTACCCAAAGGAAAGCTAAACTTTCTCTTCTTACCTTCATGGCCAGAGGTGGTTTTACAACTTGGAGCAAGGAGCCCACTGAAGTTAGTCCCCTGATCACCCACAGAGACTAGGAGCTGGGTGCACTGTCTTCCTTAATCTTTACCTTTCAAAGAGAGAGTCCCCAGGGCATCGAAAAAGAATGTCCTGGATTATAAAACTTGTAAGAGGCTTTTTAAAAATTTACATCTCAAAGGACAGAGAAATAATTTACAATGGCAAGTTTTCTAAAGTAAATGCTCTAAGAAAAGGAAAGTCAGGGACTTGGAGTCAGGAAGAAGCCTGTCCAAAGTTAAGACAAGCTGAGGTGAACATTCAGGTCAACTTGGTCAGAGTGAGGTTTAAAGTCTGGTCATTATGACACAAAATATCATGCTATTTTTACTGAAAGAATTGGACAGCACAATCTAACATAACCAATTTCATGGATATTGCTGGGCAGTAATATATATTTATTGAATAAGTGTTCTGTTCATAAAGAACAGAAACCCCCTGAATTTTATCACCCAGAGTTAGATCCAGATATAGAAATTTAAATTCAACCATACATACATACTACAATTCATATAGCTACTCCTATATGAACAAACACAATGTCTTTAGATACATCATGATCAATTACAGCAAGAGTACTTGAAGAATACCACCCAACATCACACCTTCCATATTTTGCTCAGAGTCACATTCTCTCCTTATTGAATTTCCTGAGTTAAAGAAGAGTGGATGGGGCTTCATGCCACATGCCCTTAGCTCTTGAATTCTCCCTTGCAAATAATGGCCTCAGAGACGTCTCAAGACTTTTCCAAATTTATTTACATATTTTTTCACTCATTAACTTGGAGAGGGAATAAAAACACAGTCCCACATTTTTAGGGCAGTAGACTGAATTCATATAGGTTGATATATCCAGTACCTCAAATACCTAGTTTAAAGAAGACCAGTGATTACACCTTCAGATAACAAGATAGTGAATTTTCTTCAGTGTGTATAGCAATGAGATAGTAAAAGAATGTTACCTAGAGAGGATGTGGGCTAGAGAGAGAAATGCAAACAAATCATAGCCTATGGAAACTTTTCATAAACACTAAGTGAAGATCTGGAGCAGCATGGGCAAGGCATTTGGCATCCCACTTTCTTACATTGTTTGTTCTCCACACTTTCTGGGTGATAGTCAAAAACATCAATTAATATTGCAGCATATATAATAAAAAATAAAGGCAGAAAACAAAAACTAAGAAAACAAACATAATAACAGCAATCATCAAAAGTTTCCTTCCAACCCATACCAACTCCAGCCATTGCCTGTTCTCTGTGATGTGACAGTATATGAATCATGAAATTAAGAAAATAACTTGTCAGTTTTTTTCTAAACTAGACAACATAAGCCTTCATTTTTATAACATAGTTGACCAATCAAATAATTATTAAATTGCCAGTATGGTAAAAGAGCGAAGAATAAAAATAAAAATTTGAAATTACGGAATAAATTCACAAAAAAGTACAGATTGATTATCAAAAATCCAAATTCTTAAACCTTGGTGTTAATCATAAAGCTGTACATTAAAACAGATTTAATCAAACAAATGCCTAAAAATGTGTAATTGGAACACACTATGTAATTCCTTTGCGTATGGTCTGTAGCTGACTTCATACTACAAGAGCAGAGTAGTAGTTGCAAAGGAGATTGTATGTTCCGCACTGCCTAAAACTTTTACAATATGGACCTTCATTGAAAGAGTTTGCCAACCCCTGCCATAGTGCAACAATTCATGTACTTGTGGCATTTAGTGTTTCTATAAGCTAGAGATGATGTCATAAGCTGTGTCACTGCATATTTCCTTTATCTTTCCCTTTAATGTGTTTGTACAGTAGCTAAATATTTTCATCAAACAAGAAATAGTCTGAATTGCAGTGAATAAAGCAGGAAAAAAATACTAATAATTTTGAAAACATCACCTCAAAACATTTGCACATAATTTTACATACCATAGTTCACTCTTCGTGAAATAAGCCCTGATATCCAGCATACTTAAGCACTAAGATACTCATTTCATCATTTATTTATAAGATAAAAATTTAGAAACAGCTTCAATATCTGACAATGCAGAAAATCTTCAAAATACTCTAAATTACTTTTACAGAGTAGTTAATTCTATGCTTATATAAAGGTTATGGCAATAGAAAAAATTATATTAAATTATACCTAAGCCCATCAATCATGCACAGGATGACATCTGACCAGAAGTAACTCTTACTAGTTTACCAGAGGCCGTCTACAGAATGGCCTGCTTGTGACCCTGTTTCTAGGAGAGACTTTTCCATGCCTCATAGCACAGATGTCTGGGTTTTCTATTATGTTTTAATTAAATTATTAGTGTGGATTGAAAGCTGTAGTTTGATGAAAATTTTAGATTTGGCTGGAAGCAATCGTATAGTTTACTATCAAACATAAAGTGCTTGTCAGAATGTTTATTTTGTTAGACAGTTAAGCACTCTTTTACAAATTATTTTCATTAATACATAATAGCATTTATTTATGGGATATATGTGATATTTTGGCACAAACATACAATGTGTCATGATCGTGTCATGATCAAGTCATCATATTTAGAATATCCATCACCTCAAGTAGTTATCATTTCTTGGTGTAAATAAACACTAAAATATGTACAGCCTACATAAACATCAAGTTCTTCATGTTTTTATCTATTATTCTTGCAAATAACCTGCAAATAACCTGTACTAATAGTCTATTTTCATTTTTGTTCTGTTATATGTTCTCCTGGAAAAATGTATGCACACTCTAAGCTTCTCTAAATTACCTTTTCTTGACACAGTAATTTATCAAAACTAATTTTGATAAGACTAGTAAAGCTAATATGGTAATCTCCCTTTATAAGTATTTTTATTTCCACAGTTTCAGTTATCCTCAATCAACCAGGGTCTGAAAATATTAAATGGAAATTCCCAGAAATATGTAATTCATAGGTTTTAAATTGCACACTGTTCTGAGTAGCACAATGAAACTGCATACCCATCCTTATCTGTCCTGCCTGGGACATAACTCATCCCTTTGTCCGGGGTATCCAGACTGCATACTCTATTTGTCATTGACATCATCTGCTCCTGGCATCCAATCATCAACATTATGGCTTGCTGTTCCAGGATTACCCAAAGCAGATGATTCCTCCTTCTTATGTATTTTCTGTAGTATGTCACAATGCCTGTGTCGTTCACCTTACCTCATCTCATCATGTTGACATTTTATCAATTTGTATCATCACAAGAATGGTGAATACAGTACAATAAGATATTTTGAGAGAGACCATACTCACATAACATTTATAAATTAAATCAATAATAAAATAACATTTATTATTGGCATGTAATACAGGTAAAAACCTGGCATATATAAGATTTGGTACCAACTTCATTTTCAAGCATCTACTGAGGGTCTTGGAAGGTATGTTCTCCAGTTAAAGAGGGTACTACTGTGCTACTGAGTGGCTAAATTTTCTCATCACCCATCCCATTAGTATGTTTCCAATTCTTTTTCAAGCCTTAAGGGGGGAGAGACTTTTTTCCCAAGCCTTAAGGGGGAAGTAGGAATTGTGGGCACCTGATACCCCTGCATATTATGTGTTTCTATCACTGAATGCTCAACCTATCTCTAATCTGTCTGAGATACAATCAGGCATGATTACCGAACAATGGAAACTCATTAAGTGTTCTTAGTCTCTAGGCAACCACAGCTGTCAATCAGTGGAGCTTGAAAAGAACCTTTTCAAATATTCTTAAAAAAAAAAAAAAAAAAAAAAAAAAAGAATACCTTCTTGAATATCTTCACTTTTCTCCAAGACCATTATTTTTAAGGCACTTTTTAGCCCAGAACTAGATTGTTGTTACTGTTGTCTAACTAATTTTTTTAAAGTCAACTTTTCTTTCAGATTCAAGGGGTACATGTGCAGGATTGTTACATGGGTATAATGCATGATGCTTAGGTTTGGGATACAAATGATCTTGTCATCCAGATAGTGAGCATAGCACTCAACAGTAAGTTTTTTAACGCTTGCCCTCCTCTCTCCCTCTTCTCTTTATTAGTCCCCAGGTCTATTGTTGCCATCTTGCGTCACATATTCTTGCCTTCTCTCTTCTGAAAAATTAAATACCTTAGGGTTACTATGAAAATTCTCTATATATTTATGTCTATATTAGCCCTTATTTATATGCTGTACTTTTTGTTATCTGTCTTTATTACCAAATACAATCTTGGTTCTATAAAGCCATGAACATTTTAATTTTATCCCAAAATGACAAAAATATCTGAAAGGTAAGTACTCAATAAATAATTCTATCATGGGACAAATATGAGTCGAAAGGATGGATAATAGGATGAAGTGTAAACTCTTTTTATGCTTTCTAATAATCTGTCTCATGCTAGGGAACAAATCTCCACGAGCATGTCATATTGCTGTATAGATTTGCTGAGCAAAGGGCACTGACCACTTTTTAAAGGAAATTAGCATAATAAACATTCTTGGACACAAGAAATAGTGTCTCCCTTCTAGTTTGTGGGTAGGCTTATTTTCTGAACAGTATCATAATGAAAGTATTTTCCCGTCTCCAAAGTCATTTCAGGATAATAAATTTACCCTCCTCTTCTCAAAGAGGATTGAAGACTAAAGATAAATTCCCATTTTTTCCCCCTAGAAGGAAGAATGGACCAGACACCAGAAGCCCTTATGTGACATCAGAACCAGATCCTAATTTCAGATTTCCTCTTCTATAATACTTACCACTGCATGTATGGGTAACATTTAACACTTTTTATAACATTGCAAGAGGATCACGGATTGGGGATCTAGGACTGATTATATTCTGACTGCCACTTCTGCCATAAGTAATACAGTGTTTGTGTTTCTAGTCTTATGTCTTTGCAAGTACAGCAAAGGCTCAGACCTTCACAGTTCCTAACTCAACAGACACAATCTACCATGTTAATATAATCTGCAACCCTCATTCTTAATTATTTAGGCATTGTACGCACTGTTCATGTAAAGCATTTCCCTGAATACTGGCACAGATTTTTTAAAATAGACTTTTTAATTTTGAAATAATTGTATATACATGTACAGAATAAAAAACACAAGGAGATTCTATGTTCATCTTGCTCAATTTCCCAAATGATATCTTGTAAAACTATGGTATACAATATCACTACCAATATATTCCATTGATAGAATCCACTAATATTACTCAGATATATTTGATTGTACCTGTATTTATTCATGTGTGTCTGTGTGATTTTAGTTCTATATGATTTATCACATGTGTAGGCTTATATAAATTACAGGGGTCAAAGTACACAATAGTTCCATTGCTACAAGGATCCCTTCCACAGCTCTTTCATAATCACAACCAATTACACCACAGATAATAATCCATTCTCAATTTCTATAATTTTGTCATGTCAAGAATATTATATTAAGGAAACAATACAGTTAATAATTTTGGGGACTGGCTTGTTTACACTCTGCATAATTCCCTGAAGGTTCATCCAAATTGTAGCATGTGTTCAGTTGTTTATTCTCTTTTATTGCTGAGTAGTATTCTAGGATATGGGTATAATACAGTTTGTTTAACCATATATCCATGTAACCATGTATATATCCAAATGCCCAAGAATAACATTTGTGTTGTTTCCAGTTTGGACCTATTATGACAAAGATGTTACAAACATTTATGTACACACAGATTTTATTGTAAACATAATTTTCAATTGTCCTGGGACAAATGTACATGAATGCAACTACTAGGTCTTATTAATTGCATGATTTTTTTAATTATTAAGAAATTATCAAATTGCTTTACAGAGTGACAGTACCATTTTATATACCCATTAACAATATATGACTAATCCCATTTGCACAAATTCTTATAAGCATTTGGTGGTGCTTTTATATTAGCCATTGTGATAGATGTATTGTGATATCTCATTGTAGTTTTAATTTTCAGTTACCTAATGGATAAAGATATTATATTTATATGTGCTGCTTTGCCATCTTTATATTCTTATTTGTGAAATATCTGTTTATGTCTTTTGCCCATTTTATAGTTGGAGTGTTTGTTTTTTGCTGTCTACTTTTCAGAGTTTCTTTGTGTATTTCTGATACTCACAATTTTATATGTGCTTTGCCAATTGATATAATTATGTGATTTTTCTCTTTTGGTCTATTGACATGATGGATTACATTATTTGATTTTCAAATGCTGAACCAACCCTACTACCTGGAAAAATCTTGCTTGGTCAATAAATTACTGAATCAATTTGTCAATATTTTGTTGAGAATGCTCACATGTATAATTATGAGAAATACAGGCCTGTATTTTATTTTTTGTATGGGTTTTGTTTGTCTATTTTTGGCATAGGAATAATATGAGTCCCATAAAATAAGTTGGGGGATATGCCTTCCTCTTCTATTTTCTGTTACAGATTGTATAATATTGGTATTAGTTCTTCCTTAAATGTTTGATGAAATTCTCCAGTGCAGCAGCTTAGGCATGACCAGGAACTTAATTATAAATTTAATTCTTTCTATGGTTATAGAAGTATTCAAATTGCCTATCTCAATTAGGTTTGGTTAGTTTGTGTTTTTTGAAAGAATTGTTCCATATTTTCTAAGTTTTTGAATGGATGAGCATAAAGTAATTTACAGTATTCTTATTCTTTAAATGAATAAAGTATATATAACAATATTTTTGTTTATACTTGATATTAGTAATTTGTCTTTTTTGCAATTTTAACTTTTAGTTTAGATACAAGAGGTATACGTGCAGGTTTGTTACATGGGTATATTGTATCCAAGTAGTGAGAATACATGTGAGCATTCTCAACAAAATATTGACAAATTGATTCAGTAATTTATTGACCAAGCAAGATTTTTCCAGGTAGTAGGGTTAGTTCAACATTTGAAAATCAAATAGTGAAACCCATCAAGTAGGTTTTCAAACCATGGCTGTCTTGGTTTCTTCTTCCTTTAGTAGCCTGCAGTATCCATTTTTCACATGTTTATATCCATCTGTGGTCAATGTTTAGCTCCCACTTATAAGGGAGAACACGTGGTATTTGGCTCTCTGTTCCTGCATTAATTCACTTAGGATTATGGCCTTCATACTGCAATCTAAAGGCATAATAACTAACAATCCATGTTGCAGCAAAGGACATGATTTCATTCTTTTGTCATGGCTGCATAGTATCCCATGATGTATATTTACATTTTCTTTATGCAGTTGGCCACTGATGGACAACTAAGTTGATTCCACATCTTTGCTATTGTGAATAGCACAGTGATGAACATACAAAAGCATATATCCTTTTGGTATAATCTATTTTCCTTTTGATATGCACCACATAATGGCATTGATGTGTCAAATTGAATTCTGTTTTAAGTTCTTTGGGAAATCTCCAAACTGCTTTCCATAGTGAGTGAATGAATTTATGTGCCACCAACAGTGTATAAGCCTTCCTTTTTTCTCTACCACCAACAGTGTATAAGCCTTCCTTTTTTCTCTACCACCTTGTGAGCATCAGTTATCTTTTTGACTTTTAATAATAGCCATTCTGGCTAATGTGACATGGTATCTCATTGTAGTTTTGATTTGCATTTCTCTGACGAGAAGTAATGATGAAAACAAACAAATGTATTTGTTGACTGCTTGTATGTCTTCCTTTGAGAAGTGTCTGTTCATGTCACTTGCCCATTTTTAATGGGATTATTTGCTTTTTGCTAATTGATTTAAGTTCCTTATGGATTCTGTGTATTAGACCTTTGCTGGATGCATAGTGTGTGAATATTTTCTCCCATTCTGTAGATTGTCTGTTTACTCTGTTGATAGTTTCTTTTGCTCTGCAGAAGCTATTAAGTTGAATTAGGTTTCACTTGTCAATTTTTGTTTTTGTTGCAATTGATTTTGGTGACATAGTTAAAAATTCTTTACCAAGACCAATGTTGAGATGGGTATTTCCTAGGTTTTCTTCTAGGATTTTTTATAGTTTGAGATATTATATTTAAATATTAATGCATCTTGAGTTAATTTTTGCATGTGGTGTAAAGAAAGAGTCCAGTTTCAATATCCTGTGTATGGCTAGCCAGTTATCCCAGCACCATTTATTGAATAGGGAGTCTTTTCCCCATTTATTGTTTTTGTCAGCCTTGTCAAAAATCAAAGATCAGATGTTTGTTGGTGTGTGGCTTTATTTCCAAGTTTTATATTCTGTTGTCTTGGTCTGTGTGTTTGTTTTTGTACCAGATGCATGATGTTTGGTTTCTGTAGCCGTACAGTACAGTTTCAAGTTGGGTAGTGTGATGCCTCTGGCTTTGTTCTTTTTGCTTAGGATTGTTTTGACTATTCAGGCATTTTTTGATTCCATGTGAATTTTAGAATAGTTTTTCTTAATTCTGTGAAGAATGTCATTGGAAGTTTGATAGGACTAGTGTTTTGGCCAGTAGGGCCTTTTCACAATATTGATTCTTACAATCCATGAGCATGAGATTTTTTTTTTTTCATTTCATTTCTTTGTGTCATGTCTCATCTTCTTCAGCAGTGTTTTTAGTTCTTCTTGTAGAGATATTTTACCTCCTTAGTTAGCTGTATTCCTAAGTACTTATTCTTCTTTTTGGCTATTGTAAATAGGATGGTGTTCTTGATTTGACTCTCACACTGGACATTATTGGTATATAGAAATGCTAGTAATTTCTGTACATTGATTTTGTATCCTTAAACATCCCTGAAGTTTTTCACCAGTTCTAAGGGCCTTTTGCTGGATTCTTTAGAGTTTTCTAGGTATAGAATTATATCACTAGTGAAGAGAGACAGTTTGAGTTATTTTCTTATTAGGGTGCCTTTGATTCTTTCTCTCCTCTGATTGCTCTGGTTAGAACCAGTACTATGTTAAATAGGAACAGTGAGAGTAGGCACTCTTGTCTTGTTGCAGTTCTCAAAAAGGTTCCAGTTTTTGACCATTCAATATGATGTTGACTGTGGGTTTGTTATAGATAGCTCTTATTATTTTAAGGTATGTTCGTTTAGTGCCTAGCTTCTTGATAGTTTTTATCATAAAAAGATGTTAGATTTTATCAAAAGCTTTTTCTGCATCTGCTGACATCATCATATGGTTTTTGTTTTTAATTCTGTTTAGTGAATCACATTTATTGATTTCTGTATATTAAACCAACCTTGCATCCCAGGAATAAAGCCTATTTGGGAATTAACTTTCTGATGTGCTGCTGCTTTTGGTTTGCTAGAATTTTGTTGAGGATTTTTGTGTCTGTGTTTATCAGGGATATTGTCTTGAAGGTTTCTTTCTTTGTCATGTCTCTGCTAGATTTTTTATTAGGCTAGTGCTGGCTTCATGAAATGAGTTAGATAGGAGCACCACCTCCTTGAATTTTGGGAATAGTTTCAGTAGGATTTGTACCAGTTCTTTTTATGTCTGATTGGATTTATCTATGAGTCCCTCTAGCCCAGGCTTTTTTGGTTGGTAGGATTTTATTATTATTATTATTAATATTATTATTATTATTATTAATTACTGATTCAATTTCAGAGCCCCATATTGGTCTATTCAAAGTTTCTATCTCTTCATGATTCAATTGTGGAAGATTGTATATTTCTAGTAATTCCTTTTTTTTTTTTGGAATTTCTGATTTGTGCGCATAGAGTTACTTATAGTATTCTCTGAGAAGCTTTTGTATTTCTGTGGTATTAGTTGTAATGCTGTCTTGGTCATTTCTGATGTATTTATTTGTATCTTCTCATTTTTTTCTTTGTTAATCTAGCTAGCACTCTATCAATCTTGTTTTAGTTTTTGTTTTGAAAAACCTATCCTTTGTTTCATTGATACTTTGTATGGATTTTGGCATCCAATTTTATCAAGTTATCTAATTATGAGTATTTTTTTTATTCTATTAGCTTCTTGGTAGGTTTTTTTTCTTGTTTCTTTAGTTGCAACATCAGATTATTAAGAAATTGAGATGTTTCTAACTTTTTGGTGAAGACATTTAGGGCAATAAATTTTCTTTTTAACATTCTTTAGCTGTATCCCAGATATTTTGGTAAATTGTATCCTACTTTCATTAGCTTCAAATTTTTAAAAAAATTCCTGGCTTTATTTTAATGTTCACCCAGGAGTTCTTCAGGAGCAAGTTGCTTAATTTCCATGTATTTGTTTAGTTTTGAGAGATCTTCTTGATTTTTATTTCTACTTTTATTGTACTGTGGTTCAAGAGTATGCTTAGAATAATTTTATTTTAAAAAATTATTGAAACTTGCTTTATGATGGAGCATGTGGTCGATCTTAGGATATGTTCCATGTGCAGATTAGAAGATTGTATATTCTGTGGTTGTTGCCTGTAGTGTTTTATAGGTGTCTATGAGGCACAGTTGATTAAGAGAACAGTTTAGGTCCAGAGATTCTTTGTTAGCTTTCTGTCTTGAAGATCTAATGCTGTCAGTGGGGTGTTGAAGTCTCTCACTATTACTGTGTGGTTGCCTAAGTCTCTTTATAGACCAAGAACTTGTTTTATAAAGCTGATTGCTCCAATGGTAGGTGCATATATACTTAAGACACTTAAGTCTTCTTCTTGTATTGTATGCTTTAACATTATACAATGCTCTTCATTGTCCTTCTTTATTTTTATTAGTTTAAAATCTGTTTTATGTAATATGAGAATAGCAACTCCTACTTTTTTTTCTTTCCATTTGCTTGGTAGATCTTTCTTTAACCCTTTACTTTGAGCCTGTGGGTGTTGTTAGAAGTGAGCTGGGTCTGCTGAGGAAAACAGATGGTTGGGTCTTGTTTTTTCTTTTTCTTTTTTTCTTTTCAGGTTGTCACTCTGTCTTTTAAGTGGGACAATTAGTCCATTTCCATTCAAGGTTAGTATTGTTATGTGTGATTTTTATCCTGTCATTTTGCCGTTAGCTGGTTATTATATAGACTTGACTGTGTGATTGCTTTATAGTGTCTGTGTGCTATGTGCTTAAGTGTGTTTTTGTGGTAGCAGATGTTGTTCTTTTGATTTCATGTTCAGCCCTCCCTTAAGGACCTCTTTAAGACTTTTCTGTTTGAAATGAATTCCCTTGGCATTAGCTTGTCTTAAAAAAATTTTTACTACTTTACTTATGAAGCTTAGATTGTCAGGATATGAAATTCTTGGTTGGAATTTCTCTTCTTTAAGGATACTGAAAATAGGCCCCCAATCTCTTCTGGCTTGTAATGTTTTTTGCTGAGAAGTGTGCTGCTAGCCTAATGTGTTCACTGTCTATGTGACTTGACCTTTCTCTCTAGCTGCCTTTAAAATTTTTTCTTTTGCATTGACCTTGGTGAATCTGATGAACACGTGCCTTGGGCGTGGTTGTCTTGTATACTATTTAGCCAGGGTTCTCTGTATTTCTTGGATTTTCTAGTCAACCTCTCTAGCAAGATTAGGGAAATTTTTATGGACTGTATCTCCAAATATATTTTCCAAATTACTTATTCTCCTCTCTCAGGAATGCCAATCATTCATATATTTAATCTCTTTATATAATCTCATTTTTTTGGTAGTTTTGTTCATTTTTTTAAAATTCTTTTTTCTTTATTTTTGTCTGTCCGAGTTGATTTAAAGATCCACTCTTTGAGCTCTGAGAATGTTTTCCTCAGCTTGGTCTATTCTGCTGTTAATACTTTGACTGTATTATAAAATTCTTATAATGACTTTTTAAGTTCTAGAAATTTAGTTTGGTTCTTTCTTGAAATACGTCATCTTTCAGCTCTTGGATTGTTTTACTGTATTCCTGGATTCCTTGGGTTGAGTTTCAGCTTTCTTCTGAATCTTGATCTGCTTCCTTGCCATTCGAATTCTGAATTCTGTGTCTATTATTTCAGTCATTTCAGACTGGTTAAGAACTATTGCTTGGGACTTGTTTGGAGGTAAGGAGACACTCTGGCTTTTTGAATTGCCAGAGTTCTTGCATTGATTCTTATCTGGGAGGGTTGATGTTCCTTTTACTGTTGTGTAAGGTGAATACAGTCAGTTGGCTTCATTTCTGGGCTCTTTCAGAGGCTCTAAGACATTTACATGTGAGTGAATTATTGTGCTTTGTTTCACAGATGTATATATTATCAAAATAATTTTGGTGTTATGATTTGGGCTGTGATCCAGCAGATGATGCTTAAGATTGATGGCCTGTAGCTAGGCTAATACCCAGCTACAGGGCTCTTTTGTACTTCCTCAAATTCACAAGCATGCTCTGCTGTAGGGGGTGGAGAGAGATGATCCTATCACCAGGTTCATTTTGGACCTTGGGGGAGCCTCCTCTGATTGCTGGCGCTGTACCCGTGCTTCTTTTGTTAGGTGTTCTGGGTGATGGGGCTTCCTGGAGCAGAGGCATAGCAGTGAGATATGCCACACCCTTTCTGAACTGACTCTGAGGAGGGAGGCATGCCCTGCTCTCGCTCCAGCCCAGGAACCTGCACATCTCACCCCTCTCAGTGCTCTGAAGGTGGGGACTCCTCCCATGCTTGAGTGCCTGCTATAGATCTTGGTTGTACTCTGAAGTTGTGTGCCCTAGCCCTAAAGGCACTTGAACTTCCAGCAGCTCAAGGTTGTACTGGGGGATCTGATGTGCCCCCGTGTCACCAGTAAAGTACTCAGGTGGAGCAACACACTGAGGCTAGGTTGTGGAGGCAGGCTGTGCAACTGCTCCTGTGGGGCAGCTAAGCATGGGCCCCGGGAGGGGCTGGTGGGCAGAAGGGTTTGCAGAAGAAGTGCAACCCAGTCCTGTGGTGAAACGGGCCCCACTCTCTCCCGTCTCACAGGTCAGCTGTGGCTAGCACCTCCTAGAGGTATATGGGGACCCCTGGAGGATGGACATCTATGGCTGCTCTCTGCTTCATCTACCCAGGGCACAAAAATCTCCCAGGCTCCACGACAAGTGAAGGGCTGTGTCTGCTCCCTGAGATGACCCTCTCAGCTCACAAATCCATGAGGAACATGGGTTCCTCTGTAACTAGGATCCCGGAGGTCCATGGTGAGAATGAGCTATCCCTCACTCACCCCTTTCCCAGGAGCTTCTCTGCTGGGGACCTAGCCCTAAAGTTCATGTACCCCCTGGAGGATTTCCAGCTTCCTCCTTCTTCAGTCTTCAGCTTTAGCATTGCCTCTCCATCCATTCTCAGTGTTTTCTCTCTGAAAGTCTGATTAAAATATGGTGGTTTACTCAATAATTTGGTCTTTCTTGGTGGGAGCAGCACCCCCCGGCGTGTCTAGTCCACCATCTTGTCTCTATGGAAGCAAAGCAAAATAAATTCCGTTCCCTATGAACAAGCACTATTTCCCATGGCACCACAGGAGTACATGTGGGGGTGGGAGAGGCTCTAGGAAGCAACAATGAACACACCTAATTTGTCTCTCCTTCTCCTTCTCTTTCTTCTTCTTCTTTTTTTGCTGGCCTTTCACTAATTTTAAAATATATATATATATATATATATATATATATATATATATATATATAGCTTTGTATTAGTCCGTTTTCACACTGCTGATAAAGACATACCTGAGACTGTGAAGAAAAAGAGGTTTAATTGAACTTACACTTCCACATGGCTGGGGAAGTCTCGGGATCATGACAGGAGGCAAAAGTCACTTCTTACATGTCCATGGTAAGAGAAAAATGGTGAAGATGCAAAAGCAGAAACCCCTGATAAACTCATTAGATCTCATGAGACTTACTATCATGAGAATGGCACAGGAAAGACTGGCCTCCATGATTCAGTTACCACCCCATGGGTCCCTCCCACATCATGTGGGAATTCTGGGGGATAAAATTCAAGTTGAGATTTGGGTGGGGACGTGGGCAAACCATATCAGGCTTAAATTTGCCATTTTAATTTTTCTTTTTTTTTTTGCTTTTCTTTCTTTTGTTTGTATCATGACTTTCTATATTTGTAATTTTATTAATTTATGCTGTCTACATTATTCCTTTCCTTTACCTTGCTTCAGGTTTATTTTGCTTTCTTTCTTCTGGTTCATGAGGTAGAAAATAAACCCATTGATTTGATACTTTTGCTCTTTTCTAGTGTAAGCATTTAGTGTTAGAAAATTTTCTCTGAGCATTGTGTTAGCTATATCACACATATTTTATATGACATATTTTATTTGATTCAGTAATATGTGCATTAAAAATCTTTATTTATGATTATCCTGTTACTCTTATATTGTTTTGAAAGTATATGGTTTAATTTCTAAGATCTTGAATGTTTTCCTGTTGTTGTTCTGCTATTTACCTCTAGTTTGACTTCATTATGGTCAGAGAGCCTACTCAGTAATATTCAGAAACACCACCATGGGGAGTCCCTAGGACTTTCTTTTTTAGCTGTCATAAATCTGGACTGGGTACTAGAAAGATCTGAAGTTAGAAGCACCAGCATGAATAGACAAAAAGAAAAACAAAAAATGAAAACAAGAAAAGCTCACTCTATCTGTCCAGAGGACTGGAATAAAGGAAGCCCAGGAGAAAGTTAGTGGGAAGACCAATGCCGAGTGGCTGCAGTGGGCCTCATCTGCCTGCAGCAATGGCAGAAGCAAAGTTTTAGGGACCAAATCCACATCTAGCTTCAACAGCAGACCTGAGCTGCCTATAGCAGAGGCTACAGAAGATACCAGGCAGACCAACTCACTTCATGCTTCACATGCACTGCAACAATTGTCTTATTTGCTTATAGCAGTGTCCATAGTGAAAAACGCCCGCTGTAAGCATCAGACTCCTTCACACTTCTAGCACCAGAAGGATCAGTGTCTTACAGGTCTTCATACAGTAGCAGAATGTGACTCAGATCCTGTCTGCTAGTCCTCCAGACAACAGCAAAGAGCCACACAGACTAAGTAGTTCCTGAACCTCCATCAAGCAGCAGAAGATCATTCAGGGCATGTGTCTCCTCGCCGCTGCCCAAGGGCAGACAGCAAACCAGGCCTGGTGTCTCTTAACCCTCGACTTAGTGTGAAGCAGGCTGGATTCTTTAGAACCCTCCACTCAGTGTCAGAAAACCACTTGGGACCCTGTAACCCTTGAACCTTCACCCTGGAGTAGAAGGCAACTCAAGTAAGTGCTTTCCTCCCCTAGGGACAAGAGGGATAGAGTGGATAGCCTAGTGACACCAAGTGGTGATAAAAGAGACCAGTGAAAACATTCTCCATTACACATGTCTAGCATTCCCTATCCCTCATCTAAAAACCCTCAGAGGCCCAAGGAAATGTCTTCTGCCCCCATGGCGGGGCAGTAGCATAAATACAATAGGAGCTCCAGTGGAAGCATAAGAACAAAGCCCCACAACAGTCCCCAGTGTGTGATGTTCCCCTTCCTGTGTCCATGTGTTCTCATTGTGGGGTGGGGGGAGGGGGGAGCGATAGCATTAGGAGATATACCTAATGCTAAATGACGAGTTAATGGGTGCAGCACACCAACATGGCACATGTATACATATGTAACAAACCTGCACGTTGTGCACATGTACCCTAAAACTTAAAGTATAATAATAATAAAATTAAAAAAAAAAGAAAAAAGCCTAGAGCAGCATTACAAGGGATAAGAAAACTAAATTGTCTTTGTAACAATAGCTCACAGACTAGGTCAGAACATACATACATGCTAGAGGGGCCAAATGATAAAAAAGAAAATTTAAATAAGATTGCCTACTAATGAGATATCTAAATTATTGGTAACACAACCAAAAATTATTCATCATATGAAGAACAAGGAGAAATACAATAGGAATGAGAAAAGACAATTAACTAAAGTTATTACTAACATGAATCAGATGTCGGAACTCTCTGACAAAGATTTTCTATCAAACACTGTAAAGGTGCTTGAAAAAGTAATTATATATTTCCTTGGAAAATTTTAGGAAAGAAATAAAAGTTATTAAAGCAACAACCATATGGAAATCATATCACTGAAAAAAAATTAATAATAAAAATGAAAAACTCACTGAGCCTATTAGTAGACTAGAGATGACAGAAGATAGATTTAGTGTGCTTGAGATGAATAGAATATTTCTAATCTGAAAAACAGAAAGTAAACTGGAAAAAAAAGAACAAAATTTTAGGGAGCTGTGACAAAATAACAGTTCCAATGTTTGTATTATCAGAGACCCAAAAGGGTAGGTGAAAGAATGTGAGGTTGAAAAATACTCAAAGAAATAATGGTTGACTACTTACCAAATTTGGCAAAAGGCTTATAAGTCTATCAATTTAAGAGGCTGAGTGAATGATAAATAGGAGGTATCCAAAGAAAGCTTTACCAAGAAACACAATAAATAAACTTTAGAAAAAAATACAGGCCAGGCACAGTGGCTCAAGCCTGTAATCCCAGCACTTTGGGAGGCCGAGGTGGGTAGATCATTTGAGGTGAGGAGTTCAAAACCAGCCTGGCCAACGTGGTGAAACCCCATCTCTACTAAAAATACAAACATTAACCAGGTGTGGTGGTGCGCACCTGTAGTCCCAGCTACTCAGGAGGCTGAGGAAGGAGAATCTCTTGAACCCAGGAGGTGGAGGTCTCAGTGAGCCAAGATCACACCACTGCATTCCAGCCTGGGCAACAGAGCAAGACTCTGCCTCAAAAAATAAAAATAAAATAAAAATACAAAGAAAAAAACTTGAAATCAAGTAGAAGAAAAAAATGTATTACTAAAGGGAAACACCAATTCAAGTGACAGTGCATTTCTCATCTAAAATCGCTGAGGCCAGAGGAAGTAGCATAACATTTATAAAAAGAATTTAGTAAAAATAATTATTAAAAGAGAGTCTTGATCCAGTGAAAATATCTTTCAGAAAAGAAGGGGAAATAAAGATAAGTATCTTAATATTCCTTTGCCTCTGAGACACCACGTCTGGTTTGCTGTCTGTCCTTGGGTAGAAGCTAGGAGACACATGCCCTGAATGATATTCTGCTGCTTGATGGAGGTTCAGCAACTATGTCTGTGTAGCTCTTTGCTGTTGTCTGGAGGATTAGGAGACAGGATCTAAGTCACATTCTGCTACTGTATGAAGAGCTATAAGACACTGATCCTTCTGGTGCTAGAAATGTGAAGGAGTCTGATGCTGACAGCAGGTGTTTTTCACTGTGGCCACTGCTATAAGCAAATAGGACAATTGTGGCAGTGTATGTGAAGCATGAAGTGGGTTGGTCTGCCTGGTATCTGCTGTAGCCTCTGCTATAGGCAGCTCCGGTCTGCTGTTGAAGCTAGATGTGGATTTGGTCCCTAAAACTTTGCTTCTGCCATTGCTGCAGGCAAATGAGGCCCGATGCAGTCACTGGGCATTGGTTTTCCCATTAAGTCCTTCTTGGGCTTCCTTTTCTAAAGTCTTCTAAACAGATATAGTGAGCTTTTCTTGCTTTCATTTTTTTTTCTCCTTGTCTATGCATGTAGGGGCTTCTAACTGCAGATCTCTCTAATACCCAGTCCAGATTATATGACAGATAAAACCCTAGGAACTCCTCATAATATTGTTCTTGAAGTCCTGAGGTTTATAACCATCCCACACCTTCTTCTTTCCATATTTCAGAGTCCTTTCATGATTGTATGTTGAATTGTTTCCAGTACAGTTGGTTGTATTTAGAGCAGAGCAGCAGGGAAATGTGTTTCTGCTGTGTTATCCCCACTGGGAAACTACACCTGACCATATTTTCTATGCTGTATCTTCAATTTTCTCAATTTCCTTAACACATAAAAACTTTTAATATGCAGTTAAAAATTCAAATTTCTACACAAGCTACTTTTCTAATTGTCATATTTCTTCCCTTACTTATTAACTTTCCAAAATTTTATGCTGTCAAATGTCAACTTTCCAGAGGAACATCAGAAGAATGTATTAATCAAGCAAAGCTAAGTGTTAGACTTATTGTAGTAAAAGGAAACACTATCTTTACAGGGTGTTAGTAGTGTCTGTAAAAGGATTAAAAACAATCCCCAATTTCCCTTGCCTTAATCTTTACCTCCTTGTAATTTTTTTATTCTTCTCTTTTTTTCTCTTCATTTTTTCTGTTATCTATGCTTCTTCTGAACTTTTAAAAATTATAAAGTTTGCAAAAATAGTTATCAAAATAATTGTTCTGAGAGTTTCCTGAATGGGATTGCACCAACAATCCTTACTAATAGGCATGAAAACCCAAAACAATTTTCAACTTTTATAACCATAGGTTTTGTAGCAGTAGAGTATAAGGAAAAGTGCTTTTCAGCTAAAACATAAAGACACATGCTTCTCTTTTCTAACTATGTAAATCCACAGTACTGCTTTGACTCAGGGGTTATTTGTATTTGGCCTTCAGCTGCTTCCTGATGCACATCAGCTGAATAAAGTCTTTAACTTTTGAATCACGGAAACTATTTTTTTCACTCCTGTCATATGTCAAGGTAAAAGAATAAAGCAAGGATGTTTACAGGATTTTGTCTTCAGCTGTGTTGTTTTTGATCTGTGTCTTGCAAAGTGGGGAACAGGTTGGGTATGGACCAATTTTATGACAATCACTTTGTACTGGTTGGCATAGCTAGTAGAAGATCTTGAGATGAGTCCTGAACCGTTCAACATGGTGTGTAATCTTCTCTTCCAGGGGCAAGCATTTGCTGGTGCAAACAGCTAAATTGTTATTTTATTTTTAAATGTTTCATCCTTGTATTGTTCAATAAAGATTCAGAAGAGTATACTTTGTCACATATTGTTTAATGTAATAATAGGTGTGGATCTAATATTATTTAATATAAGCCCTTGGAAAAAAATGTAAGTTTTGGCTTTATATCCATGTACTTATTGTAACACTGAAGTTCATTTATTATAATTATTTATAATTGTAATTATCATAATTACTATAATTACTACCTGACTAGGGCCAAAGCAACTGCCACACAGGACTTGCATTGCTTTCAAAGGAAGATTTCTCCTTAGTTTATACAGGTTCTCATGAAGAATTATCCTCAGAAGACTGCTAATCCATTGGCCAATGTTTTAGACACCTATGTCTCTAGAGGCTTGTGCAAGACAAAAACTGTTACCATATGATGCACGATATAACTAAGTTATAAATATTCTCTGTCTTGGATGGTAGATTTTCATTTTGTTTTGTTTTACTTTTCTGCTATATCTTACACAAATCAGTTATAAGTTTAGAGTCTTATGGGTTTCTTTGATTCCTTTGGGTTTTCAGTTTGTCTAAGCTGAGAAGCTAACAGTTTAACCTAATTCTTAAATTGGTCCCAGTCTCCTGGCCTGTCTACTTGACAGGAAAATTCAGTTCAAGCAAGTAAAAATACATTTAGCTTTTAATGTCTTAAAAACATTTGTATACGTATGGGAAAATTCAGCTATCCATGAAAAACACATGGAACCCAGCATCTTCAGCTGGGTCTTCCTCGATGTTCAAACACATTTTGTTTTAAGGGCTTAATTACCTAGGTAAAAATGACAGGATAACAATTATGCTAAGCATATAGAAATTAGAACTAAAATATTATATACCCTGAATATGACAAGTTTGCTTTAGCTACAAATAAAGGCACTTGTATATATTATTTGATGCATGATAGTATTAAAAATACTGAGGAAAGAGAAGACTGCTGATATAGCATTTTTGAGAATGAAAACTCTTAACTGGATTTCACACTATAAAAGCTGAAAATGTTTCAAAATTATATGAGATCATTTGCTACAGAGCTGTTAGAATACAGAATATTAACCATTTAGATCGTCTTGTCTTTAGTGTATTTTACCACTTATCTTAAAAGCAAATTTCTGCTGTTTGTTAAAAAAAGTCATTCCTTTGATATTCTGTTTTGAAAAGACTTATGGTTATAGAATAGAATATAAAATAACTCTTTAGCTCACGATTAAACTTACAGGAAAGATTGTTTCACATGGTTTTGAAAAAAATGCATTTATTAAAAATGTTCTTGATATACTATGAGAAATTTCATAAAATATGAATTTACAACAATGAAAATTGTAGATAATTTTAGTAAATTCACTTATATGCATTTTTATGTACTTATATACATTTATCCATGTATGTAAAGACACACACATATATACACACACTCTACAGCTATGGACACATATCTATTAGGTTGACAACCCAATTGTTCAAGGAAAGTTTTGATTTTTTAATGAATATCCAGATTGTAGGTAATACATACAATTGTCCATTTGTTAATTACACTGTATATTACTATTTAGATTATATTATTTATATTTTGACATTTAAATTAGTGTTATTATTAAGACTCGAATTACGAGTTTTCTTTCATTCTTATTGAGAATCCACGATGTCTTTTTTTGTAGATCCTTGTGCTAAGTCAGGGTTCTTCAGAGAAACACTACTAATGTATAGATACATAGATAAACAAGAGGACTTATTATGGGAATTGGTGCATGTGATTACAGAGTTGAGAAGTCCCATGACATACCCTCCACAATCTGGAGAAATGGAAAAGCTGGGGTGGTAATTTAGTCTAAACTATAAAGCCTGAGGACCAGGGGAGCCATGGTGTGTAACCAAAGGTCTGAGAACAAGAGGAGACGCTGGTATATGTTGCTGAGTGTGAAAACATTAGAACCTAAACTTCTGATGTCCAAAGGAAGGGGAAGATCAGTGTCCCAGCTCCAGAACAAAGAGAGAAACCAGCTTCCCTCTGCCTTTTGTTTTATCCAGGTCCTCAAGGAATTAGATGCAGCATCTAATTCCTAGTGTTCTAGGTCGTTGACTGGTGGAAACTATTTGCAGAGCCTTTTCCAGAGATGGGAGGAGTTCAGACAATGAATTGTTTCTCAGGGTTCAGTGTCTTCTGACCTAAAATGATGAATATTCCCTCAATATGGTTTATTTATGAGATTTGAAATTAAACTATGCAAAACATTTGTGCACTCTCAAGATGCTATATAATTCTGAGCTACTATTAATAGTCATAAAAATATACATAAAAGTATTCAAAATAATAAAAACTAATTTTCTTTGGAATGTGAAATTTCTATTTTTGCTAATTCACTTATCAATACAGTGTCAGCTGTTTTCTTAAATATATTTAATTTTAAAATATGAAAAAATAAATGTGAAAGCAGAAACCTTAAACAGCTTTATATTTATTTATTATTTACTGGATAAAGTCAAAACTTCTGAAAAGTAATGAGTATTAAGTGTCTGGCCAAAAGTCAAAAGAGATTTTACTCTCCTCACTGAGCCCCACGTAAATAATTGATCATATTTTTAATGTCATAGGTGAAAGATTCAGAAGTCTGACCCAGACTTTCTTTAAAAGTTTTCCAACAAAGCTCAAACAGTTCTCCTACCCCAATGAAACTAAATCAGCCTCACATACTAGCTCGTTTGGTTTCTTGACTTTCTTTTGATGAAGATACCTTTCATTCATAGAGTTAATTTAAAAAAAGTTTGCCTTAAATGTTCTCTGGAGATATAATCTGGCCACCATTTTCTTAGAGAAAAAGTGACTTTTCTTTTTTTCCCTCTTTTAAACTCAAAATGATTGTCACTGTGGATCTCAAATCATATTTCATTTTTCATTTGGATTGAAATGTGAGCATCCTTTATTTCCTAAGTGAAATACTACTAAGTGGCAAGCATGAGAACTTTCTAGTAGTATAAAGATATACAAAGTTTTTGAATAATATATTATATATTCATTTCATCATCTAATTTGCCAGAAGAGATATAAATTATCTCAGGTGGAAAATAATTTGCCTCATGTTGTCTTGTTATTTAAATGACGGTTTTAATCCATTTTTTCCCTTCCAAATTAAGGATAAACATCATTTAGAAATGGCCAATAATTTCAGACTGCTCAGGCAGGGATATTCAAGAGTCCTTTGAAGCAAATGCCTGGTATGTGCTAGAAATTGCATATTGTGTGCATAGACTAACATGCCATTATATTCCTTGACTTAAAGATCTCTCCCAGTTGAAATATCATGGGTGTTTACACCAAGTCTGTCAGCATAACCTAAGCAAAATCCCCTGGAATCACTTCACGTCTTTGTAGACTGTCTTTGGAAATGAGAAGTCTTTTGTATTATAAATGTGAGTTAATTTTTCATGTCATTAAATTTTTTATCCCTATGCTAAAATAGTAAGAAGGAAATCCCTTAGGCAAGATATCCAAGTAACATAAATTAAAAGAAAATTAAAGCAAAATGGACTTAAAACTTAAGAGTAGATGGAGACAATATTGGCAATTTTGAAGGAAATATAAGGATGATAAAATATAGTAGACATATATTTTAAGAGCTGGGATTCAATATCAAAGCTGCCAAAAGACAAAACCTGTAAGTTTTTTGTCCCTTTGTCTATGTTTCTTTTCCCAAATCTTAAGAACCTAGATGGATCAATCAATTCTGAAGTCCCAGAACTATTATATTATACTTTTCATATTGCATATTGCATTTTATCTTATATTCTAGCCATTTGCATCCTTGTATGGTCTCCTAGTGTACTACAAAAGACTTGAAGATCAGGCAATGATTTTCATTGTTCTTGTGTTGTCATTTGGTTTCATTTGTTCAATGCTTTCATGCCTTTAGCACATAACTCAGTTACATCACATATACTGGGTTCTAAATAAATATTTGTTGAATTAATTCTTAGTAGATTATCTGGCCTTTGTCATTAATCCAAACCCTGCACATTGCTATATGTGCTATGTCTCAACCATATTATAGTTAATTGAGAACTAGTCTTCTATTGATTATCCCTTAAAGATACTAACATTTCTTAATATTTTATAAAAATTCTCCAGCATAGTTGGCATTTATTCATGGAAAATTTATATTTAGTATTGTTTTACAAAAGGGAATCCAAGGCATTTATTAGGACATTGTCACTTGTCAATGTAATCAGATTTGAAGTCATGTTAAGAATGGCAGAGGTAAAGTTAGTTGTAAATTCAAGATTTTTTTTAAAAAATTGCATTGTTTAAAGAACATACTAATTTAATTACTGAATTTTTATTTTTGAAATAATATTTCATTAAATCACAGATCAACTAATAACATTAAATTAAAATTTAAAACATCTGATTTCAATAAATGTATGCTTTCATTACTAAATAATAAGTAACTACTCGATCAGAGGTTTTTTTCCTCAAAATTTTATTTAGGCAAGACAAGTTTGCATCTAGGGTGTATAAAAGTAAATATTCATATGCTCTGAGATAAAAAAAGAACTGCTCAGTAAACTGAAATAATATAATATGCTCATGAACAAACTTGAAAACAATTTATCAAATAATTATTCTTTACAGTTTGAATGTTTTATATGTTTATGTTGAATTTATTTCATTTCATGGTCTAATGAGAAAACCTTTTTATTTCTTGCTTTCATCTGCCGATTTCAATCTCAATAAGATTTCTATTTAAAAATACTATGAATTGATAAACACTCTCATTTCATATCATGCTGAACCGATGGAGTCATCAAAATGAATGCCTTTTTTCTCATAATAACACTCACAAAGCAAATGTCCATAGGCATCTTGAACATGCAGTTTTACATTTTTGCTGAATTGTTTTAACTTTTTACTAAATAATACATACTTCAAATAAAAAGATAATTTTTCTCCTGGTCTCACTACACTTTTGTCCTTCCTTACTGGCCTCACCCATTAGAGGATAAAATGGAAATGTTTGAAGCGATGTCAAATATTCAAAAGGGTTTTTGTGGCATAAAAAATATCTCCTGATTAAAATGAAATAAGTTACATTTTTATTAAAGCGTTTTCTTTGACATAAGATATGTCTCATCTTTTTGACATAATTTCTACTCAAAATTTCTATTCACTTCTAACATGATGTTTTTACAATCTTCACTTTCCATGGTTGTGATATATGTGGATTTCAGTTACCATAATTTAGTAATTGACACCAGGCATTCAATAAGTGATTCAAATTTCACTATTTATCTTACTACTAACTTTCCTCTTTTTCTTAGTTTGCTAACATTTACCATCATCATTATTATTGGATATTGAGTTCTTGAAAATATATTTTCAATGCCTTTGGGAAGAAGATAGATTTTTCCTCTTCCTTTGTCTGTTAAAGATGTCAATTTCATTTATTTATGTTTAAATATTAAACCAGGTTTGTTTTCTTAGAATAAAGTTGATTATATGATGATGTAGTTTACCTGTTTATACATCTTTACATTTGGCTCATTAATATTTTAAGCTTTCATTTATTTTCAGAAAGACTATTAGGTTTTAATATACCTTTCTTATAATATCCTTGATTTTGCTATAAAAGATATGCTGCTTTCATAACGAGTAGGACTTGCTTCTTTTCCCTTTTTTGGAATAATGTATGATAATTTACATTATTCTAGGGACTTTAAAATTTTTATCTGAATATAATTTTCTTCAAATATTTATTAGTATATTCATTATTATATTTAAAAATGTATCCATGATCCATGTGATGACACTAGTTTTATTCCTAGTACTATTACTGTGTGCTATTTCTACCTTGAAAATCTCAATTTTTCTAGCATTTCATTAGGTTTTCCAAAGTACTAGTTTTTAATTTTGTAGCTCTATAGTATTTTAAGTTTCTAATTCATTAATCTCTTTTTGTCTTTTCATTTTCTATCACTTGGATAGGATTAATTTGTGGAAATTTTCTCTTTTTGAAGTGAACTTTTAAATAATTAATTTTACCCTTTCTTTTTCTAGTAGATTCATTTAAGATTTAAAAGTCTATTAAGTATGGCTTTAGCAGGATCCCAGAATTTTTAATATGTCATACTTTCAGTATTAACTTCAAACTGTTTCCTAACTTCAATTGATTTGTTATTTGACCCACTAGTAATTTTACAATGCATTGCTTAAGTTATTAAGATCTCAGCATTTCCTAATATTTAATTATTATTTTTATTCATTACTGTCTTAATTCCACTGAAATAGAGAATATGACCTGAATAACTTACTAATTCTTGAAAACTTTCGAGGCTTTATATTATAGCCCAAAATATGAATAATTTTGGTAAACATGCGACTTCAAAATATGTATTTTTATATTTTTAGGTGAAGTGAATAGATATGTGTGGGTTTTATATGTGTATACAAAAAAGGATATAGTTAAGTTGTTAATAATTTTAGTTAAATATTCTATAAAATTATTCATACTTTCTCTGCCTATTTTATCTGGTATTCACAGAGGTATTATGAAAATCTCCTGCTATGATTTGGAGTTTATCTGTTTTAATTCTGTCAATTTTTATGTTATATTTTGAAGCTGTGTTATTAAATGCAAACAAATTAAGTATTGTTTTATTACCTAAGTGGAAAAACATTATAAGCATTTTGTAATGTTTCTCTTTATTATAATGTTCCTTCATTTGTTACCTTTGTCTGATATTTATAAAACTAGACCAGTTTCTTTTTTATTGATATTTATATGATATGCTTTTTTCATTCTTTTATTTACAGTCTATCATAGCCTGCATAATTGTGTGTCTACTGTATCCTGTAATGCATTTTTAAAATTTTAATTTGTGAATATTTAATAATTCCCAGGAATATTTAGTCTATTTATATTTAATGTTAATCCTGACATATTTTGGATTCTATCCATCATTTTACTATTGATTTTCATATTATATATTCTGTGTATGTTATTTTTCTCTCTCTCTCCTTGGCTTTACTTTAAAATATCAAATAATTTGGTTAATCTACTTGCCTTTGCTATGTGTTTATTGTATTTACCATTTTTTTAAATTTCTGTATTAAGAAAGATAGGGAAAATGTCACAGACCAAAGAACACTAAAGGGACATAAAAAACAGAATGGGCTGTATTATCTTGCATATAATCATGGAACAGAAAACAGGTTTATTGAAAAAAACTGGGGAAAATTAGATAAAGTCCAAAGTATATTTAATGCTAAAACAACAAATGGATTTTTTAGTTTTGAGAAAGGTACTGCAGTAATATAACATGATAATACTAAGGGATACTGAAACTCAGTAGTAATGTATGGAAATGTTCTCTATGATCTGCAGAAATCTATAAATCAAAAATATTCCAATATAAAATGTGTATTTAAAAAATTTAAGTTAGTAATCTAGCCATGACCCAGAAACAGCTAAGATTATAAAGCACCTTAATTTCATTATCTCCTCCCTTTTTTGATATTTTAATAATTTATTTCTCATAATTCTTCAAGCTTCATTCTTACATAATAAGTAAATAAAAAGGTATGAATCTGAATGATATTACTGAAGATTGTTCTCAGAATTCAAGACTAAGAAATTATTACTTTACTCTGGAAGATGTTTCAATTTATTTTATTTGACAATGGGAGTTTTATAATTTTTTTGTTTATTTGGGAAGTGTGTTTTATTACAATGCCTTTTCATAGCATAGTTTTATAATGTTCAAAATGCTCACATCTCCCATAGAAAACATCTCATTTTTTTTTTTTTGTCAGCAAGGCACATGCAGTAGTAAACCAAGTTAGTAATCACAGTTGCTGTTGGTTTGGACTATTTTCAAAATCTATCATTCATTCTACAGAGACGTTGAATGGATAATTTGGGTACTACAAAATAGCACACTGCCTCCTCACAGAAAATTCAGATTCCTGAGAATCAGTAGCTGTCACCGTTGCACAACTGATGTCACTTCTGATTCTTTGAACTTTCTTCTTTTGTGTGTGTGTATGTGTGTGTGTGTGTATATATATATATATACACACACATTATTTTTTAAAAGCAACTGATTTGTTTTCATTTACTAAACATAAATTACATTCAAATTCTACCTGTAACAAGATTATGTTATGCTTCCCCTTGCATTGTTGGTATTCAGAGATTCAAAAGCATTTCAGTAAACATGTACAGGAATCCTCCTGGAGTATCCTCATTGAAACTTTATTGTATTTATTGTGTGTGAATTTACCAGTTCAGCTTCTAAGAAGGCAATTCTACTTTCCTTATTTTCAAGTTTCTTTTGCCAGCAATTAGAAGTCTGGAAACATTAAAAGAAGCTCAATTTGAGAATAAGCATTCAATTCCAGTCTGTAGGGAAGAAATTTCTCAATATGATGCAGAATTCAACAAAAGCATTGACAAGTGCTTAACTAAAGCATAACAGAGAAATGGAAACTTAAGATCATGGGAAGTGTTGCTATTTGTGAGCTGACATTTTAGTAATAAAAAAGTGATGAATTTTGTTTCCAGATAAAGTAACCACATTGTCAGGACAGTAAGAAGTACAGAATTATAGATGTGTGTGTGTTTTATTTTGAAACTTTAAAAATACTAAAATAAGAAAGAATTTTGTTAAAATATTTGAAATATTTGGTGATTTTCAGCAATTTTGCAAACGAATTAGCTCTCCCTCTCCGTATATATATATTCATACACACACACACATATATATGCACATGTATATGATCACATGTATACCCATACACAGGCTCACACACATGTAATTTCCAAATGGGTATATTTACATACTTATATATAAACAATATTTGATAATGTTTAAAAATATATTGTATATTTCAAAATATTCACACACATGAGTGTGTGCATTATATATTCATGTGCGCACACACACGCATATATATATGTGTGCATGCGTGTGTGTGTGCCAGTAATGACTGGGCAATTTTATATAACCGTGTCATTTGTCAGACAGCTTAACATTTATCATAAAATTGTATCAAGGTCCTCTCTCATGTTAGCTGCTATGCAATGAATGGAAATACAAAGATGAATAAAAAATGTTATGTTTGTGTCCTTATGAAGCATGCATTGTAGAGCTTGATGAATTAACTATCAGAGGTAATAATACCAATAATAAGGCCAAGGAAAGGTCATCAATTTACATAAATTAAAAAATGGCTAAGTAAATTTGCACAAAGTGGCTGATTTAAACACCCGTATGTGATTTAAATATGTGAAGAATATGATGTTTTAAATGCCTGGACTTCCACAGGAGAATATGTGCCTGCAAATAATACCACCAGTTCATGGCTGAAAGTTTCTTAACATTAAACAATTCTGTATTATAAAATAAATATTATTGCTTACATAAAATTTTCCTTTAAATGACTTTGCCAAAGAACTAAGTGATCTTGTATAACTTTGCATTACTTCCTGTGCCTCAGAGACAATGGAAACCTGAGAGAGCAGATGGTGTAAACATATCAGATGTTAACCAGGCATATCCTTGTGTCACCTGGACTGTCTCCCCTCCCCCACAGCACAGTGCTCACTGGTGTCAGGTCTTGCTGTCACACATCTCTCCTTTGAATGTTTCCTCCTCTTCTTATAGTAATTGTATATTTGTAAAACACTTTTTTGATTTGAAGTTTATTTCAGCAAATAATAATTCAGCAATTTTCAAAAAAAGTGAGAGTTTGGTGCAAATAGTATAGTATTAGCAAGTCCAAATACATATTTTTGTGTGTTTATGTGTCTGTGTAAAATCCCCAAGAATTAAAAGCAGATGTTGTTTAGAAAATAGATATAACCATATGTGACATTTTAATACAATCATAAAAAAGTCCAGAACTATTTAAATTTACTCATTTTAATAGGCTTGTGCATATCTACAAGTATTTGTCAAGTAATAAAGAACACCGTAGTGATTGTGAAAAATAAATTTAAAACAATATTATACACAATCTTCAAAGCAAACAGCTAGCTACAAAATCTAGAAAGAAAAGAGAGAACTACCTCTTTTCATTCCAAAAGAATGAAGTAGAAAATTACCATCTTTGTTTTGGGAAAAACAAGCCAGTGTCTTTATGAAGATAATAGAAATAAATACTAATAATTGAGTATTAGCTTTAGCTTATCATTGACATGATCCATTAGGTCAAAATAGCCATAAGACTCTTGCCAATGATTATTTAATTAATTCCGTCAAAGAAGATTCATTGAGTGCACATTTAGTTCCAGATACTAAAGTAGACAATAAGAACAAATTAATGAAATACTAAAAATAATAAAAAGCATAATTAAGAAACAAATTGAATAATTATAATTCTCATATGTAGTTGAAAGTGGAAGTAATGACTTCTATATATGTTCATCACAAGAAACCCAGTTTACTGGGGTCAAAGACAGTAATCATAGTAAGAAGTATATTAAATAAGAAATTGAAGAATATAAAGAGTAATTGGTAAAATGTAAATGACTGAATGCTTTCCAGGCAGATAAGGCAGTATATATGTGGATCATAAATGTGAATTACAAAAAATAATAATAATAATGGCAACAATATCTGGTCATGGTGAAGAAGGGAAAGAAAAGCTTAAGATAAGGGTGTAGCAATAAGCCACAGCCAGATGTTGTAAGATGATGTAAATAAGGTGACATTTATTCTAATGAGAGTGGAAACATTGAAAATACCTTAGACAGGAAAGTGGCATTTTTTTTTAAAGATTTTATTTAAACAAAAAACTTTTTATTATACACAATTTCAAATAACCAAAAACTGGCCCAGGTCTAAATGCCACCAATATATTACTGGATATGTAGGTTTTTAGAAGAAAAGCAATGTAGGCTAGACTGGGATCTACTTCTAAAAGGAAGAGTACAGAAAAAAAATGTTAATGAAAAATAAAATATTTTTATGGTTCATTCCACAGATATTAAAAGGAAAAATAAGCAAGCATGAACAACTCTGTTCTTACATATTCAAAAATTCAATATAATGAACCAATTCCCTGAAGGATATAAACTACAAAATCTTATACAAAAAGAAATAATCTGAATAGACCTAAATCTAATAAATAAATTGAATCAAAAATTAATAAACTTCCAGAAACTGACGGCTCTCTTAGTTTCAAATGAGCTCAGATGGTTTCACTGGCAAATTCCACAAAACATTCAAAGAAGAATTAATATCAATTATTCACAAATTCTTTTAGCAAATGGAATCAGAGAAAATACTTCCTAACTCATTATCTGAGGCCAGAATTACTGTAATACCAAAGACAAACAAAGACATGAAAAAATAGAAAACTATAGAAGAACATCTCTCTTGAAAATAGGTGCAAATGTCCTCAACAAAATCTATCAAATGGAAAGTAACAATATCTGAAAAGAATTATACACCACCATCAATTGGGATTTATTCCAGGTGTGTAAGCCTGGTTCAACATTTGCAAATCAAACAATATAATTCACATTATCAGCAAGCTAAAGAAAATGAGTATGATCACATCAATTGATGCAGAAAATGCATTTGACAAAATCTAAGATGGATTAATGAGAAAAACTCAACAGCAGTCTATAAATATCACAAAACTTCCTCAACTGATCATGATCATGTAAAGAACAATAGAGCTAATATCTTACATGAAAATGAAAGACTTAAGGTGTTTTTTCCTGAGATGTGAATCAAGGAAAAGACACCAGCTTGTAAAGACAAATCTGTAGTATTTGTAATGAAAATCCTTCTGGTTAGGATTAATAGCCTGTTGGACACTGATAAAGAAAGGATAGGCAAGTCTGAATACGAACAGTAAGTTTGAACAACTGCACTTTTAAATGTGTAGTTTATTGTTGAAAAATTATACTCCAATAAAGCTGAAAAGATACCAGAGGAAAAAGCAAACTTATTTGCCATATAACCATGACACATTTTTTAAGGACAGCAGCTAAAAAAATAAACAAATTATATGTAGCTGCCAAAGATTGTGAAACTACACAATAAATCAGCACCAGCAAATGAACCTTTTTTGTTTGTTGGAAAGAATCCTGATAATAAGTAATATATAAAATGGTTGATGCAAATTCTCCTTACCTGATTTCAATCCATGTAATTTAGTTAGTCTTTTAGGCATCCAATAAGAATATCCACAAAGAGCTGTGCACCATGTTAGATATAGTAAGAGATGTGAACATGACGCAGGCATGATCCTACTTTCAAGGAAGTCCGTGATTAACAGGAACGAGAGCAGACACAGATACATCAGAATACAGGGCAGCAGGTAACATAGCAGAGGCATGTCCAAGTAACAAGCCCAATTAAATCCTTTGGAAACACAGGAGAGAACCATAGGCCTCCTGATGATGTTTGATGATGCTGGAAAACGTGGCACTAAAGTTGGAACTAGAAAGATTGGGATTAGAGTTCCTGTGGTGTGGTATTTGGTGGTGATCTAAACAAATCCAATGCAACATGAAAAGAAACAAGCATGAAACATAAAATAAGCATTGTTTATTGTAATATAGGCTTTGTTGCCACAATCAGTATCTTGTTCATTAGTGAAAGTGTAATTGCACCTGTAAAATAAAAAGCACACTAGTGACATGTTTTCATTTTAATGTTATAATAATTAAGTATATGTAAGTTAGGGTGCATATACAAATTTTTATTTTTCCTTGTCCCTGTGGTCCCTTTTTTTTTCTTTTTAAGACAGGGTCTCACTCTGTTGCCCACGCTGGAGTGCAGTGGCTTGATCAAGGTTCACTGCAGCCTTGACCTCCCCGAGCTCAGGTGATGCTCCCACCCCAGCCTCCTGAGTAGGTGTGGCTACAGCTGAGCACCACCATGCCCAGCTAACTTTTGTGTTTTTTGTAAATAAGGGGTTTCGCTATGTTGCACAGGCTGGTCCCAAACTCCTGGGCTCAAGTGATCCACCCGCCTCAGCCTCCCAGGATACTGGTATTGCGTGCGTGAGCCACTTCACCCAGACTATTAGTTTTTATTTTTCTAAACTTTTATTTTAGGATCTGGGGTATGTGTGCAGGTTTTTTATATAGGTAAACTCATGTCACAGGGTTTTGTTATACGGATTATTTTGTCACCCAGCTACTGAGTCTAGTATCCAATAGCTATTTTTTCTGATCCTCTCCCTCCTCCCACTCTTCACTCTCAAGTAGGCCCCAGGGTCTGTTGTTCCTTTCTTTCTGTCTATATGTTCTCATAATTAAGCTCTCACTTATAAGTGAGAACATGAGGTATTTGATTTTCTGTTCCTTCCTTAGTTTGATAAGGATAATGGCCTCTAACTCCATACATATTTCCTCAGAAGACATGATCTTGTTCTTGTTTTATGTTTACATAGTATTCCATGGTGTACATGTGCCACATTTTCTTTATCCAATTTGTCATTGATGAACATTCAGGTTGGTTCCATGTCCTTGGTATTGTGAATATTACTGCAATGAACATTCATGTGCATGTATATGTATGGTAGAATGACTTATATTCCTTTGGGTATATACCTAGTAATAGGACTGCTGGGTCAAATGGTAATTCTGTTTTTTAGCACTTTAAGAAACCACCACACTGCTTCCTACAATGGTTGAACTAATTTACACTCCCAACAATGTATAAGTTTTCCCTTTTCTCTGCAACCTAGCCAGCATCTGTTATTTTTTGACCTTTTGCTAATCGCCATTCTGACTGGTATAAGATGATATTTCATTGTGGTTTTGATTTGCATTTCTCCAATATTGAGCTTTTTTTCATATATTTGTAGGCCACATGTATATCTTTTTTTGAAAAGTGTCTGTTCATGTCCTTTGACCATTTTTAAATGGGATTCTTTTCTTTCTTTTCTTGTAAACTTGTTTAAACTCCTTGAGATACTGGATATTAGACTTTGTCAGATGCAAAGTTTGCAAATATTTTCTCCTATTCTGTAGGTTGTCTGTTTATGCTGTTGGTAGTTTCTTTTACTATGCAGAAGCTATAATGTTTAATTAGATACGATTTGTCGTTGTTTGTTTTTGTTGCAACTGCTTTGGCATCTTGGTCATTAAATCTTTGCTCATTCCTATGTCTGGGATAGTAGTCTTCCAGAATTTTTATAGTTTGGGGTTTTTTGTTTAAGTCTTTAATCCATCTTGAGTTAGTTTTTGTACATGGTATAAGAAAAAGATCCGGTTTCAATCTTCTGCATGTGGCTAGCCAGCTATTCCAGCACCATTTATTGAATAGGGAGTCCTTTCTCTATTTCTTGTTTTTGTCCCTTTTGTTAAAGATCAGATGGCTGTAGTTGTGGGGCCATATTTCCAGGCTCACTACTCTGTTCCATTGGTCTATGTGTTGTCTGTTTTTGTACCAGTACCATGCTGTTTTGATTACTGTAGCCCTGTAGTATCATTTGAAGTCAGGTAATATGATGTCTCTAGCTTTGTTCTTTTAGCTGATGATTTCCTTGGCTATTTGGGCTCTTTTTTGGTTTCCTGTGAATTTTAAAATATTTTTTTCTAGTTCTGTGAAGAATGTCATTGGTATTTTGATAGAAATAGGATTGAAACTGTAAATTGTTTTGAGTAGGATAGCCATTTTAAAAATGTTGATTCTTCCCATTCATATGCAAGGAATGTCTTTCCATTTGTTGGTATCATTTCTGATTTCTTTGAGTAGTGCTTTGTAATTCTCATTATAGAGGCCTTTCACCTCCCTGGTTAGCTGTCTTCCTAGATATTTTATTTTTGTGTGTGGCAATTTTGAATAAGATTGCATTCCTGATTTGACTCTCGGTTTGGCTGTTGTAGGTGTATAGGAATGCTAATTATTTTTGTCCATTGATACTGCATTCTGAAACTTTGCTGAAGCTGTTTATCAGATGCTGAAGGAGCTTTTGGGCCAAAATTATGGGATTTTCTAGATATAGAATTTTGTCATCTGCAAATGAATAGTTTAACTTCCTCTCTTCCTATTTGGATGCCTTTCTTTCTTTTGCCTGATTGCTCTGGCCAGGACTTCCAATACTATGTTGAAAAAGAGTGGTGAGAGAGGACATCCTTGACTTGTGTCTGTTTTCAAGGGGAATGCTTCCAGCTTTTGCCCATTCAGTATAATGTTGGCTGTGGTTTTGTCACAGATGACTCATTATTTTGAGGTGTGTTTCTTCAATACCTAGTTTATTGAGAGTTTTTAACATGAAGGGATATTGAATTTTATCAAAAGCTTTTTTTAAATCTACTGAGATAATCATGGGTTTTTGTCTTTAGTTCTGTTTATGTAATAAATCACATTTATTGCTTTGCATATGTTGAACCAACCTTGCATCGAAGGGATGAAGCCCGCTTGATTGTGGTGGATTAGCTTTTTGTTGTGCTGCTGGATTTGGTTTGCCAGTATTTTGTTGAGAGTTTTTGCATCAATGTTTATAAAGGAAATTGGCCTGAAATTTTATTTTTGTTGTGTTTCTGCCAGGTTTTGGTATCAGGATGATACTAGCCTCATAGAATGAGTTAGGGAGAAGTCCTTTCTCCTCATTTTGGGGGAATAGTTTTAGTAGAAATGGTACTAGCTCACTTTGTACGTCTGGTAGAATTTGACTGTGAATCTGTCTGGTCCTGGGCTATTTTCGTTGGCAGACTATTTATTACGGATTCAATTTTTGAGTGTTATGGGTCTGTTCAGGGAATCAATTTCTTCCTGTTTCAGTGTTGGGAAGGTTTATATGTCTACGAATTTATCCAGTCTTCTAGGCTTTCTAGTTTGTGTGCATAGAGGTGTTCATGATAATTTCTGATGGTTATTTTTATTTCTGTGAGGCCTGTGGTAACATCCTCTTTGTTGTTTATTTGCATATTCTGTCTTTTTCTCTTTAGTGATCTATCTAGCAACGTATCTTATTATTATTTTTTTTTTCAAAAAATATTCCTGGATTTGTTGATTTTTTGAATGGCTTTTTTTGTGTCTTAATCTCCTTCAGTTCAGCTCTGATTTTGGTTATGGATTTTCTTCTGCTAGCCATTGATTTTATTTTGCTTCTTTAATTCTTTCAGTTATAATATTAGGTTGTTAATATGAGATATTTCTAACTTTTTAATGTGGCCATTCAGTGCCATAGATTTCCCTCTTAACACTGCATTAGGTGTGTTCCAGATATTCTGGCATTTTGTATCTTTGTTCTCATTAGTTTCAAAGAACTTCTTGATTTCTGCTTTAATTTTATTACTTACCCAAAAGTCATTCAGGAAGAGGTTGTTTAATTTCCATGTAATTGCACGGTTTACAGTGATTTTTTAGCATTGACTTTTTTTGTGTGTACTGTGGTCTGAGAATGTGCTTGGTATGATTTTGGTTGTTTTGCATTTGCTGAGGTTAGTTTTATTTCTGATTGTGTTGTCAACTTTTGAGTATGTGCCATGTGGCGATGACAATACTGATTTGAACTTATAACGTATGCTATTCTATTTATTTACTGTTGAAGTGTGATAGAAATGTAGAGCAGTCTAATTAGGTAGTAGCAAGTATAGGTAAAATGGGGATTTTTTTCCAATAAATATAATCCTATGTACATAAAATTTCACTATTCTTATTAAATCTATTTTTAACTTTTAACTCCTGTCATATTTGACACTGAACTACAGTATAGTAAACACACTAATTTACACAAAATTCTAGATATTGCTATTATTGAACAATTCTGCCAACAAGTAGGGCTCAATAATGATTAAAGCATATGCTGATCTAATCCCTGCTCCTTTATGATTTTATAGCTTTACTTCTGAACATATTTGAGCAATAGTTTAATTGTATATAATAAGCAATATTTAACTTTTTCATGGTAAAATTTAATTGCATTCAATCCAGCATTTAATATTACAAAATATATAACCCCAACAAATAGGATCCAAAATGTTTTTGTATGTGAAAGCAAGAAGGATATTATTTCCCCTTTCATTTAGACCTCATTAAAAAAACAAACTTGTATCTTACTCTCTGTTCATATAGTATTTTTATTAATTATGAATCTTTTCCTTAGCATGTTATTCTGCCAATGCTTCTGGGAAACTAAATAGCATCTTAAATCATATCAATTTCTATATAAACATTAATTAGTCATGACTTACACTCCGTGAAATAATGGATGTTGCTGCTGTTTGTTGTTAATTTTTTTATTACTATTGTCCCTAGCCTTTACAACAGCAAGGATTTTGTATGTTAAGCATATTAAAAATACGTTTATGTTTAGCTTTATTAAAAATCGAGCAATTTAGTTTTGTTACTTATCCAAGTACATACAATAACAAAAAAACTTCAGGCCAGGCGTGGTGGCTCACACCTGTAATCCCAGCACTTTGGGAGGCTGAGGTGAGTGGATTGCTTGAGGTCAGGAGTGCAAGACCAGCCTGGCCAACATGGCAAAACCCCGTCTCTCCTAAAAATACAAAACTTAGCTGGCTGTGGTGGCACGTGCTTGTAATCTCAGCTACTCAGGAGACTGAGGCAGGAGAATAACTGGAACCTGGGAGGCAGAGGTTGCAGTGAGCAGAGATCGTGCCACTGCACTCCAGCATGGGTGACAGAGCGAGACTCCATCTTAACAAACAAACAAAAAACTTCAAGTAAGCATGTGAATTAAGAATTTATTTGTGTTGGTCACAGATTGGTATTTTGTTCCACATGAATATGCTGTATACAGTTATACAGTTGGCCCTGGAAACAACATGGGTTTCAACTGTGTGGGTCCACTTATATGCAGATTTTCTATTGCCTCTGTCACCCTTGAGACAGTAAGTCCAATCCCTCTCTGCAGTCTACTCAACACGAAGATGATGACGATGAAGACATTTATGATGATCCACGTACATTTAATTAAGTGTAAATATATTTTCCTTGTGATTTTCTTAATCAAGTTTACTTTCTGTAGCTTACTTTACTGTAAGTCTACAGTATATAATAAATATCCAAAATATGTGTTAATTGACTATGTCATTGGTAAGGCTTCAGGTCAAGAGTAGTCTATTAGTACAGTTGTTACATTTTTTGATAGCTAAAACTTATACTTGGATTTTGGACTATATGGGTGGGAGTCAGTGCCCCAATGTCTGCATTGTTCAAGGGTCAGTTGTATTTTTTTACACATTGATGAATGAATAGGAAATCATTGTAAAGGTATCAAGAACATACACTGAAGAAAAGACAGTCTCTTTAATAAATGATGCTGGGAAAAGTGGATATCCATATGTGGAAGAATGAAACTAGATCCCCATCTCTCCTCATGTACGAAAATCAAAACAAAATGAATTAAAGACTTAAATCTAAAATCTCAAGCTATGAAACTACTATAAGAAGACATTGAGAAAATGTCTAGGACATTGATCTAGAAAAAATTTCTTGACCCCAATAGCATAGGCAACCAAATCTGAAATGGACAAATGGGATCACATCAAGTTAAAAAGCTACTGCACATTAAAAGATACAGTCAACAATGTGAAGAAAAAACTCACGGACTAGGACAAAATATTTGCAAACTACCCATCTGACAAGGGATTAATAACAAGACTATATAAGGAGCTCAGACAACTTTATAGAAAAAAAACGTAATAATTTGATCCAAAATAGGCAAATTATTTCAATAGACATTTCTCAAAAGAAGTCATACAAAGGGCAAACAAGCATATGAAAAGGTCCTCAACATCATTGATCATCAGAGAAATGTAAATCAAAACTACAATGAGATATCATCTTAATCCAGTTAAAATGGATTATATCCAAAAGACAGGCAATAACAAATGCTGACAAGGATATGGAGAAAAAGAAACACTTGTACAATGTTGGTGGAAATATAAATAAGTACAACCATTATGTAAAACAACTTGGCAGTTCCTCAAAAAACTAAAAATTTATACTTCGGGAGGCCAAGGCAAATGGAGCACCTTAAGTCAGGAGTTTGAGACCAGCCTCGCCAACATGGCGACACCCTGTGTCTACTAAAAAGACAAAAATTGATTCACTGCAGTACCCCCCATCACAGACCTGAAAGTCTAGAGTAAAAAAATGGCTTGGTGGGCTGGGCCCAAGGCTTTGTTGCTTTGTTCAGTCTCAGGACTTGGTGCCCTGCTTCCCAGCTGTGGCTAAAGGGGGCCAAGGTTTAGTTCAGGTTGTTGCTTCAGAGGGTGCAAGCCCCAGGCCTTAGAGGCTTCCATGTGGTGTTGGGCCTGTGGGTGAACAGAAGTAAAGAATTTAGGTTATGGAACCTCCATCTAGATTTCACAGGATGTATAGAAATGCCTGAATGTCCAGGCAGAAGTTTGCTTCAGGGGCAGGGCACTCATGGAAAATATCTGCTAGGGCAGTGCAGAAGGGAAATGTGGGGTTGGAGCCCCCACACAGAGTCCCCACTGGGGCACTGCCTAGTGGAGCTGTGAGAAAAGGGCCACTCTTCTCCAGACCTCAGAATGGTAGATCCACTGAGAGCTTGCACCATTTGCCTGGAAAAGCCACAGACACAAAATGAAAGCCCATTAAAGCAACAGGAGGGAGCCAGTACCCTGCAAAGCCACAGAGCCAGAGCTGCCAAGGCCGTGGGAACCCACCTCTTGCATCAGTGTGACTTGGATATGAGCTATGGAGTCAAAGATCATTTTGGAACTTTAAGCTTTAATGACCGCCTTATTGGATTTTAGACTTGCATGGAGCTTGTAGCCCCTTAGTTTTGTTTAATTTCTCCCATTTGGAACAGGAGTATTTACCCAGTGCCTGTACCTCCACTGTATCTAGGAAGTAACTAACTTTCTTTTGAACTTACAGGCTTATAGGCGGAAGGAACTTGCCTTGTCTTGGATGAGACTTTGGACTGTGGACTTTGAGTTAATGCTGAAATGAGTCACGACTTTGGAGGACTGTTGGGAAGGCATAATTGGTTTTGAAATATGAGGTCATGAGATTTGGGAGGGGCCAGGGGTGGAATGATATAGTTTGGCTGTGTCCCCACCCAAATCTCATCTTGAATTGTAGCTCCCATAATCCCCATGTGTTGTGGTAGAGACCCGATAGGAGGTAATTGAATCATAGGGCAGGTTTTTCCCATGCTGTTTTCATGATAGTGACTGCATCTCATGAGATCTGATGGTTTTATAAAGGGCAGTTCCCCTGCACACATCCTCTTGCCTGCTGCCATGTAAGACATGCCTTTGCTCCTCCTTTGCCTTCCACCATGATTCTGAGGCCTCCTCAGCCATATGGAACCATGAGTCCATTAACCTCTTTTTCTTTATAAATTACCCAGTCTTGGGTATTTCCTCATAGCAGTATGAAAATGGACTAATACAATATTGTTTTATATAAAAATGAAAAATGTGAGGTACATGATGCAGGTATGTTTCCATGTAAGAAATAAAAAGGAACATTCTTACATAGCTGTTTATTTGTAAAATATATCTGTATATGTGTAAAATGTCTTTTATTATTTTGAAATGCTTTGAGTTGCATATTAAATGTATGCAGAAAATCATATTAAAATACATGAGGAACTCAGTGCATTGCTACAAAAGGAACACCTCTACACCCACTCACTCATGTCACAAAATAGATACAAAACCAAGCAACCTCCCATGTTCATCTTTATCACCATTCTTATTTTCCTCCTCAGATATAACCAAAGTGTTAACTTCACAGACACACACACACACACACAGAAACACACACACACACAAAGATGACACATTACCTAAACAAGCTTATGTATAGAAAACTTGAACAACTTTATAGACAAATTTTACCTGATAAGACATTTTAGAAACAAACAACAACCAGATATACATTGTTTTAAAGTGCACCCTAAACATTCACCTAGATTGACTGTGTTTTGGAAAACAAAATGTTTCAACACATTCAAAAGGATAAAAACAATGCAAACTATGTTTTCTGTGCACAAGGGAATCAAATTAGAAATGCATAGAAAGATTTAGAAAGTTTATAAAATCCTGAAATATTTAGAAATAAAAAATAATCTAACTTTTGCTTGGGTTGGTAAAAATCAACAGAGTATGTTGAACTGAAATAAAATGGAAATCAAGGTATATCAAATTTGTTGGATGCTGACAAAACAGTAGGCACGGGGCAATTTATGTAACTAAACACATATTAGAAAAGGTCTCAAATCAATGACCCAATATGATAAACTCTGGTGTTTTTAAACTACTTAGAATTAATGTGATTATTGTTATAACTGGATGAAAACCTTCCTTCTTTCTAGTAGTTTTTTGTTTGTTTTTTTTCTTTATTCCCTTTTCTTTATTTTTCCTTTTAAAAAATTGTCTTAGGTTAATTCAGCATTTTTTTAAGATTCAATTTTATCTTAACTATGGACTTATTACTTAGATTACCCTTTCCTAAAATATTTTAGGGCTTAAGGATTTAAAATATACATCCATAAATAATTCAATTCCACCTTCAAATAATAGTATACCATTTCATGTGTAATGTATTTACAGTTACAACACTGTATTTTTAATTCCCATTCTTTGTGCTATTAGTGCCATAGAATACTTTTACGAATGCTACAATAGCATAATATAGTGTTACCACTTTTGCTTCATACAGTCAAATATTTTTTGGTCTAATTAAAAATAAGAAAAGATATGAATCCTAATTTACCTGTACATATTTTATTTCCTGTGCTTTTCATTTATTTGGGTACATCCAACTTTTTAACTAGTATATTCTTTTCGCCTTAATACCTCGCCTTACAATTTCTTGTGGAGTAAATAAGAGGATAAATAACTATCAATGTTGCTATTTGTGAAATGCTTTATTTAAAGTCATTTTTGCAGGACACCGATACTGTGTTTTCCTTTCCTAGAACTTTCTTTAGATGCTTTTTTTTAATGATTTTCATTTCCTTGCTTAAATTACTTTGCTGAATCATTCAAGTTTTACCTCGACTGAATGTTGTCTATATTTTTCACTAACTCCTTTAGTATTTTAATTATAATTATTTTAAGATTCTGGTCAAACTTTTTTGTTTGTTTGTTTGTTTGTTTTGTTTTGTTTTGAAACAGGGTTTTCTGGTGCTGTTGCCTAGGCTGGAGAGCAGAGGCACGATCTCAGCTCACCGCAGCCTTGAATTGTTCCATTGTTCCATTATTTATGTCCTATCTGAATACTGTTCTGATGATTGCTTTGTTTCTTAGGGTTCTGTTGCTTATTTTTTTTTACATGTATGTATGCCTCATCATTTTGTTGTCGTTGTTGAAAACCAAACATCTTATGTAGGCTGTTAGAAAGTGATGTGTGTGTGTGTGTGTGTGTGTAACAGAGTCTCACTCTATCAAACCAGGCTGGAGCTCAGTGGCTCGATCTCGGCTCCCTGCAACCTTCACCTCCCAGGCTCAGGCGATCCCGCAACCTCAGCCCCCAGAGTAGCTGGGAATACCAGCAAGCCACCACCAAGCCTGGCTAATATTTTGTATTTTTTGTAAAGACGGTTTTTCCCATGTTGTCCAGGTTAGTCTGTCTCAAACTCCTGAGCTGAAGCGATCTGCCCACCTAGGCTTCCCAAAGTACTGGGATTACAGGTGTGAGCCACTGTGCCTGGCCTGTGTAAATACTCTTAATGCCTTGATTGGCCACATCTTTCCTTTTGCTAAGTCTTTGTTGTGGGGCTTTGAGTTAACCTAATTAGATGGTGGGCTGGATGTAACACTTGTTGTTGCTCTATTACTATCAGTGAAACATAGGCTTCGGTTACCTCTAGCAATAATTTATGTTAACGGCAGAGATGGTTCACCAGTGAGTTCTTTTCCATCCTTCATTTTAAGTGTTCTGTTTAGTCTTCACTTCAGAAAGGGTCTGCCTGTGCCGAGTTGTATATTATTTGATAATTTCCAGCCTTGTATCTATGGCAGGAACTGGCGTTGGGGAATGGTGGCATTACCTATCAGAATAGGTAGGCTCAGTCACAGGCCATCACTGTGTCCCTAAAACTCCTGAATGTGGCCTTCACATTGCTCCTACCCCTTCCCTGGCATGTTTCTGAGATCAGGCTATTTTCCTGATCTCTCTTAGAAGGACAGCTGTATGTGTGTGTGTGTGTGTGTGTGTGTGTGTGTGTGTGTGTTTCTTTTTTCCCCTTCCGCTAGCTGCAACTAGTTTTCTCTCCTACTTAATGGAAGGAATTAGGTGTAATATTCTGCTTCTACTGCAGCTGCTGCTATTTCCTTTCACTGGATCTGCTCCATGAGTAGAAGTACTTTTCCCAACTTTTCTTGAAGAACCAGTGGTGATAATCGAGAAAATGCCTGCAAGAGAGTGAGAGTGAGAGTGAGAACTTGCTGTGTTTATCATCTTCAAGTTTTGGCCTTCACAAATCTGCAGGACTCTTCTTTCTGGTCTCTCCCTGCATCTTTCCCAAGTAAGCCTGTGCTTGTATCTCCTCTCTCCTTCTAGGAGCTCTCTCCCCTTAGATCTGTGTCCAGTTGGTTGCCTTGTGACCTCAGTTACCCAGAGGGTTCAAGAAAATCCTTTCGCTATTTGGAAGTAAGGTTTGGGTTGTTGGGTTGTTTTTCTTTACGTTTATCTGTGTCTATGAATGGAATCTTTTCCACAGATTAAGCTGGGAGAAAAGGATATCCTTCTGCAGTCGATGAACTTTGATCCATAGGTCAAAACATCTGTAAAAATTAACTCAAAATGAATCACGGACTTAAATGCAAAGCTTAAAACTAGAAGCTGATGCTTGTAATACAAGTACTTTGGAGGGCCAAGATGGAAGGATTATTTGAGGCCAGTAATTTGAGACAAGCCTGGGCAACATAGTGGGACTGTACAAAAAATTAGCTGGGTGCAGTCGCACATGCATGCAGTCCTAGTTACTCAGGGGACTGAGGTGAAAGGATCACTTGAGCTGAGTCCAGGATTTGGAGACTGCAGTGATCAACGATTATGCTACTGCACTCCTGAGTGGACAACAGAGTGAAAGCCTGTCTGTAAAAGACAAAAAAAAATGTAAGAAAAACTGTAAAATTTCTAGAATTAAACATAGGATAAATACGTATGACCTTGGCTTAGGAAAGATTTCTTCTGTAAGTAGTAGGATATAAAAAATACAACTCTCCCAAATTAAACATTGATATATTAATTTTTGTCAAATTCAAACTTTTGCTCTTTACCTCTTTAATGTACCTTCTTAAATAAATGAAAAAAGTAATCAACAGACTGGAAAAAATATTTTAAAACATAGTGCATGATTGAAGTCTTACATCCAGAGTTTAAAAAGAACTCTCAGAACACAATAAACACCAGGCAATTAATAAAAATGGACAATAATTTGGGCACACATGTCTCTAAAAAAAGATGGTTCAAAGGCCAATATCCAAACGAAAGATGCTCAGTCTCATATGTCAGTAAATAATGCAAATGAAAATAACAAAGAAATGCCACTATAGATCCAATAACTGTATTAACTATAAAAAAGGACAATATTAAATGCTAAAGATGTGAAGCAACTAGAATGTTTACATATTGATCGTGCAAATGTAACATGATACAACCAATTTGAAAACCATTTACTAGTTTTTCAGGAAATAACACACCTGCTTGTTATTTGACTCAGCAATTTTACTTTTACTTTATTTCCACAAAATAAATTACAAAAATATATATCTACACAAAGTATTTTATGTGACTACTCCCAGTTAAGGAAGCTAAAATATTCAGTAAATAAGGGATGCAATTGGACTTCATATTCTTTCTATATAATCTTGAACTTTACCTTGTTTTTGTCTAAATAGGTATTTCTTACCTGAAAAATATCTAGACTATTAATTCTAAAGCTATGCTGTATTTAAGGGGAAAGCTGGTGTATCTAAATAAGTCTCTTGAATGTGAATGAAACATGATTTATATTAAAGCTAAATAATATCTATGCACTTAGAAGAATGATATATAAGCATTACATATTTACCAGTTAAAATATGGCTGGAAAAGGACTCTTGCCTTAATAACGAACAACTTTTATTAATTATTATTATTTTCTAATTTAGGAAGAAGATGTGTAAAATTCTTATAGGCAATAAAATGAAGGAAGCAATGGCCAGTTGGACATATTATAATTTTGATAATAAAATTGATTGTATATTGAAAGCCACAAATATTGAACAGCAGCAATGATTTTTAGTACTTTATTTATCTTGTTCTAAATAGTCTCCTGGCTTCTGAAATTGTCAGAATGTTTCTTCTCATACGTACTTTCAGGACCATTAACCTCCAAATACTTGAGAGAGAAATTCGCTTGCACTGTAATGAAAACACATACAGTATCATGAACAAACTACGCAATTTTTACTTCCTTTTGAATATTGGCTTCATAGAAATGTTCTGTATAATAGGCTGGATTCATGCTTGGCAAGACAATCTATGTTTTTTACTTTTATTGAAATTGTCTTAGTGAAATAGAAACTGAATCAAATGTTCACTATAATAAAATAAGTAATTAACTTGAATTGAAAGGATGTGTATAAGAAACGATTTCAAGATAGAAAATCATAAGGTAGACAAGAAAAATACAATTTTTATTTATTCAATTATAACTCAGATCTAAAATAAACCATTTGAAAAGCTATTTACATTCCCTTTATTATGTATAATTGAATTTACTGAGTAGAATACAAATAAATTGGGTCATATTATTTTATATATGAAAGGCATTAAAGTGCATAGTTTTTCATATCTATCTGAAATGATAGAAATTCAAGTGTATTGATTCTCTTTTTTCTAGTTATTTAAGGCAATGGACATTTGATTCGGTTTGTAAATCAAAAACATTTGATTATGTTCATAAACTGCTTAAAAGGAAGTAGGAAGAATAACCATCAATGTAAAATCGTGTTAACATTACTACAGCAACTCATAAATATATTGGGGATGTATGAAATTTCTTTTGCATTGCTTTTGTTCTCTTTATTCCTCATGCCTCACCATTTTAAATTCTATCCTAAATAACGTCTCTAGGCTTTTGTTATATACCACCCCCAAATGGGGCAATTATTATTTACTCATTTATCACTCAATATTTGTTGAGCTCCTGATACGTTTTGGCACTATACTAGTGATGGAAGACAAACAAATCAATAGCTATGCACTCAAGGAATGAGATAAAGGAACTAAAAGCAATCAAATTCTCTCGCTTATTTTCAATGACAGAGATTTACAGAAAATACCATTAAAGAACAGTTTTGTAGACGAAGATTTGAGGAAAGATTGGCTTTTATAAGGAACACAACTAATTCTTTAAGTATCAGTTCAAGTGTAAAAGGTAAGTAGTGAGTAAAGAAAGGGGTGAAGATAGTCTATGTAAATGGCCCCCATGAGCAAAGACATATCAGGGAGAAACAGCCTGGTGTGCAAAAAAATACAATGGTTGTTTGACCTGAAAATTGTAAGGCAGAACAAACATGCACAGTTATGATGATAGAGAGGTTGAGAGGCCAGAAGATAGCAGCAATAATGTGCCATTAGGGAGCATGACTTTTGTTCTACAGGCATTGATTATGCTTGCATAATAGATTATATCAGTGTATTAGTGTAAGAAAGATCACTGATAATTATCCAGAGATTATGTTAAAGGAAGGCAAGACTGGAACATGGTTTAAAAATTAAGAAAGTGCCAGAGTATCTTCATGTTGTTGGATGTGGATCTGAATGAAGGCACTGGTAGCAGAGATGGAAATTATTGACTTATTAAATATTTAAGAGATGCATACAGTAGGAATTGATGAGTGCTTAGATATAAATGTATACATCATGTTAAAAGTCAGAATAATTACCACTGGATGGTTGCTTCCACTTCTAACATATAACAGAAACTACACTTACCCATGTACAAATGATTTTTATTTCATCACATGCAATGAAAACTTCTATTTATTTTCTTCTTCAACCTTTCAGCCTCAATTGGCATGGTTGTCCTCTTCTTCCTTTTAAAGACATCGTACCTGTCTTTCTTCTGGTGCACTGTGTATTCCTGTGTTCTGATGACTTCTCAGGCCCTTTCTCTATTGTGCTACTAGCATATGCTCTACCTGGCCTCCTAACCATCTTCACTCTTTGTATATCTTCCCTCCCCAAGTGATCCTTCCCATTTACATGGCTTAAATACATATACATTCAGAAAATCCCCAAATCCAAGACATTTCCTCTGCATTTCAGGCTTTCATGTTAACTTTCTAATTGATATATTTGATTAGAATAACTTCTCAAAAATGAAATCTACTTATTTGTGTTCCATATTAAACCTTGGGGTTTGATGTATCCCAAATATGGACAATTAAGATCTTGACTACATAAAGATTATTTTTCTAATACATTATTTCAGAAATTCAACTCAGAAATTAAGGTTATTGCAACTGTAGAAGAAGAGTACAAGTCTTAAGTCTAATCTGATTTAAATTATCTACTAGAGCTAAAAATATTTTTGTTACATATTTTCATCTTTCTATTGGGGCTGATTTGACATTTTGATTTTTTTTTTATTTTGCAAGGTTTTATCATTTACTGGAGTTTATTTTAGTATTTTTGTTTGTTTATTTTACTTTTGGAAAAGGTTGGTAATTCAGCAAATTAGATTGGTGGAGACAGAATAATGGATAGAGTTGTACTTCTTTTCCACACCCAAACTAGCACACCAATATCATTGGTTTACTTACTTACAGCCTAGTTGTTACGACTAAAAATTCTAGTTCAGACTGAGTTCAAATATGGGCTCAAAAGTGTGTAACTGTTTCTTGTTTGTTTATTTTTATAAATTTTATCTGTAATTTTATGTATTTATAGGGTAGAGAGTAATATGTCAACACATTGTAAAATATATAATGATCAACTAAGGGTAATTAGTATATCCATCGCTTGAAATATTTATCATTCCTTTGTGTTGGAAACATTCCAAATCATCTTTTCTAGCTATTAGAAAAAATACAATAAATTATTCTTAACTATAGTGACATGGTTTGGCTGTGTCCCCACCCAAATCTCATCTTGAATTGTAGTTCCCATAAACTCCACATGTCAAGGGAAGGACCAAGTGGGAGATAGTTGAATAATGGGAGTGGTTACCCTCATGCTGTTCTCATGATAGTGAGTTCACATTAGATCTGATGGTTTTATAAGGGGTTTTTCTTCCTTTTGCTTGGCACTTCTCCTTGCTGCCACTACATGAAGAAGCACGTGTTTGCTTCCCTGTCCACCATGATTGTTAGTTTCCTGAGGCCTCCCCAGCCATGCTGAACTGTGAGTCCATTAAGCCTTTTTCCTTTATAAATTACCCATTCTTGGGTATGTCTTTATTAGCAGCATGAGAATGGACTAATACAGTAAATTGGTGCCAGTAGAGCAGGGTGCTGCTGCAAAGATACCAGAAAATGTGGCAGCAACTTGGAACTGGGTAACAGGCAGAGGTTGAAACAGTTTGGAGGGTTCAGAAAAAGATAGAAAAATGTGGGAAAGTTTAGAACTTCCTAGAGACTTAGAGGGCTCAGAAGACAGGAAGATGTGGGAAAATTTGGAACTTCCTCGAAACTTGAATGGTTTGGACCAAAGGGTGATGTTGCTATAAATAATGAAGTTCAGGCTGAGGTGGCCTCAGATCAAGATGAGGAACTTGGTGGGAACTGGAATAAATGTGACTCTTGCTATGTTTTAGCAAAGAGGCTGGTAGCATTTTGCCCCTGCCCTGTTGAACTTTGAACTGGGGAGAGGTGATTTAGGGTATCTGGCAGAAGAAATTTCTAAGCAGCAAAGCATTTAAGAGATCAGAGAGCATAAAAGTTTGGAAAATTTGCAGCCTGTTGATGCCATAGAAAAGAAATTCTACCCCATTTTCTGGGGAGAAATTTAAGCCAGCTGCAGAAATTTGCATAAGTAACGAGGAGCCAAATGTTAATCACCAAGGCAATGGAGATAATGTTTCCAGGGCATGTCAGAGACCTACAGGGAAGCCCCTCCTATCACAGGCCCAGAGGCCTGGAAGGAAAAAATGGTTTCCTGGGTAGCGTGAGAACAGACAAATGCATATAGTCATCCTATAATGCTGTAGAACACTAGAACTTATTCTTTCTGTATAGATGTAATTTTATGTTAACCAACTTCTCCCTATCTCCGCCTGCCCCCTACCCTTCCCAGCCTCTAATAACTACAATTTTACTATTTATTTCTGTAAATTCAATATTTTTTAGCTTCCACATATAATGAGAACATGCCATAGTTATCCTTCTGTGCCTGACTTATTTCACTTAACAATGTCCTCCAAGCTCATCCAAGTTGTCATGAGTTACAGGATTTTTTTAATGGCTCAATCATATTCTAGTGTGTATATGTGCCATATTTTCTTTATCCATTCATCTGTTGCTGGACAATTAAGTTGATTCAATATCTTGGTTATTGTATATAGTCCCGCAATAAACATGGAGGTAAAGATATCTCTTTGACATACTGATTTCCTTCCTTCCTTTTCCTTCCTTCCCTGCTTGCTTTCTTTTAATAAATACCCACTAGAGAACTTGCTGGATCATATAACACTTCTATTTTTAGTTTTTTGAGAAACCTCCATACTATTTTTATAATTGCTCTGCCAATTTGCATTTTCACTATGTAAAAGAGTTTTCTTTTCTCTGTATCCTCACCAAAATTTGTTATTTTTTGTCTTTTTGAGAATAGCCATTCTGACTGGAATGAGAAGATACTGCAATGTTGGTTTTATTTGCATTTCTCTGATGATTAGTGATGTTGAGCATTGCCAAATATGCTGCTTGGCCATTTGCATGTCTCCTTTTGAAAAATATCTATCTGTATTTCTTGCCCATTTTTAAATTGGAATATTTGTTTTTTGTTGTTGAATTATTTGAGATTATTGTGTATTCTAGATATTAATCCCTTGTTGGATGAATAGTTTCAGATATTTTCTCCTATTCTATAGGCTACCTCTCTTCATTCTCTTGATTGTCACCTTAGCTTTGCAGAAGCTTTTTAGTTTAATATATTGTCTATTTTTGCCTTTGTTACCTGTAGTTTTGAAGTCTTACTCATAAAATATTTTCCCAAACCAATGTCCTATATGTTTTCTTTCAGTTGTTTAGTTTTACATTTTTTTGTCTTACATTTTTTTGTCTTGCATTTAAGTTTTTACTCCATTTAGAGTTGATTTTTGTATGTGGTGAAAGACAGAGTTCTAGTTTCAGTCTTCTGAATATGGATATTCAGTTTTTCCAGCACCATTTGTTGAAGAAACTGTCCTTTCCTCAGTATATGTTCTTGGTGCCTTGATTGAAAATCAATTAACTGTAAATATGTGACCTTCTTTCTTCACAGTTCTCTACTCCATTCTATTAGTCTCCATGTCTGTTTTTATAACAGTACTATGCTGTTTGGTTTACTATTGCTTTATAATGTATTTTGAAATATAATGTATTTTAATGTATAATGTATTTTGAAGTATTTTGAATATAATGTATATTATGCCTGCAACTCTGTTCTTTTTGCTCAGCTTTGTTCTTTTGGATATTTGGGATGTTTTGCGGTTCTATACAAATTTTAGCTTTTTAAATTTTTGATAAGAATTCCATTGGCATTTTGATTGAGAGTGCATCAAATCTGGCAGTTGTTTTGGGTAGTGTGGTCATTTAAATAAGGTTAATTCTTCTAATTCATCAACATGGAATGTCTATTTGTTTCTGTGTGTCGTTTTCAGTTTCTTTCATCAGTGTTTTTCCATTTTCCCTTGTAGAGATCTTTCACCTTGTTGGTTAAATTGATTTCTAGGTATTTTATTTTTGTAGCTATTATAAATTAAATTTCAATCTTAACTTCTTTTCAGCTAGTTTGTTATTGGTGTATACAGATACTACTTGTTTTTGTATGTTGATTTTCTATTCTGCAACATTATTGAATTTCTTTTTTTACCAGTTCTAAGTGGGGTTTTTCAGTGTAGTATTACGTTTTTCTATACATGACATCATGTAATCTGTAGCTATTAAACTTACATTTCTGTAACTGCTGATTTATAAAATGAGTAAATGGCATATTCCATTAGCTTTTTGCAAAGATTAAATTCATATAAATGAATATAAACATAAGCATATAAAATTAATTAAATATATATACATAAATATATAATTTATTTCTATTACTCAAAGCCATTCATGTGGCAGGCATTCAATAAATATTAGCTTCATCATGATCATCACAATCATTATGATAAGCATCATTTTTATTGGAATAGCCATCTGCTATTTGCACTGCATGCAAAGATGGGAGGTTTTGTTTCTTTCATTCAATGGGTGCTATTCAATGTTTTCAGTAGATTAACTCTCATTAAACTTTTGTTTTTGGCATAGTAAGAAAATGTAACATGAGATACACTCTTTTAACAATATTTTAAGAGTACAATGCAGTACAATATAGTATTTTTATTTTACTGTAGGCAGGATGGTGTAGAGTAGATATCTAGAATTTATTAATCTTGCATAACTGAAACTTTATATCTGTTACATAGCAACTCTTTTTTTTTTTTTTTTTTGAGACAAAGTATCACTCTTTTACCCACATTGGAGTGGAGAGGCATGATCCTAGCTCACTGTAACCTCAAACTCCTGGGCTCAAGCAATTCTCTCGCCTTAACCTCCTGAGTAGCTAGTATTAAAGACATGTGCCATCACATTCAGCTAACATTTAATTATTATCACTTTTGCTTTGTAGAGATGAAGTCTCATTATTTTGCCAGATGCTAGTGTATTAGGCCATCTTGCATTGCTATAAAGAAATACCTGAGACTGGGTAATTTATAAACAAAAAAGGTTTAACTAGCTCCCGGTTCTGCAGGCTGAACAAGCATGGCATAGACATTGCTTGGCTTTGGGGGAGGCTTCAGGGAGCTTTTGCCCATGGTGAAAAGCAAAGCAGTAGCAGGCACTTTACATGGCAAGAGCAGCAGAAAGAGAGAGAAAGAGAGAGAGAGAGGAAGAGGAGGAGGAGGGGGAAGAGGAGGAGGAGGAGGGAGGTGCCATCCACTTTTAAATGACTGAATCTTGCAAGTACTCACTCAGTGTCAGGAAGACAGCACCAAGCCACGAAGGATCTACCCTCATGATCCAAACACCTACTACAAGACCACAACACCAGCTTTGAGGATTACAATTCAACATGAGATTTGGGCAGGGATAAATATTCATGCTATATCAGTGGAAACGATCTATTGATTTAATCCTTCAGCCACTGGGTATTGTCTGGGAGAACGGCAACGACTCCATGACTGATTTTTTTTTCCTCCTTGTTCGTTCTGTGGTCCTCAGCTCCCACTCTGTAGGCTTTACTTTACCAAATTGATTATCTGTTAATCAACCTCCATTACCTCTGCTGATATGTAAAGGCAAAAATTCTTCTTAAAATTAAGATTTTAGGTTGTTCAACCTCCACATGCATTTCTGAATTTTGATCCTCACATTTCTACCTCATGATTGATATGCTATTATTTGGAGGAGTTTCATGCACTCAAGCTCTGTTCCAATTGCCATATTATATTTCTTAAGTAAATATCTGTATCTGATTTCTATATTTTGCTTTCTTTACTTGACAAGAAGTGATTGGAAAATATGAAGTGTACAATAAAGATTCAGAGGACAATGTCACTTAAAATTTTTTTATTATATCATAAAAGAAAATCCATTAGTGTTCAGTATTATGAGTGCTTTTCTACTATTTGTAGGTAGACATTTCTAGGTGAAAGCCTAGATATATCTGTCAGCAGATATCAGTATAAATTTGTGAATTTATTAAGGCACCAGAGTCCACATCACTACTAAGGATGTATTTTATGTGTTGTTGGCCAAGGCAGCTTAATTTGTTTTAGAAACAATTTCTTGATTGTGCCAATATGCACTGAAATCTGATCACCTGTCATTATCTGTGAATATTTTCTTAAGTTTATAGAGAAAGAACTATTAAATAAAATGATTATTCTAGAATTCTTAGATATTAGTTAATCAGAATATTCATTTCTAATTAAACAATATATCGAGTTACCATCTCTCCTTCATTTTAACAACAGTTTTCATTCTGAAAGAGAACCTTTCAATTGTGGGTCATAGGCAGAAATTCAAAAAAGCCATATTAATTTCAAATTTTTTTGGTTCCTGCTTAATTTTGTTGTTTACCCAAAAGTCAATCAGAGACAAGGAGGTGAATTTCTATATAATTGTGTGGTTTTGAGAGATCTTTTTGGTGTTGATTTCTATTTTGTATTCCATTGTGGTCCAGGATTATGGCTGGTCTGATTTTGATTTTTTTAAATTTATTGAATCTCGATTTATGGCTGAGCATGTGATCAATATTAGACTATGTTCTGCATGCTGATGAGACAAATGTATGTTCTGTGGTTGGTGGGTGGGTAGTTCTGTAGATATCTTTTAGGTCCAATCGGTCAATTGTCAAATTTAAGCCCAGAATTTTTGGGGGGTTAGTTTTCTGCCTCAATAATCTGTCTAATGCTGTTAGTGGAGTGTTGAAGTCCCCACTATTAATTGTGTAATTGTCTTAGTCTTTTCACAGGTCTAGAATAACTTGTATTATGAATCTGGATGCTCCAATATTGGGCACATATATGTTTAGAAGAGTTAAGTCTTCTGGCTTAATTGATTCCTTTATCACTTTATAATGGCTTTGTCCTTTTTTACTGTGGTTTGTTTAACCGTTTTCCTGTTTAGAAAAAATAAGTGTAACTCACTGCCAGAGCTCATTTAATTTTATATAAACCTACTCTTTGAGGCTGAGGCAAATCTAAATGATTTTCTATGTGAAAATAAAATATAAAACTGTTATTGAAGTTATTTCTAAACAGAACTAATATCAGAATCATGTGAATCATCAGAATTGTCTGTTTCAAAAAATCAGATTTCTCAAATGAACCTTCAGTCAACAACTGTTCAGAAATGACTTTAACATCACATGTAAGAATGCTACCTTTTCTAGGGTTTGACATTTACAGCCATCAAGAATTACTATATTTTGTAAATGCAAATACCACCACTAGAAACAGAATGTTGTAAATAGAATGATATCTTTTGTTTCCAAAGTCAATATACTATAGCAACGCAAAAATAATAATAAAAGTGAGGTATTTCGTGGCAAAGTTATCTTGGGGTAAACATTGCAGCAGCAAGTGCCACCAGCAAGTATTCTCAGGGAAAGTGGGAAAGAGTTAAAGTCTGGTTTGTCTAATTTGAGAACAGTGACCCTTGCTCTTTTTATGTTTTTCATTTGCATTTCTCCAACACTTTATTTTGAGCCTACTGGTAGCAATACACATGAGATAAATCACTTGAAGATAGCGGATAGGTGGGTCTTGTTTATTTATTTATTTATTTTTATCCAACTCACCATTCTGTGCCTTTTAACTAGAAAATTTAGACTGTTCAGATTCAGTTTTAATATTTATTATATGAGGCTTTGATTGTATCATTAAATTGTTAGTTGGTTGGCCTGTAGTTTTTATCATGTAGCTGTTTTATAGAGTCTGTGGGCTGTATACTCAAGTGGGTTTTGTTCTGGCATGTATCAGTCTTTTGTTTCCATGATTAGAGCTCCCTTAAGGATCTCTTGTAAGGCTGGTCTAGTGGTAATGAATTGTCTTAGCAATTTCTTATTTGCAAAATTTTATTTCTCCTCCACTTATGAATCTTAGTTTGGTGGGATATAAAATTCTTAGCTGGAATTTCTTTTATTTAAAAATGATGAAAATAGGCCTCCAATCTCTTCTGCCTTGTAAGCTTTCTGCTGAAAGTCTACTGTTAACCTGGTGGGATTTTCTTTGTATGTGACCTGATCTTTTTCTCTAGATGCCTTCAAAATATTTTCTTTAGCATTAACCTTGGACAATCTGATTACTATATGGCTTGCTGATGCTCATTTTGTACAGTATCTTGAATGTGCACAGCATCTTGCATCTGGATTTCTTGTATCTAAATGTCTACATCTCTAGCAAGATTAGGATTTTTAAAAAATTATTTCCTCAAATACATTTCCTAAGCTGTTTACTTTTTCTGCTTCTCTCTCCGATGTGCCACAAATGTGTAGGTTTGTTTGCTTTACATAATCCCCTATGTCTCAAAGACTTTGTTTTTACTTTTAAATTTCTTTTTCTTTAAATTTATCTGACTGGATTTCAAGCTTTGAAACTGTTATTCAGGCTTTGAAATACTTTCTGCATTGTCTGCTTTATTGACAAAACTGCAAACTGTATTTTAAAATTTCTTCAGTGAGTTTACCAATTCCAAAATCTCTGATTGATTTCTTTTTACGATGTTTATCTCTTTCTTAATTCCCTGGATTCCTTTAGAAATTTCTTTGTGTTCATTTTCAACCTTGTCTTAGATCTCATTGAGCTAACTTGTAACCCATAGTTTGAGTTCTGTATCCATTATTTCTGAGTTTCCATTTTGATTAGGGTCCATTGCTGGAGAGTTTTATGATACTTTGGTAATGTCACAACACTCACATTTTTTATGGTGCCAGAATTCTTGCACGGGTTCCTTCTCATTTAGAGAAGCTGGGACTTATCGTTGTTGTAATTTTAGTTTTGTATGGGTAGAATATTACAAAATCTCTGGAATGCAACAAAAGTTATGCTGTGAAACACCTTCATCAAGAAGTTATAAAGATCTCAAATTAACAATTTAATATCACTCCTAGAGAAACTAGAAAAACAAGAAAAAACAAGAAATAACTAACCCCAAAAATAGTAGAAGAAAAGAAATAACTAAAATCAGAACGGAATTGAATGAAATTGAGACACAAAAATCTCTACTAAGGATTGACAAAACCAAAATTAGTTCTTTGAAAAGATAAACAAGGTCAATAGACTTCTAGCTAGATTAGCAAGGAAAAAAAGAGAAGTTCCATGTAAACAAAAATCAATAACAACACAGGAGATGGAAATCAAAAGATCCTCAGGGATCATTATGAAGACCCCTATGCACACAAACTAGAAAATCTGGAGGAAATGGGTAAATTCCTGGAAACACACAACTTCCCAAGATTGAATCAGGAAGAAATTAAAAACCTAAACAGCAATATCAAGTTCTGAAACTGAAACAGAAAACAAAAACAAAAAAACAAACAAACAACAATAACAACAAAAAAGCCCTTGACCAGATGGATTCACAGTCAAACTATCATCTATACAAAGAACTGGTACAAATTCTACTGAAACTATTCCAAATAATTGAGAATGGACCCATGCCTAATTTATCCTGTGAATCCAGCATCATGCAGATATCAAAATATTGCAAAAACATAACAACAAAAAATCTTCAGGCCAATATTTCTAATCAATACAGATGCAAAAATCATCAACAGAAAACTAGCAAACTCAATCCAGTAGCGCATCAAATAGTTAATTTACCATGATCAATTAGCTTTATTCCTGGGAGGTAATTGTGGTTCAACATATGCAAATCAATAATTGTGATTCACCACATAAGCAGAATAAGAACAAAAACCACATGATGGTTTCAATATATTCAGAAAAAGCACTAAATATTACTCAGTAGGCTGAGGCAGGATAATCACTTGAACCTGGGAGGTGGAGGTTGCAGTGAGCCAAGATTGTGCCACTGCGCTGCACTCCAGCCTGGGCGACAGAGCAGGACTCCAAAAACAAAAAAAAAAAAAAAGAAAAAAGAAAAGAAAAAGCATTAAATAAAATACAATTTCCCTTCATGTTAAAAACTCATAAAAAACTAGATATTGAAAGAACATACCTCAACATAATAAAAGCAATCTATGACAAACCCACAGCCAGTATCATACTGAACAAGCAAAACTGGAAACATTCCCCTGAGAACTGGAACAAGACCTGATTACCTACTCTCACCATTACTATTTAAAATAGTACTGGAATTCCTGGCCAGGTTAATCCAGTAAGCAAAAGAAATAAAAGGCATCCAAATAGAAAAAAATGACAAACTAGCTCTATTTGGTGATGATATGACTTGATACCTAGAAAGCCCTGAAGACTCCACCAAAAGGCTACTGAAACTTATAAACAACTGCAGTAAAGTCTCAGGATACAAAACAAGTGCATAAAAAATTAGTATTATTTCTATACATCAATAACAATCAAGCTGAGAACCAAATGAAGAGCCCAATCCTATTTAAAAGAGCCACAAAAATATCTAGAACTACATGTAACGAAGGAAGTAAACAATCTCCACAAGGAAAACTACAAAACACTGCTGAAAGAAATCATAGGTCACACAAATAAATAAAAATATATTCCATGCTCATAGATTGGAAGAATCACTATCATTAAAATGGCCATGCTGCCCAAAGCAATCTTCAAATTCAACACTATTTCTGTCACAGCCCAATGTCATTTTTCACAGATTTAGGAAAAAACTATGACAAAATTCATATAGAGTCAAAAAGAGCCTGAATAACCAAAGCAATTCTAAGCAAAAAGAATAAAGTCAGAGGTGTTACATTACCTGACTTTAAACTATTCTGTAAGGCTACAATAACAAAAACAGCATGAAACTGGTACAAAAACAGACATATAGACCAGTGAAGCATAACAGAGAACCCCAGACTTAAGCTCCACACAACAACCATCTGATTTTAAACAAAGTAAAAAAAAAAATAAGCAATGAGGAAATGTCTCCCTATTTCATAAATGGCACTGGAATAGCTGGCTAGCCCTATGAGGATAAATAAAACTGGACCCTTATGTTTCACCATACACAGAAATTAACTCAAGATGGATTAAAGATTTAAATGTAAAACATAAGCATATAAAATGTAAAAATTCTAGAATAAAACCTAGGAAATACCATTCTGGACATCGGCCTCAGGAAAGGATATATGACTATGTCCTCAAAAGCAACTGCAACAACAACAAAAACATTGACAAGTGGGACATAATTAAAGAGCTTCTGTACAACCAAAGAAACTATCAACAGGCCGAGGTGGATGGATCACCTGAGGTCAGGAGTTTGAGCCAGCCATAAAAAAATGAACAAAGTAATGTTCTTTGCAGAAACATGGATGCAGCTGAAGGCCACAATCCTAAGCAAATTAATACAAGAACGGAAAACCAAATATTGTATGTTACCACTTGTAAGTGGGAGCTAAACATGGGTACACATGAACAACATGCACATGAAGACAGAAAAATAGACACTGGGACTGTTAGAGGGGAAGAAAAAGCTGAAAAACTACCTATTGGATACCACGCTCACTACCTGGATGATGAGTTCATACATATCCAAAACCTTAGCCTCATACAATATATGCATGTATCATATCTGCACATATACCTCATGAATGTAAAATAAAAGTTGAAATTATAAAAAAGCCATATTATAAAAGTGTTCATTTTTTTGTAACAAGGTTGTTCTTTTGCAAAGCCATTCTGGCAGAACATAAATATGCAATCAATGTGTTTTTTACATTTAGTTTGGCAGAGAGCAATGGTATTTTCAAGCTTTGAATCTTACTAGAATATATGGTGACAATAATAATGTTCCCAAGGCTTGTTAATATAACTGAGAAGCTTAAAATGCTCTCTTACATGGATAGTCATTTGATTAAAAATCTTGAAATTCTTTAAAGATAAAAAAAGGAATATAAAAGACCTAACTCACAGTTAACTTAAATCACTATGAATGATAAGGAAATATGAATTTAGGAGGATATTGAAGTTAACAGCTGAAAAAGAAGAGTCAGTTATAAAGGCTTAATATACAGAAGAAAAAAGTATTAATAATAAATAAAAGTAGTGTTTAAAATACTTTTGTCTCCTGAATATTCTGAGTTAGATTTCTCAGAGTTTAATCATTCTGCACAGGGAATGCAGCTTCCAATAATAAATTTTTCTTCAAACAAACAAACAAACCAAAAAACAAAACAAAACAAAAAAAACAAAAAAAACCCAGCATCACATATTATAATACTGATAACGAAAATAAAAACAAAGAAATAAAATTGTATTAAAAATAAATACTACTAAGATACAAATGAGGAGTAACATTAAATCTAATTAATTTTCAGAAATTTACAATGAAGGACAGATTCCTTCAGTAGAAATAATGGAATATTTTTATTACAGTCATTTATGTGTAAATATTTGCCTGATATTGATTAATGTTAAGTGAAGAAAAGAGTAGGCGCTAAGAATGTGATTTTGTTTCTTAGATTTTATTTTACAAAACATCAATTATTCCAACAAATTTGGGAACATATTTGTAAAATAAAAAAAGAATTAAAAGTTTAATTACATCTCACTGTGAACATAATTTCCTAATCTACTTGATTTAAGTAACTTTTATTCAAGAAATCATCTGAAAGAATACTGAGAATCTGCTCTTCTGAAAGTGTCAGCTTATGTGGTAAAATCTCCAGTGTGATGGAAAACATAAATCTTCACTTATTACTTATGATCACAGGGCTTAAAAAAGTATTTATATACTCCTTTTTACCTGGAAGATAATGTTTTATTCTTGATCCTCTTAATTTACAAGTTCACTTTTGATATTTACTTATAAAATTTTGTCATAGGGTGTAACAATGTTAACCTGATTGATCACTATTTACTTATTTTCATTTTTTAAAATGACTAGAAGTAACTGTTGTGTTAGTATCAGAGATATCATAAAAACATGATTAGCTAGACATATTTTAGTGTTAATACTAATGCAAAAATAAAATGAAGGCCAAATATTTATATCTAGAAATCTATCTATTTTTACGCACTTCATACTCCTATCAAAATATGCCATTCCTCTTAGGAAGTTAATGTTACATTCTAATTTCATAATTTATACCACAACTATGAAAATATGGACAACCATTTTATATTTTCGCTGCTATATATTTAATTTATTTTTATTCTTATTTTTTTCAACTTTTATTTTCAATTCAGGAGGTACATGTGCAGGTGTTTTACCTGGATCTATTGGATGATGCTGATGCTTGGAATACAAGTGATTCCGTCACCCAGGTATTGAGCATAATACGCAATAGTTTTTAGCACTCTCTCCTCTCCCTAACCCTCTCCTCTAGTAATCCCCAGTGTCTCTTATTGCCGTCTTTGTATTCATGAGTACCCAATGTTTAGCTCCAACTTAAAATTGAGAAGGTGCACTATATGGCTTTCTGTTCCTGCATTAATTTGCTTAGGATTATGGCCTCCAGCTGCATCCATATTGCCATAAAAGACATGATTTTGTTTTTTTTATGACTGTGTAGTATTCCGTGTTTTCTTTATTCAATCCACTGTTAATGGGCACCAAGGTTGATTCCATGTCTTTGTTATCGTAAATAACACTGAAGTGAACATACAATTGGATGTTTCTTTTTGGTATAATGATTTATTTTACTTTGACTACCTATCCAGTAATAGGATTTCGGGGTCAAATGGCAGCTCTGTTTTAAGTTATTTGAGAAATGTCTAAACTGTTTTCCATACTAGTTGAGCTAATTTACATTACTACCAAAGGTATATAAGTGTTCCCTTTTCTCTACAGCCTTGTGAGCATCTGTTGTTTTTTGACTTTTTAATAGTAGCCATTTTGACTGCTGTGAGATGGTATTTTATTATGGTTTTGACTTGCATTTTCCGATGATTAGTGATGTAGAAAATTTTTTTCATGTTGTTGGCCATGAGTTTGTCTTCTTTTGAGATAAGTCTGTTTTGTCTTTTGCCCACTTTTTAATGTGGTTCTTATTATTTTGCTTGTTGATTTAAGTTCCTCGTAGATTCTGGATATTAGATCTTGGTGTTGGATGGATAGTTTGTGAATATTTCTTCCCATTCTGTAGGTTGTCTATATACTCTATTGATAGTTTCTTTTGCTGTGCAGAAGCTCTTTAGTTTACTTAGGTCCCATGTGAATTTTCATTTTTGTTGCAATTGCTTTTCAGGACTTAGTCACAATTTCCCGAGTCCAATGTCCAGAATGGTATTTCCTAGTTATTCTTTTAGAATTCTTATAGTTTTAGATCTTACACGTAAATTTTTAATCTATCTTGAGTTAATTTTTGTATGCGGTGAAAGGTACGGGGTGCAGTTACTTTTTTCTGAGTGTTGCTAGCCAGCCATTCCAGCACCATTTATTGACCTTTTCCCATTGCTTATTTTTGTCGACTTTGTCAAAGATCAAGTGGCTGTAGGTGTACGACTTTACTTCTGAGTTCTTTATTCTTAAACTCCTTTTATAATTTACTTCAAACACCTCAGAACAACCATGTTGGTCCTATAAAAAAATACGTATTTTTTTGGTCAATTACAAGATATGCTAATCTACTAAGAGAGCTCAAATCATACTTGTCATAGAAATAACGGAAGTGTTTTTCTAGAAATTACTAAAACTCATCTTACAACCCAGTGAAAAAACGAGTGATTTTAATGTAAAAAACAAATAGTTTTTGAATTTAAGAAAATGTTAATTTTGGACGTTGCCTTCAGAGGATGAAAAATTCAGAATTTACTGGCCACTCTGAAAATATGTAAGAATTTTAGCCATTTCACTTAATATTCCTATTATATATTTATGTATATCAATGACAGCTATGTTTATTGTGATAGCAGTTGATTGTAGAATTTGCTGCTGGTGCAATGTCTTTTGTTTAACAGAAGGATTCTTACTAAACAAGTATGTCTATAATTCTTTGAATATATTGATTTGAGGTAATGTTTTATTTGGCATTCAAAAATATGTGATCTCAAATGAATGACTAAAAATTGACCAAGTGAAATGTTTCCCTGAACAATAAAAACAAGCCTAGAAAAGTTAACAATATTTGTAAATACATAAATTTGAATTAAAATGATAAAATTTGGCTGGGCGCGGTGGCTCACGCTTGTAATCCCAGCACTTTGGGAGGCCGAGGCGGGTGGCTCACCTGAGTTCGGGAGTTCGAGACCAGCCTGACCAACATGGAGAAACCCCATCTCTACTAAAAATAGAAAAATTAGCTGGGTGTGATGGCACATGCCTGTAATCCCAGCTGCTCAGGAGGCTGAGGCAGGAGAATTGCTTGAACCCAGGAGGTGGAGGTTGCTGTGAGCCGAGATAGTGCCATTGAACTCCAGCCTGGGCAACAGAGCTAGACTCCATCTCAAAAAGAAAAAAAAAGATAAAATTTGCCATACTGTTTAATATTTTTCCTGATTTCCTGTTCAGCTGATGTTCATGCTGCTGTGAATCTGTATTATGTAAGATAAATCACTCATTATCTGTTTTCTTTCTTCATCCTTCACTTTTTATTGCACTCTTTCTTTGGCATTTTTTGATAAAACTTTTGCCAATCACTTCCACATCTCTGGTGTTTAAAATTATATTGGATCCTTTAACAATGAGACCTTTCATGACTTTTGAATTTTCATTGCCTGTTACACTGCACATTTCAATTCTATGATGTTATATGTCTACACCCCTTATTAATACCTATTATATATTCCTCATAGTTTCCTTTATATCTGACACTGTGGCTGAATGATTTTACTTCATAGTTTATTTCTTGCGTTTAATGCTTAAACACAACTTTACATCCCTAAAAGGATCCATAGATTGCTACGTATGTTTCTACCTTGTTTAATATGGAATTCAGTTTGAAGCAGGTAGAAATAAGGATCTGTACCTATTTTTCGAAATAGCTAAATGTCCCAGCACCTTATTTAATGATCTTTCTTTCTCATTATTTTCCTGTGCCACTTGTTATCATATTATCTCAGAGATGTCCATAATTTTGGCTTGTTTTATCAATATGTAATCAAATGACATAACAGCTTTAATCATCATATGTTTTGTTTAACTAATATTGTCAAATATCTTGTATACATGTGCTTCCAATTATTATTTTTACATGTTTTCTTTTCAGTGCAATCTATTTATTTTTCCGGTTTCAGATGAAATTGTAAACTGCCTTATTATTTCTTGAAAGCTGGCATCTTCTAATCTCTCCCACCTGCTCAATTAAAAGAAAAATACTAGTGTTTTGAAAAACATTTTATTAGAATTACAAGTTAATTGAGAAAAATGGAAAAATTTGCATCAGTCATTAAATACCTTCAGGAACATGGCACAACCCTTGATTTCTTAAAATTGATAAATGATACGCATATGCTTCACCACAACAATGTAGATGTCGCCACATAGGTCCTATCTATGTCAAGTAATAGTATCCTTAGAATTTGTATATTGTGAAAGATGAGTATATTTATATATTACTGAAAAGTATTTTTCTGGTATAATTGTTATTTATGAATGTTGGAATATATGAAAGCTGTTGCTTTTCTAAATATTGCTTTTTAACTGACTACCTTACTGACTTCTTAGGAATAACTATTTTTATCATATTGCTTTTGTGGAACACGGCTAAATCATTCATAACTGATAATAATTTATCTTTCTTCTTAGGGTCATAATTTTCATTATATTTAATGCATTAAAAAACTCACATTTTTATGAGATGATTTAACAATTTTATATGTAGACCTGAGTAAGGAAGATGTGTAATTAATTAATACAGATTTAAACTGTTAATGATAGAAAAATATGTACAGTTTTAAGGTTCAGAAATTTTAAGGTCAATAAAGCAAAATTTTGAATTAAACTTAAAAGCATAAAAAGTTTAATGAAAACTTACAAAGCTCTAAAAGAAAAGACAATTCGAACCAGATAACATAAGGACATCATCAGAGCTGCTATTTTCTTGAAAATATTTATTAATCCCTGCAAATGCAAGCTTTTTGTTTAATATTCCCATCAGTAAAGGTGAGTAGATATATAAGCCCAAATCCACACAAGTGAAGAAATATAATAGGAAATTGTCATCATAATAAATTAAGGCCAGAGGGTGCTGTACTCTGAAAGAAAAGGTGAACCAGAAATAAACCTGAACTACAAGGCAAAATAAACAACATCATAGCATAAGATTTTAATAGATATGTCCTAACATATTTGTTGATCCTTATTTACAGGTAGAACAAGCAGGCCAAAAAATAAGTAAAGGTATACAAAATGTGAATAGCAGGATTAACAAATTTCATGTAAATGACACATGTAGAACTAGGAACACAACAAAAGCAGAACTGTATTTTATTTTATATTTTAGTTTTATAAGCCCATGTGGAACGTTTACAAAGGTTGACTGGTGCTAAGCCATAAACTTTACCTTATAAGAAATTAAAGATTAAAATCATATATCAAAGTGATATATGATTTTGATAATACAATTAACACCCAAATCAACAACAAAACAAAAACACATCCCCATATGTTTGAAAAATCAAGAATTTTAAATGTATATGAAAATTGTTTCAAAAAGGTTTCCACACAAGAAACTAGAACTATTATACGGTAATGATTATTAAAAATATTTTATATTAAAACTTGAGAGATGTAAGTAAATTGTATTTAGAGAGATATTAGAATTTATATACATATTTATATACATACATTTTGTGTGTATATACATATATACTTAATGTGACTATTAGAAAAGATGAATGGCTATATATTAAGGAGCAAGCATCCATCTCAGGACATTATTTTTAAAAATGTAAAAAATATTCTGCACAAATAAAGGGAAGAAATAATATAGTCAGAAATTAGTGAACTAGACCCAAAGTCATACAAAATTTGGCAATGTCAATGGTTGTTTTTTCAAAAAAAATTGAAACAACTTATAATGAAATTTATCAAGAAAAAAGACAGGAGACCGGGCTCGGTGGCTCACGCCTGTAATCCGCCTGTAATCCTAGCACTTCGGGAGGCCGAGGCGGTTGGACCACCTGACGTCAGGAGTTCAACACCAGCCTGGCTAACATGGTGAAACCCCATCTCTACTAAAAATACAGAAATTAGCCTGGCGTGGTGGAGACCGCCTGTAATCCCAGCTACTCCAGACGCTGAGGCAGGATAATGGCTTGAACCCAGGAGGCGGAGGTTGCAGTAAGCCGAGATCGCACCATTTCCCTCCAGCCTGGGCGACAGAGCGAAACTCTGTCCCCAAAACAAAACAAAACAAAACAAAAACAGGAAAAGAAAAATGACAGGAAATACAAACAATGTTAATAATGCAATGGTATACAAATACTGATAATAACAAATATAATAAGCATGCTTATGGCAACAACATTTAATATTTAGATGAAAAGGCCATATTCCTAGAAACAGACATAAGAAGAAATACAAAGAAAAAGCAAAACTAAAATAAAACTAAACAAAAACTGTATAAGGCAATTTAGAAAATGAAGTTTATGACCTCACAGTAGAAATTACTAGAAACAAAAATTAGAAACTACATATGTAAACTATCTTTATATTTATAGTTAACATAAATATTACCACAATAAATAATTGTGAGATTAGGTGTCTGATGGAAGTCTTCAATAAACTTAAGAACAGCATAAACCTAAAACTACACACATATATATGAAGAAAAAAAATAAATAAAATGAAAAATATATAAATATATTCTACAAATCAAGTAGAATACTAACATTAAAATTGAACAAATAGCAAATATGATTAGTAGACAAACATAAGTAAATATGTAAATAGGAATTTAAAAAAGGTGGAAACACTAAGAATCCATTAATGTATGTGATGTTGTAAAACCTTTAGTAGTCATTAGAAAATGAAACTTAGTATCAATTAAAATATCATTTCACAATCACCAGGTAGGTGGTAATTAAGAGTAGGTCTATATTAATTGTCAGGGGGTCAATTTGGAGCAAATAGAACTCTTATCCACTGCAAGGGATGTGTAGATTCATTTAATTATTTTGACAATCAGGTTACAGTTTCCTAGTGAAGCTCACCATGTGACTACCTTATGATTTATCATTTCCTCTGATTTCTTGCATGTGTGCACCAGGAAAAGTGTACTTACATGTCTATAGTAACGTTGTTCGGAATGACCAATAAAAACAGAAAGTTTTCGTGTAATCCCAGCTGCTTGGGAGGCTGAGGCAGGAGAATCACTTGAACCGGGAGGCAGAGGTTACAGTGAGCTGAGATCATGCCACTGCACTCCAGCCTGGGCAACAAGAGCAAAACTCTGTCTCAAAAAAAAAGAGATCAAGTTTTGTGGCATATTAAAAAAATAGAAAAATAGAATACACAATAAAAATATGAGTGAACCTCCAATACAATTTTGAACAACAGAAGTGAGTCACAGAAATCATTCTGTATAGCTTCATTTATTTAAAGTTTAAAAACAGACAAAACTGTACAATGTGTTGTTTAGTAACACATACGTGTTTCTGGTGATTTTCCGATATTTTCCACATATCCCTGCTTTGTGTTGTGTTGGGTAAAGGTGAGACACAATAAAACTTTTCATGAGATTTAAAATACAGCAGAAGACATTAATGGTAAAGGACATCCTGGGTGAAGGCAGTGTCGAACAGAAGCAGAGGTTCTGGCTTTCCTTATTGACGTCAACCCCACTGTGTGATAGCAACCCCAGTTCCATCCAGACATTGGCTGCAAACTCACAGAGCTGGTAATCTTCCCTTGACTGTTTACACCAGGCATTGTGCTTCCATTCCAGTGCTGGACATACCTCACTTCCTGTAAACACCAATGTGTTAATGAAGCCAGGCATGGTTAGTGATATTTTTCTGATTGTTTTTGGACCTCTCCTTCCCCACCTAATTTCACAATTACGTAAGTTCCAGTTTCCTATTATAAATTTTATATTCCTTTGCGTATAGTGGTTTTCCTTCCCTCATTGCAACCTTACTGATAAAACATACATATGTAGTTTTAAAACTATGTAGAAACAGAAAGATATTAATATAAATTCAGAATCGTGGTTACTCCTGAAGAAGGAGGAAAGAGTGTTATTGGGAAAGGCACATGGAGGGTTTTGAGAATAAATTAATATTTTATGTATTGTCCTGGAGTGTGGATATTTTGTATCATTTTTGTTTTATTATTGTTTTTAAAGCACATATATTTTTCATAAGCTTTTTATGATATATTTTACAATTCACTGCTCAGTATATTGAAAAGTAAACTTCTTATTGCTTACTGTCTTGAAAAAGTTTCTTTAAAAGGCCTAGTATGAAATAACAAAGTGCAAGAAACAACAATAAAACACACATAAACTAAATAACATTGAAGCAAGTTCGAACTTTTTTTATGACTAAAAGTATCGATTTTAACTGGCTCACCTCCAAAAGATTTGAAATATAAATACATTTGAGATAAGCCACAGTGTCTTTTACTACTAACTACGTAAACCAAATATGAAACAACAATTAGCTTTTTTGGCAGTAAAAATGTTTTATCAAAGGCCAAAATTATTTGGCTCACATCTAAGACATTTATAGAAGGCTAGAAAGTTGGGCATACATGAATGCCTTCTTATCATTTGATTAATGTACAGCTATTTGGAGGAGTAACGGGTCCATTTTACATGCAAGCAAAGAAATAATTTTGCTTTCAATTTGTTAATTTCTATTTGCTCTGACATTTGCTTTGTCTAAACAAGATGTTTCCAACGATCTGGTTTTGAGAGCTAAGATGAATTGCCTTTTGGAATGACTTTTTTATTAAACTATAAATTAAAGCAGAGAATTAAATCAATTCTTTTGCCAAAAAGGTACAACTGGTAACTGTTCCAATACATTTTCTCAGGGGCTACTTTTGCAGAATTACAAGGCAAGCAATATTGTGTCCGGAATTGGTGGGTTCTTGGTCTCACTGACTTCAAGAATGAAGCCGCGGACCCTCGCGCTGAGTGTTACAGCTCTTAAAGCGCGTGTCTGGAGTTGTTCGTTCCTCCTAGTGGGCTCATGGTCTCGCTGGCTCAGGAGTGAAGCTGCAGACCTTCGCAGTGTGCTCATAAAAGCAGTGTGGACCCAAAGAGCGAGCAGTAGCAACATTTATTGCAAAGCGTGAAAGAACAAATCTTCCACAGTATGGAAGGGGACCTGAGCAGGTTGCCACTGCTGACTGGGGCAGCCTGCTTTTATTCTCTTATCTGGCCCCACCCACATCTTGCTGATTGGTAGAGCCCAGTGGTCTGTTTTGACAGGGCGCCGATTGGTGCGTTTGCAATCCCTGAGCTAGATACAAATGTTCTCCACGTCCCCATCAGATTAGTTAGATAGAGAGTATGCACACAAAGGTTCTCCAAGACTCCACAGGAGCAGCTAGATACAGAGTGTCCATTGGTGCATCACAAACCCTGAGCTAGACACAGGGTGCTGATTAGTGTGTTTACAATCCCTGAGCTAGATATAAAGGTTCCCCACGTCCCCACCAGACTCAGGAGCCCAGCTGGCTTCACCCAGTGGATCCCGCACCAGGGCTGCAGGTGGAGCTGCCTGCCAGTCCTGAGCCATGCGCTCGTACTCTTCAGCCCTTGGGCGTCGATGGGACTGGGCGCCATGGAGCAGGGGGCGGCGCTCGTCAGGTAGGCTTGGGCTGCACAGGAACCCACGGAGGCGGGGGAAGGCTCAGGCATGGCGGGCTGCAGTCCCGAGGCCTGCCCCCGCGGGAAGGCAGCTAAGGCCCTGTGAGAAATCGAGCGCAGTGCCGGTGGGCTGGCACTGCTGGGGGACCCAGTACAACCTCCGCAGCCGCTGGCTCAGGTGCTAAGCCACTCATTGCCCGGGGTCGGCAGGGCCGGCCGGCTGCTCCGGGTGCAGGGCCCGCCAAGCCCACGCCCACCCGGAACTTCAGCTGGCCCGCAAGCGCCGCACGCAGCCCTGGTTCCCACTCGCGCCTCTCCCTCCACACCTCCCTGCAAGCTGAGGGAGTGGGCTCCAGCCTTGGCCAGCCTGGAAGGGGGCTTCTACAGTGCAGCGGTGGGCTGAAGGGCTCCTCAAGTGCCGCCAAAGTGGGAGCCCAGGCAGAGGAGGCGCCCAGAGCGAGTGAGGGCTGTGAGGACTGCCAGCACGCTGTCACCTCTCAATATGGCTGCCTTTACTCAAGCATATGGATTTAGTGGAAAGATCTGATGGAAGTCTTCAGCTTATAAAGATAATAAAAGCCATTCTCCAATTCAATCAAAAGGAAAATATGAGTATTTTATGAAAATATCCAAAATTTAATTTTCATTCTTCAAAATATCAAGTCGTGTATTATGTCTTCTGCACAAATTTGTAAGTACTGTTTATTACAGACTATTTAATTAGTTGTTTCATGGTTGAGGCTTCCAACTGTAAGCTTACATAAGAGCTGTGGCTATAGTTCTCTTTTATTCTACATATCACACTCTAATAACTTGACTGTTTACATATATGTGTTTTCATTAGTTCTACATTAGTAGGGTTTTTTTTTAATTTTGATATTTCACCCTGAATTACAGCCTTATTTCTCTTTTTCCAGAGAATAATCACCATTCATCGTCTTCTTCATTCCCCCTTGTCCCTTTCTCTTCGGAACCTAGGTTTTTTGAAGGGGAGAGGGGAGGCACTCCCACACATTCCTCGGAATTGCAACTTGGCAGTAACCTCAATGATGTTCATATTACAAAATCTAAATGCCAGTTTCTTTCCCTTATCCACCACAATTAAGTGATATTTACAGACAAGTATTTCAGACTTCCTGAAATACATTTCTGTATTTCTTTCAAGAAGTTACTCTCCTTCAATTCTGCTTCTACCTCAGGTAACCTTAGAAAGAATCGTAACTTTGGATTGCTGATCACAACAATGTGCTCTGTGCTCAGCCCTTGGATAACTTCTTGCCTCTATTTACACTCACACTCGAAGGGACCTTATGTAGTCAGCATATGTAGGCGAATGCTGACCTCTCCCAAATGCATAACTGCAATCCTGACAGCTTCTCTGAAATACAGGCTCATCTATTCAATTATGGATTCAATGTCTCTACATGAATGTCTACTAGTTTTTACAAACTTAAATTGTGCCACACAGAACTTACTATTTCTGCCCTTCCCACATGCAAATTATTTTTTCTTGACCTTTCTCATTCTTCTGTCCTTGATACACCAATAGGTGCTGGCAGCTCTACCTTCAAATACTTCTGGAATCTGACTATTCTAACAACTCCTGTCAACACAACCATCATTTCTTTCTATGAATATGAACAGTTTTTCCCAATGCTTCTGCCTCTTTTCATCATGGTCTCACCATCATATTCTACTTTATACGCACTTGTTTAGGCTATCCTTTCAAAATATAAGTCTTTGTCATTCTTTACTGAAAATCCTTGTCTTCACTAGACAACTTTGGTATTTTAGTTCTTATCATGGACTACGAGGCTCTACCTTTCCCTCCTCCTATTTTAATTTTTACTTTTTGTTATTAACATTATCATAATTTATTTTTAGCATAACAACAATTATTGTTATGATGATGATGTCTCCATCTTTCACAAAAAGAAATTGAGTTGTCTTAACTCCAAAGACATATGTATTAAAGTAAATTAAATAAAAATTGGTGATAAAAGATAAAAAGAGGAAATACCCATATTTTAATGTACATTGAATTAGGCTCTGAGCTTTGTGCCAGCCAGAGTAAATAGGGAAACATAATTGCTTTCATACTTATCAGAAATATGCTCACTTCTCAGGGAAGTACTTTTTTCCTGATACTGAAATCTGAAATAAATGTTCAATGAGATTTGTATGGATGATACTGAACTATGCATTATTATATACCTTCAACTTTAGTTTACAGAAAACACAGAAGTGTGTTCACAAGCTCATGGATTGAAACCTAGCATTTAATGCTGAAACATTCAGTCAGTGGTGGTAGCTGCCTGGACACAGCTATGATACAGGGGGGCACAGCCAGGAAGAGTCAGGAGGCCAGGTTTTCCATGTGTTCTTAGGCAGGTCATCTGGTTTTCTGGTTTCCAGTTTCATCATCTATAAATTAAAAGAGTTGTGGCTTGGTAATCTTTTGTTCCTGATGTTAAGTGCTCTTTTAATACATTCATAATTTGTTAGTCTGTTCTTCTGTTGCTATGAATACCTAAGTCTGGGTAATTTGCAAAGAAAAGAGGTTTAATTGGCTGACAATTCTGCAAATGCAAGGTGTACAGGAAGCATGGTAATGTTACCTGCTAGGCTTCCAGGGGAGGCTTCAGGAAGCTTTTACTGAAGCGAAAAGGCAAAGCAGAAGCAGGCACATCACATGGCAAAAGCAGGAGTACAAGAGAAAGCAAGGGGAAGATGCCACACACTTTTAAACAATCAGATCTCACAATAACTCACTCACTATCAGTAGGAAATCACCAAGGGGGTGGTGCCAAACCATTCATGAGAAATCCACCCCCATGATCTAGTCACCTCCCTACAGGCGCGACACCCAACACTGGAGATTACGTTTCAGTATGAGATTTGGAGGACACATCCAAGCTTTAGCATATGGTGTGATTTCAAAGCCGGCTTCCTAACCTCTCTCAATTCGTTGTCTTCTGTATGAAACACTATTTGTAAAGTGAACTAAAGTAGAAGGAAAAATAAGAATCACTTTCTGTCTTCCGGTTTTCTAAAGAAAACCAGGAGACAGAAAACTGGGTTCCAACTCCCATTTTAACTGCCGCCTGTATGTTGGCAAATCCCTTCCTCTTTCTGGGCCTCAGTGTCTGCATCAGTAAATGTTGGACATGAATTAAAGAAATTCTAGGATTTTATCCTTTTCATCTACTAACTGTCTCAGATGATCCCAGTAGTAGCGTCTGGTGCCATGACGGGCTACTTTAGCCTGTGTGTGTGACCCCGCTTAGGGCAGGATAATCTCTGCCTTTGGCCTTTTCAGCCTCAATGCCAGCCTGTCATGCTGGGCATGCTCAGTATAGAGACCCATAAGCCTCTGGGCATCTTCCTTTTGGACCCCTTCATGGAACAGGTATCCTGACTTCTTCTCAGATCTGTTAACTAGAGACATAGAAGTATATTCAAAGTCTTTTCTTCAGAAGCACATTCGAACACAAGTCTCCATCAGACACAGCCACACATATTATATTAACTCAACAAGTCCTTAACCGCCCAGGAAATAGTTTGGGCAGGACAATATGAAGTCTGACTTACTTATCATTTCCATTATGCACCAAATATTCTGCAGGTTTCTCAAAGTGACCATCTAGCCAGACAAATCAGGCAGGAGCAAGAAATAAAAGGCATTCAAATAGGAAAAGAAGTCTACTTATCTCTCTTCACTGATGTGATTCTATACCTAGAAAATCCTAAGCCTCTGTGAAAAGGCTCCTAGAACTGATAAATGACTTTAATACAGTTTCAGGATACAAAATTGATGTCAAAAATCAGTAGCATTTATATACACCAAGAATGTTCAAGCTGAGAGTCAAATTAAGAATATAATCCCATTTATAATAGCCACAAAATAAATGAGATACCTGGGAATACAGCTAACTAAGGAGGTGAAAGATCTCTACAAGAAGAACTACAAAACACTGCTGAAATATATCAGAGATGACACAAAGAAATGGAAAAATATTTCATGTTCATAGATTGGAAGAATCGATATTGTTAAAATGGCCATACTGCCCAAGGCAAGTTACAGATTCAATGCTATTCTTATCAAACTACAAATATCATTCTTCACAGAATTAAATAAAATTATTCCAAAAGTTCACATGGAACCCAAAAAAAGTCCAAATAGCCAAAGCAAGCCTAAGCAAAAAGAACAAAGCTGAAGGCATCATATTACCCAACTTCAAACTATACTTTAAGGCTACAGTAACCAAAAGAGTGTGGCACTAAAACAAGAACAGATAGAACACATGCAACACAAAAACACATAGAACAATGGAACAGCATACTGAACCCAGAAAAGCTGCACATGTACAACAATTTGATCTTTGACAAAGCTGACAAAAACAATTAATGGGGAAAGAAAAAGCTATTTAATAGATACTGCTGGGATAACTGGTCAGCTATATGCAGAAGAATGAAACGGGACCCCAACCTTGCACCATATAAAAAATTAGCTCAAAATGGATTAAAGATTTACATGTAAGACCTCAATATGTAAAATATAAAAATTCTAAAAGAAAACCTAGGAAATAGCATTTTGAACATTGACCTTGTGAAATATTTACGACAGTCTTCAAAAGCAATTACAGCAAAAACAAAAATTGACAAGCATTGCCTAATTAAATTAAAGAGCTTCTACACAGCAAAACAAAGTATCAACAGAGTAGACAGACAACCTAAAGAATGGGAGAAAATACTCCCAAACTCTGCACCTGACGAAGGTTTAATATCCAGAATCTATACGAAACAAACAAATCAATAAGCAAAAAAAAAAACCCACATTTAAAAAGTGGGCAAAGGACATGAACTCCAAAGAAGATACCCAAATGACCAGCAAACATGATAAAATGCTCATCATCACTAATCTTCAGAGAAATGTAAGTCAAAAACTACAGCTTGATACCAGTCACTGTAAATACAGTGACCCATTCTCAAACCAGTCAGAGTGGCTACTATAACAAATAAAAAAATAACAGATGCTGATGAGGCTATGGAGAAAATGGAATCCTTATACTCTCTTTTGGGGAATGTAAATTAGTTCAGCCTCTGTGGAAAGCCATTTGGACATTTCTCCAAGAGAAACAGTGCTACCATTCAACCCAGCAATGTCATTACTGGGTATATACCCAAAAGAAAATAAATTATTCTACCAAAAAGACACAGGCACTTGCATATGCATCACAGCACTATTCACAATAGCAAACACATGGAATCTACCTAGGTGCCCTTCAGTGGTGGATCGGATTGAATAAAGAGAATGTGATACATATATTCCATTGAATACTAGGCAGTTTGGAAAAGAATGAAATCATGTCTTTTGCAGCAACATATATGCAACTGGAGGCCATAATCCTTAGTGAATTAACACAGAAACAGAAAACCAAATACTACATATTCTCACTTACAAGTGGGAGATTAACACTGAGCACACATGAACATAAACATGGGAACAGTAGACAGTGGAGCTAGTAGAGGAGGGAGGGAGCGAGGGTTAAACAACTACCTATTGGGTACTATGCTTACCACCTGGGTGACAGAATCCATACCCCAAACCTCAGCATCATGCAACATATTCATGTTAACAAACTGGGACATGTACCACCTGCCCCTCCTATTTGAACACTGTCTTCCTTCATCAGGCAACTCCAGCATGATGATCCCTCTGTGATGAATCAAATATATTGTGCCCTCTTCTTGGGATATATTTCATTAGTTATTTATATGACTAGTGGTTATATATTTTTCATTTGCTATGTCTTCCTTTATTCTTTTATTTTTTGTTTTTAGCATTTTGTATTCATTTCATTTATTTATATGCTTATTTATTTACTTATTTATTTTATCATAGTCAAACATTAGTATTTTCTTTCCTTCAAAATTTAAGTAATGTACTATAAAAATAGTAATACTTAATGTATATATTTAGACATATTTGACCCTCACATATTAGTTTGCATGTGTATGTATACATACATATATATAAAATATAAATATACACATATATAAATTGTTAATTTTTAACATATTCTAGTTGCCATGATTTAGAAAATGTTTAAAATAATTATGTCACATGAACATTTTCCAGAAACATTTGGTAGATTCAGAGACTGTAATATTCTTAGTGTGGAAATCTTCAACTCCCATGTAGCTCTAGTTAAAAGTTATTTTTAATCTTATGTTTTCCACTTGATAATATTTTTGAAGTCAGAAATCTAAACGTTCTTACTTAACGTATATTTTATGCTTATTGATGTGTTGACATATATTATCTATTTACAACAAATTATCACTCATATGGTACAATACTGTCAGATGAAAAAGGATAAAACAAATTCCCTCATAGTGTAGATATTTAGATTAAAAGATTTAACCAAGATTAAAAGAAAAAGATTACATAGGTGGAAGTATAATAATCCAGCTACTAGATCAATACTTTTTCAATTGTATGATGCTGTTTCCTAGTTATCAGGATAAAAAAAATCCACAGTGACAAAGCAGGTTTTTAAAAACATATATTTGTGCTTTATTTTAAAAAGTGAGAAGGTAGGGGAAAATAGTTTTTTAAATGTAAAAAAATAATATTAATGTTATCCCTATGGATAAATACATCAAAGTTTTCTTACTATGTATTTGTTCTAACATACGAAATTTTTATCACTTGACGTATTTTAAGCATAAATATCAGTCATTAAACTCAAAATGTCATATTATACTTTTGATATAAGAACTTTTAATTTGTGAAAATATATATTTTTAGTGCCAAAATAATAGTCTAACAATAAATGTCAAAAATGTATTAAGTAGGCCTTGATCATTGAGCATTGGTGTCATTTTGAAGTTTTGATTCTGTGTTTAAATAATGTATTTTATTTTTGTCAATTTTGTTTTTCGTAAAATGCTTTTTCAAAGTATTTTAATGACTTTATAATATTCTATTATATAAAATCTAAAACAATCTCATGTCTTCTATATTTTTCATTACTATTAAGTGTGTTAGTTACCATTAAGTGTGTGTTTTTTCAATAAAGAAAGCATTCTTTACAAAGCAGGTCCCTGGCATCTGGCATTTACTACTTGTCCGTTAGCCCTACAAGTAAGGGACAACCATTATGACAAGAGTGCAATCTTTGAATATTTACATATTTCACAAATCAAAAACAATAATTTAAACATGATTAAAATTCAGATCACATATTGGGGAAATATTTTAAGAAAGGGATTTTTATTTCAAACCATTAAAATACAATAGTATACATATACACACATATACATAATATTAATTATAGATATAATAATGTGTTATATATACCTATTTATAGATAAATACCATTAAAATACAATTGTATATATACACACATAAATATATATTAAATAATTTAATATATTTTAATTTATGTAAATATGTATGTAAATACACACTTAAGATATTTACATATGATTATATAAATATATGTAAATATATATTTATATTTGTGTGTATATATACAATTATGTTTTAATGTATATTTTATACAATTATGTTTTAATGTATATTTTATACATTAAAGGATATTATATATATACCTCCTTTCAGTTTGCCTGGCTAAGATTAAATAAAATGATATAGCAACAATATATGGCAAATATATGGCAGAGTCTTAACAATAGTGGCAGAGTCTTAATGTTAGAAACTTAAAGTGGGACAGAAAGTGTGCCAATAAACTTTGCCACATAGATGTAGAGATCTTTAAAAATATCTTTATTTTTAAATCAAAACTATCTGAGGTAATTACTTGACAGGTATATTCCTGAGACTGAAACTGAATATACTGAATCAAAACCTCTGAGAATGGTATCCCTGGACATATATTTTATATAAGCTCCTAGGTTATTCTTGAACAAACTAAATTTTGAGAACTATTTTGAGTTGTATTTGCATGCTAAAATGTGTTGTAAAAAATGTTTAATTAATGTTAATTGTGATAGCATTAACTCAAAATGTTACACATCCAACCATAGAAAATTGTAGAATTCAGGCTTTTTAAAAATTTTATGTCCTTTGCCCATTTTTTAAAAACGGGGTTATTTGGTTTTTCCTTATTTGTTTAAGTTCCTCATAGGTTCTGAATATTAGACCCCTGTTGGATGCATAGTTTATGAATATTTTCTCCCATTTTGTTGATTGTCTCTTTACTCTGTTTATAGTTTCTTTTGCTGTGCAGAGGCTCTTTAATTAGGTTCCACTTGTCAATTTTTGTGTTTGTTGCAGTTGCTTTTGAGGACTCAACAAAAAATTCTTTGGCAAGGCTAATGTGAAGAAGAGTAATTCCTAGGTTTTCTTTTAAGATTTTTATAGTTTGATGTCTTGCATTTAAACCTTTAATTCATCTTTACCTAATTTTTGTATATGGCACAAGGTAAGGATCCAGTTTTCTTCTTCTGCGTGTAGCAGAAGTTTTCATAGCATCATTTATTTATGGGGAAGTCACTTCCTAATTGCTTGTTTTTGTCAACTTTTTCGAAAATCAGGTGGTTGTAGGTATACAGCTTTATTTCTGGATTCTCTATTTTGTTCCATTGGTCTTTATGTTCTAGTAGTGTGCTGTTTTGATTACTGTATCCTTATAGCATAGTTTGAAGTCAGGTAATGTGATACCTCTGGCTTTGTTCTTTTTGCTTATTATTACTTTGGCTGATCAGGCTCTTTTTTGGTTCCATATGAATTTTAAAATAGTTTTGTTTAATTCTGTGAAAAAATGATACTTGTCATTTGACAGAAGTAGTGTTGAATCTGTAAATGGCTATTTTAACAATATTGATTCTTCTAATTCATGAGCATGGAATGTTTTTCCATTTCTTTGTGTCATCTCTGATTTCTTTCAGTAGTGTTCTGTGGTTGTCCTTGTAGAGATATTTTACCTCCTTGGTTAGATGCATTCCTAGGTATTTTATTTATTTTTTGGATATTGTAAATGAAATTGTGTTCTTGATTTGACTCTCAGCTTGAACATTATTGGTGTGTAGAAATGTTACTGACTTTTGTACATTGATTTTGTATCCTAAAACTTTACTAAAGTCATTAATCAGTTCTAAAAACCTTATGGCAGAGACTTTAAGGTTTTCTCAGTACAGAATCATATCATCAGTGAGGAGAGATATTTGGACTACTTCTTTTCCTATTTGGATGTCTTTTATTTCTTTCTCTTGCCTGATTACTCTGGCTAGGAATTCCAGTGCTGTGTTGAATAGGAGAGTGAGAGTGGGTGTCCTTGTTTAGTTCCATTTCTCAAAGGGGCTGGTTCCAGCTTTTGCCCTTCAGTGTGATGTTGGCTGTGAGGTTGTCATAAACGGCTCTATTTTTTTGAGGTATGTTTGTTTGATACCTAGTCTGTGGAGGGTTTTTATCGTGAAGAAATGTTTGATTTTCTCAAAAAGATTTTTCTGTCTCTATTGGGATTATCAGATGGTTTTTGCTTTTAATTCTGTTGATGATTCACATTTATTGATTTGTGTATGTTGAACTAGCCTTGCATTCCAACAACAAAGCCAACTTGATGGTAGGGAATTAACTTTTTGATGTGCTTCTGGATTTTGTTTACTGGTATTTTGTTGAGGAGTCTTGCTTAGACTAAACAGAAATATTGGCCTAAATTTTTTTGTTGCTCTTTGCCAGATTTTGGTGTCAGTCAGATACTGGCTGCATTAAATGAGTTAGGGAGGAGCCCCTCCTCATCTATTTTTTTGAATAGTTTTAGTAGAATTGATACCAGTTCTTTATACATCTGGTAGAATTTTGCTATTAATCTATCTGGTTCCAGAGCTTTTTATTTGGTTGGTAGTTTTTAAATTACTGATTCAGGCAAAGAACATAACAGATGCTTTTCAAAAAAAGACATGCAAGCACTCAATTAATATGAAAAAATATTCAACATCAATAATCATTAGAGAAATGAAAATCAAAACTGCAGTGAGATGCCATCTCATATCAGTCACAATGACCATTATTAAAAAGTCAAATAATAACAGATACTGTCAAGTCTGTGAAAATAAAGAGAATGCTTATAAACTGTTGGTGGGAATGTAAATAAATTCAGCAACTGTGGAAAACAGTTTGGAGATTTTTCAAAGACTTAAAACTGAACTACCATTTGACCTAGCAACTTCATTACTGGGTATATACCCAAAGGAAAATAAATTATTCTGTCAAAAAGACATATGCACTCATGTGTTCATCTCAGCACTACTCACAATAGTGAATCAACCTAGGTACTTATCAATGTTGGATTGGATAAAGAGAAGGTAATATAAACATACTATGGAATACTATGCAGCCATGAAAAAAAGAATGAAATTATGTCCTTTGCAGCAATATTGATACAACCGGAGGCCATTATCATGAATGAATTAACAGGGGAATAGAAGACCAAATAGTGTGTGTTTCTACCTTTAAGTAGGAGCTGCGTGCTCATGGACATATAGAAGAGAACAGTAGACGTTGTGGTCTACTGGGAAGTGAGGGAGTGGGGGGGAGAAGGAGGGAATGGACTGGAAAACTACTTATTGGATACTATGCTCACTATTTTGGTGAGGTACCCCAAACCTCAGCTTCACACAGTATACCCATGTAACAAATATGTACATTTGCCTCCTGAATCTAAAATAAAAGTTGAAATAATAATAAGAATTAAAAAATAAAATATCCCCCTTCCTATTCTGTAAAATAGATGGAATAAAAATAGTCAAAATTGTTCAAAGTGGGAAAAAATAAAGACAGAAGATTGCATATGAAAATTCTTAACCTTTATTGCACATTAAGTGTATTATTAATAAACTCAGTATGCATGAGTTATGTTCATTACTGATTTTCTAAAGCAACTAACAATTGATGGAGGTTTTCAGTTCCACAGGTACAATCACAGAGGTCTATGGTTGCAAAGGAGTTATATAAATATAAATGAAAAGTGTTTAGAAATATATTCCAATAAATTTACATCCATTTGTATTTAAATACCCTAACTTCTGGTAAGAGTAATTGTTTCTCGTTCTCTCTCTCGCTCCCCCCTTTTCTTTCCCTCTCTGTTTGTATTTTTTCTCCTTCTACTCTTACCTTTTATGCACCTTTCTGCCAATCTTCATCTCTGCTTTGAAAAAGCAGATTTAAGGAGATATTCAGGTGTTTATTATTTTAGAATAAATTTATTTTAATTCCAGCTTTATACAGCTGTTTATGTTATATTAGTTGTTTTTCCTACTATACAGATACTTCATTTTCTCTGCTAAATACTGATTTAGGATGCCAAGTATACATTTATGTACAAAAACTAAGAGTGAGTATTAAAATCTAATTAGGTAACATGAGTTTTTAAATATTTTCTCTTACTTCTTTCCAATATTCTCATCTTAATATCATGATTTTAATATTTACCATCCTCTTACCCTGAAATGTCTTATTTTTACAACAAAGTTTTAATCAAATACAGAACTATGGCATGATTCCATAATGTCTTAGTTCATTTTGTTCTGCTATAACAGAATACTGCAGACTGGATAATTAATAATGAACAGTAATTTATTGGCTTACAATTCTGAAGACTTGGAAGTCCATCATTATGACAGCAGCCTCTGGTGGGGGCCTTTTTGCAGAGTGATCACATGGCAAAAGGCATTACATGGAAGAAGGGAAAAGAGAGAGAGGGCAATAGGGGGCTTATCTTGCCTGTCTGTGGTGGCATTAGTCCCAACCCTTAGGGCAGAGCCCTTATAGTCTAATCACCTTTTAAAGGTCCCAACCGTTAATACTTTTACAATGGCATTAAGTATATTTCAACTTGAGGGAACAGACATCCAAACCATAGCAAATGTGAATACCATAAAGCATTTAAAATTCATGCCCTGTGGATTTTAGATTTTTACAGATTACAGTTTAAATTAAAGCGAAGCCATTTACTCTCTATGAGAGGTTAACTCCCTAGGCTAAAATTTTCTCAAGATTATAAATGGAGAAAAATAATACTTGCTTCTTACATTTATACTAGGGGTAAAATAATATTTAAAGTAGGCATAATTTTTGACATAAAATTATTTTTTAAACAGACTACTCATTTTCAAATATGCAAAAATTTCACAAGTTAATTTTTTCCACTTATTTATTGCATTGGTTTTGTGTCTTTCCTCAGATGTAATAAAATCTTTGATTAAACTTTTATGGATGTTTTATATGTTCTTAAATATTGTCTCACATATACACACTTCAATCATTATTAATTGATTCAGAGATTCTTACATCTCCATACTCTCTTAATATGCATTTTCATTTTGGATCTTATTTAAATTGTGGTGCAATTCCTAGTTTATCTTTTAAATTTCTTCAACTGAATCAGTGAAGCAAGTGACTATATTTTGTTATTATTAATCATTAGATGTTAGCTCCATGCCTATCACAATAAAAGTACAGACAAAACATATTCAAATAAATGACTAATCATACATGAATTAAAATCAAAAGCATTCATTTGAATAATCTTACCCTTGAAGAACTTCATTTGACCATGAACAATATATAGTTTTTACTGAGACAGAAATTAAATACTCATTTAAATGGATTTAGGTCCAAGTTACTGAATACTTTAAGGAGTATCTGGCAAATAATACATGAACGAGTTGTGTTGAATCAATATTATTAAATATCCATTAATTAAATATTCATTAATTGAGTAATCAACAAACAATAAAAAATTCTCTATATACCATAGTTTATAATACTGATATTTGCTGATGTTTATATCACTTTTTAATTTACTTAGTTAATAATATATTCATATGGTATACCAGGTAGTCTGTAAGAGCACAAGAATGTAAAACTTTAGAGATTACAAACCTTTCTTTCTATGGGATTTACCTATCTGTTTTCTATTCTATATTCTGAAAATCTCAAAAGCTAAATTACAAGACTCTTCTCTTCGAATATCTAGGATGTAATAGAGAGCATCGTGTAGACTCTGGTATGTAAGCCAAGTCTCTACAACCCTCAGGATTAAAGCACTCCTTCTCCCAGCAACTGGGAGCATCGATAGCCAACAGCATGCAGCTAAGTTCCCTCTCCCAGACTATGTCCTTGGCTAAACAGAGTCAACTCACTTCTTAGCCCATTTGCTTTGGATGAAGGAGCCTCCTTGCCTCATCCAATGGCATGAATGCAGGGAGTATAAGCACTCTCTTACTTCATCTGGAGCAAATTTGCAGGGCTATCCCAAATCCAGAGATTTCTATCGCAGAGTCTGGGGCCTTTGACTGTGATGCTGCCCAACTGTGATGTTTAATTGTATATGTCACCTGGCCCATATATTGTGCCCAGATATTTTGTCAACCATTATTCTGGGTGTTTCTATGAGAATGTTTTTGAATGAGATTGACATTTAAACGGGTAGACTAACTAAAGCAAATTACCCTCCCTATTGTGGGTAAGGTCCTTCCAAAAAATTGAGAGCCTGGCTAGCTTTCCCTCGAGTAAGAAGGAATTTTTTCCTGCCTGATTGCCATTAGCTGAGATACTACTTTTGTTTTGCTTTGTTTTGTTTTCTGTCTTTGAACTAGAATTGAAATTATGACTCTTTCTGGGTCTCCAGCCTGCTACATTAAGACTGGAATTATACAATCAGTTGTCCTGGGTCTCCAGCTTGCCAGCTATAGATCTCAGGACTTGTCAGTCTACATAAAATTATAATAAATCTCTATGTCTATCTATCTATCTATCTATCTATCTATCTATCTATCTATCTATCTAACTATTATCCATCCATCCATCCATCTATCCATCCATCCATCTATCCATTCTTCCATCCATCCATCCATCCATCCGTCCATCTCCTATTGGTTCTGGTTCTGTTTCTCTGAAGAACCCTAATACCCTGTTTTTTACTTCTTTTAGCTCCTCAACTTTTCACAGGTGTGGTTACCAAGAGTAGTTTTCTTGGTAAGTAGTAAGAAGTAAACTTCCTGCATGTGCATGGGTCTCAGAGTTGCTTTTTGGGAACCCAATTTGTAACTGTGCTTAGCATCTAACCTTGCACTAAACATCACAGATAAATTCTTTTATCATTTTGCAATTTTTGAATGCAAAAACTATGTATTTTTTAAAAATCTCTAACATTCTTGTCATGCAAAAATATATGCAAATTATTTATCTTAAATTAGATCACTCAGTGATTGTCACTATACTAACCTATTAGCGATTTACGCCTAGTGTTCCAATAGTGGAACGCTATGCTTATGGGAGTTATTTACATCCTACTGCTCAAGGTCATCATCAAGGTCTGATTTTTCACACAAAAAAATTTGCAACCTCTGGCATAAACGGGTAAATCTCTGGTTTTTGAACACATTGTATACATTTTATACTTTACTTATTTAAAAGTTTACTTTATTCTCCTTTTTATATTTCCAATATAATTTCTTCTGCTCATTTAACTCCTACTGCTACTAAACTTTTCATCTTCTGTCATTCCAACTACATCTTATAATTCTGAGAATAAGTAAAACCACAAAAAGCAATTTGACCCTCCTATTAAATTATATTTTTAAAATGATGACTAAACAGATGATGAATATTGGGTCTCTTTATAAAATTGATGCAAAATTACCCTATAGAGGATTCTGGATTTTTGTTTTTTGAAGGGGTAGGGTGCTGACGGAGGGAGTGGGGAGGATTGGGAATATAAAAGAAGACACATGAAAGGTGAGGAGTGTTCTTTCCTTTCTTATTTTGCCAAGTATCCCCAGTGTTCTCTTGTTGACAATACATCTCCAATAGTTATACTAAAGGTGTTTAGGGCTGATAAACTATATTGTTCTTTTGCCTTGGTTTTGTTCATCATTTGCTGTCCTGGGCTTTCCAATTTTCCACAGCCAATTCCTTAATTTCTTCAGTTCTCCTCATCTGATTTCCCTAAAATTTATCTGCAAAGAGCGAGGAGGACAAGAAACAAAGAAGATGAAATACATATGAGAAACATGAAAGATGTCTTTCCCTGGCTAACTTGTTTTTAAATATTAATTAGGGATACTGATGATGACTCTCTACTAATATTTTAAAAAATCCTTTCAAACTCTGGCACCTTCCTGTCTGGTTTGACAGTCTTTTATTTTTTCTATTAAAAATTATTCTTTTAATTTTTATTTTGTGTTCAAGGGTACATGTGCAGATTTGTTATATAGCTAAATTGTATGTTGGGGGCTTTGGTGTACAGATTACTTTGTCTCCCAGGTAATAAACATAGTACCTGACAAGTAATTTTTTTTAAGACGGAATTTCGCTCTTTCACACAGGCTGGAGTTAAATGGTGCGATCTCGACTCACTGCAACCTCGGCCTCCCCAGTTCAAGTTATTCTCCTGCCTCAGCCTCACAGATAGCTGGGTTTATAGGCTCCCGCCACCATGCCTGGCTAATTTTTGTATTTTTAGTAGAGACAGGGTTTTGCCATGTTGGCCAGGCTGGTCTCGAACTCCTGACCTCAGATGACCCACCCTCCTCGGCCTCCCAAAGTGCTAGGATTACAGGCGTGAGCCACTGCACCCAGACCTGATGAGTAATTTTTTATCTTCACCTTCCTCCCACCTTCCATCCTCAAGTAGACCCCAGTGTCTGTTGTTCTCCTTCTAGTATTTATGTGTTCCCATTGCTTAGCACTTATAAGTGAGAACATGTGGTGTTTGGTTTTCTGTTCCTGTGTTAGTTTGGTTAAGATAATGGCCTCGGCCGGGCACGATGGCTCACGCCTGTAATCCCAGCACTTTGGGAGGCCAAGGCAGGCAGATCATGAGGTCAGGAGTTGGAGACCAGCCTGACCAACATGGTGAAACCCCATCTCTACTAAAAATACAAAAATTAGCTGGGCGCAGTGACGTGTGCCTGTAATCCCAACTATTCAGGAATCTCAGGCAGGAGAATTGCTTGAACCTAGGAGGTGGAGGTTGCAGTGAGCTGAGATCACACCACTGCCCTCCAGCCTGGGAGACAGAGCAAGACTCCGTCTCAAAAAAAAAAAAAAAAAAAAAAAAAAAAAAAAAAAAAAAAAAAAAAGATAATGGCCTCCAGCTCTATCCCTGTTTCTGTAAAGTACGTAATATTATTGTTTTTTATGGCTTCCTAGCATTCCATGGTGTATATGTACCACATTTTCTTTGTGCACTCATTCATTGATGAACACCTAGGTTGGTTCCATGTCTCTGGTAGTAAACTGCATGATGAAGAATATATGAGTGCATGTGTTCTTTTGGTACAATTATCTATTTTCCTTTGAGTATGTACCTAATAATGGGATTGCTGGGTCAAATGGTAATCCCGTTTTAGGTTATTTAAGTATTCATCAAACTGCTTTCCACAATGGCTGAACTAATTTATATTTCCATCAGCAGTGTATAAACATTTCCTTTTTTTCAAAATCTTTCCAGCATCTATTATTTATTTACTTTCCTTTTAATAATAGCCACTCTGACTCATGTGAGATATTATCTCATTGAGGTTTTGATTTGCATTGCTCTAATGATTGATGTCAAGCATTTTAAAATATGCTTGTTGGACATATCTATATCTTCTTTTGAAAAATGTATGTTCATGTCCTTTGCCTACTTTTTAATGGGGCTGTTGTTTTTTGCTTGTAAATATGTTTAAGTTTCTTCTAGATTCTGGATATTAGACCTTTGTCAGATGCATAAATTGCAATATTTTCTCCCATTCTGGAGATTTTCTGTTTACTCTGTTGATAATTTATTTTGCTGTACATAAGCTCTTTCATTTAATTAGATCTCATTTATTAATTTCTGTTTCTGTTGCAATTGCTTTTGGTGTCTTTGTCATGAAGTCTTTGCCAGCAAAAAATACTCAACAAATTACTAACAAACTGAATCCAATAGCACATCTGAAAGCTAGTCCACCATTACCAAGTAGGCTTTATCCCTGGGATGCAAGATTGGTTCTACATACACATATCAATAAATGTTACTCATCATATAAACAAAAAACACATGATTATCTCAGTAGATATAGAAATGGCTTTTGATAAAATTAAACATTGCTTCATGTTAAAAACCCTCAACAAACTAGGCACTGAAGGAAAATACCTTAAAATAAAAGCAGCCGTCTTTGAAAAAACCCACTGACACCATACTGAATGGACAATAGCTGGAAACATTCCCCTTAAGAACCAAAACAAGACAAGAAATTCCTCTCTCACCAGTCCTATTCAACATAGTATTGGAAGTCCTACCTACAGCAATTGGGCAAAAGAAAGAAGTAAAATGCATCCAAATAGAAAGAGAGGATGTCCAACTATCCCTGTTTGCAGACAATAAGATTGTATACCTAGAAAACCTCATAGCCTCTGCCCAAAATTTCCTTGATCTGATATGCAGCATTTGTTATTGACTGTCATTTTGATATAAGCCATTTTAACTGGAGTGAGATGACAGCTCATTGTAATTTTGATTTGCATTTCTTTGATAATCAATGATGTTGAGCAGCTTTTCATATGCCTGTTTGCCATTTGTATGTATTCTTTAGAGAAATGTCTATTCAAATATTTTTCCCATCTTTAGATCAAATAGTTAGATTTTTTTCCTATGGAGTTATTTGAAATCCTCAGATAGTCTTTTTATTAAGCCCTTGTCTGATGGTAGTTTGCAAATACTTTCTCCCATTCTGTAGGTTTTCTTGTCATTTTGTTAATTGTATCCTTTGCTGTGCAGAAGTTTTTTAACTTGATGTGATCCCATTTGTCCATTTTTGCTTTGGTTGTCTGTGCTTCTGGGGTATTGCTCAAGAAAGTTTGGCCCAGACTAATGTGCTGAACATTTGCCTTGATTTTTTATAGTAGTTTCATTGTTAGAGGATTTAGATTTAAGTTGTTAATTCATTTTGATTTTATTTTTCTATAAGGTAAGAGATAGGAATCTATTTTCATACTTCTGCATACGGATATCCAGTTTTCCCAGCACTGTTTATTGAACAGATTGTCTTCTCCTCAATGTATGGTCTTGGTACCTTTGTAAAAAATAAGTTAACTATGGGTGTATGGATCTGTTTCTGGGTTCTCTACTCTGTTCCACTGATGTATGTATCAGTGGATGTATGTATCATGCTATTTTGTTTATTATCACTTTGTAGTATAATTTGAAGTCAGGTAATATAATTCTGCCAGCTTTGTTCTTTTTGTCTTTTTGCTTAGGATAGCTTTGGTTAGTCTAGGTCTTTTGTGGTTCCATGTAAATTTTAGAATAATTTTTTTTCTTTGTCTTTGAAGACTGTCACTGGCATTTTGAGAGGGATTGCATTGAATCTGTAGATTGCTTTGAGTAGAATGGACATTTTAACAGTATTGATTCTTCAATCCATGAACATGGAATTTTTTTCCATTTTATTGTGTCTTCTTAAATTTCTTCTATCAATGTTTTATAATTCTCATTATAGAGATTTTTCACTTCTTTGGTTAAGTTTGTGTATGGGCATTTAATTTCATGTGTGGCTGTTGTAAATGGGGCTACTTTTTAATTTTTTCTTTTCACATTGTTCACTGTTGGCATATAGAAATACTACTGATCTTTGTATGTTGATTTTGTATCCTACAACTTCACTGAATTTATTTATCAGTTCTAATAGTTTTCTTGTGGAGTCTTTAGGTTTTCCAAATATAAGATTATATCATCGGCAAACAAGGATAATTTGACTTCTTTCTTTCCAGTATGGATGTCTTTGGTATATTTCTCTTGTTTCCTGCTCTAGTTAGGACTTCCAGTACTGTATTAAATATGAGTGGTGACAGTAGGCATCCCTTTCATGGTCCAGATCTTAAAGGAAAAGGCTTTCGCTTTTTTCCTATACAGTATGATATTAGATGTGGGTTTGTCATATATGACTTTTATTATGTTGAGGTAAGTTCCTTCAATCCCCAGTTTTTTGAAGGCTTTTATTATAAAGGAATGTTAAGTTTTATAAAATGATTTTCCAGCATTAATTGAAATGATCATATGATTTGTAGCCTTCCTTTGTTTGACATGATGTGTCACCTTCATTTATTTCCTTATGTTGAAGCATCTTGCATCACAGGAACAAATCCCACTTGTTCATGATAAATGATATTTCTAATGTATTGTTGAATTGAGTTTGCTAGTGTTTTGTTGAGGACTTTTGCCTCAATATTTATAAAAGGTATTGGCCTGTAGTCGTCTTCTTCTTCTTCTTCTTCTTCTTCCTCTTCCTCTTCCTCTTCCTCTTCTTCTTCTTCTTCTTCTTCTTCTTTCTTCTTCTGAAATGTCTTTTTCTGGTTTTGGTATCAGCGCAATACTGGCTTCATAGAATGAGGTTGGAAGCATTCCCTCCTCCTCTGTTTTGTGGAATAGTTGAAGTAGGATTGGTACTATTTCTTTAAGTGGTTGGCAGAATTCAGCAATAAAGCTATGAGGTTTTTCTTCTGGGAGAATTGTTTTCTTTTTTTTTTTTTAGACGGAGTCTTGTTCTGTCACCCAGGCTGGAGTGCAGTGGCGCGATCTTGGCTCACTTCAAACTCCGCCTCCCGAGTTCAAGCGATTATTCTGTCTTGGCCTCCCCAGTAGCTGGTATTATAGGCATGTACCACCACACCCAGCTAATTTTTGTATTTTTAGTAGGGACAGGGTTTCACCATGTTGGCCAGGATGGTCTCTATCTTTTGACCTCCTGATTGTCCCGTCTTGGCCTCCCAAAGTGCTGGGATTACAGGTGTGAGCCACCGTGCCCGGCCCCTGGGAGAATATTTATTATGGCTTCAATCTCGTTACTGGTTATTGATCTGTTCAGGTTTTGGATTTCTTCCTGCTTCAGTCTTGGTAGATTTTACGTGTCTAGTAATTCGTCAATTTTTTTATAGGTTTCCTAATTTATTGACATATAGTTGCTCACAGTAGGTACTAATGATCTATTGCATTTCTGCAGTATCAGTTGTAATAGCTCCTTTTCTGTTTCTGATTTTATTTATTTTGATCTCTCTTTTTAGTTGGTCTGGCTAAAGGTTTTTCAATTTTGTTTAACTTTTCAAAAAACCAAATTTTTGTTTCATTGATCTTTTGATTTTTATTTTCTTCATATCAATTTTATTTATTTCTGCTCTGATCATTATTATTTCTTCACTTCTACTAATTTTGATTTGTTTTGCTCTTTCTTATCTAGTTCTTTAAGGTGCATTGTTAGGTTGTTCATTTGAAGTTCTTTCTCTTTTTATGTAGGCACTTGTAGCTATCAACTTCCCTCTTAACACTACTTTTGCTGTATCCGTAGGTTTTGGAATATTGTATTTCCATTTTTATTTGTGTCAATAAATTGTCAATTTCCATCTTAATTTACTCATTGACCCACTGGTCATTCAGGAGCATATTGTTTAATTTCCATGTATTTGTATAGTTTCTAAAATTCCTCTTATTATTAATTTCTGGTTTTATTCCATTGTGGTCAGAGAAGATGCTTGCTATTATTTCATTTTTTTCAAATGTTTTAAGACTTGTTTTGTGACCTAACCTGTGTTCTATCCTTGAGAATAATCTATGTGTTGATGAAAAGAATGTATATTCTGCAGACTTTGGATGAAATGTTATGTAAATATTAGATCCATTTGGTCTATAGTGCAGATTAAGTCTGATGTTTGTTGATTTTCTGTCTGGAAGATCTGTCCAATGCTGAAAGTGGGGCATTGAAGTCTCCAGTTATTATTGTATAGGAGCCTATCACCCTGTTTAGCTCTGATAATATTTCCTTTATATATCTTGGTGCAACAGTGTTGGGTGCATATATATTTAAAATTTTTATATGTTCTTGCTGAATTGATCCCTTTATCATTATATAGTGATCTTTTGTGTCTCTTCTTGCAGTTTTTGTTTTGAAATCTATGTGGTTTGATATGAGTATAGTGACTTCCACTTTTTTTGTTTTCATTGTCATAGAATATTTTTACGTTTTATCATTTTCAGCCTATGTGTGTCTTCATAGGTGAAGTGTGTTTCTTGCAGGTAACAGATCAATGGGTCTTGTTTTTTCATCCATTAGGCAAGTCTATGTCTTTTGATTGGAGAGATTAATCCATTTACATTCAACGTTATTTTTGATAAATGAGGACTTATTTCTGCTATTTTCTTATTTGTTTTCTGACCTTCTATTCCTTATTTATTTCCTTCCTGTCTTCTTATAGTGAAGATGATTTTCTCTGGTGACATGATTTAGTTTCTTGCTTTTTATTTTTTGTGTATCCATTGTATGATTTGTGCTTTGGGGTTACCATAAGGCTTGCAAATACTGTCTTATACTCATTATTTTAACCTGATAACAACACTATTTGCATAAACAATCAAAAAGAAAACTAGTAAAAACTTTATGCCTTAACTTTGTCCTCCCACTTTTTAAATTTTTATCATTTCTATTTATAGCTTATTGTAATGATTATGTCTTGAAAAGCTGTTGTAGTTATCATTTCTGATTGATTCATTGTTTAGTCTTTCCGCTTAGGATGAGTAGTTTATACACCACAGTTACCGTGCTATAATATTCTATGTTTTTCTATGTACTTACTATTTCCAGTGAGTTTTATACCTTCCAGTGATTATTAATATTTATTGTTATTTTCTTTATGATTGGTATACTCCCATTAGCATTTATTGTAGGACAGGTCTGTAATTTATGAAATCCCTCAGCTTTTGTTTGTCTGGGAAAATGTTTATTTATCCTTCATGTTTGAAGGATATTTTTACTGGATATACTATTCTAGGGTAAATTTTTTTTTTTTTGTTTTTTCCTTCAGTACTTTAAATATGTCATGCCACTCTATTCTGTCCTGCAAGCTTTCCACTGAAAAGCCTGTGGCCAGACATATTGGAGCTCCATTGTTTGATATTTGTTTCTTTTTTCTTGCTGCTTTTAAGAACCTTTATTTATTCTTGACTTTTGGGAGGTTGATTATTAAATGTCTTGAAGTAGTCTCCTTTGGGTTAAATCTGCTTGGTGTTCTACAACCTTTGTGTCCTTAGATATTGATATCTTTCTCTAGGTTTTGGGAAGTTCTCTGTTATCAACCCTTTGGTGTTTTTCTTCATTTTACTTCAATAGTTTTTGAAGAACAGGTGGTTTTTTTGTTACATAGATATGTTCTTTAGTGGTGATTTCTGAGACTTTGGTGAACCCATAACCTGAGCAGTGTACACTGTACACAATGTGTAGTCTTTTATCTATCACACCCCTCCCGACCCTTCCCCCAAGTCCCTAAAGTCCATTATATCATTCTTATGCCTTTGTGTTCTCATAGCTTAGCTCCCACTTATAACTGCGAATATATGATAATTGGTTTTCTATTACTGAGTTACTTCACTTAGAAAAATGTTCTCTAATTCCACTCAGGTTATTGCAAATGCCATTATTTCATTCTTTTTTTATAGCTGTGTGTATATATGTACACATATGCATACACACACACACACACACACACTCATGGAATACTGATATGTGATATATATGTATGCATATACATCTCTCTCTCTCACATTTTCTTTATCCACTCTTTGGTTGATGGGCATTTAGGCTGGTTGGTTTCATATTTTTGCAACTGCAAATTGTGCTGCTATAAACATGTGTGTGCAAGTGTCTTTTTCATAAAATGACTTATTGCCCTCTGGGTAGATACCATAGTGCATAGTGGGAATGCTATATCAAATGGTAGTTCTACTTTTAGTTCTATAATGTATCTCCATACTGTTTTCCATAGTGGTTGTACTAGTTTATATTTCTACCAACAGTGTAAAAGTGTTGCCTTTACACCACATCATGCTAACATCTATTAGTTTTTAATTTTTTAATTAAGGCCATACTTCCAGGAGTAAAGTGGTTATCACATTGTGGTTTTGATTCACATCCCCTGATCATTAGTGATGTTGAGCATTTTTTCATAGGTTTGTTGGCCATTTTTATATCTTCTTTTGAGAGTTGTCTATTCATGTTCTTTGTCCACTTTTTGATGGGATTATTTGACTTTTTCTTGCTGATTTATTTGAGCTCCTTGTAGATTCTGGATATTAGTCCTTTGTCAGATGCATAGTTTGTGCATATTTTCTATTTTCTGTTACACTGCTGATTATTTCTTTTGCTGTGCAGAAGCTTTTTAGTTTAATTAGGTCTCATCTATTTATTTTTGGTTTTGTTCCATTTGCTTTTGGGTCATGAACTCTTTGCCCATGCCAGTGTCTAAAAGAGTTTTTTTTTATATTATCTTCTAGAATTTTTATGGTTTCAGGTCTTAGATTTAAATCTTTGATCCATCTTGACTTGATTTTTGTATTAGGTTGGTGTAAAAGTAATTGCTGTTTTGCTGTCACTTTTAATGGCAAAACTGCAGTTACTTTTGCACCAATCTAATCTAAGTTGAGAAATGAGAATCCAGTTTTATTCTTCTGCATGTGGCTTGCCAATTATCCCAGGACTATTTGTTGAATAGGGTGTCCTTTCCCCATTTTATGTTTTTGTTTGCTTTGTGAAAGATCAGCTGGATATAAGTATTTGGCTTTATTTCTGGGTTATCTTTTGTGTTCCATTGGTCTACCTGCCTATTTTTATGCCAGTACTATGCTATTTTGGTAACTATAGCCTTGTAGTATAGTTTGAAATTGGGTAATGTGTTGCCTCCAGATTTGTTCTTTTTGCTTATTCTTGCTTTGGCTATATGGGATCTTTTTTTGTTCCATATGAACTTTAGGATTGTTTTTTGTAGTTCTCTGAAGAATAATGATGATATTTTGATGGGAACTGCATTGAATCTGTAGATTGCTTTTGGCAGTATGGTGCTCATTTTCACAATTTTGATTCTACCCTTCCATGACCATGGGAAATGTTTCCATGTGTTCAAGTTGTTGATAATTTCTTTCAACAGTGTTTTGGAGTTTTCCTTGTAAAGATCTTTCACCTCCTTGGTTAGGTATGTTTCTGAGTTTTATTTTTTTACAGCGGTTGTAAAAGGTATTGTGTTCTACATTTCATTCTGGTTGTTGGTGGTGTATAGCAGTGATACCTATATGTGTGCATTAATTTTGTATCCTGAGACTTTACTGATGTCCTTTATCAGATCTAGTAGCTTTTTGTATGAGTCTTTAGTGTTTTCTAGGTATACAGTTATATAATCAGCAACAGTGACAATTTGACTTCCTCTTTACTGATTTCGATGCCCTTTGTTTCTTTCTCTTGTTTGATTGCTCTCGCTAGAACTTCTAGTAATATGTTAAATAGAAGTGGTATAAGTGGGCATCCTCCCTTTGTTCAAGTTCTCAGGGGGAATGATTTTAAGTTTTCCCTGTTTGGTATAACATTGGTCGTGGGTTTCTCATAGGTGGTTCTTATTACCTTGACATATGTACCTTCTGTGCCAATTTTGCTGAGGGTTTTAATCATAAAGTGATCCTGGATTTTGTCAGATGTTTCTTGTGCATCTATTGAGATGATCACATGAGTTTTGCTTTTAATTGTTTATGTGATGTATCAAATTTATTGACGTGCATATGTTAAACCACCCCTGCATCCTTGCTATGAAACCCACTTGATTATATCTTTCTGATATGTTATTGTATTTGGTTAACTAATATTTTGTTGAGAATTTTTGCATTGATGTTCTTCAAGGATATTGGTCAGTAGTTTCTCTCTTTTGTTATGTCCTTTCCTGGTTCTGGTATTAGGGTGATACAGGCTTCATAGGGGGATATTGGCTTCACAGAATGACCTAGGGAAGAGTCTCTCTTTCTCCATCTTTTGGAATAGTTTCAAGAAGTTTGGTACCAATTCTTTTTTGAATGTCTGATAGAATTCAGGTGTGAATCTATCTGGTCCTGGACTTTTTATGTTGACATTTTTTTAAATTACTCTCTCAATCTCACTACTCGTTGATCTATTCAGAGTTTCTATTACTTTCTGATTTAATCTATGATGGTTATATATTTCCAGAAATTTATTCATCTTCTCTAGATTTTCTAGTTTGTGTGCATAAAAGTGTTCATAGTAGCCTTGAATGATCTTTTGTATGTCTGTGGTATCAGTTGTAATACCTCCCATTTTGTTTCTAACAGAGCTTATTTGGATCTTCCATCCTCTTTTCTTGGTAATTTCATTAATGGTCTATGAATTTTGTTTATCTATTCAAATAATCAGCTTTTCTTTCATTTATCTTTTGTATTTTTTGTTCTGCTTCATTTAGTTCTGCTTTGATATTTATTATTTCTTTTCTTCTGCTGGATTTGAGTTTGGTTTGTTCGTGTTTCTCTAGTTTCTTGAGTTGTGACCTTTGATTGCCTATTGGTGTGCTTTCAGACTTTTTCATGAAGGCATTTATGCTGTGATCTTTCCTCTTAACATTGCTTTTGCTGTATCCCAGAGGTTTTGATAAGTGGTGTCACTGTTATTGTTCAGTTCAAAGAATTTTTTAAATTTCCGTCTTGATTTTATTGTTGATCCAAAGATTATTCAAGAGCAGATTATTTAATTTGCATGTATTTGTATAGTTTGAGGGTTTCTTCTGGAATTAATTTCCAGTTTTATTTCACTGTGGTTTGAGAGGATATCTGATATAATTTTGACTTTATTACATTTTTTGAGACTTGTTTTGTGACCTACCATATGGTCTGTTATGCAGAATGTTCCATGTGCTGATGAAAAAAATGTATATTCTGCAGTTGTTTGGTAGAATGCTCTGTAAATATCAGTTAAGTCCATTTGTTCTAGGATATAGTTTAAACCTATTGTTTCTTTGTTGACTTTCTTGATGACTTTCCTAGTGCTGTCAGTGGAGTATTCAAGTCCCCCACTAATTATTGTGTTGCTATCTCTTTTCTTAAGTTTAATGGTAATTATTTTATAAATTTGAGAGTTCCAATGTTAGGTGCATATATATTTAGGATTGTGATATTTTCCTGTTGGGCTAGTCTTTTAGAGTTATGTAATGTTTCTTTTTGTTTTTTTTTTACTGTTGTTGTTCTAAAGTCTGTTTGGTCTGATACAAGTATAGCTACTCTTGCTAGCTTTTGGTTTCTATTTGGAATATCTTTTTCCACCCCTTTACCTTAAGTTTATGTGGGTCCTTACGTGTTAGATGAGTTTCTCGAAGACGGTAGATACTTTGTTGGTGGATTTTTATTCATTCTGCCATTCTGTATCTTTTAAGTGGAGCATTTAGGCCATTTACATTCAACATTAGTATTGAGATGTAAGGTACAGTTCTATTCATTATGTGAGTTGTTGCCTGTATATCTTGCTTTTTTTTCTTTTTTCATTGTATTATTGTTTCATAGGCCCTGTGAGATTATTTTGTTTCACAGGCCCATTGCATTTTGTATTTCTCTAAGTGTGTCTTTCATTTCCAGAATTTGTGATTATTTTTTCTTTACGGTATCTATTTCTCTAGAAAATTTTTCATCCATACCCTATTTTTTTTATATTTCTTTAAGGTGGTTTTTAACTTTCTCTGGTATCTCCTTGAGTAACTTAATAATCAACTTTCTGAATTCTTTATCTGGCAATTCAGGGATTTCTTCTTGGTTTGAATCCATTCTTGGGTAGTTAGTATTATCTTTTGGGGATGTTATGGAACCTGCTTTGTCATATTGCCAGAATTACCTTTCTAGTTTCTTCTCATTTGGGTAGACTATTTCAGTGGAAAGATCTGGAACTTATACCTTGCTGTTCAGATTTTTTTTATCCCATCAGGTGATCTCTTGATGTGGTACCCTCCCCCTTCTTCTAGGGATGGGGCTTCCTGAGAGCCAGACTGTAGTTACTGTTATTACTCCTCTGGGTCTAGCCACCCAGCAGGGCTACCAGGCTCTGGGCTGGTGCTGGGGAATGTCTGAAAAGAGTCCTGTGATGTGTGTGATGTGATCAATCTTCAGGTCTTCCAGCCATGGATACCAGCACGTGCTCTGGTGGAGAGTGAATAGATTCTGTGAGAATCGTTGGTTATAGATATGTTTAGGATACTGGCTTTCTTGAATGCTGGTTATGTTAGCAGTGAAGTTGTCATGGTGACAGACTCAGAACCTCTGGTTAGCCAGGATGTTGCAGGCAGTGATATTAGCTGCTGTTTTCTTCTTCCTGGGAGCAAGGTTATTCTGTAATGAGCTGCTGTAATGGCCCGAGTTGGTTATCCTCCAGCCAGGAGGTGGTGCTTTCAAGAGAGGGTCAGCTATGGTAGTAGTAGGGGCATATAAGCTTGCCCTAAGTTGGCCAGGATAAGTAATCTGGTTTATCAGGCAATGGACAGAACCATAAAGCTCCCAAGAGTTTCTGTGTTTTGTGTTCAGCTACAAGGGTGGGCAGAGAAATACCATCAGATGGGGGTAGGGTTAGGTGGATCTAAGCTCAGACTCTCCTTGGGTGGGGCTTGCCAGAGCCACTGTTGGGGATGGAGGGGTGGTTCTCAGGCCAATGGGGTTATATGTTCCAGAGGGGATTATGGCTGTCTCTGCTGTGCCATAGAGTTCACCAGGGAAGTGAGGGATATCTAGTAGTGAGAGTCCTCCCCCAGGTCACATGCAGTTGGCATAGAACTTAAGGCCTGCTGTTCAGACTTAAGTCTCACTCCTGCAGTGCTCCATTAACTGTGTCAAGTTTCAATGGAGGCAGCCTGCACACAGAACTCAGACCTTGCCACTGGTCATAAGCTTCCCCACTGAGAAAGCAAGCATGGCTTTCAGGCCTTGCCCCTCCCCATTTGCCCACAATGCTTGCAGCATTCCTACAGCAGTTGCCATTCACCCCCTTGACTCTGCTCAAGAAAGTTTGTGCCTAGTCGAAATTATTACAAAATCCAGTTGGAAGCGTCTCTCACCCTGTGACCCCTCCCTAATTCTGCTGGCTGCGTTCCCCAAGGGCCACTGTGACATATAGTCAGGGTTGGCTTCCCTGGGATCAAGCTGGACACTGGGAGTGCCTACAAGGCTCTTTCTGCTGCTGCTTCTACTTATATATTTCACACAGCTCCTTAAATCCATTTCATCTCTAAGTAAGGTTAAATCCTTCTCCTGTGATCTGGATTTTCACATTCCCCAGTGGGGATGTGTGTTTGGAGGCAGGTTTTACCCTTCTCACACTTTGGGAACTCACAGTTTTTTGCCTACCCTGTGGAATTTGCAGTATCATGTCATTTCTTTCAAAGGATCTGTGAATTCGTTCAGTTTTCCTGTTAGGTTCCTGTGGTGGTCCTTGGAGCAGAAGTTCACAGTGTGAGTTTCAACACACTGCTCTTTGAATTCAAGTGGGATCTGCACATTAGCCCTGCATCCTATCCCCCACTTTCCTCCACAATCTGTTTTTAACCCTTTGAATAAACTACTCCTATCTCTTTCTCTATCTCCTCTTTAAGGCCAATAACTCTTAGATTTGCTCTTTGAGGCTATTTTCTAGATCCAATAGATGTGCGTCATTGTTTTTTATTCTTTTTTCTTTTGTCTCTTTTGACCACATATTTTCAAATAGCCTGTCCTCAAGGTCACAGATTCTTTCTTCTGCTTGATACATTCTTCAGTTTGCCAATTGAATTATTCAGCTCCAGAATTTCTGCTTGATTCTTTTTAATTACTTCATTCTCTTCATTAAATTTATCTGATAGAATTCTGTATTCCTTCTCTGTGTTATCTTGAGTTTCTTTGAGTTTCTTCAACACAGCTTTTTTTTAAAAAAAAAAATTCTCTGTCTGAAAGGCAACACATCTCTGTTTATCCAGGATTAGTTCCTGGTGCCTTATTTAGTTCATTTTCTGAGGTCATGTTTCCTGGATGGTGTTGATTCTAGTAGATGTTCTTTGGTATCTTCACATTGAAGAGTTAGATATTTATTATAGTCTTTACTGTCTGGGCTTATTTGTAGCTATCCTTCTTAGGGAGGCTTTATAGATATTTGAGTAATGCTGTGGTTCTTGCAGACTTGTAGAGGCACCACTTTGCTGTTCTTGGACAAGATCTGGAAGAATTGTCTGTATTACTAGGCAGTAACTCTTGTTCTCTTCCCTTACATTCTCCCAAACATAGAGCCTCCCTCTGTTCTGAGCTGCCTAAAGCTGGAAGTGGAGTGACACAAGCACTTCTGTGGCCAACATATAACTGTGGTGGGTCAGACTTGAAGCCAGTGCAGTCTGCCTTCATATGAATACTGCCCAGAGTGTTTTTTTGTTTTTGTTTTTGTTTTCAAGGCAGCAGGTTCCCTTCTGGTCCAAGTGAATGCTTCAAGTGAATGCTTCCAAGTGAGTGCTGGCTTCAAGTGAATGCTGCCAGGACTATGTTCTTTCTTTCAAGGCAGCAGGTTCCTTTCTGGCCCATGGTGTGTCTGGAAATGTCATCTGGAAGTTAGGTCCTGGAACCGGGGCCTCATGACTCTGGTCATTTCCCTATCCTGCCATGGCTGAGCTGGTATCCTAGATGCAAGAAAAAGTCCTGTCCACTCTTTCTTCTCTTCTCCTCAAGCAGAAGGAAAGAGCCTCTTTTGGAGCTGTGAGCTGTGTAATCTGGGGTTAGAAGAGTTTAGAGGAGGAGTGATGCCCTCCCTTAGCTGCCCCAACTTATGTCTCAATATGTTGCATGCCCACCCTCACCCCAGTCAACTGTCTCTGGCCTAGTTCAGCATTAGGACTTGCCTAAGAATTGCAGTCCTTATGGCCTGGACAGGCTTTCACATTTACCTGGAGACACAGTGCCGTATCCCTTGGTGGCAAGTTTTGCAGGTTTGGAACACTAGCATCAGTGATTCCCCTCTGGCTAGGGCTGGTTTAGATGCTTCCTCATCAGGCAGGTATCCTTTGAGTTTGGTTCCGTTTTCCTTTCTGCTTTAACAGGACAGCACTGAGTTCAATGCCTCACAATTGCTATGTTCTTCTCCCTCTGTGCCCAGAGAAGCTCTCTGCCTGTTGCTGCAGCTAGGGGTGAGGGAAGGGTGGCATTCGTGATTCAGGACTACTTTTTCTATGTCTTGAGTGACTCTTCCGGCGCTATGAAGTTAAAAGCAGGTACTATGAGTGCTCACCTGATTTTTGGTTCTTATGAAGGTGTTTTTTTTTTTCTTTTATTTCTTTTTCTCCATGTAGATAATTGTTAACTTGATGTTCTTCAAGAGATAGGGTGCAATCAGTGGAACTTTCTGTTCTGCCATCTTGCTCTGCCTCCCTCCCAAACTTTAGTTTTGATTTCAGTAAGACTTGTCTCATACCTACTTGCTTTTTATTATCCTAGGAGATTAGGAAATATGTATTGTGTTTACTTTTATTTATGAAATTGTAAAATTAGTGTGTGTGCACCTTCCTGTGTTGGGCATGTGCTCATGTGTGCTTGTTTGTGTGTGAGTGTGTCTGTGTGTACTTTACTATAAAAGTATATTTTACTAATAGCAAATAACTGGTAGAGTAAAATATATACATTGTTAGTGGAGTTTTCTTTTCTAAGTGTATTTACCTTTGGCCTTATTACAAGACATAAAATACTAGCAGTAACATCAAGTAGAAAACTGAAGTTCTTTCAATTGCCCCCGCTAACAATTTCAAATGAAATCATTACATTCTATTTCAGATTGTTTTCAAATTGAAGCATTCTGAATCAAATGACATGAAAGAAAGATGAGCAATAAATGTTCAAAGGCTTTTAAAAGTTATTGCTATTACACTATCTGACATGGATTGTCATATTGATTATAGTTGAACAATGAAACATAACCACAAGCAATCATATGTATTTTAGCTGATGATTCACTTTGTAAGCTTCTCTTCTCATTCAAAAAGTATTTGCCTTAGGAGTTTGAATTGACTTTCTATATTTTCTTCCCTCCTGTAATGACAGTCTTGGATATTACGTCTTCATTTCAAACCCCTTGATCAATATGGTGCTTGGTTAAGTGGTGGCTCTAATAAATGTTAAACTGAACCTTTGCATTTATTATAAAGTCAAAATAGATTTTAATAAAAAGCACAAAAGCACTATATAGTGCTATACAGAGTATAGGAGAACTGCAAATTTACCCTCTAGATGCTTATAACCATTTCTAAAAATTGGTTTGAACTAAAAAGTACTATGAAGCATATTATATAATATTTGAATATATTAAAGTCCATCATGTTACAAATAAACATGTTAAATCCTTACTTTTTAAAGTTTTGTTTTCATGTCACCATGTTTATTTCTACTGCTAGAGCCAATATAAAATAAACACTAATTGCATAAGCACTACATGAGCAATGGAAAACGAAATAATTTTTATGTAGTTGAGTAAAGCTTCATTTTTAAAAAATTGTTGAGTTTTTATTGGGTCTTTATCAAACAATGTAGGAAATGAGCCTTTCATAAGTGCAAGGAGCAATATTACTAGATTCTGAGAACAACAGGAAGAAATGAATGCACAGAAGTGGTGCGCAGTAGATTGCAAAGAGAAATACGGATTCTGAATGGAGAGCCTTGGTCTTATACATTTGTACATACATTAAGCAAATGTCAAAGGCACTTTACATGTTCTTTATATTCTGATTAATAAAGCAGTTACAAACATGGAGGGGATACATTGGGGTATTTCCAGAAATTGCTTCATTTAGTCCCACATGTGTACTAATCAAATCTTTCCCAAGTGAGACGCAATAATATTAACAGCATAATGTTCACTAATGAACCACCTACTTATAAAATTAGCCTCATTCCAACATGTCTCTCCTTTAAAAGTATAATCAAACCACATCTTCCGATTGTTAATTCTTTATAGGCTGCTATTTCTAAAAGTCCAGTATTTGAATGTCTCACAATATAATTCAATTACCTAAAGTAATAAAAATATAAATATTAATATCTTGTAAATAAGGCTTGATATAATGAAGTTTATGGGAATGACTTGTCCAACCTCACAGAAAGAGTTTCCCACAGATGAAAGAGTTTCTCATAGTCCTGTAAATATCTAGAATAAAAAAAAGCAAAAGTGCTATAGTCAAGAATATCATGGAATTTATTTTTAATATCAAGGTATTAAGAAAGACCTGTGGGAAAAGAATTCTTAGAATATTGGTGCAAAATGGCTTTTATATTCACTTTAAGAGAGAATTCAGTATAAAGTAAAACATGTTTGATCTTGGTATCTTTTTAAAAAAATTCCAGGAAATAGAACTAAATGAGTATTTTTTTTCTTTCTTTAATTCCTAGCCCATAGGTATGGTTTAAACAATATTTTATAATGGAAAAAAATAAACTTTAAAATATTTGCTAATGTAGTTTCATAAGAAAATGTGCAAATTAAACATTAAAGATAACTATTTAGTAGAATATTTTAAAACTTATTTCACATGCATTTGCTTTATATATATTTTACTACTATTATCCATACCAAATACTTTTTTATATTTTGTTCATATCAGCACAGCCCACAATTGAAGCCTTTTAGATACATATAACTCTAATTTGAAAAGGGTTACCAAGCTACATTTCTCTTTGCAATCTAAAAACCCATTTACTTATTTCTGTACCTGTTTGTTCAGTTTAACACCTGTATAAAAAGAATCTCTTGCTCTCAAGAAAATTTAGAATATAGTAAATTAACATCAGTACATTGTGTAAAGGACCTAGGCAGCAATACTTCAATCACAAACTGCTATGGAAAAACATCAAACAAAGAATCTTCAATATTTCCAGAGGCTGGAAAGAACTGCAACTGTGTTAATAGATAATGGTGTTAATATTTATATATAGATAGACTGTTGCTCTATTACACATTACGATAAACTTAAAAATCTTTATCTCCAAATATCCAAGTCAGCTCTTTCCCCTCTAGATTTCTCTTTTTTTAACATTCATACCAAATCTATCAATTATTGGTGCAAAGCATAACTACCTTTGGCATTTTTGCTTCTCTTTCACACCCCACCCCCTTGAATCAAGAAAGTTGAAAAAAAAGTCTTGCTTACTCTTCTTTAAGGTTTGCTGTTGACTACTTATTCAGATTTGAATTTCCAATGAGACAACATTATTGTAAGTGCTCATGGTCTCATTAATTCAGTCATCAAAATAGCTACTGAGTACCTATTAATTCATTCATACTCAAAATATCTATTGAGATTGCATGGGAATGACAGAGAATAACATGTTTGTTTCTTAATGTTTCTTGTGTATCAAAATGTGTTAGTTTGAAAAAGAGATCACTCAGAAAGTGATTAGCTATTCATGAAAAAATAAAAACCAAAGATAGGTAAAGATCATATAGGCAGAAGCTTAGATGCAGCGAAAAAGTACCAGTTAAGCAATAATCATAAGAATAAAAACCAAGGAACCATAAAGCCTCCCCTTATCTCATCTACACATATATTTTTAAATACATATCTACTACTTATTTTAACCATTAAATCATTCATCCTCCCTCTCTGTTTTCACATCACCTTTTACTTAAAATATGGCACATTCTTTTAAAGACACTGATTTGGAGCGTACTCTCTTCATATTTAAGTCTGGACTGATTGCTTGTATATCTACAGTGACCTTTGCTTGATGTTCACTGTTTTTTTGCTGAATGTGCCTTCCTAAGAAATGATGCATGGGAAAAAATTCTGTTTGCATTCTTATATATTGGAAAATGTATTTTATTTTATATTGATTCTTGAAAGATAACATTTAAGGGTATGAAATTGGTGAAACAGAATTATCTCACCTCAGAACTTAGAAGGCATTTTCAGATATCATCTGCTGTAGTTTTGCTGATGAAAAATCAGATATCAGAATATTTTTATTTTTTTCTGGAAGTTTTAGAATTACATATTTATCCTTAGAAGTCCTAGTATATAATTAAGATCTACTTATGCTTCAACATTGCTTTACTTTTGCAGATATACTGATTTTTTCATACACATGTGCACACACATATATGAAACAGTTGTGTTGTCTTATTGCACAACAAAAATCATGAAAAAAAATCAAAGAAGAGTATTCATTTAAAAATTTATAAAAATAAGACTCCTTACCTACATGAATTATATATTTATGTGCACATATATACATACATATATGTAGACTATGTCTATAGAACACATATAGACTTCAATGGATTCATGCTTTATATTCTCCACAGTTTTGAAAATAGTTATCAATGTATCATAAATACTGAATGAATCCATTTTGTGGATTTGTGACATAATGTAGCAGAGGGGAGTGAAATTTGTTCTTTATGATTTCTGAAGTACAATTTATATAATATAACTTATAAGTCAGTATTTACTATTTTCATCTGTGAAAATAGGAATCTGTATATACATATTTCATATGTTTCATATTGAGGAATTTGACTGTCATGTATTACCCCTCCTAACACATTTGCAGTGTCATTTAGAAACTCAAAATTCTTTCATCGGATATAAATATTCACATATCTAATTATACATTGGTAGGATTATATATATGAGGTTTAACTCAAGGTATTTGCACCTTAACACTTTGTTATTTTTTTCTTGATATATAAGATCAGTATGCAAGGCTATGTCACTTTTGACTGCACATTAATAATCAAAGAGTAGTTTTTCCTGCAGGAGTTGTGTCAGGGCAATTTGACAAACAGTACTTTGAAGGATCATGACCTTGGAGGTTTCTAGCAAGCCAATTTCTGAATTTGAAGAGGCTGTCAAGTTGAATTTCAAAGAACAGTATATTAACACCCATGATTAAGACTAGAGATACCCAAGCAATGGTTTTTATTTCTCAAAATTAGTCTGTAATTAGATCATAAGATCCATACACAACTAATTAGAAACAAAATTATCTAATGAAAAAAGCATAGGGTAAAGAAGAGTATTGATGCCTTTGCTTACATCTGTTTTTTTTTTTAAATGAGTGTAGGAAATGCCATAGGTGTGGCTCAGTTTTCACCTAGTTTAGCTTTACTATGTGATCAAAACACTGAATAACTATGCTATTCAAATCGTAAGTTTCATCATTGTGAAAGTAAAGCTGTGTGGCCTACAAGGTTAGAACTCCAAGTGTTAGCTTAACCTGTTAGAATGAGATCCAAGCAATTTTATTTCTTGCAGCAGAAGTGATAGTGAGCAACGTATATGGTAAAGACACCATGTTATAATTTCTCCATAAATATATGAAATAACATTTTTATGATTTATCCATTTCAGGTAACTACTATAAAAGATCTTGAATTTCTTTAAAATTACTTATTTTATTTTTAGAAAAAGATAAATATTTAGCAAAAGAAGACTTTCAAGATTTAAAGCTTCAAAATAAAAGGTATGCCTCTATGGCATTTGAAAACACTTTTATGACAAATGGGTAAATATAGCATTTATGATGAAACTTTGAAAGCCATCTTACCATTGCAATACACATACGCATACATAAACATATACATACATATATTTTACATGTACAAAACAGACCATTTTTCCTATGTAGCTGATATAAAAAATTAATGTTTTGGAAGATAATTATTGCCTAACTTTGAATTTCACAAAAACACTTTTATTAAGTGAGAATAATTTATGGAAGCTATATGTATGAAAATATTTTCCCATGTATATAGTCATAAAGTTTATATATATTCTGTTAATTGAATAACTGTTATTTGAGTTAACTGAACTGTTGTCCATGTTCATAAAATCATAAATGATTTTAGTATTTATAGATTTATAAATTTATAGTATTTATAGATTTATATTTTAGTCCAATTCATAGTTCAATATTGACACATAAAATATCAAAGTTGTACTGCTAAATATAACAATGACAATTGTTATAGTTAATCCTTAACTTGTCACAAATATAAGAACCAAAATAGTCCCCATGATACAAAGACACTAAAAGAATGTGTGAGAGGACAGTCTTAATAATAAAGTAGTATTCATGAATCATAAATGCTTTTTACTCTAAGTTGTTATTGTAATGGCATTTCTATTTAAATTTCTAAGCCATAGCTTCATTTCTATTTGTTCAATGTTTCTTATTTCTCAAAATATGAGAATTTCCACATTAAAAATACAGCCTTAACCATGGAGTTATTTCATACATATAGTCAGTTAAAGTATATATTAGGTTTATACCATGTGGCAGGATCTTTGCTATGCAGTAAGGATAGAGCACTGTATAGTTCAGTCATGTTCCATGGTTATTTGAAGCTTATAACTAGGATAGCTCATGCAGAACCTTACAGATCAGAGATAAACATTTAGATTGTATTCCAAGGGTAATGGGAAGCATTTCAAAGCTTTTAAACTTTCTAAGATTGGGATTGTATCAATAATAAAGCATTAGAATTACAATTGGAAAATTCAAAGATATGTAATAGAATCAAAATGCACACATCTTTACAGAATTGCACAGTGTAAAATATTCAGGACTGAAATATTCAGGAAGCCATGTTCTAAGCACATTCATGAATGTATAAGATAATGTCTGAAAAGTTACATTGAAAATGATGATAAGGTGGTTACATTTTCAGGTAAAAGTAGTAAGAAGGGTTGGCAGTATTTTCACATTTTAGAGTTTTAATCTTTTAAAAACTAATTAATATAATCATTATTTAATTAAAAATAAATTTAAGAAAAAATAACAAAGAAAATTACATCTGAGAATGTCTTCCAAGATGTCCATGATGTTATTTCACAATAGAAATTATTTGAGTAAATATTTGAAGAAACTTACATATTTTATTCAATCGGTTCACAAATATTCAATTTTAAATATTTTGAATACTCAAGAATAATCTAGTCAAACTCTAAGCTCATATTTTCAGAAATATTAGAGTGGTCATTGGTGTAATGAAGTATTGTTAAAATCTTTTATTTACTGTTTCCAATGAGAAACATCTATGAAACTTTCAGTGTGTACTTTTCTCTCTCCCATCTTATTTTTTAAAATTTAAAGTTACTAGTTTTTAAAATTAAAACAAACTTTTACTTTCTATCCTGTTTTTTTTCTACATCACATACATTTAATTTTCTAGGAATAAATTTATTTTTTTCTTCCAATAGAGTGGGAGAACATTTTTGCTCCCCATGTATCCTTGGTTTTTGAGGTGAACATGTTTATTTTTTTCTCACAGTCCTTTGGAAGATTCTTCTAATCCTAAATTTTGTGGTGCAGCATCATATTGCATCATAATGTATCTAAATATATAGTATATTTAGGTATCTAATATAAATACTTGATAATATTTGTGAGTAATTCATAGTTGGTAGAACTTCATTATTTAAATAATAAGCTTTTTAAGTCTCCATTTTTCATAGGCAAATCTGAAAGTATTAGTTTTATATAATTAGATGATCTTTCGAATTTTTACAGTATCTATATATGAAAATGTCTCTAAATATTGACACAGAATTCTAATATCTATGTTCTCCAAACTGTTTCAAAAACATTTTTAAAGGGGCTTTATTCTCAAATACACTTGTGAGCATTTCAAATGAACACTTTAAATGACCATTTTATTATGGGGCAATGTTATTTGTTGTTTAAGATTAATTTTACTCAGAAATCACTGCTAAAGAACTTATTCATATAACCAAACACCACCTGTTCCCCATAAACCTATTGAAATTTAAAAATAAATGAAATAAAATATAAAAAAAAATCTATTGTATAACATGGTGACTACAGATGATAACAGTGTATTGTTTACACTTGAAAATCACTGAGAGTAGATTGTGTTCTTATTTCAAAAAATAATAAATATATGAGGTTATACATATGTTAATTAGCGCGATTTAGTCATTCCACAATGTACACATATTTGAGATCATGTATCACGTTGTTTTAAATACATACAATAGGCCGGGTGCGGTGGTTCATGCCTGTAATCCCAGCACTTTGGGAGGCCGAGGAGGTAGATCAGTTGAGGTCAGGAGTTCGAGACCAGCCTAGCCAACATGGCGAAACCCTGTCTCTATAAAAAATACAAAACAAAACAAAAAAATTAGCTGAGTGCTGTGGTGTGTGCCTGTAATCCTAGCCACTTGGGAAGCTGAGGCAGGAGAATCACTTGAACCCGGGAGGTGGAGGTTGCAGTGAGCTGAGTTTGCACCACTGCACTCTAGCCTGGGTGACTGAGTGACTCTGTCTCAAAAAATAAAAATAAATATATGCAATAAATATATATAATAAAAAGATTAATTTCACTTAAGAGAAATCCAAATTTTCTAAACTGATAAATGTTCACCCAATTTAGGTCTGGTGGCATGTTATCATATTATAAATCTCTCTTCGAGGTAGGCCTTTTTAATTCACATAGGTTAATTATGTGAATTAACCCCAAAAATATTTCACTTGAGGCTTAAATGCCATTGGAAAAAGACTTGCATAAATTAACACTGGTACCTTCTTAATAATGTTTTTGCAGAAAGTTATAAATGATAATATTTAGTGTTTGTAGGCATTTTAACCTTTTGCTATTCTTGTGAATTTCAGTTTTATTGAATTCTTCCAAAATATAAGAACTAAATTCTTCTTTGCCAAAATAGTTTCTGTTGCTAACAGAGCTGTAACAGAAGCATGATGCATGATATTGACAGGACATAAAATGTGCAATAAAAAATGTTTAAAATCTCTTTAAAATTTTATTATAAGTTTAGGGGTACAAGTGCAGGTTTGTTACATAGGTGAACTTGTGTCATGGGAGTTTGCTGTGCAGATTATTTCATCACCCATTTTTTTCCTGATCCTATCCCTCCTTCCACCCTCCACCTTCCTAAAGGCCCCAGTGTGTGTTGTTCCTCTCTATGTGTCCATGTGTTCTCATCCTTTAGTTCCCACTTGTAAGTGAGAACATGAGGGATTTGGTTTTCTGCTCCTGCGTTCGTTTGCTAAGGATAATGGCCTCCAGCTCCATCCAAATCTTAATTGTTTCATTTATTTTTCAGTTGTATGGATTTGGGTACCTCATTTAAATTTCTGAATCTTAAATATTTTATCTGAAAATGTTACATTATTGAGTTTGGAGAAGTGGGAAATGTAAAAAGGAAGTGCAGGGGGAGAAGGAGGAAGGGAAGAAGGAGGAGGAAGAGGAGGTAGAAGAAGAAAAGGAAATAGAAGGAGGAGAAAGAGGAAGACGAGGAGAAAAAGAGAAAGAAAAGCAGCAGCAAGAGGGAAACAAAAGTTCCACAGTAATCCAGTTGCTAGAAACATCAACATTAAATTCTAAATTTGTAAGAGAGTTAAGGTTATGAACCCACATTTGCAAATTTTGAAGCGCTATCATCTGAAAAGATGAGGTTTCCATTAAAAAAATATATCCTAGTATCATTTTATAGTTATTTATTTACTTATGTATTTATTTATTTTTTGGAGATGGAGTCTGGCTCTGTTACCCAGGCTGAAGTGCAGCAGTTCAATCTGAGCTCACTGAAACCTGCAACTCCTGAGTTCAAGTGATTCTCCTGCCTCAGCCTCCTGAGTAGCTGAGATTACAGGCGTGTGCCACCACACCTGGCTAATTTTTTTTCTTTTTTTGAGATGGAGTCTCGCTCTGTCACCAGGCTGGAGTGCAGTGGCACAATCTCGGCTCATTGCAACCTCCACCTCCCAGGTTCAAGCGCTTCTCCTGCCTCAGCCTCCCAAGTACCTGTGACTACAGGCACACACCACCATGCCCAGCTCATTTTTGTATTTTTAGTGGAGATGGGATTTTGCCATGTTGGCCAAGATGCTCTCAATCTCTTGACCTCATGATCCGCCCACCTCAGCCTCCTATAATGTTGGTATTACAGGCGTGAGCCACTGTGCCCGGCCTAATTTTTGTATTTTTAGCAGACACGGGGTTTCACCATGTTGCCCAGCTGGTCTCCGAACTCCTGACCTCAAGTGATCCACTCGCCTTGGCCTCCCAAAGTGCTGGGATTACAGCTGTGAGCCACTGTGCCAGCCCATTTTATAGTTTTGAACTCATTGTACATAAAATGAAGAAAAGTATGCTTTTGTTTAAAAACTCAGACTGTATTTTTAAAAAATAAATCTAGCCCACACATTTAGCAATTTTTGAAGACTGTAGACATTTATATGAAGGCAAATCTATCATGTAACAGCCAGCCATCAGAGCCCCCACAGATAATAACCCTGTTGAAGAGTCATCCTACATTCCCAGGCTGTTTTCTGCTCAACTGCCTGATATGTATAGGGCTCTACATGTAAAATGAGCCCACAGACGATGTCACATTATAGAAAATGGTAGGACTCTTCCCAAGTCTGAGGTGTGAACCCATTCTTTGTTACATTTTTCTAGCTGTATACATGATTGTTTCATCATAGACCTTTTTTGGTTTCTACCTTCATTTAGTATCTGAATTACCAGGCTTTTATATCAAGTGACAAAACCCTACAATTATTTCTATCTATGATAATTCTGGTTGCACTGTAGGAAACTGACTGGATTAAAAGTATTGCTATTTATTGAGATTGAAAATCTAGGAACAAAGTATGTCTGGGTCTCATTTGAACTAGTTCAGTCTGAGATATCTACTAGGCATCCAAGTAGCAATTAAGAAAGGGGATTTTGGATATATGAAAATCAACTCCTTGAAAATTTTCTTCTTCTTTTTTTTTTAAACATGGTTTCACTCTTTTGCTTATGCTGGAATTGATCATAGATCATTGCAGTCTCAAACTCCTGGGCTCAAGCAATCCTCCTGCCTCAGCCTCCTGAGTAGCTAGGACTATAGGCACATGCCACCATCCCTGGCTATTAAAAAAAAAAAAATTATAGAGGCCAGGTGCTGTGGCTCATGCCTGTAATCCCAGCACTTTGGGAGGCTGAGGCGGCTAGATCACAAGGTCAGGATTTTGAGACTAGCCTGACCAACACGGTGAAACCCCGTCTCTACTAAAAATACAAAAATTAGCCAGGCTTGGTGGTGCACGCCTGTAATCCCAGCTACTCAGGAGGCTGAGGCAGGAGAATCGCTTGAAACCGGGAGGTGGAGGTTGCAGTGAGCCGAGATTGCACCACTGCACTCAAACCTGGGTAATAGAGAGAGACTCCACCTCAAAAAAAAAAAAAAGAAAAAAATTATACGCATAGTGTCTCGTTATGTTGCTCAGGGTGGTCTTAAACTCCTGGCCTCAACTGATCTTCCTATCTCAGGATCCCAAAGTACTGGAATTACAGGTATGAGCCACCATATCCGGCTGAAGATTTTTCTTAAAGGCAGTAAGAATATTAGGTTTAAACAATTTGTCTTTGCTTAAAGAAATATTTATTGAGGGTATTTTTTTGACAAATATCTTATTTTCTCCTCCTATTCTCCCTTAAAACTTGTTCATTTAGCCACTCTTTGAAAATGATTCTGATGAACAAGTCCCAAAGATGGTTATGTGGTTATGTAACTGTGCTGGCTTTTCAAATTAACTTTTAAAGTAATAGTTCCTTTATAAAACAAATTCTACAAAAGGGAATAGAAAGGAAAGAATCCTAAATGGTAGAGAAGAAACTATGGGAAAAGAATAAAGTTAGGTTATGATACAAAAAGTTTGAGCCAGATAGAACTGGCTTTAAATAATTACTCCACAACCAATACATGATAACAGAAAGTTCATAATCTCTTTGAGCCAAATCTTTCATTTTTAATTATTAATATGATAATCAGTTGCATTTTATTAAATTCTAATTGAGATTACATTATCAAACATGGAAAATTTTGTATGGCATAACCTACTATTTAACTTACAAGACTCAATGTTGTCAAGGTTAATGAGAAATACAATATAAATCTTTTGGTCATAATAGAAACCCATTGAATTTAATACACTCTAACACATCCAAAGACGATGTTAGCTTTCTCAAAATATCTGATGTTGGTGACTACTTCTTGCAAGACAGAAATAATTGCTTGCTCATGTTCAAGCAGTTTTACAAACATGAAAAAAGCACCATTAAGATATCAAATTGCTTTACTATTAAATGAAAAAGAAATGATTAATAAATAGAGGTAAATAAAAATGTAACTAATGTTTTAGAGAATCAAGAGAATATCAAAACAGGAAAAAACTTAGAATTTTAGGCTTGGGAAAGTTCAATAGGTCATGCAGCCCCATAATAATTCAACTGTATTTCCTAATCAATTCCCTTTTATTTGTCAATGTTTACAAACTGTACTAAAAAATAATGATGATAATAATAATGATAAAACAATTTTAGTAAGATTATATCTTAAATAGATACAATCAGTCACTTCATAAAACTCTGTACCTATGAGTCATATGTGCAAGAGATGTGAATCCAGGTATAATTAGAAAGTTGAAATCACTCTTTTGAGATTGTGTTTGAAATCATACATGCTACGCTGGATTTGTTAATCCATTCAACAGATATCAAATAAACAGTATTTTAAAGAAATTTTTTAACTATTGGAGCAATATCGGTAAAGTCTCTGCCTTTACAGACGTTTCATTCTGGAATATTGATATTTATGTTAAATTAAATTATAATGCTTAATTATATATGTCTGTAATAAGATAGGTAAGGATTGATAAACAATAATAGCTAAAATTTGATGGGTATTTGCATTGTGGCAGGCACTGAGCCAAACAGTATTCTGCATTATCTAATTTAAATCTAATAAAACCCATATAACTTGCTTAGCACATTTTTCTAAGTTTATAAATGAGAAGACAGGAACATAAAAAATTAACTAGGTTAGATAATGTCTCTCAGAAAAGAGACTATCAATAAATGAGTATGAGACAGAATTTGCTTTGCAGTATTAAAGTATTAAAGGGTTTAAAACATTAATAAAATATTTTTCAATGTTTATGCACTATAAATTGAAAAATAGTTTATAAGACCAAAAATGGCTTCTACTTTAAAACTGTTTCAAACGCAGTGAATTGTTTAATTGACTTTCTTTTCTAATCTGTTCTTCTGTGCTGTGTATTCACAGTATCCCAGTAGGCTGACAAGAGCAATATGTATTTTACGAATAAACATCTGAAGAAACCAAGATATACAGCTGTTGCACATGTCAGTTTCTATCATTTATGATTCTCACATATTGTTCATTATGTGTTTCCCTTGGAAGGTACAGGATGCAATCATTACTCTCGTGGCAATAATACAGGGACATTGTATAGGCTCCAGAGGAGGCATTCTGCTGATCACGGTGGTATCTTCTACCTTAATTATGCACTGTATTTGCATTATTGAGAGCACAATTGCTGCCAAGGAACTGTTATGATGTCAATGCAATTACACTGATATTATGCTGTCTCAGCATTTGTTCAAATGCAAAATCCTTACTATGCAAAATTTGATCAAAAAGGCAACTGGATATTTATATCATCCCTATCAAAAGATGTTTGATGTAAATCAAATGTGCATATTTAAAGTTTCCTAAAGAATTTAGTGTTTTAAAAGCTTGATAGTTAATGTATATGCAGATTTTTTCTGTACTGATATTTAGTTTAAAACGTAATTGCTTATATTCACACATTTGTGGATATTAGAAAAATGGCAATTTCACATGATTAAAACTAGTAAAAACAATGGCCACTAAATTGCCTATGTTCTTATAAATACTGTGTTTGAGAGCTGATATACTTTTTATTGAATTTATACCATTTGTTGAAAATATAGACAAAATGTATGTTTTAAAGAGACTCGAAATTTACATGTTACTTAAGTTCTTTCAAGTTTGTACATACCATGATATTACGCCTTCCAGATAAGACACCTGCCATAAAGCTAAATGATCATTTAGTTATTCACACTTTCAGCAATCATTTTAATAAATACTTCCTTATTTTAGCAACAGTATTAAATGATAGAAAAACAAACAAAAAACAAGAGTCACTGATGTTACCAGTGGAAGAGGTCCGAGTTATCCCGAGTTACTGGTATCCATGCGGGTCTGCAGCAACTTCAGTTCTTGCCTTCTCAGAATGAAGAATTCAACTGGGCGGGGGGGCATAAAGCAGAAAAAGAGACCAAGGCAAGTTTCAGAGCAGGAGTGAACATATACTTAAAAGGCTTTAGAACAGGAAAGAAAGTTAAGCTCACTTGGAAAAGATCCAAGAGGGTGCCTGAAGGTCAAAGACAGCATTTAACCTTGATTCCAGGACTTTATAGACTTGCCTGTTTCTCATGATTCTTCCCTTAGGGTGGTCTTCCCGCATGCACAGTGCGTTCCTTACCCCGGGGAACTGAGCCTGTGCAGTGTGTTTAGGAAGTTGAATGCACGTCTATCAGAAGCTTTCTTCCATTCAATGGAGTGCACCCGGAAGGTCGTACTTCGCCATTTTGTCTCAATGCGCATGTCCAGGAAGTTTCTTCTCCCTGGCATCTACATTCAATTAACACTTAAATGTTAATAACCATGGATCATCCGGAGATTGTCTCTGCCTGGTACCTTGGCACTGGCTGCCGAGTTATCACTGTTAGAGAGGCAGTGTGATAATTGTCAGAACATCATCTGACATGCCTAGTGGGTGGGGGAAGAGCCCACGCCTGTCCCTGCTCATGCCTATCTAACTACCTGTAACAACTGGTAAAATTGCAAGCTAAAAAATAAGACGAATACGTAAACTATATAGAATGCCGAAAGTCAGTAATTTACAAAGAAGAAATATTAATAAACTTTTGTGTATATACAGATAAATGTGAATAGGGAAATATAGGTAAGCTTAATTGATGAGATGACATTGAACTGAGTCTTAATGAATGATAGAAATCGAAAAGATGTTTTAGGAGAGAAAAATATGTATAAAAAGAAAAAGGCATAATTCAGGCTAGTGAGTAAGAGCAGTTAGATCCTCAATGTTGAAAGATCCTCACCCACACTGGGTACAAAAATAATGAAGTGGAAGCCATACAAGAAAGTTAAGGCCAGGCGCGATGGCTCACGCCTGTAGTCCCAGTTCTTGGGGAGGCCGAGGCCGGTGGACCACCTGAGGTCAGGAGTCCAAGACCAGCAGGGACAACATGGTGAAACCCCGTCTCTACTAAAAATACAAAAATCAGCTGGGAGTGGTGGCGCATGCCTGTAATCCCAGATATTCAGGAGGCTGAGGTAGGAGAATCGCTTGAGCCATGGAGGTTGCAGGGAGCCGAGATCACGCCATTGCACTCCAGCCTGGCAACAGAGCAATAATCTGTCTCAAACAAAACAAAACAAAACAAAACAAAACAAAACAAAACAAAAATTAAGGGTGAAAAAGTGGGATAGAAAATCACATACCTTAAATGTCGATTCAAGGAGTTTCAATTTTCTATTGTAGTCAACAGGGTTCCATGAGAGCTTTGTAAGACAAAAAGTGCTGTGATCATTTTATACAGGAAACTTTGAGCATCACGGAGAGCCTCTACAAACAGCAGTCATAAAATGCTGCTTCTTCCATTAAATGAGAACTAGAAAAATGACACCTATCTGTCTGTGGAAGGAATACATATGTGTTGATGAAGCACAAAGTTAACATTAGAAGTTAGAGTAGCAAAGATCAGGGAAATCTTGGTAATGTCCTATAAAGTAGAAAGTAGAATCACTGAAGAGAACTTCTGAGTATCTCAGCTGCCAGTAGCACAAAGGCAGGAGGTTTTCAGGCAGCAGTGTAGAGACTCACATGCTGGAAGCTGGCAAAATCTCTCATCCAACCCATAAAAGTCAGGAGGCACCCTGCTCTATGTGAAAGGGATTTCCACTTGTCTTCCACCTTCCAGTCTAAGTCCTCATTCACGAGATAACAAAATCCATATGGATAATCCTTCTAGCACTCTGATCATATCTTCACTTCCAACTACCTCTTCCTCACCCAGTCTCACCCACCAACTCCCATCAGTAATACTATTGTTGCTATCATCAGTATTAAGTATAGTGTCCAAAAATCTATATTTGAAAAGTTCAACTCTCCCCAACATCCTCTCTTTAGAGTTTACTTGCTCTAAAACTCGACTCTTTATATTATTCAATCACGTTTGTACCCTATCATCATTTTCATTTTCCACCACTACCCTTATTTGCCTTTACCCAACCTAGATAAGAAATTCTATTCACTTTTATGTGTACATCCTCAATTCTTACTTTTCTCTTATTCTACTACATTTCTCCATTAGACTTTCCACCCTAATTACAATCAGCCTTTGGTTAACTCTCTGCTTTCAACCACGCGGTTGAAAATGGCTGTAGAAAAGCACACAGGCAACTGGTCCGACAAAGAAATCTCAAGTGATCTCTCAGTGATACTCAGTAATACAACTATATTCTTCCATAGATTTACTCTCCTATCCCTCAGATAAGTATTTGTCTCCTTATTTCTCTCTTCAGATCTAATGCTTCCTGCTCCCTATAGTTTTCTCATAGAATGAACACACCTGTGAAATGACGAGTCACCAGAGAACTCACTCAACTTTACACCATTCAATAAACTAATGTTTTAAATCTGTTGCCATATACTCTGCTGATTTCTACCCAAATGGATAAGCTGTCCTAGTGAATACATAGGGTATAAACTTTCACGTTGTTTGCTGGGCAACACTGTCTCTTGCCTTCTCTAGTTCTTTTCTGCAATATTCCTTTCGATCTCTTAAATTGTCACATTTTCCCCTTCTATCGGATTGTTGCCTTTGTCATAAAGGCATGCTGTAATTTAACCCAAAAAACACTGTCTTTACTCCATAACCTAATCCAATTATTGCCTCACTTCCTCCTCTTTAGGGCAAATATCTTTAAAAATGTCTGTTGCCCAAGTCTTTGGTTTCTCATGTATCATTCTCTTCTCAATTCACTCCAACAGGTATCCATTCAATTATCATCAAGATCCTCAACTAGTATTCACTTCTCAGTCCATGATGCTCTATGCCTCTCAGCAACACTTGACCACTTCATCAGACATTTTCTTCTTAGTTTCCAGGATATAATAGCCTTCTTGCATTTCTTTTTATCTTTGCTTTTTCTCAATAGTTTTTTTCTATTTCCTCCTCTTCTTTCCAACCTTTAAATGTTTGTGTTTCCAGGCATCCAGTCCTCTGTTCTCTTCCATTCTCCCTCGACATTTAATCCCTAGATCAGTGTTTGTTTTTCAAACTGATGCCTAATACAAAACTTTATGAAATTAATTTTGTAGGCTATGACTATTACATAAATATGGCCATTATTAAATAAAATAAAGTAGAAATTCACTGAAAATATCAGTGAACACCACACATATTAAGTGTGTAAGAAAGAGCTATTTTATAGCCAGACTGGGACTGCACTAGATTAATCTCTGAGAATGTCTGAAATTTTGTATGGAATCTTGGTCAAGATAAGAATGAGTTTGAGGCCAGGCACCTGGCACGGTGGCTCACACGTGTAATCCCAGCACTTTGGGAGGCTGAGGCGAGCAGATGGCTTGAGGTCAGGAGTTCAAGACCAGCCTGGCCAACATGGCAAAACCTGGTCTCTACAAAAAGTACAATATTTAGCTGGGTGTGGTAGCGCATGCCTGTAATCCCACCTATTTGGGAGGCTGAGGCAGGAGAATAGCTTAAACATGGTAATCACTTGAACCCGGGAGGCAGAGGTTGCAGTGAGCCGAGATCATGCCATGGCACTCCATTCTGGGTGGCAGAGTGAGACACTGTCTCAAAAAAAACAAAAACAAAAACAAAAAAACAATGAGTTTGAATAACTAGTAGTATATAATGTGTACTTTAAGTGTAAAACATTTCCTGAAAGCAGCCAAGGCAAACTTATTGGCATTACTTACCAATATATAAATTGATAGCTTACACCTAATTAAACTGCTTAAACAATCTAGTTTGGGAATGTGACCAGGGAGGTAAGACAAATCCCACTGGAAACTCCTGGACTGCCCTAAGACAAAGATGCTATGTGCATGTCTGAGTGAAATACATAAAAGATGATGTGCCTTCAGTGAAACTTATAAAGAACTCTAGAAAGCTGCCTAAAAATCTCTCCACCACCGAGGATTGCTTGTACTTTCTTTCTTCTGTTGTACTGCATTATTTAACTTTGTTAAAGCTTTAGTAAGTGTATGACTTGCAAAGCCTTGTGGGTCTTTAAATATTCAATCCTGCATAATCAATGCAAGCAATTTTGTGAAACTTTTGTTTTAGTAGTTATACATGAATATGAGTTAAGAAGCAAAATGCTTTTTATTGTGGATCAAAAAAAAAAACTTGACAGACACTGCCTCAGATAATGGTATCCAGCTCCATGATTTTAATTTGTATGTGGTGACTCCCACATTTATATCTACAATTGCTTCTCTAAATTTTAGATTTGCATAATGTACTGTATACTTGACAATGAATATATAATAGCCACTTCAACTGCAACATATCCCAGAGTAAATTTTAGTTTCCCCTATCAAATGTTTTGTGGCATTTTTTCCATTATTACTACATTGAATCATGAGTTATTCAATTGTTCATGAATAAAAAGGACTTTAAACAATATAAACCAGGAGTTACCTTTGTCTCTTTGCTTTTCATTACTCATTTTCTGTACTCAAATCTATCAGCACATTAAATATAATTGGGTTCAAAATATATCTCAAATCTAACACTTCTCTCCACTGCCCCGATACTGTCCTTGGCCAGGTAACATCCCCCTCCTGCCTAGGCTAATAACAGCCTCCTGATCTCTCTATTTTTCATGTGCTTTTCCTGCTTCTTCATTTCTCCTTCTGCACATTTCCTAGGTTTTTTCAAACTGAGGCTTAAGACAAAGATTGATGATATTAATTTAATAGATTATGACCAGATTTTCTTTTAATAAAATAAAACAAAATTTCACGAAAAATATCAGTGAATATCACACATAGTAAGTGTGTAAGAAAGAGAATTTCCTGTCTAAGGCACTCATTTTCCCAGCTGCTGGGAATGTTGGCTGTTGATGGCTCACAGCTGTGTACTTCTCGCAGCACTGCCTTTACCCAAAGGGAGGTGCCTTGCCCATAGAGCAAATGACATCTAGTTACTGTCTGATGTGAGGGTATAAAGGCCCAAACACCCTTGATTCCCTTTGGGACAACTCCAGAGGGCCAGCTCCTGAGCCGCATGTGGGATTGTCTGAGCCTTCTCTTTCACCTTTATCACAGTTTGTTTTCTCCCTCTGCCCAATCCTGCTTCCCTTATTTCTGTTTGCAGGGAACCAAACCTAAGATACTGTATTGGAACCCTTTAATCACAGAATGGCTAAAATGTCTTTTCATTAAAATCAGATCAAGTAACTCCTCTGTTCAAATATCCAACGTCTTTCTACTACACACATAAAAGCACATGGTATGACTTTTAAGTCCCTGATAAATAATGACTCAGATTATCTCTCTTTTTAAAAACATTTTGCTTTTTTACTCATCCTGTTTTAAATACTCTGGCCACTTTTTATTATTTATTTCTGGCAAAATTTCTTTATGTTAGGGCTCATGCACCCACTGTCCCTGCTGGTTGGAGTGTTTTTATTCCTAATCTTCAAAGGTTTAGATTGATCCTGTCATTTTAGATCTCAACTTCAATGCAACCTAGCCCTTTGGCAGAGACCTCCTCTGACTAAAAATCTGAAGCATCATTCCAGTTCCTTTCTATGACATTCTAATTTAGCTTTTTTTTTTTGGATAGTACTCATCACTAGATTATTTTTCTGTTTTTATGATTTATTTATGTATTTATTTTTTACCCGAAGCATATATGTGTGTACACATATGTGTATATATTTACTTATTTGTATATGTCTCCAAACTGGAAGAGAAACTCTATAAAAACAGAAACTTTATCTATTGTATTTACTGTTACATCTCAAGTACATAGAACATGACCAGGGCTTTAGTAGGCTGACAATGAATATATTTGATACAAAATGATCTCGTGGCTGATTGTAACTTATATGAGTATAAAACACTCTGATTTATATTTTGTCTGGTGTCAGTACCATCACACTTGAATTCTTTAGTAAATATAAGTTGGACTTTCGGGACGTCAACAGAGAGGAACATTTATGTGGAAGTAATTTAGTCGTCCCCACAAAAAAACAGATTAGATGAAAGAAATTGGGACAAGAAAGGGAAGAAGCCAAGCAAGGGTGCAATATCAGCGAAAGTCCCAGAAAGGGTATTTCTGGCTCATGCTGGGGTGCTCTGGGGAGTGTTGGTCACACCATGGAGTTGTCTCAGTCAGCAGCAAGAGACCTGGAGAATTAATACTTCCTCACCTCTCAGGCTTTAGTTATAATCTGTCATCTGTGACATAAGGTTCTGGTCACTTGTGCAAAAAACCACAAGTACAGTGGGCATTGGCAGCCTGAGGGCAGTTCTTCTACATAGAGAAACAAGAGCAAACTGTAAGAAGTAGAAGGACACCCATGGGAAAGAGATTTGAAGAAATATGAGGGAAAGCCAAGAAGACACTTGGTATATAACAGGTTTTTGAATAGAAGCTTTAAAAAGACCTAAAGCGCTAATTTTCCTTTATTAAATAGACAAAGTCAAAATCAGAGCTTATCAAAAGTGTGGCACTAACACAAAAATAAACATTTCCATGTAAAACAGAATACTGATAAACATGGTCCCATTAGATATTGCAATTTGATTTATGGTAAAAATGGTGAAATGTAGTTGGAAACAATGAATAGCCATATGGGACAAAGCTAAACTTGATCTTCAATGGACTAAAATATTTATTTCAAGGTAGAATAAAGATAAATTAGAGTGAATCATAGTCTGAGGTTGTTTTGCCTTTACTATACATATAACAGAAAATAGAAACCATAACATATTGAGAATTTTACTATGTTACATTTTATGTAACATACATAATTAAAACCAAAACAATAACTAAAATGACAACACATTAAGGTAGTCGAAGCAATCACATTATATGCTTTTAAAAATCAATTAATCTAACATGAAATATTAATATGTATTTTGTTGTAATTTATCTTCTCTTTTCTGCTAAAAATAAGTCTATGAGTCAACATTTCACATAACTCATATTGTTTTCTCTCTGAAGATTTTAAAAGACATCAAATTTCATTTTTATTGATGTTTATTTTTAAAACGAAAGGAATCCTTTTGCCCTGTCAAAAGATGCTACAAATAGTATTCTTTTTTCTTCCTAAAAATACTTTGTCCTCAATGTTTTATTTTTCAGATTGCATAGGAGTACATAAGTATATGCATATTTTAATTTATATACATACATATGTATCACTGTAACTTGGAAATTAAGAATGTCATAGAAGAATAGTTAAAGGCAATGAGAAAGTGTTGATGAAAAAGGAGGAGCCTATGGGGAAACAAAATAATTATATGCAAATACCCGAAGGTAAGAAATATGGAAAAGGCAATTGTCTTGCTCTAGGTTGTCACAGACAAGAGAATTGTACTAATTGGGTAAGAAATAAATTGCATGTGAGTTTTTTAAAAATATTTCTATTAAAAAGTTAAAGATCATTTTTTCTATCATATCATTGACCTCCTTTTTACAATAGCTATGGATTATTATTTCACCTCTATTTTCAAGAAAAATTAGTAAAAGTTAAAGATTATATCAACAGCTTCATGGAGGTAGCTGATTTTGCTTATATACACCCTTATTACGTTACTTGTATTAATAAATGGCTTCTAGTTTTCTGAAACAGTTTACAAATATGCCCATATTAATAAATATTTTGCTATAATTCAATTAGCATTTTTCAGATATCTTTATGCAGCTAGATATCATTCATTAACCATTAATGGTGTGAATTTATCTTCTTGAAAACAAGATTCAATTGACACTATATACGTATTACTTATTGTGTATTTATGGTATTTGAAAAATAGAAAAAAAAAACCTAGTTTAAAAAAATAAGTAATTCAAAATTCAGTCCACAATTTACAATTAAAGATGGCTGTCTATGTATGACTTATGGTCTGCATCAGGTCAATTTCCTCATTCATATGGAAACTCATAAGAGGGTGAAATATATTGGGACTATTTATAATGTGGACACAGGATCTGTAAATTCCCTACTTGCATAATGATTTGTAACATTCTGAAAATTCATGTACAAGGACACATGCAAAGCACTAGTTAAAATAATAAATACTAACTCATAAACTTTGGAGTCACGGGTATTTAAAATAATTAAATATGAAAGTAGAGTTGAATAGTAGCCATTACTTAAAATTTGAATATTTCTGCACAGATATAACACAATTTTTGTATAATTAAAAGTTATAGAGAATATCAGAATACTTAATGAAAACAAAAAATTCCTGCTTCCCATTTACATTTGTCATCATCACTGGAATAAATCTGATTAATTTTTCAAGTTTTCAAGGTTGAGAACAGCAAAACAATTAAAAGTTTCACTTTTAGATATCTTAAATAAAACTAACATGAAAAATAGTTTCATTGTTAAGCATTTTTTGAAATTTCAAGATCATTTATGCATAAAAGCACAAAAGACATTATATAAGAGAATAAAAATCCCAGTCTTCAAAACAAAAAAATTTAAGCTCTCTTATCAAGGTGATAACCTTTTGATCCTTTGCCACCTAGGTAAAAGAAAGATGAAATAAAATACCATTTGTGAGAATTAAATGATATATTCGAAATTCTCTATAAACTCTAGATCGCTACATATATTAGTTAACCATAAAATTTAATATTACACAAAGTTTGAATGTTCTATGTGTCACTGACACAAAGAAGAAATTTATATGTATTTTTATCAAACATCAATAGAAACTGCATAGATGTTTTATATAAAAGTTAGTTTATGATATTTTTCAATTAAGTATTTTAATAGAATGCTGTTTTTACATTTAGAAAATTCAGAATATCCCATTCAGGTGTATATTTCAGAAAACAAAAAAAAGAAATACCAGATATTTGGTGCCATAAATATATATCACAAGGACTTTGGCAAGACAAAATTTAAAAAAAGATTTTACCTAATATCTATGCCAAATTAGAATTAGACTATTCAGTAAATTCCAAGTAATCACATTCCCTTCACAATATTATTAACAAAGTTACCACCAGAGAAAGAAGACAGCATTTGTTTAGTGAACATTCTAAAAAAATCTGAGAGAATCCCAATAGTTTAGAAATAGATGGTAGTACAATGCAATAACTCCTTATTCCTTTTCTAATAAAAAATATTTTCATCTATGAATCAAAAACAAGTTTGGAGACATAACAAGGGAAAATAAAACACTGAAAGAAAAATAAAAGAAAACTTCTACCAAAAGGTAAATAAAAATGAGGACCACAAAATCAAAATAACCAAAAAAAGATAAGAATAAGTAGAGAAAAATAATATTGTACAGATAAATTATTAAACCAGTCTATGGACTGAATTCAATCCTAATTAATATCCCAGAAGATTAGTTTTTAAGCTATAACAAAATAACTTTACATTTAACTTTGTATACGCAAAAAACATTTAAACAGAAAAGAAATTTAAAATTGAGCCTTTACTAAACAAAAAAAGACACAAAATAAATCTACAACATCGGAGCCACTTGAGTGTTAGGCATAAAATCATCATCATCATCATCATCATCATCATCATCATCACTCATTTATACACCATACATTTGAGGATCACTTGTCTTCTAACTAGGGATGATACTGTAGTTGAATAAAACAGACTTAATAAACCAGATAACTTCCACTGAATGCTTTTTACATAACAGGAACTCTATTGTCTCCCTTCTGCTTCCAAAAACATATAAGATTACAGGGTCAGAGATAAATAATTTTATTACAAAACAGCAAGCTTCATAGGTTTTCTGTTTGTGCTTGCCCACCCTGTCCACAAGGGTGGTGCAAATGTTCCTAGATGATGGTTGCACATATATTTGTTTTGTGTCACAGCTGACGAACCCTAAATTTAGAAAAACATAATCTACTATAATGAGATAACAAGTAGCCCTGCCCAACCATTGTTCCCATTGGAGACATTATCTTTGTTAAACTGGACAGAAAGCAAATACACATTTTGAGGAGACAGTATCTTTTTCTTCCAAAAATGTTATCTGTACCAACAACTTAAAAAAACTAGCCCAGAGCAAGTCTGTCAATGTCTCTGCTCACACAATATGTTTAGAAATAGAAGAGATCCATGGAGGTTCCTCCTTATAACTACAAATATTCAAAACCCCAATTCTTGGTGACTTAACACAATAGAAGTTTATATTTAAATTATATGTACACATACAGATATACATACATATATATACACACACACATATATATATACACATATATACACATATATACACATATATACACATATATATATACACATATATACACATATATATATACACACATATATATATATATATATATATATATACACTCACACATACACATTTCAATACTGCTTCACTCATTTGTTCAGGGACAAAGGCTGGTGAAAGATTGACCACTTTTCATTGTTGTGAGCTTAGGAAAGAAAGAGAAGATAGTTCACAGGATGTTTTTATAGACCAGACCTAAAGGAGATGTGCTTCATTTTATTTGTATTCTGTTGGACTAGAGCTCATACACATGGCCACACATAACTGCAAAGGAGACTAGGAAAGTTATTGTAACCCAGGAATTAAGGAAAATAATCTTTTTTTATATAGCTAGTCAGTCTCTGCTATGGGAGATAAATTTGCTTTAAGGCTTTGATCATCTTGGAAGCTAGAGTTACTATTTCTTGTGATAGGGAATACTGTAGGAAGATTACATTGGGAGGAGGTCAGAAATGTGGTTTTAGAATTTTTTTTAAAAGGAGATTCTCTTTAGGTATACAAATAGTGTTGTTTAAGAATCTATATCTATATCTATATCTATATCTATATGAAGTCATCAAGGATGTGAGTGGATAGAGAGAGGAAAAGATCAAAGTTGGAGATATTTGTCATTCCAACAATAAGAGGCATTATCTTGGTATTTATAATAAGAACCTAACAAAAGTGACTCAAAGGGGAAGTCAATCAAGCAGGAGGAAAGCCAGGAGGATTTAGGGTCCTTAAAGGTAAATGAAGAAAATGTTTTAACAACAGAGAAGTGATCGACTGTATCAAATATGGCTGAAAGCAAGGTAAGTAGGAATCATTGACTAGATTTAGAAAGATGAAGGTCATTCATGACCTTGCAAATGCAATGTTGATGTAAAAACCTTTTAAACAGAAAAAAATGTAAAGTCAGGCTTTATTAACAGAGCAAGACACAAAATAAAACTATAACATCTGAGTCAGTTAAGTGTTAGGCATAAAACCATCATTGTCATCATCATCATCATCATCATCATCATCATTCATTTGTACAGCATACATCTGAGGACTGCCTATGGAGTGCAGAATGTGTAAATCTGATTGGAGTAATTCAAAAGTAGATGGGAGAAAGGAATTAAAGACAGCAAATCTAAGTAATTATTTTTTTTAAAAAAGCCTCTCTGTGAAGGGAAAAGGAAATTTGGGGCTATAATTTGAGGAGGAAATGAGTAAAATGAGATATATTTTTAAGATTGGTGAAATAATAGCATGTTATTTGTTAAAAACAAAATGGACTAGCAAGAAGTATAAATTCATGACATTGAAGTAGGGGGAGAAAGTCTCATTGTCCATGTTACAGAATTGATTATTGTGGTACCATGTAGCTCACCTGTGTTAAATTCACCTCACACATAACACTATAATTTTTTAAAAATCGAAACTTATATGTATGTGTTCCTTTCTTAAGTACAAGTGAAATGGTTAATAAGTTAACAGATTATGTTATTATCTAGTCTAAAAAAATACAAAATTGATAGAAAACATGTTACCTTGTAGCCAGTGTTATTTTCAGATGAAAAATTATTTGTTTGTATATATTATGCTGTATTGTTTTAGATATTGTACTGCATTCATATAAGTGCTATACTAATTTATACTGAAAAAAATGCTCATATAATCAAAATAAAACACAAAAATCTAATGAAAAGACAATTGAATAAGTGATGGTAAGAACTTATTTCAGGAAAAGGGAATTGGAATACAGAGATTTTAGAAATGCAAGAGCCTAGAGGTGAATATGGTTTCTCTCCTCTGTTTGTTTTTATGAAGTGATATTTTTTTAACAAGGCTCAGAAAATAAAGAGAATTTTGATAAAAACTTTATAATGAGGATAGAAAGTTTTCGTCGTGTACCTAGATCAGAAAAAGGTGTTTAAAGTAGAAAAGGGAAAAAAAAAAAAGTGAGGTAAAATAAAAGGTAGTGGGTGGGTGGAAGGGAAGGGAAAGACAAGGATTGTAGCAACAATGTGAGATTTGTTTAAGGGGGCAGTGGCAGTGCTAAGAGTGAAAGGCCCGGGGAGGAATTCAGAGTCTGAACAGTATTAGAGATTATCCCATTCGTTGTTTACTAAAAGACTTGCAGGATATATTTCTCTTAATGTACTGTTGAGTCAACAGATATTAACTTTTTTCAGAAAAAATAAATTTACAGGACTAGTATAAATTTTCTTCATTTTTTGCTCTCTCTCAAGTTACTTTTGGACCTGCCTGGGAGTCACCTATTTTCCCCAGAAATCCTTAACTACTTTTGGTAATAAGCCAGTGTTGTGCTTTTTTATATAATCTTGGTGTGTGTGTGGTGTCATCAGTTAGAAGATTTGAACCACATTTTGGGTGGGGTTCATCTTTTTTCTGCGGGTGGCTATCATACACATATACACATTACATACCTGCATTTGAGTATGCGCATGTGTATGCTATATATCACATAGCCCCAAAACAAAATCTTTTAAATGGTAATCTATGCAAAGAGGTCTTCTCCAGTGCATTTAGGAAGGTAATATGGTTTGGGTATGTCGCCACCAAAATGTCATGTTCAATTGTAATCCTGAATGCTGGAGGTAGGGCCTGGTGGGAGGTGGTTGGATCATGGGGGTGGATCCTTCATGAATGGTTTGCTACCATCCCCTCGGTGCTGTTCTAGTAATGGTGAGTGAATTCTCATGAGATCTGGTTATTTAAAATCGTGTAGCACCTCCCCGCTCTCTCTCTTCCCCCTGCTCTGCCATGTAAGACATGCCTGCTTCCTCTTCACCTTCTACCATGATTGTAAGTTTCCTGAGGCCTCCTCAGAAGCAGAAGTCACTATGCTTCCTGTACAGCACACAGAACGATGTGCCAATTAAATCTCTTTTCTTTATAAATTACACAGTCTCAGGTATGTCCTTATATCAGTGCAAGAATGGACTAATACAGAAGAAAAATTTTATAAGCACTTGGAAAGTTTTTATTATAATCTTAGAGTGAGAAAAATATTAACTATGACATAAATTCAAAAAGCATTTAAAGAAACAATAGTAATATTAAAAATAAATGCATATGAAATTCATTGTTTCATAGTACTGAGTGTAACAAAGTAAAATAAAATTTACAAAGTGGAAATAAATAATTTCCTCATTTGTCACAGAAAAGGGCCATAAACTACTCCTAAAATTTCTGAGGGATCAACGACTGAATGAAAAAAAGAGAAACTGCTATAGACTGAATGTTTGTGCCACCCCTCATCTCCAAATTCATATGTTCAGGCCACAATCTCCAGAGTGGCTGAATTTGGAAATAAGTTCTTTATGGAGGTAATTACGATAAAGGGAGATCAGAAAGGTGGAATTCTGATTCAATAGGATTTGTGTCCCTATAAGAAAAGAGAGCTATCTCTTTCTCTTTCTCACTCTCTCTCTTTCCCTTTCCTTTTCCCTGTCTCTGTCTCTCAGTGGTGCATGTGAGGAGATAGTGAGATGACAGTTTGTCTACAAGCCAGGAACAGAGCTCACTCCAGAAACTGAATCATCTGGCACCTTGATCTTGGTCTTCCTAGCCTCCAAAACTGTAAAAAGATGCTTTTCTGTTTGTTCAACCATCCAGCAGCCTGTGATGATTTGTTACGGCAGTCTAAACAGACTATAGATCTGAAGAGACACTTCACAAAAGGGAGAAACAAATATTACAAAATAAAAAGAGATATTCAGCCTCTCACAGAAAAATCAAAATGTGACAACAGTGATAAACTACTTCCTAGTGATTAGATTAGAGAAAGTGCAAAAGTTTGGCAACATGCATTGCTGCAGAGGCTGAGGGAAGCAAGCAATCCGGTGTTCCCCACAATATTCATTGTAGGAATTGTAAAGAAAATTAGTACTATCTAGCAAATTTACCCATGAATATCCACTTTGACTTAACATTTAAATGTCAAGAAACAAGTGAAAAATATAAAATAAATTATGTATTAGCTTTATAATTTTAGCATTACTTAAAATAATACAAAGTTTGAAAATATTTTTTAAATTAGTTGGTGACTGAGTAAAGTATGCTGTGTCTACACAGTTAAGTATGTATGGGACTACAAATGGAAAGAAGGAAATGACTATATATATTTTTTTGAAATACATCCAGGATATATCAAGTACCAAAAAGCAAGCTTGTCCAGGCATGGTGGCTCACACCTGTAATCCCAGCACTTTAGGAGGCCAAGGCAAGTGGATCACTTGTGCTCAGGAATTGAAGCCCAGCCTGGCCAACATGGAGAAGCTCCATCACTACTAAAAATACAAAAAATTAGCTGGGTGTGGTGGCGTGCACCTGTTATACCAGCTACTTGGGAGGCTGAGACAGAAGAATTGCTTGAACTTGGCAGGCGGACTTTGCAGTGAGCCGAGACCAGCGACTGTACTCCAGCCTGGGTGACAGAGCAAGACTGTGTCTCAAAAACCCAAAAAAAAAAAAAAAAAAAGAAGCAAGCTGCAAATCAGTCAATATATGAAAATCCAACGTGGCATGCTACTACTTTTCATATAAAAAAGAGAGGATACTATATATATATGAAATACATGACTTTTTAATATTTATATCTTATATTAATAACACTTATTTACTACTTTTAGTTTATCTTTTATTATTTTTATATATTATATACTACATTTAATTACTTTATGTATAATATACTTTTCATGTTATATATTATAAAATGTAACTTATATAGTCGACCTTTGAATAACACAGGTTTGATTTGCATAGGTCCATTTATATGTTAATTTTTTTCAATAAACATATTGAAAAAAGGGAGAATTGGAACAATTTGAAAAAACTTACAGAAAAACCACATAGCCTAGAAATATTGCAAAAGTTTAGAAAAACCCAGATATTTTACAAATGCATAAAATATATGTTGATAATAATCTATATTATCATTTATTATAAAATATGTATAAATCTATTATAAAAGGTTAAAATTTATAAAAAGATACACACACAAACACTTATAGATGATACATTGCAAAATTCCAGGTTAATAAAAATGTAACAAGTGTAAAGATGCAGGTTTAAATTGTAACTGCATAAAATTAACTGTAGTGCATACTGTACTGCTGTAATAATTTTGTAGCTACTTTGTGTTGCTATTGCTGTGAGTGCCTGTTATGAGTATCTGTTTAAAATGCCTTGTGACACTAATCATCTCTCCTTGAGTAGTTCATCTCTTCAGTAAATTGTATATCAAAATAAAACGTGATCTCCACAGTTCTTACATATTTTTTATGTTTAGTGCAATATCATAAACCTTGAATAACACCATAAGGCCCATCCAAAGTGCCACTAGTGATGCTGGAAGTGCTCCCAAGTGGAAAAATCATCACATTATATGAAAAAGTTTAACTGCTTGATATGTACTATAGATTGAGGTCTTGGAGCCACATTTGACAGCCATTTTGTGATAAAAGAATCCAGCATAAGACCCACTATAAAATAAGAAAAAAAAAAACCTTTGATGCTGTCACTGCAGCTACACCAGCAGGTGTAAAAACTTTGCACTTTTTGTGAAATACTTTTTTATCTTGTATTCAAAATACAGCTTTTATGTGGGTGTAAGACTACTATAAGACAAGCATACCTATAGACTGTAATATGATTTGAGAAAAAGTGAATGTGAAGAATATAAGCTGAAAAATGTAATGCCAGCAAAGGATGGTTTAATAATTTTATTACAGAAAGAGTTTTGGCTTTTAAAATGTCAGGATAACAGCAGAAATAGCTCCTGCTGACCAACGGAGCAGACTAGTTCCCAGACAACATTAAGAAAATCATTGAAAAGAAATGGTACCTGCATAAACAGATTCATAATGCAGATGAAAGTGCACTATACTGTTAAAAAAAACCTGGACATTTGTTAGCAAAGAACGGAAAGCACCATGATTTAAGGCAGGAAGAGATAGTTTAAACTTTTGTTCAAATTCAGTTGGGTTTAAGGTCAAGGCTTATCTATAAAGCTGCCTTGAAGGGAAAAGATAAATACCAACTGCCAGTCTTTTGGTTGTACAACAAGAAGGCCTGGACAGTGAGAACTCTCATTCTGGATTGTTTGCATTGAAATGGAATGGATTGATGCTTTGTTCCTAAAGTCAGGAAGTCCCTTCCCAGTAAGGGATTGCATTTTGAAGCTATTTTAATATTGGACAATGAACCTGGCCACCTAAAACCCCATGGGTTCAACACAGAAGGTGTCAAGTGGTCCAACTGCCTTCAAGCACAATGTATCAAATTCACCCTCTAGATCAGGGGATCATAAAGACCTTTAAGGCTCATTACACATGATACTCTATGGAAAGGATTACCAATGCTATAGATGAGAACCCCTGTACAGATAACATCGTGAAAGTCTGGAAGGATTACACCACTGAAGATGCCATCATTGTTAGGGAAAAAGCCGTGAAAACCATCAAATCTGAAACAATAAATTCCTGCTGGAGAAAACTGTCCAGATGCTGTGCATGACCTCACAGGAATTACAACAGAGCCCACCAAGGAAATCATGAAAAAAATTGGGGATATGGCGAAAAAGGTGGGGGTTTGAGGGTTTCAAGTTATGGATCTTGGAGAAATTCTAGAGATAATAGACACCAAGCAAGAGGAATTTACAGAAGACGACTTGATGGAGATAAGTGCTCTGAACCAGTGCCAGATGATAAGGAAGATGGGGAAGAAGCAATGTCAGAAAAGAATTTGATGTTAGACAATCTTGCAGAAGTTTGCCAATTATTCAAGACTGCTTTTGACTTCTTTTATGACACAGGCCTCTCATGATTTGGGCACTTAAACAAAAGAAAATGGTGGAAGAAGGACTGGTGACACACAGAAATATTTTTAGAGAAATGAAGAAGCAAAAAGTCAGAAGTTACAATGTACAATTTAGTGTAAAACTACACTGAGTGTGCCTGACTCTCTTGCTTCCCCTTTCATCTCCTCCATCTCTTCTGACTTTGACACACCTGAGATAGCAAAACCAACAGCTCTTTTTTTCCTCCTGTTCAGACTACTCAATGTGAGGACAAGGATGAAGATCTTTTTTTTTTTTTTTTTTTACTTTAAGTTCTAGGGTACATGTGCACAATGTGCAGGTTTGTTACATATGTATACATGTGCCATGTTGGTGTGCTGCACCCATTAACTCGTCATTTACATTAGGAATATCTCCTAATGCTAACCCTCCCCCCTTCCCCCCACCCTCTGGCAGGCCCCGGTGTGTGATGTTCCCCACTCTGTGTCCATGTGTTCTCATTGTTCAATTCTCACCTATGAGTGACAACATGCGGTGTTTGGTTTTCTGTCCTTGAGATAGTTTGCTCAGAATGATGGTTTCCAGCTTCATCCATGTCCCTACAAAGGACATGAACTCAAGGATGAAGATCTTTTTGATGATCTACTTCCACTTAATGAATAGTAAACAGGTTTTCTTTTTTCAATAATTTTTAAAATAAGTTTCTTTTTTCTAGATAATTTTATTGTAAGAATACAGTAGATAGTACATATAACATACAAAACGTGTTAATTGACTGTTTATGTGCAGGTAATTGCACCACTGCACTCCAGCCAGTGGAACAAAGCGAGAATCCATCTCCAAAAAATAAAATAAAATAAATTAACCAGTGCTTTCCTCAGTTTCCTCATCAGAATAATAAATTTAAAAATTTATTTCTCATTGAAAATTTGAGCATTTTTATGTTAAGAATTGTGAAGGGTCTGAAATTTTTATTGTACTTGCAAGTTTACAACATACCCCACAGTATCACAGATGCTGGTAAAATACATGAAATTCCTAGATCAAAAACAAAAAAAATTTCTAGTAACTCAAGGCATAGCAGGCAACATCAGCTTTGTGTTTCAGTTGGTTTCTGTTGCTCTCCCATATCCCATGGGAGCTGTGTGGAGCAGCCCAGGTAGATGGTACACACAATGAGTTTATAGAACTTTCAGTCTTCTAAGGGGATTACTGGCAAGCTTGCCAAAACTTTATCTCAGAAGGAGATGTTATCTTTATTTTTTCAAGTCAAGACACAGATCTGTCCTCTGTCCCTGGGGGGATCACTGTTTTTCAACGTCATTTGCTGTATAAACTTTCTTGGAAAGATAGTCTGGAACAAAAGCTAATACAAGATATGTCGAAACATCATGGATAATTTTATCTCAAGATTTTATTATACATTCTAATAAAAAATCAAATGTCCACCTTCTTTATGCTCCCTAACTCTAAAATATGTTTACAAAATACTACATGTGGGAAAGTGAGAAGAAAATCCAGTCAAGTTAAACAATCTTGTTTCCTATTGATTGTGTTTTTCTAATATTATGTTATACATAAAATATTAAAAAGTAGGTGTTTGTGAAAAATACTGCAATTACTTTGCTTTGGAGTTTTTAATTATATTCTTACTTAATACAAATCATGTTTTCTATATTTGACCCTAATTTACCTGAGATCTTGTAAAGCATACCTGCCCCTAAAAATTTATGTAGCCAATTTTTACTGTCTTCATGCCTATGCCACTGATTTTCAAATTATTCCAGATTTTATTTCAGTTTAGCATAAATGAAATTTAGCTCTAGAGGAAATGGCAAAATATTAAATATTATAATAGAGTATTTTCAAATGAATCTGTGCCATAATAGTCACAATTATAAATCACAACTCTATTACCAAGAAAGAAAGATTAATGAGTTGAATATAGTATTTTATTTAAGATAAGCTAAATTTAATGTTCTCAGTGCTTAGTTCTCTGTGGGTGTGCGTGTGTGGGTATGCATCCACTATCGTTTATCAGTTCAAGGCATCAAAATGGGTGTGTTTCATTTCCACATTTGTTTTTCTTTTCACTTTTCTTTTTAAATAAATTTAGTCATGTAGTGAAGCTAATTGGTAAGCTCTATTTCAAACTGTATCTAAACTTTTTATGGACTTTTTTTTTTGCTTTGACTTCCTTGTTTTGTTTTTAATAAGAGTTATTTATTTCCACCTCCTCACAGTGCTTTATGCTTTTTGTTCTCTCTTTATAGAGTCATTGCAAATTATATTTCAAAGTGAGTGTCATGGTTAAAAATGAATGTAGAAATGAAAATAGTTTCATCTTTTTAATGAATAGCCTCTAGCCCCCAGCTCAGATCACTTTAACACTTGTCTTTATTGTCTCCAAATTCAGCTAACTGATGTTTTTGGTCCTGGATTGCTTCTATTTCTAATCTATGCTCTACACTTCCACTCTTTTTAACAAAGCAGAAATCTCACCTGCCTAGCGTGGCTTATAGGAAATTGAGATTGCCCTAGTTTCACTTTGGATTGCTTGTTTTTAACTATAACACTTTGCAATGATGTCACTTTTATTTCAGACACGCTCCAAACATACTCCTTAAGATTATGGTTTGTTGAACTTCAAAATATCAAAGTAATAAAGGTTACTTGTTATTTGGTTTATCATAGTGATATATTTTGTTGATGGTTCAAATGTTAACTTGCAGATTAAAGATAACGGTGAAGGAAATCCTGCAATATGAGGTAAAGCCTTACTGCTTCAAAAGAAATCTAATAAAAAGATGAATCAAGAATACCTATAGAGAGATGAAAGAGAAGAGGTGTTTATCTTAGATGAAGATGCATTAACTATTCTGCCAATCCAGGCTTCTCCTAATTATTTCACACATCACTTTATGCTTAATCAAAGGAAATAACCAAAGATGAGAAACTGAACCCAAATGGAGGCGCTTCAGAGGCAATCCATCTGAGAATTTTGGGAGAAGCTCTTACTTTTCTGTTCATTCGCTGGTCAAGATCAAGAAAGCTCTTGACTTAATATATCATCTGTCCTTGTCTCTTTATTGAAACCTGAGCCAAAAACTACATAAATGATTATTTTTCTTTTCTTCTCAAATCTCTTATTGTTTTCTGAGGAAAGACTGGCAAACAACACTTTAATAAAATTGCAGATACTTGCTTGTTTCTTGGCCCTAAGTGCACTTCAGGCACAGTTGCTTTCTAGAAAGATGTTGTTAGGGTAATTAATTTAAAGTTTTAAAAATGCCTGCCCCAAATAGTTTTTGGCTTACTTTTATGATTAGCCATTCCCTGCAGAATGTGACCCACATCACTCAAAATTACTTAACATCGTTTTTAAAAATACGGTAAAAGCTAACTTGATTGTTGTATAGACTACTTTTTTTTTTTCAATACAACCATCCTACACCATTACCATTCTGGACCATGAATAGTTTCTTAAATAAACCATGCTCTGTTATATCTCTTTGATATGGCTCACGTCATTAATTATTTTCTGAAATGTGCTTTTTCTCTTCTCCTTCTGAAAGTATTTACTAACTCTGGAAAGACCTCTCCAAATCTAACCTGAACAAAAAATCCTTCTCTAAACCACTAATTCCTGTTTTTCTAGTGTAGAACTATTAAAATAGATCACTTCATTGTGCTTTCATATAATTTTTGTAAGCATTTTCCTATAAGTATGTAAACACTGTTTTATAATTGAATAGCTTTTTGCTTCCTATATCAAAGTTTAACCCTATTAAGCTATGTACTTCAGACCCTAACACTGTAGCCAGCATGTGGTATTAAATAACTCCTAGCTAAATAAAGAGTTGAATGCATGTTGAATCTCAAATGAACTTGTATTTTGCTGACATTTATCATTTTAATATTTCTGAAGTATTTTAAACTGTGTTCCATAAATGTAGACAATCGGGATTTCATATGTGTGCATGATGTTTTAGAGTGGACAATAGGTCTTGATCTAGAAGCAAAACATACAGTCAGGTAGTCTGCATGATATGTGTGGGGTAAGATTGTAAATACTGGATATGTTCACTAGATGAAATGGAATCTGTCAACATCTCTATTACATAAAACTTTTCATTTACTTCTTACTCCATTGTTTGTTGAAGCACACAAATGTCTACATTCTGTTGTTCTCAATGCACTTGATGCCTCAGGACGAAAATACAGAATGTCTTCCGGTGACAAAGGGACAGGAAGTAACAAATGGACAGGAAGTAACAGAAAAAATTAAATACATCAAGTAATTTTATTTCTTTCTAGTATATTCTCTCCTTTTAGCAGTAGACAGTCTTCAACTACAGCAGGAGGAGCCTCAACCAATGAGGATTGATAACAAACTTCTAGGCTGTGTCTCACAAACCTTCAGCAATATGGCAGGCTGCTGTATTGAAGACAAAAATGTAGAAAGAAAACGTCATTGTAATTTTAATGGCAAGAGAATTACAATAAAAAAGGTACATTATGTCAATATTTTCCAAGAATATGAAGTTATTCAACTGCTCTTGTCATATAAGATTTTGAAATTTATAAAATCCTGTAGGCTGGGCTACCTTTGGTCATGTAACTGAATCTGCTCTGCTCTTCAAAACTGCTTTTCAAAAACAGAGTGGAATGTGGCCGGGCGTGGTGGCTCACACCTGTAATCCCAGCACTTTGGGAGGCTGAGGCGGGTGGATCACGAGGTCAGGAGATCGAGACCATCCTGGCTAACACAGTGAAACCCCGTCTCTACCAAAAAACAAAAAATTAGCCGGGTGTGGGGGCGGGCGCCTGTAGTCCCAGCTACTCGGGAAACTGAGGCAGGAGAATGGCGTGAACCCGGGAGGCAGAGCTTGCAGTGAGCCGAGAATGAGCCACTGCACTCCAGCCTGGGCTACAGGGTGAGACTCTATCTCAAAAAAAAAACAAAAACAAAAACAAAAACAAAACAAAAAAAAAACAGTGGAATGTTTTAATCCAAAATATTTAGATTTTTTAATACTCTAACATGTACAATACATTTTATTATAAAGTCACCTTTTAAATGCACATTTTAATTATAACATGTAATCGGCTGTATTTGAGCTTTATTTTCATAGAGCTATATTATTAGCTTTAATACCTGTTATTCATGTTACCAACTTTTATTCAATGAACTGACAAAAAATCTGGGTTTTAAATCAAATGCCTTAAAATAGAACTTGTGGAAAATACAAAGTTCAATTTATTGACTGTTCACTTGATGAACTGTACAGTTATTCATTGATTTTTTTTCTCAACTCAATGTTATTGATGACATGAAATTTACTGAATCAACTTTTGTCCAAAAGGATCCCAATGAGTCAGCAAATAACTGTTTTGTAATAGAAATTATGTAAAACAGACTTGTAAGTATTGAAATGTGGAGTTTGAATTGAATTTATCTAGTATTGGTAACTTTTTTCTCATCTAACGTACTATATTGTTTTTACAGTCAAAGCTAAGTATTCATTTATAGGCTGGCTAGGCATGGCTGCTGATTTTGATATTATAATCCAATGGTTGTCTATTGAAAGCAAATTTATAACAGTCCCTTTAATATCAGGAGTCTGCAATATAGAGAAAGGGACAGATATTTGCAAATATTTAAAGTAAATTAATGTAATATTTTATTACTTGTGTTATGATTAAGCAAAGTGTATCATTGGGAAAAATCAGTAAAAAATACAAAAAAGATAACTTATTTTAAAAGGAGGGATCTGGAAAATATTATAGAATAATGAAATTTAGGCTCAGTCCTTTAAATTTGACTATTATTTCAATAGGTGGAAATAGAGTATTAATTGGGGAATTCTTGGTGAGGAGAATAGTAAAAGCATAGATGGAGAAGAAAGTCAAGTTTATGCTATCCATACCACACATGGAGCAGGACTGTATGTAAATATGAACTTACAGGTGTTTTGGAGAGCAACATTTCTTTGCATGCTAAAAATTACTTCATAATTTCTTTTAAATATTAATCTTTGATTTAACATTACAACTTTTAAAAGTGAATTTTTTTCCAAATGTTTGGTATTAACTTATAAATTATTTTAATTTATAAATTTCAGCATATTTTAACTGAAATGGAGTGCAGGTGCCTGATCACAGCTCACTGCAGCCTCAAACTCCTGGGCTCGGTCAGTCTCCCAACTTTCCCTCCGGAGTAGCTCAGGCTACAGATACATACCATCATGCCCAGCTAATATTTCTATTAAATATGCCTTAATTGCCTTACTACCAAAACCTTCCCAAGTAAGTATTAACTTTATCAATATAAGGGGCCCTTATAGTCTTAAATACTGCAATAACATTATATATTTGTGAAATAAGTAGCTCCATTTTATTCACTTAATTAAAATTTTAATTCGAATCACAATTACAGTAGATTGTCGCAATGGCTGAAGTCACTAGATTAAACAAGCAATCAAGTTGAAGTGTTTCCTGAGGCTGGTGTTATCACTGAGGAACTTTCTCAATGCATTGCACTAACTGGAGGTGCTGCAGAGGTTGCTGATTATGGTCATGATGGAACAAAGACAGAGACCTTCAGAGGGTTTTGTGGCCACAAGTTTCATGATGTCTTAATTGCCCCCAGGAACAGCGGATCTAAAAGCTGATGTGGATTTCAGTTATTTGCAAAGAATGGCACAGGGAAAAGTAGCTCTCTGGGCCCAATAAAACAACCCACATTTTTTTAAAATATGGGTATCGATGTCCAGCTGAAGATTCTTTTAGATAAATCAAATGAGACATCAATGAGTCAGCAATTACTTCAAGGATATGATATGTTAATGAATCCGAAGAAGATGGGAGAAAGATTGAACATTTTTGCCTTGCTACTTCATCAGAGACTTCAAGGTGGAAGGAATCAGATGAATCTGTGTCAGTCAAAACCCTATGCATCTCCTGTAGCTGGATTTAGTGAATTTGTTTGGCAGTGATATATTTCAGCAAGGATATTTTACCCTTCAGTCTGCCCAAGAAATCAAAACAAAGGAAACACATTTCATACATTGCAGGTAAAAAAAGAAACACAAAATACACAAAATATCAAAATGTTGTTTTGATTTACTTTATTCCCTATATTTAAATTTCTTTAGGTTAGAAAGACTTTGCCTATGTTGAAGTGCTTTCCCCAGAAAACACTGACCGATAACTTCATAGTTAGTGGAAGTTTCATATGTAATCAGAGACAATCCTCAGCTCTCCATTCTGTACTCCCACCCAGATACATAATGGATTCTTACCTATATTTATGACCACTGTAACAGGAACTTCATAACTTATTTATAGGAATTAATCATAAAGCTCATATCTTCAGATCCATATTATGTAATTACTTAAGTATTCTCTACTCAAAGATGTCCAAAAACCCTTGCTGGATATTTAAATAACTAAAGGAATGAATACGATAAGGAATAAAAGATAAAAAAAATCATCAAGAAGCCAGTATCTAGACACAGATATTTCATATCAACACTTTCCTTCCTCTTTTGTGTTCCATAGTAATGAAAGCCTATTTTGTTCAATGTCTGTTATAAGATTTTGCTTTTCTTTTTACTTATGACTTTTAATATCATCTAAATTGCAATATAGTTATGTTTTTTCTTTCTGGTCCTTTTAGTTTTACCAAAGTAGTATACATAGGATTGGTGCTTAATATACACTGTTATATTGTTCATTATCTGACAATATGAACAAATTTAATGCTTTTTAAAATTGCCATTAAATAGTAATAGTTTTCTCCATGGAGATATTGTTTACATTAGGAATAAGTCATAAGTAAGTTAATCATACAGTCTGAAAAGAAGACTGTGACTTGGATTATAGAAATCTGTCAGAATTAACAATAATCTAATGCTTCCAAGAGATGTGGCATTCTACATCATTTTAATTATTCTAATATTTTTGAATTACACAATAAGAATTATGTGAGTATCATTAGAGGAGAAGCACTTAGACTGTAATAAGATTTAATTCAGTGATTTATATCTACTTTTGTTTCTTGCTGTTGTTGGACAGGCTTTATATTGGCTACACTGCACATCCTGGAAGAAGCTGTTTGATTTTTCAGTTATTTTCAACATCACCACATAACAATTAGTGAAATAAGTTCAGGCTTTTTAAAATAGCAGATGTTGAATATTTATAGAATGTTACTCTGGTTTATTTTATAAAATTTTGTACATGAATTTTAGATTCAAATGTAAAAGAATGTCTGAAATGAGTAATTGCATATGCCAAATATTTTTTTAATAGATTTCAGAGTTATGATTATTGGAAGTCACTTTTTACTTTGATAAATTGGAACTCAATATGATATAAGGCAATTTACCTCAAACGATAAAATCCAAGTGATCATACATAAACATATCATGTGTTATCAAATAAAACTTCAATAAATACAACGTGGCAGAAACAAAACTTATGTAGATTATCCATCCATAAACTCTTCATTAGCTTGTTTGTAAAGAAAATATGTTTATCCCAAATGACACTATTGCTAAGCTACATGGCGTAGATGAGGAAAATTAAATCCAGAAATCTCTCTCATAAATGTACTCAGAAATATAGCACTTTTGTAACAAGAATTGAATGTTGCTCATTTGTTTTACTCAGCAAAAAAAGAACCATTTATAATTTTACAATAATGCTGTTTTAAATTTCAGGCATTTATTTAAAAAATTAAATTACTAATCAGTGAAAACTATTTTTATGCATATATAAAAAACTAGGTTTTGTAATATTACCTCAAATTTTTATGGTAATACACAATTCATGGTATCTTTTTTCAGCTCTTGAAAACATTAAAATTACTTTGCTGTTAATATTAACAGGTGAGAATAATAACATATTTACTAGATTTAATTTGATATTTCACTGTTAAGCACCATGTCTTTTTATTTTCTAAGTTTTCAACAACAGACTCTCATTCCTCCAATAATATTTTGGCAACAGAAGTATGTTTGAAACTCCCAATATATTAGGATTTATTGAATATTCCCTTTTATGGTAAGCATGAAGACAAGTAATTATATTCTTAGGCTTATATTCATAAGGAAGTTGTGAGACTAGTTGGCTTATGTTTATTTGTTATAAATAACAATTCATTATTTGCTATATAAAGAGTGTAATTAATATCTTATTTAGTGATAGTTTCATTTTTCTCCCACTGGTTTAAATTACACATTGTAATAATTGTCAGTGAGAGGAGCTTCCTCATATCATCTCTACCTATGAAGTGTATTATTTCATGGCCAAGAGAGTCATACACAGATTTGGCCACATAATTTGTGGGGTTCAATTCAATATGAAAATGTGGGGTCTTTTTTTGCAAATTATTAAAAATTCCAAAATGTCAGCAGCACAACATTAAACCAAGAGCAGATCCATGTAAGCATGGTGCCCTGTGCAACTGGACAGGTCATAGGTCCATTAAGTCAGCCCCATAGACACACTATGACATAATCAATTGTATTGTAGCATTGGAGAATATGGCCTCCAGGGCCACATGCCTAGGTTTTAATTCTACATTATCAATTCTTTAACTGTTAGACTTTAGGCAAGTTACTTAAAAGCTCTCTGCCTCAGTGGTTTTATCTTCATTAAATAATAATTATAGTATGTAATTTATGAGATTATTTTGAGGAATGAATACTATATGTAAAAGGTCAAGGAATAATGTCTGACATAAGTAAACTATCAATAATATTAGGTAGTATTAGTTTATACGAAGCAGTTATTTTTAATAAATACAACTAGTGAATCAACTCATGTAGATCATCCTATTCCATGCTATTTCCATGAGATAACATCTTATCTTTGGCACTCTTTTTGTTGCATTTTTTTTTTTTTGAGGCAAATTATTGCTCTGTCACCCAGGCTAGAGTGCAGTGGCTCAGTCAATTATGGATAACTGCAGCCTCAACCTCCAAGATTCAAGCAATACTCGTCCCTCAGCCCCCGGAGTAGCTGGGACTACAGGCACATGCCACCATGGCCGGCTAATTTTTGCAATTTTGTAGAGACATGCATTTTTGCATGTTGTCCAACTGGTCTCGAACTCCTAGGCTGAAGCCATCCACCTGCCTTGGCCTCCCAAAGTGCTAGGATTATTCCTTACAATTTTGAAGACTTTTATTATGAAAGACGATCAGAGGATACAACTCTGGTTCCCAAATGTCATTCTCCCAGGTTTATAATACTCTGGCATTTAATTTAAAGGGCAGAATTAAGATCAATCTATTATCCATCTGATAATTCTGTAAATCCAGTGGACATACAATCTGGATTTTATAAGCCAGGTTTGACTTAATTTTGCCATTTTGAAAATATGATTAACTCCAACCTACCTCTAATGATTAACAACTACCAAAGTTTAAAAAGAAAAGCTTAAAAGTTGTGCATTATTAATTTAAAAGAATCACTTTACAACAATTACATACATACTACAAGGACATAACATTTCAACTTCCTTTTAGGATTCCATACGAATATGTTCAAAATTCAGAGAAAAAAGTAGAACACATTTCCTAAGTATTAATTAAGAAAAAAGGTAATCATATTTTTATTACTACAGATGGGAAGAGAATTAACAGGTAATTAAAATTGACAATGCTCCTAGTCCTTTACTTATATAACCTCATTTTATTTTTATATTAGCCCTAAAATATTATTTTAGTTTTATTTTATTAATGAGGGAAATGAAGCTAAGAGATGTTAAGTATCCTAGCCACAACCCTATGATCAATAAAAAATAGAACCAGGATTCAAACCTGGTATACATAACACCAAATCTATAAGCTTTATTTTTCTTTTGTTTTGTTTTCTTGTTTTTACCCACCATGTTTTACTTACCATTTCAGAGATATAAGAATAATTATGAGAATAATCATTGAAGAAATATAAGCCTTGTTATAATTAGCAGGCCAAACACATATATCAAAATCCTGAAAAGTCACTTACCATTTTTCTTTTTATTGTCTTCTTTTTGTGATTTCCATATAGATTTTTTTTGTAACTATCTTACCGTTTTTTCTCACCAATAAATTCCTCTTAGAGTACAGGTATGTATTTCTTTATTTTTTTCTTTGCTATAAATATTTCCACTTAAGAGATTCATCCCTGCCAGTCAGCCATTGTGGAAGACACTGTGGTGATTCCTCAAAAACCTAAATACAGAAATACTATTTAACCCAGCAACTCCATTGCCTGGTATGTACCCAAAGGAATATGAATCATTCTATTATAAAGATACACGCATGCGCACGTTCATTGAAGCACTTTTGACAATAGCAAATACATAGAATCAACTTAAATGTCCATCAATGATAGACTGGCTAAAGAAAATGTGGTACATACATGCCGTGTAATACTACACAGTAATTAAGAAAAATGAGATCATGTTCTTTGCAGGAACATGGATAGAGCTGGAGACCATTATCTCTAACAAACTAACACAGGAACAGACAACCAATTACCACGTGTTCTCACTCAAATTGGGAGCTAAATGTTGAGACACATAGATACACAGAGGGCAACAATGCACACTGAAGCTGTTTGGAGGGTGGAGGGTGGGAAGAGCGTCAAGAAAAATAACTAATGCATACTAAGTTTAATACCCGTTTGATGAAATAATCTGTAAAACAAACTCATGACCAAAGTTTACCTATGTAACAAACCTGCATTTGTATGCCCAAACTTAAAATAAAAGTTAAAAAAAGATAAAATATATTACATTTAAGGCCTTGACTAAATAATACATAACAAAACAGCATTTGGGTTGAAAAAAAAGTCACAGTAAATGGAATACATTAGATCTTTAATAGCCACTCTAATATGCTTTCTCATATAATGAAAACAAACTGATGAAAATAAAAGTAACATTTGGTTTAAGAAAGTTTGCACATCTGGACACCAGATCAAATTATAAATAAGTCAGTCATTGTAACTAGTAGTCTGAAAAGACAGAAAATGTGGAATCTACAAAATAGAAGTAAAAATCCAAGTTTATATTGTAACTGAAGCTCAGTTTTGTTTATAAACAGTTGCCAAATAATGCCACAGTTGACATATAATTATTTACTGTCACTAAGTTAAGACTACAAGATAAATACACTATTCACCTATGTTTCTAAATATCAAAAATATTGAATATTTTAATGGTTGAGCCATTAATGGCATAATTTTGGAAACCTAGAATAGCTAATGACTTAGAAAAAAATTCACTACTTACTCTATTTTAGAGTAGTTTCAAGCAGTGAGACTACAAATGATCTCATAAGACACTTTAAGTTTAAAGATTAACTTGGAAAAAGGCAGAGTATCGGCAGTTTTTTACATTTAACCATATTCACAGAGGGCCTAAATTTAAGAAGGATTGCCGAGATTTACAAGCAGGGGTTATGTCACGGAGTATCTTATACACCATGCTATAGTATCAAGCTTCATCTTGTAGTGCACAAGTATTTTAACAGATAGTCACTTTGTCAGGAGGCATATATTTTATCTATATTTTGGGAAGTATAATTAAGTTGCTGGTGCCCCAAATTAAAGTTCTTTCCCTAATTATTTGTCCTAAAATGAGCAGCCAAAATTGTTGGAGCACAATGGAACTGCTAAGCATCTAGAAAAAATAAAACACCAAAGACAGCTGGATACATGGCTCTCAAACTTAAGAGAGAGTGAGAAGTCATGGAGATATAGATATGGGAATAATTAAAGCTATAGATGTAGGTAGCATTGTGTCCAGAATTGGTGGGTTTTTGGTCTTACTGACTTAGAGAATGAAGCCACGGACCCTGGCGGTGAGTGTTACAGCTCTTAAGGTGGCGCGTCTGGAGTTTGTTCCTTCCGATGTTCCAATGTGTTCGGAGTTTCTTCTGGTGGGTTCGTGGTCTCGCTGGCTAAGGAGTGAGGCTGCAGACCTTCGCAATGAGCGTTACAGCTCTTAAGGCAGCGCGTCTGGAGTTGTTCGTTCCTCCCAATGGGCTCGTGATCTCGCTGGCTTCAGGAGTGAAGCTGCAGACCTTCGCGGTGAGTGTTACAGCTCATAAAAGCAGTGTGGTCCCAAAGAGTGAGCAGTAGCAAGATTTACTGCAAACAGCGAAAGAACAAAGCTTCCACAGTGTGGAAGGGGACTCGAGCGGGTTGCCACTGCGGGTTGGGGCAGCCTGCTTTTATTCTCTTATCTGGCCCCCACCCACGTCCTGCTGATTGGTAGAGCCCAGTGGTCTGTTTTGACAGGGCACTGATTGGTGCGTTTACAATCCCTGAGCTAGATACAAAGGTTCTCCACGTCCCCATCAGATTAGTTAGATACAGAGTATGGACACAAAGGTTCTCCAAGGCCCCACCAGAGAAGCTAGATACAGAGTGTGGATTGGTGCATTCACAAACCCTGAGCTAGACACAGGGTGCTGATTGGTGTGTTTACAAACCTTGAGCTAGATACAGAGTGCCAATTGGTGTATTTACAATCCCTGAGCTAGACATAAAGGTTCTCCACGTCCCCACCAGACTCAGGATCCCAGCTGGCTTCACCCAGTGGATCCCGCACCAGGGCTGCAGGTGGAGCTGCCTACCAGTCCGGCGCCGGGCGCCCGCACTCCTCAGCTCTTGGGTGGTCGATGGGACTGGGCGCCGTGGAGCAGGGGGTGGCGCTCATCAGGGAGGCTCGGGCCGCACAGGAGCCCATGGAGTGGGTGGGAGGCTCAGGCATGGCGGGCTGCAGGTCCCGAGCCCTGCCCCGCGGGAAGGCAGCTAAGGCCCTGTGAGAAATCGAGCGCAGCGCCGGTGGGCTGGCACTGCTGGGGGACCCAGTACACCCTCCGCAGCCGCTGGCCCAGGTGCTAAGCCCCTCATTTCCCGGGCCGGCAGGGCCGGTCGGCTGCTCCCAGTGCGGGGCCCGCCAAGCCCACGCCCACCCGGAACTCCAGCTGGCCCGCAAGCGCCGCGCGCAGCACCGGTTCCCGCTGGCGCCTCTCCCTCCACACCTCCCTGCAAGCTGAGGGAGCCGGCTCTGGCCTTGGCCAGCCCAGGAAGGGACTCCCACAGTACAGCAGTGGGCTGAAGGGCTCCTCAAGTGCCCCCATAGTGGAAGCCCAGGCAGAGGAGGCGCCAAGAGCGAGTGAGGGCTGTGAGGACTGCCAGCACGCTGTCACCTCTCAGCATTGCCCAAGGAGAGTGGGCTATGCGGGAGGAAAGAGAGAACTAGAAAGGATTATCTTGATTATTTATAGAAAAGGTAAGGAAATTGTCATCTTTGAAGTGGAATCTCAAATACTTTGAAGCTAACTAGATAAGGTTGTTGTCCCGTTAGAAAACATATTAGGATGAAATGAATGGCATACAGTGAAAAATAATGCAGAGATTTAAAGTAGCTTAAAGATTGAAAAGGTCAGTGGAGATCTTGGAGGACAACATTAATTTGTGTTTTGGGATGCAAACAGACAACAGTCAGTTGAAGGGTGAAAGAAAGAAATAAAATACACATAGCAAACAAGCATAGACAACTCAAGAAGCTTGAGTGGGGAGAAAAAGAGTTAAGGGTCAAGGAGAGAAAGAAAAGGAGAAAGAGAAGAGGAAGAAAGGAGGGAGGAAGAGAAAGAGAATGAGAAAGAGAGACTGAATGAAACAGATGTGATATGATACACAAGTAAAGAAAATATCATTGTACCAGAGGCAAAAGGAGACCATTTCCATTATAAGACCTGAGAGAATCAATGATGGGTGTCATTGTTTTTGGTGTCTAAGAGAAAAATAAAGAAATCAATCTAGAATGACACTATTTTATGTAAATCAGAAATGGCTTAATGGCTTATTTTTTTTAAGTAGGAGGAAAAACAATTACTACAGGCACAAGTAGAAAAGTTAATATGATTTGGAATCTATCTCTGCCTAAAAGTAGATCTTGCGCTATTTTCTTGGTTTAGCTTTTTAAAAATCCATGCTCTTAACCAGTACCCTCAGATAACTTTATTTATATTAAGTCATTTAACCTGATAAGTACTGTGTTTAGTAGCTAAACAGTATATTGTTAGTTTTTTAGTTTACAGATGAAGAAACTGAAACATGATAGGTTAAGTGAGTTGTCAAGGTCACACATTTACTAAATAATAAAGCTATAATTTGAACTTCTTCCAAAGAAGATGGGCATGAACCACAGCTTAACTTAAAATACCTCTTTAATGGCTTTATTTAAACAAAATCATCATAAAAGATACTTTCCGTCTTCTAAAATTTTCCATAGATACACAAGAAAATATATTACGAGAAGTGATATATTTGTAAAACAACAAAATGGAAATATGAATGATGATGCTAGAAGTGTTTCAGAAAGGAACTAACTTCAGAGAATGAGAGCATGTCTTAAGCTAGTTATCTAAAGAGTGTCTGACTATAAGATTTAACTTAAATTCCCTCTGAATTATGGAAATAGCGGAATAAAACTGGACTTAAAGCTGAATCTTGTTTGCCTCAGATCAAAACTTTTCTTTCTAGTTGAAAGTGTAGATGTAAAACGTGAGACAGTTTCAGAGGTTCTGAGAAATCACAGGTAAATGGGCTATTTAACTCAAAATTGAATTCAGTTCTTGGAAAAATAGAACTGAATTCACTTGCCAGCGGAACAAACTGTCTTGTAGACCATGTCATTCCAAAATCAATTCTAAAGCTTTTTTTAAATCTGAACATGTAAAGGTTCTTATCATTTTGTTTTGTTTCATCTTGTTTTTACTATCTATTCTATTCATTAATATCACTTCATGTATTATAGGAAAAGTCACTATTAATTATAAAATCCAAATTTATCCACTACATAAAATACAGTCCTTAGGATTAATCTAACACACAACACAGGATAATGGATTTTTGAAGAGACTTTCTGAAATTTCTGTGAACTTTATAGCAATCAGTAGTATAATTGTACCAGATGATAACTTCTATATTAGGAACTCAGTTACAGATGCACCAGAGACAAGAAACTATTATTAAGTGCCTGACATATGACTCAGAGAATGGGCTTAGGTAAATATGAAAGAGAAACACTTCTATAACGTTGAATAATATTTTAAAAATTCAGAAGCTTCTCGTTCAATTATTTGTGCTCTAACTCTTATTTGTTGAAGTTTTCTCTAGTGTGATGCTCCTGCATATTATTTCTATTGTTAACTGGTAGCTTGGGTAGCTGTCATTTATAGCGGAGTGAAATGATAAAATTACATACTAAATGCAAGTACCATTTGAGTATAACAACTCTAATTGGAAAGATGAAGAGTGACTTCCCTGCAGCTGTGAAAATTACTTGGTATAATGTAAAAGGTGAATAAAAGCTTTAAAGTCTCCTGGAAAACAAAGGTCAAGTTGTGTCTTTAGTAAATCTTAGACACCTTGCTGAGTACCTGGAACTCAGTGGTTGTACACCAATTTAGGTTTACTGAAGGAAGAAAGCATAGCTGACAGGTATTTGTAACCTATTGTGTAATAGGAATAAGGGAGACATTTTATGTTCTTAAAATATATAATTGTGGCCTTCTAGTTTCAGCTCTGACATTTAAAGAGCTTGGAAGTCATGACTTCTATCTTTAAAACAAGATGAATTGGAAAAACTTAAAATCAATTAATTTTCTTTGACCAACAGAGAACTGAATTTGCAAGGCAAACTTTTAATCCAATATCTGGGGTGATAGATAACTCCAGAGAGTCATGGCCAACATCTACTTACCTGGAACAGGAGCTTCTACAGCAATAAACTGGTAAAAAAAATAAAAATAAAATGTATCAAAATTTGTATGGTGTAGGAAAAACAATGCTTAGGAAAAATTTATTGAAGTAAATTAATATATTAGAAAATATGGTAGATCTACAATCAATAACCCAAGTCTCTAAGAAACTAGAAAATAAAGACTGAGTTAGGCAGTCAGAAAGTAGAATAAAATTAAAATTAATATTAGAGAAATATCAAGAATATTGAAATACAAAACAAATAAAATGAAACCAAAATCTTGTTCTTTAAAACAAAGGATAAATGCTTGAGGGGATGGATACCCCATTCTCCATAATGTGATGATTACATAATGCATGTATGTATCAAAACATCTCATGTATCTCATAAATATATATATCAACTATGTACTCACAAAAATCAAAATTAAAATTAAAAAAAAATTTAAAGCTTTTTCTCTAAGAAGATTGATATGATTCAAAAACCTCTATCCAGACTAATCAAGAAAAAAAGAGAGATGACCCAAATTACAACATCAGAGTGAGTGGGGTCCATCACTACCAACTGTCGGGCAGTAAAATTTAAATAAAAAATACAACAAACATCTCAAAGGCACCAATTTTCTGCCTTAGGTAAAATGAAACAATTTCTTAAAAGACTACCAAAAATGAAAAATGGAGAAATAATGCTTGAATATTTCAAAATATATTAAACAAATTAAATAATTACAAATTTTCTAAAAGAGAGAGCACTAGACATATGGTTTTACTAGAGAATTTTAACAAACATTTAAAGAAAAATAATACCAATTTTTACAAAATCTCCCAGAAAGTAGAGGCAGAGGGAAGTTCTAATCTTTACATAATTTAATAGAATATCTCCAGAATCTGTTTGTAGAAAACTACAAAATATGGTGAAAAAAATCAACAAATAATTAAATAAATGGAGAAATATTCCATGTTCACGGATTGAAAGATTTAATATTATTAAAATGTCACTTCTTTCCAGCTTGGTCTGTGCATTTCATGCAATCGTAATCAAAATCCCAGCAAACTATTATTGATGTTAATAAAAAGGTTCTAAAATTTATATAGAAAGGCAAAATGCCTAGAATAGCTATGCAATATTGCTGAAAAATATAAGAGCACTCACACTACTCAATTTCTACATTAATTACAGTTATAAGAATCAAAACAGGATATTATTGACAAAAGAATAGAAACATAGGTAAATTGGACAAAATTGATTTCCAGCAATAAACCAATAAAATACAATCAATTAATTTTTGACAATGATTGAAAGCCAATTTAATTAAGAAAGAATAGACTATAACAAATGTTTCTGGAACAATGGGATATCCATGTGCAAAAAGGAAAAATAAATACCTGTGCAAAGACCCAACACATTTTATATTCTTAATAATTGTCTCAAAATGGCTCATAGACCTAAATGTAAAATGTAAAACTATAATACTTATAAAATAAAACATAAGGGAAAATCTATATGACCTTGGTTTTGGTGACAAGTTTTTCAATGCAACACCAAAAGAACAATCCTGAGAGAAAAAAAAAGAAAAAAAATTGATAAGTTGGACTTTGTTGAAATTAATAACTATGTTTCCCTGAAATGCACTGTAAAGAGAAAGGAAAACCTAGCATCAGGAGGCTCCAATTAAAGCAAGTGTTGGAGGATCCAATTAAAGCAACAAGTTAAAAATAAAGGAGTTAAGCCTTTATTCACATACTGTGATGGCATAAGCAGGAGTCTAAAACCAAAGGAAGCCCCAACTCTCTGTCTCATCCCTCCCATGGAAGGGCACACAGGTGGAGGGGTTTCTGTTGCACAGAGAGGTGGATCATTTCCCTGTTGAGGAAGCCGCAAACAATAGAGTCAGGCAGCTTTATAGACCCTGGTGTCAGGGGCAGGATGAGGAGGAAGAGCTGGGAGTGACAAATTACTGGGTGCTGAGTCAAAGTGGGAAAAAAAGCATATCTTGAAGTTTTCCCACCTTTTTCTCCTCCAGGAGGTCTCAGCAGAGATACTTGAAGAAGATCTCTCTGTCCTAGACCTCAGATAAAGAGATCTAGGAATGAAGGCACTAGGAATTTAAATACCGTAAGAGCCTGACCAGTCAAGAGGCCCTGAGTTCTCAACTGCAACTCCCTTCAGAGACTGTAATGAACTGTCTGTGTACCCAGTCTGGTCTGTGGGAGTGCAGTTTATTCCCATGAGTCCTGCCAGGTAAAGCCTTTGTAGTTGCCTGTGGTCAGGTCTAAAAAATCACATATAGGTTTTGAACCAGGAGTTAATCTCCTCAACCAGACACAGTCATTTTTTTTTTCAAAATGACTTGTATCTAAAATACACAAAGAACACCTAAAACTAAACAATAAAAAATACACAAAGAACACCTAAAACTAAACAAATGACACAATTACAAAATAGGCAAAAGATCTAAATAGACACCTCAGGTAAGAGGATACACAGATGAAAAGATGATCAACATTATTTGCTATTTGAAATGCAAATTCAATCTGTAAGGTATAACATCACACCTATTAGAATAGCTAAAGTAAAAATAAATAAATTAAACAATATCAACTGCTGTAGATTCAGAACAACTAGTGCTCCGTTTGTTGCTGGTGGGGATGTAAACTGCTACATTCACTTTTGGAAATGGTTTGACAGTTTATTTCAAAGCTGAACATAGGCTTATTTTACAATCAGGCCATTGTGATCCTAGTTACTTAACCAGTGATTTGAAAAATTGTCCCCACACAAATCTTTATGTAGATATTAACAACAGCTTTATACATCATCACAATAAACTGGAAACAACCAATATATTCTTAAATATGGAACAGAAAAATATATTGTATAATATTATTCAGCAATAAATAGATATAACCCATCAAGCTATTCCAAGTCATGATGAATCTTAAATGAATATTGCTAAATGAAGAAAGGCATTCTGTAAAGACTATCTAATACATGATTGCAATTTATCGGCAAAACTGTAGAAACTATAAAGAAAGCAGTGTTTGTCAAGGGTTTGGGCAGAGGTTGAATTCATGAAGCACATGCATTTTCTTAGGGCATTGAAATTATTCTGTATAACATCATAATGGTGGATTCATACTACTTTGCAGTTGTCAAAACCTATTGCACTTGCAGCACAGGACATGAAAGCTGATATATGCAAATTATTAAGAAATAGGAAGTCAAGGAATCCCAGGATGAAATGTTGAGTGTGATAAAAGAATCTAACTGTATTTACCAATGTATGAAGCAACCTACCTGAAGGCAATGCACAAATGGTGCTGACCTAAGTAACTTTGGAGAAGGGTGGATTCTGTTAAGACTGAAGGCAATGTAATCTTTACATAAACTCTGCACTGTACAAGTTCATATCTTGTCCCGACAGGGCATATGTTAACAATCCTGTACATGTACATTTGAGTTGAATAATTGAGTAAATTGTATACTTGGTACATCCACTTTGGAAAATGGTTTTACAGTTTCTTTCAAAGCTGAACAGAGTCTTCTTATACAATGCAGGTTTCTCACTTTTACAGTGGAAGGTAACAAACCAGCAAGATGAGACTACTAGAATGATATATGTGGTATTCAATTAGAGTTGGAGAAATCGGTATCAATTCGTGTTTCATCTTATGTAAATTTAGATAGATGATAGATAATGTGTAGTGTATACATGAGTTAGTGTTTGCGTATGTATTTCCTTACTTTGTCAGTTAACAGAGCCTAGAAACATTGACTTTCTTGTAACAATAGCACACCTAGCACCCAGATTTTTGTTTAACATTTATTTTAGGTTTGGGAATACATGGGAAGGTTTGCTGTATAGGTAAATTCCATGTCACGGGGGTTTGGTGTACAAATTATTTTGTCACCCAGTAATAAGCATAGTGCCCAATAGGTAGTTTTTCGATCCTCATCCTCCTCTCGCTCTTCACCCTCAAGCAGGCCTCTGTGTCTGTTGTTCCCTTCTTTGTGTCCATGTGTACTCAGTATTTAAGCTCCGACTTAAAACTGAAAACACTTTAAAGAAATTGAGAACACAACTAAATCTTGATTTCTGATGTTATTCTCCAATACAAGGTACAAGTGCTCCATGGAGAAAATGGTGATTCAGCGCCTGAGCCATGAAATATACAAGATGAGCCTGGAGAATCCTGCAGTTCTAGAAAGTAAGAAAGTATTTAAAAAAATCAAAACAAAAACCGAACCGAAACAAAAACCTTCACACAATAATGGTGGTATATCAAAGGCACATAGAAACAAAGGGAAAGGGTTCCCAATGATAAAAACTATCGCAATTTGAGTAGCAAAATGAATAATGTCATAATAGATTATTTCCCAAAGTGTAAAATTAATGGTGTAAAATATGTTTATAGTATTGTAAATAAATAATTGAGTAAATAAATATAAGTGGAGAAAATAAATATCTCATCAAGAAAAATACCAGTCACGTTAGGTAGAAACTCATATTCAGGTGGTGGTTGTAATGCCTTCCCTTTAAAGTGGGCTGCACACAGTGACTTTCTTCCAAAGAGTACAATATAAAAAGATGGGAAAATAATAACTTTCCAGTGAAGAAAACTAAGAAACACTATCTCAACAGCTGATAGATCAACAGCATCAGCGATCAATCATGTTGACAGTATATATCTGATATGATGGAATGAAAATGTCATTTTACCTCCATGATCTTCCTTAAAAAAAAATACGTAAAAAGTCAGTTTAAACATGAGAAGGTATCCATAAAGGGTATTCTCCAAATACATGACTGGTCGTCCTCAAAACTGTCAAAGTTATCAAAAACAAGAATGTCTAAAAAAGTGTTGTGGCCAATCCTAAAGAGAAAAATAACTAAATATAATATGGCATTCTAGGTGAGATCCTGGAAAATACAAATGACATTAGATAAAAACTAAGGAAATATGAATATAGTATGGACTTTCATTAATAATAATGTATCAATATTGGTTTATTAATTATAACAAATCATATTAATTTAAAATGCTAATAATAAGGAAACTGGGTGTTGAGCATATGAGAGCTCTCTGCAGTATCTCTGCCAATTTTCTGTGAATTAAAAAAAACATTTTAAACTTAAAAACATAGTAAATGTTTTAAAAATGGTCTGAGAAACCCAGTGTGGTAGGTACAACACTTATTTTAAAAGAAAAGTCTAAATTTCATCAATATTAACAGTAACTCAATTTGCCCCAAGAGTAAAACATAGCATTAGAAATTTTATTTAATATTTCTGATTACAATTTTTTTATTTGTGTTTTTAAAAAATGAAATAGGGTTTTGAAACATTATCCAAGCTCAAGCCTACCCCAGCCTGCTCCAAAATATATCATGGAAATTGTAATTGAAGTTTTTATGGGGTGGTAACTTTCCTCCAAAAGGAAGCATAAAGTTACATCTTGTGTTTTTTCAGGGTGCTCCTTGACATCCTATGAAAGAATGTCCTTGAAGAAAGATGCTAAAATGTTCAACGATTTTTTTAAAGCAGAAAGTCTGAAGTAGCTGCGGTGAGTGACAGCTGAACACAAATTTCTGACTACTAGAAGAGGAGTCATGTTAACAGTACATAAATATTCACAGAGATGGTATCTTTAAATATAACTTGCAAATAATCTCACAGTAAAAATGTATTTTTATATTACCCAGTGGAATTAAAGTGAACTTTTCTTCTTTCCATTTTCTTTGATGAATTTTAACAAAGTTGCTCCCAATTTCAGCATGTGCACATTGGTTTATGTTTTCAAAGAAAAATGTTGTTAGTTTCAATTGGCTTTATATTGATGTTTACCAGGTGATTAAATTTCTGATATATTTTTAAATCATAAAATATTTTATTTATCCTTTACATCTTAACATAAATACTTCTGAATCCAGTGACATTGGTTAAATAGTAATATATAAAAAATCCACTAAATTATAACACTGTATGTGGAATATTGTACATCAATGGTATAGTAAGCATGAAATATTATCAATAGTTTTACTCTATTACTTTCCTCATTAATACAACACGTCTGAAACAACTGATACCTCTACATTTTGTTTTTAAAATTACAAGTCAAAGCCCGGGCACAGAGGCTCTCGCCTATAATCCCAGCACTTTGGGAGGCCGAGTTGGGTGGATCATGAGGTCAGGAGTTCGAGACCAGCCTGGCCAATATGGTGAAACCCCGTCTCCACTAAAAATACAAAAATTAGCTGGGCATTGTGGCACGCGCCTGTAGTCCCATCTACTCAGGAGGCTGAGGCAGAAGAGTTACTTGACCCAGGAGGCGGAGGTTGCAGTGAGCCGAGATCACGCCACTGCACTCCAGCCTGGGTGACAGAGCTAGACTCTGTCTCAAAAAAAAAAAAAAAAAATTACAAGTCAAAAAGTGATTTTTTTTTTCAGGGCAAGGTAGAATAACAGGGATGGGATATGGGATATACTCTACTGCTTGAAAGAGTCAAATATTCTGGAAAAATAATAAAAGAATAAACCTTTAGTTTTCAGACTTTAGATATTAAGAATTGCAAGAGAGATTTCCTGAAAAAGAGGAAAGAAATGGTCTTATGATCCCCCAGCATACTAACTGCAATGTGGTTTGACGCTGCAGTACAGGAAGATAAAATAAAGTTGGAGCCTAGGAATCTTCCTAGTTCAGGAGGCACAAAGAGTTTGCAGGAAAACACACTAGAAGAAAGAGGGAGAGAGAGAGATCCAGATGTCTCTGTCAAGATTTTACTTGAAGACTAAGCAGCATATGAGTGTATATATAAAAAAAAAGCCAGAGAAAGCACCACCCAAAAAAAGCAGAAAAAATAATCCCCAATGCTAATAAAAATGGGATAATATTTTCTATTCTTATTTGGAAGGATATTGACTCAGTAGTGGCAAAAATAAATTAGCAACAGATTGTTAGGTTATTGGGTCCTGTGTACAAAGACTAGAATAAGCCTTAGAGGAAACAAACTATTTCCAAGAAATTTATCTGTGTCTTAGAACAAAGCTCAATAACATTTTTGTGAATACACAAATATATGGGAGCTAGCAGGATAAAGGTAAAAAATTCACAGTATATAAACTCTAGTCAAAATTAATCAGGCATTCAGAAAGCATAGAAATCTGATCACTAATTGGGAGAATAATAAACCAAATCACACATAGAAATAATATGATAGACTCAGTAGACAAAGACATTGAAATTATTTTTGTCAATCAAATTTATATATTCAACGAGGTATATAAAAATTGATGGTATTAATAAATATAGAAAATATAAAAAAGTTCAAATTTAACTTCCAGACATAAAAAAGAAAGCTCTGAAAAACACAATCTATGAAATAAAAGATTAGAAACTGCAGAAAACCAAGCAAAACATAAAACTATATTAATTAACTTAAAGTCCAACAATAGAAACTATATAAGTAAAATATGGATTAAAAAGGGTCTTAAAAGTAGTAAATAGCTTATGTGAATTATGGGATATGTTTAAGTGATCAAATACATGCACAATTTGGGTCTAGAAGGATAATAAGAGAGGCAGAAAAATATTTGAGAAAAAATGATGGGAATGTTTCCATGTTTTATTAAAAAACATCAACCAACAGAGCCAAGAAGTTCAGCAAAGCCCAAGTACTAGAAATATGAAGAAAACTACATCAAGTCATATAAAAGTTAAGTTCCTTAAAGCCAATGATAAATAGAAAATGTTAATAAAGATAAGAATTATCAACAAAATAAAAAATAGAAAAACAATAAATCGAATCAATGAATCAAAAGTTGTTTTTTTAAGAAAATCAAGTGTTAATATAACCTGACAAAGTGAATCAGAAAAGTGAAAGTATTCTAACCTTTGAGAATTAGTATGTCATCATATTTAACAAACTCACAGAAGGGAAATACTATGATAATTTCAATAAATGCAGAAAAAAACATTTGATAAATCCAAAAATTCATCCCTGATAAATACTGTCATCAATCTAGGAATCATTTGGAAGTTCCTCAATCTAAAAAAGGGCATTTCAGAGAAACCTCTTGCTGACATCATAGTTTATCGTAAACTATACATTTCCCCTTTAATGGTAGCAGAAAGTCAAGGTCATCTGCTCTTACAACTTCTATTCATCGTTATAATGGAAGCTCTAGTCTGTGTAATAAATGCAAGAAAAATACAAAAGGCATTCAGATTACAGAGGAAGAAGTAAAACTATCACAATGATGTTATCATACATGTAAAATCCTATAATTTACATAAAGACCTAGAACTAATTAATTTGGTCACAAGATACAAAACCCATAAAATTCCATTGTACTTTTATATTCAAAAACAATAATCAGAATTAAAATAAAATATCATTTTCTATAATATACAAGTATAATTTTATTAGTGCTTAAACCATGAAAAATGTGAAAGACCTATATATTAAAAACTACAAAAATTTAACTGACACAAATACAAGAGACAAAAATCAATGGAGAGATGAACTGTGTTTATGAATCCAAGGACTCAATATTAGGAAAATTTTAATACTCCTGAAATTGATCAACAAAATTTTAACAGAAACTCATTTGAAATTATAGTAGGCTTGTTTGAAAACATTCATAGGTTAATTTGAATGAAAATGTTAAAGAGTTAGAATAGCCAAAACAATTAAAAGTAAAAATAAATTTGAACTGTATATCCTATCTGACCTCAAGACTTACCATGAAGCTACAGTGTATTCAAGACAGTATGGCATTGGTGTGAAGACAGTTCAATGGACCAGAATGGACTGTACATAAATAGTCTCATATATTTCACTGATTTTTATCAAAGGTACAAAGGAATTCAATGGACATAAGATAATGCTTCTTCACAGGAACAGGTGGATAACCATTTGTCAACAAAAATAAACTTCCATCCATACCTCACATCATATATAAAGTTAACTCAAAATGACAATTGTCCCAAAATATAAAAATGAAAATTCTTAAATTACTAGAAGGAGAGGAGAAATTCTTTATGAATGCGTTCCAAGCAAATATTTCTTATAGATGGCATCAAAATTATGATTCATGAAAAAGAAAAGTTAAAAATTTTGACTTTATCAAAATTAGCAATTTTTTTCTTCTATTAAGACTTTTCAGGGAATGAAAATACAATACACAGTCTTGGAGAATATATTTAAAATTTCATGACTGATACAAGACATGTATCTATAATATATAAAAAAGTTTTCAAAATCCAATTATAAGAAACAGGCTGGGCACAGTGGCTTACACCTGTAATCCCAGGACTTTAGGAGGCCAATGCGGGTGGATCACTTGAGGGCAGGAGTTTGAGACCAGCGTGGCCAACATGGTGAAACCCACCCTGTCTCTATTAAAAATACAAAAAAAAAAAAAAAAAAATAGCTGGGCATGGTGGTGCATGCCTGTAATCCCAGCTACCGGAGAGGCTGAGGCACAAGAATTGCTTGAACCTGGGAGATGGAGGTTGCAGTGAGCCGGGATCGCACCACTGCACTCCAGTGTGGGTGACAGAGTGAGACTCCATCTCAACGAAAAAAAAAAAATTATAAGAAAGAAACAATACTTTTTTTTAAAAAGGGTAAAAATTGCTAAAGACACTTCACAAACTAAAATGCACAAAGGATAAAATAGCACATGAAAACATGGTTAAACATCATTAGTAACTAAGGAACTGGAAACGAAAGCACATTGAGATACTACTACACATCCTGTAGAATATCTGAAGTTAGAGAGAACAAGGCCAAGTGCTGGAGAACTGGAACTCTCACTCTCTGATGCTGGACATGTAATATGACACAAATACTTTGAAGAATAGCATGGCGGTTTCTTTTTCTGTTTCCTTTTTTTTTTTTCAGCTACAGCTAAAAATATATTTTTTTCTTTCAGTTTTTATTTTAGGTTCAGTGGGTACATGTGCAGGTTTGTTACATGGATGAATTGCGTCACTGAGGTTTGGAGTACAAATGTTTGTGTCACCCAGTAGTGAGCATAGTAACCAACAGGTAATTTTTCAACCCTTGTCCTCTTCCCACGCTCCCCCTTCTGGAAGTCCCCAGTGACCAGTGTCTATTGTTTCCATTTTTATGTCTATGTGTAAACTAAACTCAATGTTTAGCTCCCACTTATAAGTGAGAACATGTAGTATTTGGTTTTCTGTTCCTCTGTTAATTTGCTTAGGATAATGGCCTTTAGCTGCATCCATGTTGCTGCAAAGACATGACTTTGTTCATTTTTATGGCTGCATAGTATCCTATGGTGGATGTGTACCATGTTTTCTTTATCCAGTCTAACACTGATATACATCTAGGTAGATTCCATGTCTTCCCTATTGTCAATAGTGCTGTAATGAACATTCAAGTGCACATGTCTTTTTGAAAAAACAATTTATTTTCCTTTGGGTATATACCCAGCAATGGGGTTGCTGGGTTGAACAGTAGTTCTGTTTTTTTAGTTATTTGAGAAATCTCAAAACTGCTTTCCACAGTGGCCGAACTAATTTACATTCCCACTGACAGTGTGAAAGCATTTCCTTTTCTCTGAAACCTCACCAACACCTGTAATTTTTTATTTTTTTAACAATAGCCATTTTGACTGATATGAGATGGTATCCCATTGTAGTTTTGATTTGCATTTCTCTAATAATTAGTGATATTGAGAATTTTTTCATGTTTGTTGGCTGCATGTAGGTATTCTTTTGAGAAATGTCTGTTTATGTCCTTTGCCCATTGTTTTAAATGAGATTTTCATTTTTTGCTTTTTGAATTATTTAGGTTTTATAAAAGCTAAACACACTTATAGCCCAGCCACTCTTTTTTTTAGTATTTATGCAAAAGAAATAAAAGCATATGTCCTTACAAATACTTGTACATGAATGTTCAAAACAACTTTATTTCTCAGGCCCCAAACTGGAAACAACCTAATGTCTATTGTCATGAAGGTGAATATAGTCATATAATAAAATAAGACTCAGCCATAAAAATATACTATTGATAGATAAAACATATAGGAATCTCAAACTATGCTAGTTGAAAGAAGTCAGACAAAAAGTGCATAGTGTATGGTGACATTTATATAAAATCTCAGACACAACAAACCAATCATAGTGACAAAAAGCATAGGTGCAGTTTCCTAGAATTGAAGGTGGTAAAGAGGGCAAGAAGGGGTGGGATTAAGGAATTATAAAATAGTTTGAGGAAATTTTTCGGGGTAATCTATATGTTAATTTTCCTTAATGTGGTGACAACTATATGTAAATGTGCAGATATATTCAAATGTATCCGTGGTAGACAGAATTCTAAAGTGACCTCCAAAATTCGCAGTCCGTGGTGTATATACCTTCTCTCAGTTAGTCTATCAATCATGAATGTAGGTGTTGCTAGAAAGGATTTTAAAGATGGAATTAAGGTACCAAATCAGGTTATCTGCAGAGTATTCAGGTGGGCCTCACCTATTCATACAGGCCCTTTAAATCTGAGCATGAACTTCAGTGCTAAAGAAGTCAGACACTGAAAGTGCATGAAAGATTTGACATAATATAGATATGTTTAAGGCAATTAGGATATTCATCATTGCTGGTAGGCATGCAAATTGTACAAAGTAACTAGGGAGTTGGGAGCATCAATATTGTTTTACATTAAACAAAAGTTTATTTTAATCTATGTGAATGAAATAATTAAAAATATAGTGTGTAGTGTGTGTGTATACATGGAAAAGCTTTTGCCTACATTTGCATTATTTATTACACTGAATACTCTAAATAATCTTAAATGCAAATCATAATGGGTTGTTAATACCATGGAGCATTAAAATATGTGTTGTCAAAATTAATTGACTATAACAGGAAATTTACTAGATTGAATTTTAGTGCAAAAAATTAATGTGAATTATAAAGAAAATACATTCCAGGCTTGTTATGTATTTTACTCACAAACTTATAGATACATAATTATCACATCAATAAAGATACAAATCACAAGAAACAAATATTTAACATCTTAGTATTTATAGGTCAATGTTTCTTAAAGGTCAGCATTGTTTTGTATTTTATCATTTCTGTATATTTGATTTTTTTCTTTAGATAATGAATATCACTTTGGAATAAAACAGCAAATGAAATGTAAGTTACCCCAGGGTTCTAATCTCTCAGGTCATCTCTCCAATGACTTTACATCACAGCAATAGTCCTAACTCTCTATATTCTTCACCCTCTTTAATGAATCCTCATTTATTTTTAGCCATTATGGCCTTCTTGCTTTTAGTTCAAAATCTGTGTAATGCATAAGATTCCCTCTTGGCCTCCATTTTTTTTTTTTTTTTTGCTTATTATATTCTTTTTCCATGTACATACATGTATCACGTTTTCTCACTTTCTTTAGGTCTCTGCTCAAATGTCACCTTATAAATGGTTTTCTCCTAGGCCTCATTAAAATAGCAGCTCCCTACTTGGCATGCCCTATTCCCCTCACCTTCATTTTCTTTTGCTTATACCATTTATTATGCCCTTTTAAAAATCATTTATTTAGTTAGACTAAGTCTACTAAAGGAAGGAATTTATCTGTTTTAATTTCTCTAATGTTTCCAACACCTAGGCAGTGCTAGGCATATTTTGAGTTCTTGATAAATATCTATTGAAATTGCATGGAGAAAGGAAAATAATGAAGATCATATATTTATGTATGTTTTCTTCCTAAAACTGAATGCCTTAATAATCAATATTCATTTTCAGATAGTTTTGAAATACTTCCATGATAAACGTGTCATATATATATGAATAAATAAGCAGCTGAGAGTATATAGTATTCAAACAGAATCTTGATATCGGAACAGTCTCCCTAAGCTGACTTAAGGGCACCATTTGTCCAGAAGGCAGAACAAGCTACCTTGATCTGCTAGATGTGCAAGGGAGTTTTCAAATTACAGGCTATTCAAACTTGCTAGGTTCAAATGTCAAGTATGAAGAAGAAAAAGTATAACCTATGAATTTGCTTAGAGTTGCAGATTGTACCATCAGTTTATGTGGCCTCTAAGGGAGAAGATTTCATTTAAGATACAAAGTCCGAAGAACAAATCACTCCAACAGGATTCAGCCTCGTCGTTTCCTGTGGAAAAAGAAAGAAAGAAAGAAAAAAGTTTGCCTACCTATTTTGTGTTTTTCCTATTTAAACAGAGTTTCATGAGAACAGAAAAGTAGTCTTAGAGATTTTGCCAAAATTGCAGCAATTACCTTTGAAGACTTGGCAATGCTTAGTGGACAAGAATCTGAAAGGTAGCTAAAAAGGTGCATTCTAAGCGATAGTACTTATATTGGTATAAGCACTTTGTAGAATTTTGTGTTCATATACATATGCACATATACATATATACAAGCCTCTATAGTCTCTTTCTGCATATATACATATAAAATCCTTATCAACCCCATGATACAGAAATGTAGCGTGTTGGTACACTCAGTTTGTCAACTGAGAAAACACTGTCTCAATAAGGTTTAGCAATTTACCACATGGTACATTTGGAAAAAAGACAAAGCAGACAGAGCTATTTAGGTTCTTGGTGAATTTCCCCTTTCCCTAAACCCACAGGCTTCTATAACATCAATTACTAATTTTGAGCCAAATCAGTTGGCAAAAGGAATTTTGTAAATGAGTTAATGAAAAGGGAGATTATTTAGATGGACCTGACCAAGTCACATGAACTTTCACATAAGGTTCTACAGGTCAGAGACAGAGGAAAAAATCGTAACTCAAAATACAGAAAGTATTCAACTTCTCTTTGAAGATTTAGGGGTCCATGTAACAGAAAACAGTGGGCCCAACCCAAAGGGGCTCAAAGTGGATTCTTCTCCAGAGCCTCTATACCTTGAGTGAAACTCCTTTAGCAGAGAATCCAGTAAAATCAAACCTGGAGTTGTAACATATAGAAATGTAAGATCATAAATGGATGTTGTTTAAGTTACTAAGTTTTTGGTATTTTTATATAGTAATATAAAATTAATTCAAGTAGGACTATAATTTTCAAATTCTCAAACTTCATGATACAGGTAGAAGGGATCATGTTCCTCCATAACTCAAAGTGTTAGTGTGAAGTATCTGGCACAGTCCTCTCCAATAAGAATAAAATATGAATCACAAATGTAATTTTAATCTCCTAAAAAACAAAATTAATAAGTGAAAATAAACAGGTATAATTAATCATAATATATCTTAATATATCAAAAATATTATCATCTCAAAATGGGATAAATACAAGATACCAGTATTATTCATTGTCTGTCTGTTTCTTGTATTGTCTTCAAAATCCAATGTGTATACTGCACCTTCCGCACTTCACTATTTCCACTGGCTACATTTCAAGTGTTCAATAGTTTCAAGAGATTAGTTGCTACACTACTGGGTATTGCAGTTCTGGGACTTAGTAGTTTTTTTATATACTATAGTTTCCTTTTCTCCCTGCCCTACTTCCCCTCCGATTAACACAGTGCATAATATGAAAAGACCATCTTACTCATGACAAAAATATGTTTTGACTTTTATAAACATAAATTAAGATAATGAGAAAGCGTGTTACAATAGTAGTACATAGAAATAGAAATAGGGATCTATATGAAAAGTTTGATTGTTTACATCAGGCAGCAGTCAAAATAAGAAGAAAAAAAGAGTTTGAGTTTTTTACAATTTTTTTATACTCTAGTAGACATTTTTCAATATATAAAAAGTATTGCATAAGTTGATTAATGTTAATGATAAGATAGTATATTACTTGGTAGTATTCATGTACTTAGTTTATAAATGATATAGTTGGTAAGAAAGGACTCATAACTCATGGAATGATAGAGTGGAGACATTTGCATATTACATTGGTTTTTCTTACTGAATCTGACAAGTTTGAAAAGAGGAATTAAAGAAAAATATTACTGCCAGTAAATTATGATAATTAATAAATTGTCATACGATAGAATGATAGCTAGGAATGCTGTGTTACCACAAAGGGTTGAATTGCCTAGGCACACACACACATCACAGATATTCCCCAGCATTAAACTTTCCTAAAGACTCAAAAATACAGAAAGCACAAGCTATAGAGGAGCTATTTTATAGAACTCTTTCAATCCATCAGATGCAACATCTGACAAAACATTCCTTTTTGTTCTCTGCATTTGAACACATGTTGGTTTAGGTTTAATAGAATGTATTATAGTAATCACTTTGGTTTTTGAAGTATCTTGTATAAAACAGATGTTACATGTATGTAGTTTTAAACACTCTGAACAAATTCTAAAAACTCAAGAGCAGTGCATTAATATGCTTAGGACTCCTGAGAAGATAGTGATAGAGGATCTGGGTCTAGGTAATCTACCAACAAAACAGTTGATTAAGTGGAGCCATTTTGGTTTAGGTATTCTTTCATTTTACATACTGTTAATTACTAAATAGAACACATTCATGTGGCTACCTTCTGTTCTTCAAACAGCCATGCCCCTTGAATACATCAGTTCTAGTTTATTTATGGTAATCAACTTAATCTGTGCAGAAAGATCCTATTAAATTATCTTATAGATAGAAACCCTTCTTTGTATTAGTAAATGCCAGTAATATGTTTATTTAAAAATTATTTGAAGACGATTGTGTGATTGTATTGTTGACACACCTATTCAGCTAGTCATCCCTTAACAAGTCTGCATTGAGCTATTTATTAACCCATCACCGTTCTTAAGTCTTCCTTTTTCAGATTTTATAGTCCATTTTTTTATTAGTTAATATATTTTTGTGTAGCTTTAAATATATGTGTATAAATTGTAGACCAACTGAACAAAAATATTCTGCACCATTAAAATGAAGGTTAACGATCTGGAAACTATGATTATATATATAGTTCATTTTTAGAAAATACTGTGCAAGCCTAGGTAACATGCACTTACAGATATGCCCTCATTAGATACTCACAGGAACAATATAAGATAAGCGTTTTTATCCCTAATTCACAGATGCGGAAAATGAGCCTCAGAGTTATTGAATAATTTATCCGTAGTGTCAAAAACAGTGACTGGCAAAACTGTAATTTAAACTGATTTATGTCAGACTCTGCTATTACTTACATTTTATGTGTGTATTGAGGGTGCAGAGAGAAAGTAGATTAGAGTAAGAGAGTTGAGAGAGAAAAAGTGTAATTAATGAGCAAAAATTAATGAGCTAGCGAGCTACAAACTGCTTGAAATATCAGCTGTATTATTTTGTAATCAAACTGCATACAACTATTAATTTCTGTAAAACATGTGTTTTGTTCACTTTGGAAAAATATAAATTAAAATGATGCTATCCATTTACTTACTCAATTGATGTTAATATGTGTATAATTACAGAATTGTATAAGAAGACTCAGGTGGCAGAAATGAGTGGAGGCCTTAATGATAAGAGAGAAAACCAATCTGGCTCAGGGTAATCTTTTGCTTATTTATATGATCAAAATAAGATGTTTCAAAATGGAAACAGCCAGAGTCTATATTCTTTTCTTACGACATGCTTAAAATGTAGAAAGTACAAGATTTTGGCTTAAAAATGCCTAGTTGATTAAATTTTATAACCTTGAAATAGGATTTTATAAGATTTTGCAGTGAATACTGCAAAAAAATGGGTTTGCATGCTGCATAAGATCTTATCTATTGGTTTATTTCACAGATTCTGTGTAATCAAATATCTGACATCTAGTTGTTATCCTGAATATGTGCTAAATTTAATCTATAAAAAGGGACAGGGAGGAAGGAATATCAAATCATCTAGTCATTTTACCATGAAAATAAGTAATATATACATGTTATTGACTAAAGGGTACTTATTACTTACACCCTAAAAAATTGCTTGAGCATGTAACTGAATAGTGCCCATGGACCCATCTTACTTATTTTGAAATACAGCAAATATACAGATGTATTACTCATGTAGAGGTATTTATATCAAAAGTAAAAAACAATTAAATTTCTCACAACTTATAAGAGCAGCAATCTCCATAGGAACCAGTGTCAAAATAGGAAAAACTTAAGGGTTCTTGACAAATTGCTGGAGGCTCATTATGGAAGAGTCTGAAAGATTAAAAACTCCTGTGCTACAGTCTTTGGGACCCCCCCCCCCATTTGTTTCTGAGTTTTGCCTTCAGGAGCTCTGCCAGGTTCTCATAATGAATATCAGAGAAAATTACCCTCAAGCTTTCAGCAGTGGGTGGGTAAAGGAACCATTTTGAAATTTTCCAGAACAGTCTTTTCTTTACAAGATTTACCTACAGGAGAAACCAGTTAAAGAAAGCCTAAACTGCTGGGGTTTTATCTGAGCCTACATGACCTTGGGGAAGGGAAACACAGAACTCCAGCCCCTCCTTTCTTTACGTGGAAAATGCCGAAACCCAGCTCACTCTAGCCATTGTGTCCCACCTAAAGGGGTGGGAAAACAAAGCAAAAAAAAAAGTTGAGAAGCAGATTCGAAGTTCACAACTCAGGCACAGGCTCACGAAAAGACTAGAGCTACTAACAGGATTAAAGAAAACCCCCTTTCTCCTAGTACACCATATCGTCGCATTACTAAAGGCCTATTTACAATTCCTTTTAACCAGCCCATTTCCAACTATCAAGAAAACAATTTACAATACATAACAAAAGACAAAATAATAATAATTCCAAGAGACAGGGCAAGCATCAGAACCAGACTCAGACATAGCAGGCATGCTGGAATTAACAGAGAGAAAGAGGAAATTGAACCATAAGAAATGCTCTATTAAACCACAAAAGACAGAAAAAGAGTGAAAAATAAAAATAGAAGCAAAAAATAATGGCAGCAATTAGAAAACTGAAACAAATATAGTAGATATTAATCCAGCTTTGTCAGGAGAGAATCAGAAAACAAAGCCCAACTATGTGTTGCCTACAGAAAACGCACTTTCTTATAGGCACTTATAGATTCAAACTAAATAAATCGAGAAAGATATATCATGTTGATACCAATAAAAAGAAACCAGAATTAGCACTATATTAATTTCAGACACAGCAAATTTCAGAGTAAGGAAAGTTGTCAGGAATAAAAAGGAGCATGATGTAATAATGAAGGACTCATTCGATGAGACATAACAATATTTAATGTGTATGTGCCTGACAACAGAGTATAAAAATATGTGAGGCAAAACCCATAGAAATATGAGGAGAAATAAATGCATACAGTATCATAATTGACTTCAACACTCCAACAGAAATGGACAGATCCAGTAGGCAGAAAATCTGTAAGTGCATAGCTAAAATTAACCATACCATCAATCAAATAGATATAATGGACATCTACTGACTACTTCATCCAACAACAGCAGAATACATATTTTTCTCAAGCTCACATGAAACATTCAACAAAATAGACTGTATTTTGGGCCTTCAGAATCACCTTAAACACATTTTAAACATAAAAATTACATAATGTCTGGTGTCTGACCACAATGGACTTGAACTAGAAATCAATAACAGAAAAATAGCTGAGAAATTACAAAATATTTGGAGATTTAACAACATACCTCAAAATAACACATGGGTTGGAGAAAGAGTAGAAATTTTAAAAATATTGTGAGCTAAATCAACATAAAAGCACTAGTTCTCAAGATGTGTGAGATTCAGTGAAGGCAGTGTTTAGAGTAAAATGTATAGCATTAACATTAGAATACAAGAAGAACTCAAGCAATTATCTAAGCTTCCACCTTAGGAAGATAAAGGTAAAGCAAATTAAATCTCAAGAAAGAATAAAAGAAGTCAATCTGAAAAGGGTACATATTGTATTATTCCAGCTAGATGACATTTCAGAAAAGGAAAAATTATGAAGATAGTAAAAATATCAATAGTTGCAGGGGTTGGTCCAGAGAGATTGATGAATAGGCAGAGGATAGCGTTATTTTCAGTGCCCTGAAAGTAACCTGTGTGATACTATAATGATGGATACATGTCATTATTAATTGTCCAGCCCGGGAATGCAAAGCATCAAGAGTGAAGACTTGTATGAACTGTGGATTTGGGGTGATAATGATGTCTCAGTGTAGGTTCACCAATTGTTACACATGCACCACTTCAGTAAGGGACGTTGATAATAGGGGAGAATATGCATGTGTGGAGGCAGAAGGTTCATAGGATGTCTCGGTACCTTCCCATCCGTTTTGATGTAAACTTAAAACTGTTTTTTTAAAAAAATAACCTCTCTTAGGCCGGGAGCGGTGGCACATGCCTGTAATCTCAGAACTCTGGGAGATCAAGGCCAGCAGATCACTTGAGGTCAGGAGATCAAGAACAGCCTAGCCAACATGGTGAAACTCCGTCTTTACTAAAAATACAAAAAAATCAGCTGGGTGTGGTGGCGCACACCTGTAACCCCAGCTACTTGGAAGGCCAAGGCAGGAGAATCACTTAAACCTGGGAGGCAGAGGTTGCAGTGAGCTGAGATCGCACCACTGCACTCTAGCCCGGGCAACAGAGCAAGACTCAGTCTCAAAACATAAATAAATAAATAAATAAATACGTAAACAAATAAGTAAATAAAATCTCTTAACTATTTTTTTAAATTATATTGCAATAATTATAAATATAAAATAATTGAATAACATTTGAACTATACAGTTAAGTGTAAATATATTTTATATTTGTGTAACTGCCAAAATGGAAAATTGTATTTTCTATTAAAACAAAAATATTTCTACATAGAAAATTCAACCAACACCATATTAATTTAGGACAAAATATAAATTACTTTGGATATACACTAATGCGGTATGGGTACTTTCAAGATACGAACAATATAGCCAAAATAACCTTTTTGCTCGCCAGCGATTATTTTTAATTAAAAATAATATATTTTAAAAACCTTGCAGTTGATTCATGTAAATATTTCATTTTTATCGAAATTAGCTTTTCTAGTTGTAAGAAATTGGAATACACCCACTTTGATTTACTACATTAAAAAATATAGCTTAGAAATCTCATGGGTAATACACTATCCCTAGGATTTTTATAGGCATGCTATCTTACTTAAGAAATTAATTTACATAAGCATTAAGCATGAAAAAGTTGGCAAAAATCTTTATACTGTATTCTTAAAATGTCTTAACAAATAGTACCTAGTAAGAGTTAAAAAGAACACAACTTTTAGATTTATATTTTAGTGCTAATTCAGCATATAGTGGTTAAAAGTTTCTGATCAAATCATCTGAGATCAGAATCTGTCTCTTACATTTATTAGCTGTCTAGCCATGGACACCTCATTTCACCTTCCTGTATGTCAGTGAGTATGTTTTTGTTATTGAGTGCTTCTCAAGCTTTTTAACACATCATCAGAATTTAAGACATATTTGTTGTTGTGACCTCTTACAGTATTTTTACATAGAGGCCCAACCTTTCTTAAAATTAACACCGTTTCCAGATAGCATTTCAAAAGTAAATTGCTCAAATTAAGAGAATAAAACAATTAATGGTAAATAATGCCAGACATGTGATGCAAACCATATACATACTGTCTCTCATGTCGTTTTCATAAAATACTTCTAAGAAGACTTTTTTTTCTAATTCCATATTATACAAAGGCTTACCATGCTTAAGTAAATTAATCAAGTCACACAGCAAGTGTGTCTTCTTGATAAAATTTCAGGCCCAGGGGAAGGAGAAAGAAATGGCATGATGAAGATGAAATGAAAGATGGATGAAGAATATGATGATAATTAAAGTAAAGCAAAATATTTTAATCTTGACATGTAAATCACTTAAGCAGTACTTAGTATATATTCAGTGTCCAGTAAATTTACATTTTTTTGTTTTTCTTAATCTTCCTTTCATGCGCGTATCTGTGAAGAGACCAGCAAACAGGCTTTGTGTGAGCAACATGGCTGTTTATTTCACCTGGGTGCAGGTGGGCTGAGTCCAAAAAGAGTCAGCGAAGGGAGATAGGGGTGGGGCCGTTTTATAGGATTTGGGTAGGTAAAGGAAAATTACAGTCAAAGGGGGTTTGTTCTCTGGCGGGCAGGAGTGGGGGTTGCAAGGTGCTCAGTGGGGGTGCTTTTTGAGCCAGGATGAGCCAGGAAAAGGACTTTCCCAAGGTAATGTCATCTCTTGAGGCAAGGACCGGCCATTTACACTTCTTTTGTGGTGGAATGTCATCAGTTAAGGTGGGGCAGGTCACATTCACTTCTTTTGTGATTCTTTAGTTACTTCAGGCCATCTGGGCATATACATGCAAGTCACAGGGGATGTGATGGCTTGGCTTGGGCTCAGAGGCCTGACATTCCTGCCTTCTTATATTAATAAGAAAAATAAAATAGTGTTGAGGTTTTGGGGCGGCAAAAATTTTTGGGGCGTGGTATGGAGAGAGAATGGGCGATGTTTCTCAGGGCTGCTTCAAGCGGGATTAGGGGCAGCGTGGGAACCTAGAGTGGGAGAGATTAAGCTGAGGGGAGGTCTTGTGGTAAGGGGTGATATTGTGGGGATGTTAGAAGAAACATTTGTCCTATAGAATGATTGCTGATGGCCTAGATACGGTTTTGGATGAATTGAGAAACTAAATGGAATAACAGAAGGAGAAAAACAGGTATAAAAAGTCTTAAGAATTGGGACGACTCAGGATATCTGATTAGAGAGTGCCTAAGGAGATTCAGCATAGTCCTGCCAGCAAAGATTATTTATTTACTTCAAGAGTTAAGAGTGGCAGTTTGGGGATAGCACCAGGAGATATCAGCTGTGATGGCTTGGAAAAACAGTGTAAACCAGCAGTGTAAACAAGAGCAGGGCATGTATGAGTAGTTAGGAACGGTGAATAGGAGTATGACTAGACAGAAGATAGCAGGGAAGACAAGTTTTTTAGGGGCACAGTCTAAGTTGGTCTGGTGTCTGGAATGAGACCGGGGCCTAATAAAAAGGAGCATCTATACAGGAGCTCCAATGGGCTGTACCCTGTAGCATTCCGAGGACAGGCCTGAATTCTGAGAAGGGAAAGTGGTAAAAGTATTGTCCAGTCCTTTTTAAGTTGGTGGCTGAGCTTGGTGAGGTGTGTTTTTAAAAGACCTTTAGTCCATTCTACTTTTCTTGAAGACGGAGGACCATAAGGGATATAAAGGTTTCACTGAATACTAAGAGCCTGAAAAACTGCTTGGCTGTTTTGACTAATAAAGGCCCTTCTGTTATCAGACTGTATTGAGGTGGGAAGGCTAAACTGAGGAATTATGTCTGACAGAAGGGAAGAAATGACTGCGGTGGCCTTCTCAGACCCTGTAGGAAAGGCCTCTACCTATCCAGTGAAAGTATCTACCTAGACTAAGAGGTATTTTAGTTATCTGACTCAGGGCATGTTGAGTAAAGCTAATTTGCCAGTCCTGGGTGGGGCAAATCCTCGAGCTTGATGTGTGGGAAAGGGAGGGGGCCTGAATTATCCCTGAGGAGTAGTAGAATAGCAGATGGAACACTGAGAAGTTATTTCCTTGAGGATAAATTTCCACAATGGAAAGGAAATGAGAGGTTCTAAGAGGCGGGCTAGTGGCTTGTACTATAGTATAACCTGCCTTTGCTGGTGGTGTGTGGCGATTAGGCCTGGTGGAACCGCCATCAATAAATCAAGCGTGATCAGGGTGAGGAACAGGAAAGAAGGAAATTTGGGGAAATGGGGTGAATATCAGGTGGATCAGAGAGATACAGTCATGGGGGTCAGGTGTGGTATCAGGAACAATGTGGCAGGCCGGATTGAAGTCTGGGCCAGGAACAACGGTAATTGTGGGAGACTCAACAAAGAGTGAGTACAGCTGAAGGAGCCGGGGAGCAGAAAGTATATGCATCAGGTATGAGGAAGAAAATAGATTTTGGAAGTTATGAGAACTGCAGAGAGTGAGTTGAGCATAGTTTGTGATTTTGAGGGCCTCTAAAAGTATTAAAGCAGCGGCAGCTGCTGCACACAGACATGAGGGCTAGGCTAAAACAGTAAGGTCAAGTTGTTTGCACAGAAAGGCTACAGGGTGCGGTCCTGGCTCTTGTGTAAGAATTCTGACCTCACTAACTATGCCTAGGAAGGAAAGGAGTTGTTGTTTTGTAAAGGATTGAGGTTTGGGAGATTAGTCGGACAGGATCAGCAGGGAAAGCACGTATGTTTTTATGAGAATTATGCCGAGATAGGTAACAGATGAGGATGAAATTTGGGCTTGATTGAAGTAATGGGGGCTGTCTGTGAAGCCTTGCGGCAGTACAGCCTAGGTTATTTGCTGAGCTTAATGGGTGTCAGGGTCAGTCCAAGTGAAAGCGAAGAGAGGCTGGGATTAAGGGTGCAAAGGAATAGTAAAGAAAGCATGTTTGAGATCCAGAACAGAATAATGGGTTATAGAGGCAGGTATTGAGGATAGGAGAGTATATGGGTTTGGCACCACGGGGGGGATAGGAAAAACAATTTGGTTGATAAGGCGCAGATCCTGAACTAACTTGTAAGGCTTGTCTGGTTTTAGGACAGGTAAAATGGGGGAATTGTAAGGAGAGTTTATAGGCTTTAAAAGGCCATGCTGTAGCAGGCGAGTGATAACAGGCTTTAATCTTTTTAAAGCGTGCTGTGGGATGGGATATTGGCGTTGAGTGGGGTAAGGGTGATTAGGTTTTAATGAGATGGTAAGGGGTGCATGATCGGTCGCCAAGGAGGGAGTAGAGGTATCTTATACTTGTGGGTTAAGGTGGGGGGATACAAGAGGAGGATGCAAAGGAGGCTTTGGATAGGGAAGAAGGGCGGCAATGAGATATAGCTGTAGTCCAGGAATAGTCAGGGAAGCAGATAATTTAGTTAAAGTGTCTCAGCCTAATAAGGGAACTGGGCAGGTGGGGATAACTAAAAAGGAGTGCTTAAAAGAGTATTGTCTAAGTTGGCAGCAGAATTGGGCAGTTTTAAGAGGTTTAGAAGCCTGGCCGTCAATACCCACAACAGTTATGGAGGCAAGGGAAACAGGCCCTTGAAAAGGAAGTAATGTGGAGTGGGTAGCCTCTGTATTGATTAAGAAGGGGACGGGCTTACCTTCCACTGTGAGAGTTACCTGAAGCTCGGCGTCCGTGATGGTCTAGGGGGCTTCCGAGGTGATTGGGCAGTGTCAGTCTTCAACCGCTAGGCCGAGAAGATCTGGGAAGGAGTCAGAGAGCCTTGGGCCAGAGTTCCAGGGGCTCTGGGAGTGGCTGCCAGGTGAGTTGAACAGTCCGATTTTCCGTGGGGTCCCACACAGATGGGATGCGGCTTAGGAATCCCGGGCTGCGGGCATTCCTTGGTCCAGTTGCCAGATTTCCAGCACGTGTAGCAAGTTCCTGTGGGAGGAGGTTCTGGAGGAACGCCTGGCCGCTGCAGTTGAGACATTTGGAAGTTCTTATGTGCTGGAGATGTGGCTGGGGTTTGTCTCAAAGTGGAGGTAAGGAATTGCAACTTTTTTCTATTATTGTACACCTTGAAGGCAAGGTTAATTAAATCCTGTTGTGGGGTTTGAGGGCCGGAATTTAATTTTTGGAGTTTTATTTAATGTCGGGAGCAGATTGGGTAATAAAATGTATTTTGAGAATAAGACGGCCTTTTGACCTTTTAGGGTCTAGGTCTGTAAAGTGTCTCAGGGTTGCTGCCAAACAAGTCATGAACTGGGCTGGATTTTTATGTTCGATGAAAAAGAGCCTAAATGCTATCTGATTTGGGATAAAGAAAAAGGAGCATTAACCTTGACTATACCTTTAGCTCCAGCCACCTTTTTAAGAGTAAATTGCTGGGCAGGAGGGAGAGGGCTAGTCACGAACAAAACTGTAAGCCAGACCAGGTGTGAGGAGGGGAGGCGATAAAAAGATTATAGGGTGGAGGAGCAGAGGCTGAGGAAGAATTGGGACCTAGCTCGGCCTGGCGAGGAGCAGCCTGGGGAGGAAGGGAGAGGTCAGATGGGTCTGTAGAAAAGGAAGATTAGAAAGACTCAGCGACGCTTGGGGTTGGTACTGAGGGGACAGGTGGGAGGGAAAGAAGAAAGATTTGGGACGAGTTGCACTGGGCACAGAGACTAGGAAGGAACTGATGTGTAAAAGAATGCCTGGATGTCAGGCACCTCAGACCGTTTGCCTATTTTACGACAATAATTATTTAGATCTTGCAGGATGGGAAAATTCAAAGTGCCATTTTCTGGCTATTTGGAACTACTGTCGAGTTTGTATTGGGGTCAAGCGGCATTGCAGAAGAAAATAAGGCATTTAGGTTTTAGGTCAAGTGTGAGTTGAAGAGGTTTTAAATTTTTGAGAACACAGGCCAAGGGAGTAGAAGGAGGAATGGAGGGTGGAAGGTTTCCTATAATGAAGGAAGCAAGCCTAGAGAAAAGAGAGAGTAGAGAAATGGAGGGAAGGGGTTCGGGGGTTCTTACCTTCCAGAAAAGTGGGAAAAGGGGTTCGGGCTGAGAGATAAGAGGTCAGGGTGCAGAAATAAGGGATTGGGGAACAGAGATATGAGGTTGGGACACGGAAATAAGGGATTTGGGCGCAGAGATACGAGGTTGGGGCACAGAAATAAGGGATTGGGGCACAGAGATAAGAGGTCGGGGTGCAGAAATAAGGGATTGGGGCGCAGAGATAAGAGGTTGGGGCACGGAAATAAGGGATTGGGGCACAGAGATAAGAGGTTGGGGCACGGAAATAAGGGATTGGGGCACAGAGATAAGAGGTGGGACATGGAAATAAGGGATTGGGGTGCAGAGATAAGAGGTTGGGGCACGGAAATAAGGGATTGGGGGTTCTTGCCCCGTAGAAAAGCAGGACTTGCCACTAAGGGTGAAGGAGAAGGGGTTGAGGGGTACTTGCCCCTCTCCCAGAAAAGTGGGACTTGCCGCTAAGGGTGAAGGCGAAGGGGTTGAGGGGTACTTGCCCCTCTCCCAGAAAGGCAGAGAAGGGGTAGAGACAAGGAGAGAAGGGGTTGGGGTACTTGCCCCTTCCCCAGAAAAGCGGGACTTGCCGCTAAGGGTGAAGGACCAAGGCAGGCGTCCCTGCGTGGTCTGACACCCTTGAAACGTGGGTGTATAATCAGAAAGGTGCCCCTGCAATGATTAAACACCAAGGGAAGGCTGCCTTCCCAGTCTGTGACCTGCGCCGGAGTTTTGGGTCCACGGATAAAACGTGTCTCCTTTGTCTCTCCCAGAAAATGAAAGGAATTGAAATTAAGAGAAGGGAGAGATTGAAGAGTGGAAAGGAGAAAGTGGTTGAGGGACAGTGAGAGAGGTTGGAGAAGAGAGTAAGAAGAGGCTGCTTACCTGATTTAAAATTGGTGAGATGTTCCTTGGGCTGGTCAGTCTGAGGACCTGAAGTCATAGGTGGATCTTTCTCAGGGAGCAAAGAACAGGAGGACAGGGGATTGATCTCCCAAGGGAGGTCCCCCGATCCGAGTCAGGGCACCAAATTTCATGTGCGTCCGTGTGAAGAGACCACCAAACAGGCGTTGTGTGAGCTACATGGCTGTTTATTTCACCTGGGTGCAGGTGGGCTGAGTCTGAAAAGAGTCAGCAAAGGAAGATAAGGGTGGGGCCGTTTTATAGGATTTGGGTAGGTAAAGGAAAATTACAGTCAAAGGGGGTTTGTTCTCTGGCGGGCAAGAGTGGGGGTCGCAAGGTGCTCAGTGGGGGTGCTTTCTGAGCCAGGATGAGCCAGGAAAAGGACTTTCACAAGGTAATGTCATCAGTTAAGGCAAGGAATGGCCATTTACACTTCTTTTGTGGTGGAATGTCATCAGTTAAGGTGGGGCAGGGCATATTCACTTCTTTTGTGATTCTTCAGTTACTTCAGGCCATCTGGGCGTATACGTGCAAGTCACAGGGGATGCAATGGCTTGGCTTGGGCCCAGAGGCCCGACACTTCTCACTGATCATATGCCAGTGTCTTTACTTATCTCTCCTTATGCAGATACCGTGCAATTTACCTCATGTTTTCTGCTATCCACAGGAAAACTCACACAGTCATTTCAGAAGCTACTATTCAGATGACATAGATATTATATTAGAGTAACAAATATAATGAAATAACGTTATTTAGTGGCCCATATTATCAATTTAGTATTTTGGAAAATATCACCTTGTGAATATAAAAGTCTCATTGTTATATGGATAACACTTCAACAAATATAGATGATGTACATGATCATGAGGATCATGATAAACTCTTCTGCCACTGGGGAGTGGGGAAGGTGGAATTTATATATATATACACATATACATATATATATACACGTATACACATATATATATATATACATATACACATATACATATATATACGTATACACATATACATATATATACATATACACATATACATATATATATACATACATACATATATATAACAGATATAACTCTGTATAGAGCTTTAAACTTGAGGGAGGAAAAAATGAATGTGGGGTTTGAAGAAGAATTAAAAGTTGTGCAAGGGCTAACTTTTCTTTCACATCAGAGTTTTCAGAATGTTCTTTTCTTTCATGCATCATCTTTTCTCAGTGTTACAGTTGTCACTGCATATTGATCTCTATTGTAAAAGCTTGCTAGTTTCTTTTCTTTTCTTAAGCTGTGTTCCCCTCCACTGTATCCTGCAGCAACCCTTTCTACTCATCATAGCATTGGTTATTTAATTGCTAGGATCAAACTTCTTAGTTTTGATCCACTAAGAAAAATATATTTTTGCCTTTCATAGTAATATTCTTCTGTGACACTTAAGTCACATTTCTAAATGTATTTAGCCTCAGATACATGCCAATAAAATAATTTATTGATTATGGTTAAAATTGACAGTAACCTAATGACAAGCTGATTTTAATACTTTATCTTAAAGCAAAAATAAAATTGTTTAATTTCCTTACATGGCAAGTGTAATGAAATTGAACAATAGAAGGTCCTATTTGCCCACCAGATACTATCAATAACAATAATAATTTTAATAGCTAACTTTATTAAGTATTTCTCATTCTAGGTATTATTATCATTTTGTGTGCATTATCTCACATTTTTTGTTTTCATTTTTACACATAAATAAAATGTGGCTTAGAAAAGTTGACATTTGCATTAAGTCAAATAGGTTTAAATGACTGAGTAGAATTAACCATGCCACAAGTTTACCTCTACTTAAGAAAAGCCTTACAATGATATAGAATGTGACATGCAGAAATAACTAATATAGAAAAGAATACACACGTAGAGAGAGCAAATAGTCTGAAGAGACCATAATCTAGACATTTGACTAACAAAAAAACTCAGTAGTTGGTTTTTTAAAATTATTAAATGAAAAACTAGTGCGACCTGCAGAATAATGGCTCTACAAAATATACACACCCTAATCCTCAAAATCTCTGAATATATTACTGTCTTGTCAAAAAGACTTTGCACATGAGATTAAGTTAAAATGTTTGAGATAGGGAGATTATTAGATTTGCCAGATTGGCACAATGTAATCACAATGATCCTTATAACTGTAAAAGGGAGGAAGGAGTGTCAGAGATAGAGAGAGGTTTGAAGACCTTGCACTGCTAGGTTGAGGAAAGGGCCATGGATGGAGTACTGGGGTCATTATTCAAGGAATACCGATGGTCTCTAGAAGCTGAAAAGCACAAGGAAACTGATTCCCCATAAAGCCTGCAGAAGGGAATGCAGCCCTGTCAACACCTTGATATTAGCTCAATAAAACCCATTTCAGACATCTGATTGCCAGAACTATAAGATAAAATACTGTGTTGTTTTAAGCTGCTAAATTTGGGGATGGTTTGTTAAAACCGCAATATAAAATGAATAAACCAGTCTCTGTAAGGATTGCAAGTCTAGAAGAACATTGGGCATTTACAGAAGTGCATATTAAAGACAAATGCTAATGAACAACAACAACAATAACAGCCACAATTTATTGAGCATGCTCCTGTCAATTCATTGATGAGGAGACCAGAATTAATTCTGCCTTACAGAAGATGAAATAGCTTCAAGAAGTTGTATGTATGTCCAAGGGATAGAAGGTTGGTGGTGAAAAAGAAAGTAACATAGCAAGAAAGAAATGGCACACTCAGGAAAAAAAAAACAAAACAAAACCAAAAAACAGAATTTTGATGTCATTCAATTAATGACATCTATAATCAATAAAAACAACTGTCAGTTTCTGTTACAACAGTGTACTTAGGGTGACTGAACAGTCAAACTTCCATGGCTCAGACTTGGTCAAAAATCTTTATAGAATATTCTGTTATCAACTTGTCTATGTAAAATACATATTAAATTACCACAGAGTATAAATACAAAGTCAAAAAATGTTTAAATTGATTCAAGTACGTTTAGTGACATTTATTGAAATTTGTATTAAAGTGCTACCCTTTGGAGCATCTTAAAATTTATGTTGTCTCTGACCTTAAAAGAAAGAATACTTAAATTTTTGACTTACCATTTCTAAAATCACAGCAGAATTCTTTATCTGAGTTAGCATAAAACCAGTAAGTTGATACTAGAAAGATCTTAATTTTTTCAAGAGGGGAAATTGTTCCACAGCTTAGAAATCTGTTGGTATAAAGATTGATGACTTTCATAAATTAATGAATGGCTATTGTCTGGAAAAATCCAAAGAAAAAACATTTTTAACCATAATCAATAAATTATTTTATTGGCATGTATCTGAGGCTAAATACATTTAGAAATGTGACTTAAGTGTCACAGAATAATATTACTATGAAAGGCAAAAATATATTTTTCTTAGTGGATCAAAACTAAGAAGTTTGATCCTAGCAATTAAATAACCAATGCTATGATGAGTAGAAAGGGTTGCTGCAGGATACAGTGGAGGGGAACACAGCTTAAGAAAAGAAAAGAAACTAGCAAGCTTTTACAATAGAGATCAATATGCAGTGACAACTGTAACACTGAGAAAAGATGATGCATGAAAGAAAAGAACATTCTGAAAACTCTGATGTGAAAGAAAAGTTAGCCCTTGCACAACTTTAAACTTGAGGGAGGAAAAAATGAATGTGGGGTTTGAAGAAGAATTAGAAATACAAGACTATGACAAAAATGTGTTATTATGTGATTGGGAAGATTGTGTTAATAATAAAAATAAGCAAGTCGTCAATCATTTCAATATTGTCAAGTTCATTGAACTATAGCTTGCCATATTTTACTTGATTTTATATAGCTTTGCTTATCTTGAAACTCTTTACTTTGGATTATGTTTTGTGTCATACCTTTATTTCTCTAGAAAGGATGATTCTTTGATATTTGTTTTAATTTTTATTTTAAACATATTACATTAAACATGCATCACATATATCTGTTAAGTATATGAAATATACATTAACCAAATGTAAACATATGCACAAATCTGCAATAGTGTAATTGTTCCTCCTCTATAACAACATCCAGCTTGCACAGTCATCAACTCACACCAATCTTATTTCATGATATCCACCACATTCCTTGCAGCTATTATTTTAAAGCAAATCTCACAGAAAAATGTATTGGAGAGTGTTTCATCAGGATGTATCTTTAAAACATAAATGTTATTTAAAAAATAAAAGACAGGCCAGGCGGTGGCTTACACCTGTAATCCCAGCACTTTGGGAGGCCGAGGTGGGTGGATCACCAGGTCATGAGTTCGAGAACAGCCTGGCTAACATGGTGAAACCCCGTCTCTAGTAAATATGAAAAATGAGCTGGGCATGGCGGCACATGCCTGTAATCCCAGCTACTTTGGAGGCTGAGGCAGGAGAACCGCTTGAACCTGGGAAGCAAGGTTGCAGTGGGCCGACGTTGAGTCATTGCACTCCAGCCTAGGCAACAAGAGCAAAACTACATCTCAAAAAAATAAAATAAAAATAAAACACAATGGCAAGGCATTCATACATCTATAAATTGACAACTATTTAATATCAGTATCTTTGGTTAGTAATCAAATTTCTAATTGTCCTACAAATTTCATTATGTAAATTACAAAATATTTGCTGGAAACTGGAGCCAAAAAAAGGTTCATAATTTGTAATCAGTTATGGAGTCTTTAAGATTCTTTTAATCTATAGGCTTTCTGTTCCATATCTTGCTCTCTCTGTCACCATACCAACACTGCCAATTAATTTGGAAAAGTGAATTGGAAAATTTGTCATTAGAAGTTTCCAGAGGCTCAGTTTTGCTAATGGCATTTTCTATCTCTGTATTTCTTTTCTTTTTCCTTTTTTTCCTCTGAAATGGAGTCTCGCTCTGTCACCCAGGCTGGAGTACAATGGTGTAATCTTGGCTCACTGCAACCTCCACCTCCCTGGTTCAAGCAATTCCATTGATTCAGTCTCCTGAGTAGCTGGGATTACAGGCAAGTGCCACCATGCCTGGCTAATTTTTTTTTTTTTTTTTTTTTTGTATTTTTGGTAGAGACGGGTTTCACCATGTTGGCCAGACTGGTCTCGAACTCCTGACCGCAGGCAATCCACCCACCTCGGCTTCCCAAAGTCCTGGGATTACAGGCGTGAGCCACTGCTCTTGGGCATATCTCTGTATTTCTTTTAAATGGGTGGTTGAATTTGGAGACAGAGTCAAACTCAGACTATTTAATAAGACTACTTCGAAGATGAAGGGCATTTCTTCTTGGGCTTTTAATGGATGTCTTTTCTTCCTTTCAATATATTGACATTCCATAAGCCTCCATTTCTGACCTAATTCTCATTAGTGCTACATAAAGTATGAGGTCAAGCTTGCCCAGAAAATAGCTTCAATAACTGCCAACCGTACACTGACAAAATCTCTAGTCACGTATTAGATTACTGTCCTGAGTAGAAGCCCTGAATACCTACCTTTCTACTGCAAGAAGTATCTCATAATTACTGTGTCCAAAATTAAGTAATATGTATTTCCTTGGAAACCTGCTTTTTATATGAATTTCAAATATCAAGAATATAAACATTGAGACTAGACTTGCTCTCTTATTCATGCTCTGCCAACTACTCACTAAATAAATTTCACGAGTCAATTGATTAATATAAGCAATTAATTTATAAAAGTGGAGATGTATAATAGTAAATATTTTCGTGCTATTACATAAATGCTTTTCCAAGTCCTCTCCATACATATTTATTAAATAAATCTTACACCAACTTTATGAAGTTGATATACTATTTTAGTTTTACAGATGAGAAAATAGTCACTGAGAGGTTAAGTAATTTGTCCAGGCAGTCAGTTTTCAGAGTTCATATTCTTAACATTCATTATATAATATTTTTATAAAAGAATAAATGGCTTAGTTAAAAAATTAAAATAGTGTCTGAAGCAATTTAACTATAGTTGACTGAAACTAACTTTTTTTAAAATTAAGTTTAAAGTATCTTAGAAAGTTACATATAAGACCATTTACAAATTGGCTCTTCATTTTCTTTCCAGCTTCATTTATATCTTCATAAAGAATTTGTCCTTCTTTGCTCTACTGTAATTTCTCAGTGATGTCTTACGTTTTTGCCCTTTTGTTCTAGAATGCATTCTGATTGCTCTTGGCATCTTATAAAAAATATGTCCTTGAAGACACAACTCACATTCCATCTCTTAAGAAGCCTTTTGAGGTGTAAGGTTGAATTTGATGTTCCTCTTTGATATTTTTGTTTGTAATTGTATCAAAGACATCCTGAAATCCAAACTTTCAGATGAATAGATATGTTATCTGTCTCCCAGATGGACAAATAAATGGACATCTTCCCATCCACTTATTTCATAGCTTGACAAATACTGATTCCATATTTACCAATTCTTGTTTAGAAGTTTTCCTCAAGGTCTCAGATAACATACTAAAAATAATAATTAATGAACATTATTCTTGATTCAAAAATAGATTAGATAGATGATAGATAGATAGATAGATGATAGATAATAGATAGATAGAAGGTAGGTAGCACTTTCACTTTCTGTTTTTGTTCCATGATATGACTCCCCAGGTTTTCCATACTATTCTTTATTTGTTCAATTTTAGTTCATTTCCAGTCTCCACTTTCCCTAAATGTAAATGTTGATAATCCTCAGAATTCTAGCTTCAGTCATTTTCTAGTTGTATTCTACATATTCTTTCTGGGACCTTCATTTTTTTTAATCACTTCATTTTAACACAATGGCATTTTATTTAGGTAGAAATATCTACTGATCATTTTGAAACTCATGACTAAAGTTTTAAAATGACATCAGAAATTTAAATAAGAAGAGATCATGTCCCAGAGTTGACAGCGGGACTAGTAGCAATGAATAAAATGAAATTAGAGATGGGTTTTAGAAGAGAGAGAGAGAAAAGGTGGCATACACATATCTACTCAAAGATAGCAAACATAGTCTGAAATTTGTCTAGAGATGTCCGCATTTTTAAGATCAGAATAAGAGAAGTGACAGAAGAAACAGAGAAGTAGAACACATTATTATTAGGTTAGGCAGGACGGAAAAATTACAGAAGAAAATATTCACTTAAATTTAGTCATGCAAATTCAACTTCTGTGATTCCATGTAATTCTAGAGGCCTTTAGAATTATCTTTAAGACTTTGATTTTAGGTGGCTTCCAAATGGTGGACTAAAGATTCTTGAGAAGGCAGGACAAAGAAATAATAAAGAAGTCTTCATATTCTTAATCATAGTATATGAATCACATAAATAATATATTTTATGCACAGTCATTATATCATAAATATATATATTAATATGTACATAGACACAGATATGTACATACACGTACATACACATACGTACAGGCTGTAGTGATTCAAAAATTATCGAATGCATCATAGCTCCCTTAGCCTAGAATGCCCTTTTCTACACTTCAATAATCTCTGGTTTCATAGCCAATCCATATTTAAACTTCATATCTCAGTTTAAGTGTGAGTTCCTATAGGTCCACCTTTATTCACTGCTTACATTTCTTCTTTATAACACTCAGCATTTTTATAATCGCTTAACAGGTCCATCCATTTAAAACATATTTTATGTCTGTTTTTTGTATGTTGACGTTGGCTTATGCTCAGGATAAATTCGTGTTCCAGATGGACAGTGACCTTTATGGAATTTAGTGTCTAGTGGCAAAATTCTCACTAAGTGTTCTCTGAAAAGTACTAAGAAGAGGTTCAGAGTGCTATGAAGGCTCAAAAATTTGAAACTTTTCAAGTCTAGAAGGAGGGAAAAATATATTCTCAGTAGAGAATATAATTTTAGGATATAAAACTTACTCAATAATCCACATACTTATAAGCAAGAAAGGGAAGATTTCTAAGGGCTTAGCCTTTAGATATAACCTATGACTCAGCACATGATGATAATTTGAACTTTTTAAGCTTTTGTTCATCATCTGTTTTCCAAATCTCTTCATATGCTATAACAGCTTTATAAAATTTGCTTTTATACAACAGATGACCTAAATTAATATGAGGAAATCATATAAAATTTGTCTCCCTTGATTTCACCCTTAATTGTATTATTAATTTAGTTTTTACTTTTTTCAGTATGAGTAATTATCACTAATTTTGTAACACACCATGCAATGGCCCTCAGATCAAATTATTTGGAGATAAAAAGACGAAAAAAGAAAACCAATACTGTGCACTCATATTCAAATCAATGCAGTAGCTAATTTTTGCACTAAGGTTTTCAGTGAGTTCAAGACTGCTTTAGGATGTTCAGATGCAGATGTCCTCAGCATGGAATCTGGACTTGCTATGACTTTCACCAAAATACTAATGGCTTGAAAAGATGAGAATGGTTATATTTTACAGCAACTACTGAAACCTTCCCCAGCTGGTGAAGCAGAACCATTAAAAAATACAGCACCAGAAAGACTTTTAGTAGAGCTGTCAGATTTTAACATTCCAGGGTTGCATAATTACTGTATTCTCTAATGCATGCCAGAAAAGAATAGTTGGGAATTAATGAGTGAATCCAATTGCTTAGTTTCTCTGGTTATGAGCAGCTCTACCAACAGAGTTAGGCTGTGCTCTTCCTCTGTTCATTCACCAGAAGAAATGAGACCTCTGAACATTTTACCCACAATATCATAATTTGAACATCATTTTGTGTTGGAGTGTCTTAAACAGAAGAACTCCCCGTATACCATTCACTGTTCTTAGTTTCATCCAATTCTGTGTAATCTCTGTTTCCCAAGCATGCTACAGGTACACCTGCTTCCACTCTTCTGTTAGGCTGTTTTATTCTGTGAATGCTTTCTTACTTATCCTGTATTTTTTTTCTTCCCAGCGATACCCAGTCCACATGTCCTAGTTCAAGTTCCTATAGTAAGCTTTTATCATTTTCCCTCTTGCTATCTTTCCTCTATCATTGTCATTATTATTGAGCAATTATACAACAAACATCATACAGAGTATATGGTGTATTAAATCGATGCCAACTATCTACAAAGAAGTTCCAAAATCAAATATTCATGTATATATGTATGTGTCAACCTATTTATCTGTCAGATATAACTTAGAGACAAATAATACAGAAAAGGTACAATAAAGGGTTATAGTAATTCCAAGAAAGCAGAATTTACTTCAGTCTGAGTCATATAACACAAACTAGATTATATCAGTAATTATTTTTAATTTATCATTTGCTTTATCAATTAATTTGCTGTCTCCCACGTAAAAGAGAAGAAGTACTAGGCTGGGCGCTGTGGCTCATGTCTGTAATCCCAGCACTTTGGGAGGCCGAGGCAGGAGGATCACCTGAGGTCAGGAGTTCGAGACCAGCCAGGCCAACATGGTCAAACCCCCTCTCTACGAAAAATACAAAAATTAGCTGGGTGTGGTGGCAGGCACCTGTAATCCCAGCTACTCGGGAGGCTGAGGCAGGAGAATCACTGGAACCCGGGAGGTGGAGGTTGCAGTGAGCCGAGATCGCGCCATTGCACTCCAGCCTGGGAGACAAGAGTGAGATTTTGTCGCAAAAAAAAAAAGAACAAGTACTCTATACTTTCTGACCTTAATTTCGAGGAAAAATTTTATTGCAGAATCAAATAAACCTTATTATACACCTAGCATGAGCAGGGCATTATTCTAGATAATTTTACTGACATTATTTATTGTTTATCTTTTCACAGTTAATAAATATTTGATTACAATAAAGAATAGCAAATCACATTTGTATACTGCTTTTAAGATATCAATGCAGATTCCCTGTTTGATGTTACCTTTTAATATGCTATTTCATTTATCTTACAAGGAAATGCATCACATTAAGCATATTGTCCTCAGGATGATGAAAGTTCAGTAATATTATTACATTATAAAGTTTTATTTTCCAAATATTTAGAAAACTGCTTACTTATCCAGGTAAAAAGTAATTGACTGGGACTGTGAGGCTGAAAACTCAATGGTGGGAAAATTTCTGAAGCAAATGTAAATTCATAGAATGTGTATAACAGACTTCTGGGAAGAAAAGTTTGTAGAAACTTATCAACATGACAATCCAAAAAATAAACTTTAGACATTTCCTTTGTATTCACTACATGATTAATTTTCAGCTTGGATTAAAAAAAGTAGATATAGTCCACTTTCAAAATAGAATGAGGAATTTTAGAAGTATATTACAATGACTTACATTTTATGTTAGCATTTTGTGATTGACCATGTATTATTGGCTACTTCTCAGATGCATATATGTCAGACTTAAACACTGTGTTCTTAGCATTTTCATATATAATTCCCCAATACTGCTGTTTTATTCAGTCTTTGCACAGGAGTTGATAATTTTATATTCATACAGGAAGTTTTCATATGTATAAATTTAAATATATACATATATATATAAAATTCTTTTTTTTTTTTTTTGAGACAGAGTCTTGCTCTGTTGCCCAGGCTAGATGCAATGGCAGGATCTCAGCTCACTGCAACCTCTGCTTCCTGGGTTCAAGCGATTCTCATGCCTAATCCTCCAGAGTAGCTGGAATTACAGGGGTGTGCCAGCACATCTAGTTAATATTTTCATTTTTAGTAGAGACAGGGTTTCATTATGTTGGCCAGGCTGGTCTCAAACTCCTGGCCTCAAGTGATTTGCCCACCTGGGTCTCCCAAAGTGCTGGAATTACAGGTGTGAGCCAGGGTGCCTGGCCTCATATATTTTGTAAAATGTAATTGGAGTCACTATTTGCTATGAATCCCAATGTGTTTTAAACAAGTGTAAATGTAATAACATTACTTAAAATGAATTGTTATGAAGAAATCTTCACAAATAATGTACTTCATTTTGAGCCTGTGTGTCATACAATGTATTCTGAACACAACAACAAAACAATCATAGATTTTAAAATGGCTAAGTAGCCCATAAAAATGCTTAATAATACTAAATTACTCAATTCCTATTAGAGTGATTCTGCTTTGTTTTAAACTTTAATCATTTAATTTTAGATCATTAAGCTTTCCCCAGTTCACTTGAAATCAGCTGATATAACTTGTTAAAATTTTTATAATACAATAATGACTAAGTATAAAGTTGAAGAATTATAATGTAATGAATATTACAATTCTGAAGTTGCACCCATTAACTGTGGGGTATAGTTGGTTCCAAACAAGAAGAAAATGCTTGAAGCATGTTACATTTAATTTTTAACTTTTGAAATATTTAGACTCTAGAGAATGTGTGGCCTAAAAAGTCTTTTGAGACATTGATACGGTTGGGCTGTGTCCCCACCCAAATTACATCTTGAATTTTAGTTCCCATAATCCTCACATGTTGTGGGAGGGAGTGGGTGGGAGGTAATTGAATCCTGGGGCTGGTTAACCTCATGCTGTTCTCATGATATTGAGTGAGTTCTCACAAGATCTGATGGTTTTAAAAGGGGTGTTTCCCCCTTTGCCAGGCACTTCTCCTTGCTGCTGCCACGTGAAGAAGGATGTGTTTACTTCCCCTTCCACCATGACTGTAAGTTTCCTGAGGCCTCCTCAGTCATGTGCAACTGTGAGTCAATTAAACCTCTTTCCTTTGTAGATTATCCAGTCTTTGGCAGTCCTTTATAGCAGCATGAGAATGGACTAATACAGACATTACATTTTGTTTGACTTTATTGATAATAAAAAACATTTTTTAAAAATTCTGTCACCCCAAAGCTAAAGATAAATATATATTACATATATTTTGCATATATGAGTAGTGCTCTTACTGATTTATTTATTATATATGTATTTATTTCAGCATAGCAATGATAGTAAACATTTAATGTTTTTGTAATGACATCTCAGTGCAACTAGTTACCTGCTCTTTTAGTCAAGGACATTGAGTTAGTGACCCTTATGCCTCAACCAGTCAGCATCCTCCTATCCATCAGTGAAGACAATCAGATTATTGATGATGAATGTTCTCACTGGGTTACCTCATTGAGAATTCTTATCTACTGTTGGTGAATATTTATATAAACGTAAAGACCAAATTTGGGTATATCTATGTTTTCTTTAGTCCTTAGGAAATGGGCAGATATTTAATGCTGCTCCGTATGGCTAATGATTAATGCAGAAAACTTTCTATGTATGACAATGATTCTAACTTTAAATCAATTTGTATCCATGGAGACATGGGTATTGTATAGCCTGTATAAAAATCTGATGACAATAATATATAACAGTTTTTTCAACATTTTCAAAATGTTGACAAATATAGAATCTGATAACATTTATAGAGCTCAATCTAAAAAACAAACAAACAAACAAACTGAGACTGCACTTGAGTAGAGACAACTCATGCAGGGGATCTTACTGAAAAGGATGAGATAATCAGTATCTCAGCACACTGTAACACAACTGTGATAAAGCAGTAAAATGCCAAACACCTATTGGAAGCTTCAAATTAAGAAATTAAACATCAGTGTCATAACTTTTAGTCTAAACTCTACTTGCATTTATTAGTCACATTGGCTGAGGCATGAAAAGCTGGAACAATCAAATTCTATTGCTGATGATTAAATGTTAACAGTGAACTATGATGAGAATCCCAGTTGCTGTGTCAAATTGAAAGTTAGCAATGAAATGAGATTTCTCCACGATGTGGGAAATTTTCTGCTATTGTGAAAGAGAGTCACACCTGATAAAGAGACTGGACATAATTTGCTTCAAAAGTTACAATGAACGGTTATACTGAAATTAAATTCCGCAAGTGAGATTATGTATAATTCCAGATTTGCCCCCATTTATTTCAGGAACAGCTAGCAGGTAATACTCATTATATGAAATGAATGCTCAAGTTAAAAATTAGAAAGAAAGCTTTGAATAGCTATCTGGAACTAAATGAAGGAAATAAAGAAGAATCTTGATCAATTTACAGGCTAACTAGAAGCCTGAAACACCATTCACAATTGACTAAATAAGAAAAAAAATAATTTGTATGTATCTTCAAATAATCGTATAAGGTGGTAAACAAAATGCAGTTAGGAAAATTAGCTAAAAAATGTGTTGAAATTCTATTTTAAGTCTCAGTAAATTTAAGATGACATGAATTTGAAAAATAACCAGAGGTAAAATAATAAAATAAACAAATGAAAGGAGAGCTGTTTGGAGAATTAGGAGAAAGGGAAATAATGGAAATAGACAAGTACCTTAGAAGAATATAAGCTCTCAAAGAAGGAACAAAAAGCAGAAGTAATGGTGCAGAAAATAGAATTGGTGATATGGAATGTGAAGTTCAGTTTCTACCTTTTTATAGACTTAAATATATTATTTAGTGTTGACTCTGCCCTTGAATTTTGTAAATGAAAAATATTTAATACTTTGATTCCATTGTTTGTGTAAATCTTTATAAAAATGTTCCAAATATTAAATGTAGAAGAAAATATATTAGGTTGGATTATAATTTTAATTGTGGTGTAATTGTTTATGGCATTATGATTCTTAATGACTTTAAAGGTCCGTATTTATTTTCTAGTGTTTTAGCATAATTTATTTATGAATATTTTAAGAAACAATACATATAGAAGTAGTCTATGATGTTGAGAATCAAAGGCAAAATGTCAATTTTATAACTTCATAATTTACTTTAATGAGGAGAAAATAAAAGTACAACAAATCATCTTCATTTTAGACATAATATATTTACTTCAGAATACAGAGTATAAAAAAAGAAGAAAATTATTAGAAAAACAAGAGATAGTCAAAATACATTTTTTCATCCTATTTGAAACTATAAATTCTAAAAATACAGAAAAATGAACCCTTACAGTTTTTAATAGATAGCAAGCAAAATATTTTTTAAAAAGCTTTCATGTTACACTTAAAATAGGTGAGTTTTGGCTGGGCGTGGTGGCTCACGCCTGTAATCCCAGCACTTTAGGAGGAAGAGGCGGACAGATCACGAGGTCAGGAGATTGAGACCATCCTGGCTAACACAGTGAAGCCCTGTCTCTACTAAAAATACAAAAAAACTAACCAGGCGTGGTGGCGGGCGCCTGTAGTCCCAGCTACTCGGGAGGCTGAGACAGGAGAATGGCGTGAACCCGGGAGGTGGAGCTTGCAGTGAGCGGAGATCGCACCACTGCACTCCAGCCTGGGCGACAGAGCAAGACTCCGTCTCAAAAAAAAAGTAAAATAAAGTAAATAAACAGGTGAGTTTTATATACATTATACTTTGGTAAAGCTATTTTCAAAATGACAACTACACAATACCAACTGTTGAAGTTAAAATATTTTAAAAGATTTGACAAGCACCAATCATAGTTTTAAACTTTCTTAAAGGAAAAAGGAAAATATGGAATTTTTTTTCTTGATGAAAATGATATAGTTGAACAAACACAAAGGAATCAGCTATTTAGAGTACTGATAAATTATTTTCTTGCAACATAATATAAAAGTAGAAATTCTTTACTACTAAATTTTGGTGATGATACTTTTATATTACATTTTGTAATGATAACATTATCATACAAATAAAAAATATGTATTTTAAAATCTCATTTATTTCTCTATCCCAGTGATACAAAAATCACAGAGATAATCTAATTCAGCCAAATGTATATTTAACATCATGTAAATTAAATGTTAATTTGATTCACATATAATTCATATTAACATATATTTGGCATAATTATAGCATAAATGGAATGATCAAATTGTGCTATAAAAGCTTTTTATCAAGTTGCTATATCCAGGTGTTGGTGTTTCTATCTGTTTCCTTCATATGCAACTTTTAGTTTTAAATTCAGGGAATAAAGTTATTGCATTCTCTTTCTTTTCTCAGAGAACCCAAATAACTTAGAAGCTCTAAAAATGAACAGAATCACAAGTACGAATGTCATTTTTAACAAAGCTAAGGAAATAACATACACATGAAGCATTGGGTTATTAGACTTAATGATCTCTTAAATTTATTTTCCTCTTCCCACTATCACTTGTTACATTTTGGTTCCTTGGTGGAAAAAAAAATTTTTAAGAAAGTAGTTACCTGTACCCCTCTCACCACTTCATCACCTCCTATTCTCTCAGGGGCCTATACAAATTGATCAAAAGTATCTTTATAGGTGAATTCAAAAATCAAGTTCCCTCCTCTCACTTGACTACAGGAAATGGTTTGCCATAGTCGATCATGCCCCCTTCTTGGTTTTTTTAACTTAGCTTTCCAGATGGCACACTTTCTTGGTTTTCCTCCTATTATATACAGCTTCTTCTTCTGAGTTCCTTCTTAGTTCCTTGACTTATTTAAATTCTCTCTGTATGTACTCTGTGGTCTTATTCAATCCATTGGCTTTACATATCTTTTGTACATATTTAGCACTGAAAATTACAGCTGTATTCTAGGTCTCTTTCCTGAATAATGGTCTCATATATACAAGTGTCTCCTTGACTTTTTCATTTGGATATGAAGTCGGTTTCTCAGACTGAACAGGTTCAAAACATAACTTTTAAAATTTTAAAGCCATATCTACTCATCCCACACAAGACCAAAAACATGAGTCCTCTTTAATGTCCGTCTTTCCCTTGAACTCCATAATCAGTCAATCTAGAAGTACAATCAACTTTAACTTCTAAAATTGATTAAAAGAATCTGACATTGCCAACTGCCTCTTAGTTCAAGCAACCACCATTGATTACTACAATTGTTGTAATAGTTTCCTAAGGTTTCTTTTTACCTCCATGTTGCCTACATTTAGGCAAAATTAGTCTATTTCTTTAAATAAGTATAAAAAGATAAAACAATGCATAGATTCTTTTTCTTTTTTGTGCCTAAATACATTGTAGGTTTTCATTATTTAATAAGTTCATGGCATATTTCCAAGTAACTGCTGAAAGAAAGGTAATAATTTAAAAACCAGTATAAAAATAAGAAATAAAGAAATTATAATAATTCAATGTAAGACAAGAAAGAAACAAGGCAAAAAATAAGGAAATAATCTTTAAATCTATGTATAACAGAAAAATTTGAATAATTGAAATAAAAACTACTAAAATATTTTAAATATGGAAATCTTGAATCTAATATCAAATATAATATAAAGGCAAAGTTTTAAAAATATTAGGCAAATACAAGCCAAATAACTTGATGTAGACATTTTTATAAGGGTCAAACTAGGCCAAGTGCAGTGGCTCATGCCTGTAATCCTAGCACTTTGGGGAATTTGAGGCAGGAGGATCCCTTGCGGCCAGGGTTTCAAGACCAGCTTGGGCAACATAGTGAGACTCTATCTCTACAAAATACACATAAAAAGGTTAGCCAGTTGTAGTGGTGTGCACCATATTTCTAGCTACTTTGGAGGCTGAGGTGAGAGGATAGCTTGAGCCCAGATGGTTGAGGCTACATTGAGCCATGATGCGCCAATGCACTCCAGCCTGGGTGACAGAGTAAGACTCTTGTTTCAATAAATAAATAAATAAATAAATAAATAAATAAATAAATAAATAAGTAAACCTTACACCAAAAAAAAAAAAAAAAAAAATGGGGGCAGTATACAAATTGAATCAACCCAAAATGATAAGGAAGTTCATCAAGAAGATCAATCAATTATAAACATATAGACATTTTTAACATACCCACAAGTATATAAAACAAAAATGGTAACATTATAGGAGTAATTGATCAGCTGAAAATTTGGCCAGTAATATGTCAAACAATTATAAGATTTAAACAATACAATGTTTTATCTTGTTCAGTATAATTCTATTTCTGCTATTATAGGAATAGTTCATTTTTGATTGAATTAAAAATTATTTCCTCCCGTTTTTCATACTTCAATTTCTTCAATATTTGCAAAATACACTATTTCAGTTTCAGTTTTATCTAACAATAATTCAAAATCAAAATAGTCCTCATTTCACACAAACTCTAATTGTATACTTAAATTAGGTTATACTCTCTTTTCTCCAGCTATCTCTTCTTTCTAAAGTTTGAATTCATTCTTTTCTACTAGATGAACTTCCACAAATTTATGAGAAACCTGGCTCCAGGTTTCTATAATCACAACAGAGTAAAGCCTCTATGCTTTACTGACTACTTCAATATCAAGGATCCCAGGGAAGAATTCTGATTGATTTTATTTGGGTCACAACTTGTCTCTTCATCCATCGCTATAGTCAGAGGTAGAGGCTTTATGATTTAACCAGATTTTTTAAAGGTATAATCATTGTGTAGCAGAAAGAGAGTAGATTAACTATTAGCCAGCCCCAACATTCATTAATATAAGAGAGGAAAACATTGGAAGAATGCCCAGAGGAGCATTTTGAACATGTTAAAAATAGTTCCCAAAACCCTCACTACACAGTAATGTAGAATTTTCATTATCAATTTGTGTGCTGAATATGAAAGTATATGTAGAATTTTATGTTTTCATTGAAATAAATTAAAGATATAATTTGTATTTTTTTATCTTTTGTAAAACTATTCAGAAAAGGTGACAGCATATAATAATGAAATTTACTTTCTTACCTGGAGAAAACAAGATATTTTAATGACAATGCTAACAACAACTTTTTTAGTATATTAATAAAAGTGAGAGAATGGTAGTAAAATACAAACAGATACACACAAACATATATGTAATGTTGTCACTGGATAAAGTTTTAGGGCACACAGAATTAACTAATATTAAGCTGTATTTCAAATATGTTCATGGAAAACTCAAATTTTCCAAAATTTTAGAAAGTTCAAACCTAAGTTAAAACACATCATTCGGAACATAAAATTGTTTTATGATTGCAGCAAAAGTGGTAGTACATCGTCTCCGCCGATGTTCAGACTGGATGTCAACTGAACACTCTTTATGTGTAAAGAAACGTAATGGATCAGTCTCTGTTTTCTCTATTAAAGATAATAAACACTGCCTGGTAAGAGCTACAAAATTTTGTGATTATCTAATAATCTAAAAATGATGGCTATAAATTTAGGGTTCAAGTCTTAAAGGTTCGAAATTGATTTTATCATTACCAGAGGCAATGACAGAAATGAACATGATTTACTCACAGAACCTAGCTGTTACTGCCATAAAATCACATATAAATATTAAAGTTCCTTGGACATTTGTAGACTAGAAAGCCACTGAATTGTTTATAATTTTATAATTATAAATTTATAATTTATCTTTTTTCTTCCAAATTCAGCCTGACTTAAAAATTGCAACATGTCAAAAATATTTAAAAATATCTATTTTCATATTATCTTGTGAAAATTTATTTGGGAAAAGTTTAACAATATCTTCTGTTCATATTTGTTAATTTTGTTATTCACAGTTAAAGAAATATTTATTTGTAACTATACCAAAGAATAAATTTCACTATTATTTTGCTATGAAAGACAAGAAAAACCAACATTGGTATTTGCATTGAGTTTGATTTCTAGCTTTAAAATTTATTTATATTTGAAATAAACGATCTGTGATTATTCACATTGTATTAATTAGCATAGGCAAAATTACCATGATGAAACTGAATCTCAATGTGTTAGTGGTTTACAACAAAGAATTTGATTCATGCTAGGTATTTATGACAAGTTGAATTTTAACATTTATCTATGTTTTCATAAGGCAGGGATTTAAGCTAAGTGGCAAAGCCTAACTAGTACGTTGCTGATATTATAACACAAAAAATTATAAATCAGGGTGGAACCATATAATGATTCTTAAAATTTATTCTTTTGACACACATTTCTTTAACTCACACTTCATTGGTTTGAACACATTATATGGCTAATTGTTACTTAAAATGGACAGAGTACTATGAGCTCCCCAGTAAGGGGCAGTGTATGTCAGTTCTGATGAACATATAATGCTGAACAAATATTTTGAATAAGAGTAAAAGCAACTACAGTTTTCCCCTTAGCCACAGATACTCATTTATTTTAATTTCACATGTAAAACAAGCCCAAGGATGGAACTGGAGGTCATTATCTTAAGTGAAACAACTCAGAAACAGAAAGCCAAATACAGCATGTTCTATTTAGTGGGAACTAAATAATGCATACACATGGACATAGAATATGTAATAATAGTCACTGGAGATTTGGATCATTGGGAGGGTGGGAGGAGGGTAGGGGATGAGAAATTACTTAATGGGTAGAATGTATGCTACTCAGGTGATGGCTACACTCAAAGCCCAGACTTCATTAATACGTGTATTAGTTCATTCTTATGCTGCTATGAAGAAATACCTGAGACTGGGTAATTTATTTAAAAAAAAGGGGTTTAATTGACTCACAGTTCTGCATGACTGGGGAGGCCTCGGGAGACATACAATCATGGTGGAAGGCGGCTCTTCACAGGGTAACAGTAGGGAGAATGAGTGCCAAAAGAAGGGAGAATCTCCTTTTAAAACCGTTAGATATCATGAGAACTCACTCACTGTCAGGAGAACAGCATGGGAAACAATCCCACCATTATTCAGTTATCTTCACCTGGTCCTGCCCTTGACACCATGGGGATTATTACAATTCAAGGTGAGAGCTGGGTGGGAACATAGACTCAAACCATATCACTACCCAACATATTCGTATAACAAAACTGCACTGGTTTCCCTTAAATTTTTTAAAACAAAACAAAACTCAACCATTCTCAAAGAAAGGTAACATAAATATTTCATACAATATCTACAGTAAACTTATATCCAGGATCTCATTATCTCTAAATTACATCTGTCGTGACTCCTTTTGCTCTGGGGCCTGTAAACTAAAAAGACGAATGACTTCTCCATGTCAACTAAACCTAAATGAAGAACAGTAAAGGGATAACTGTAATAAACATCACATCTGGAGAGGAAACAATGGGAGACATAAATTATGTACTGTACCAATACATAACAATTCTGAAATCCACCTGGGCAGATGTTTCAAGACTCTCTTACCATTAGGGTTGAGGATTCTTGATTAGACTCTCTTTTCTGTCTCCAAATAATATGTTTAATCAATAATTTAGGTTTCTATATTAATCAGTACAAAATTCTCGAAAATTTGGTTGGCTTTCTATATTATGCAATTTTAGTCTGTTACCTGTACTGATACCCACACCCACACATTTTTCTAAAAATTTATTTCTCTAGACCTCATTGTGGTCAACTTGAAACCACACAAAAAAGGGAGAGCCACACTGTTACCCTCTTTTACTTGAGTAATTTTGTCCAACTTTAGTAAACTCACTATTGGACAAATTAATCTACTCAGAGGTTTTTATCAATAGTCAAATATTTGAAGTGTGCCTGGTCAAGAGGCTGAGTTGTAATAAGCCCTTATCTTCTCCAGATATTCTTATTTTATATTGATTGTGTTAGATATAAGGTCTAAATTTCTCTTCAAAGAATCAATATGTCAGTATGTTCAATTCTTTGCCTTCTACTTTTAAACTTAACTTTAAGCAACCTTTTTTGATTACCTCCTCCACCATGACTCATTCTGATTACCTACTCCAACCTGACTCATTCAGATTACCTGCTACCTGCTCTGCCCTGACACATTCTCCACCCTGCATAACCATTTTTTTTCTCCCACCAAAGTACTCACCTCCTTGCTCTCTTTAGACAATCGGAATTAGTTTAGCCTGTGCAGTCTAACCCTAGCCAGCTGGGGGAAAGACACAGCAGCAGGGGCCACATGCGTCAGAGATAAGAACCCCTTCCCCTCCTTTGTCCGAGTGTGCGCTCACCATTGCTCCATCTGTAAGGGTGCACCCTTCTGTAGAAATGTCTTGCCTTGCTGAGAATTAGAAAATTTTATATCCGAGTGCTATTTCTTTTGTGGCACCGGAACTTTATATATAACAACTGGAAACAATAAATAGTTCTAACTTTAAAACTATTATATAATTCCTGGTTTCTCTTTGGGGAGATTCTTTGTCTTCCAAGTTATCATAAGGAAGAGTTTTACCAAATATTTTCAGATTATGTAATATGAATAGTCATCTTACCAGTCTAAAATACGAGTGTTCTTCCCAATGACTCCACTGCCTCTTTATTCTTGCTATATTTGTTAGGTGTATTTTATGACAGTTATTTTTATTATTTTATTATTATTATTATTTGCCAGGAATCTCAGTGGTTGAAAAACAAGGACCTGTTTCTTACCCCTGCTTCATGAACATCTTGAGTCACATGTGGACACTACTTACCTCAAGTTAGAGGGGAAGAAAAAATGGTAAAATCAATTTTTTATGATAGTAAAATGGTAAAATCAATTTTGTTCTTGCTTCTCAGAGCCATAAGTCATTTACGCACATTTTAAAAATATCATAACTTCCCCATTATTAAAATCCTATTTTATTTTTGTACTTCCAAGGCAATATTTATTTTGCTTTCTTTTGTTTTCATATCCAAGGATGACATGATATTTAAAACTACATTCTGAGGTCATTCTTGCCATATTCTTATTTACTTTATTTTCATTTGTTTATTACACTGTACATGAACACCAGTTACCTTCATATGCATATACGTGAGTCTGTTCTGAAGAGCTTAAGCATAAGTCACAGATGTCATCTAGTCCCTGTAGTTCTGCAGCCTAATAGTTTACTCTCATCTAGTGTTTCATTTTATATTTGTGATTTACAGCCTCCACTTTGTGAAAAAAAAATCTGCAGATAGATCATCCAGGAATTATTTCTTGTCTTAAAATTGTACTTGTTAGGAAGAACATATAGCCAATTGACCAGGCACCCTCCAGGGGTTTCCTAACGTAAGCTAGGTATGTGGAATTTTCTGTTGTATTTTTAAATTATCTTATATTTGTATTTTTAAAAAGATAACTGAAGTAAAAAATAGAGCTGAATTTTCAAAATAAAAATGTATTCATGAAAAGGATAAATTCATTAGATAATAAACACTTTTCTGTTTCATATTTATAGTTTCAACCTGAATCAATTAAAGTTTAATTGACAAACATATTTTTGATAGACCAATACATTCTTTAGTTAAGTTAAAAATATATAATTGGATAAGAAGGTGTGGAATTTAATTTTATGTTCTTAAATGTTATGAACAAAATGAGGAATATTGTATGGTTTATGCTATATATCTGACATTAATTATATATTTTCATAATAGTACATGCCTTTCACAAATTGCTGTGTATTTGGGAAATTATTGTGCATTGATTGCATTTCCTGAGAAATGGCTGCTGCTAAACACATTTATTTAATTCAAATTTCAGTTTTATTTCTGTTAAAGAAGAATATGTTAGAATATAATGAGAAACACAATAGTTAAGTTTGATAGCTTTAATGAAATCATTCTCTTTCTTAGTGACCTTGAGGGTGTCCTAAATTACTCTTCTTGATGGTGCATGTCAATAGGAATAAGAGTAATAATTGTGCCTGATGGTCCATTTCTAGTGTAGCTTTAACAACTATATCCCGTAAGGTTTGAAGGTCTTTTTATTACTCTAAGTGAAATCAATAAACAAATTAATCCTTCTTTTTTCTATCTTAATTTACTTTCAGAAGTAGGTTGCACTTGCTGATTTCCCTCTGAAAAGTGTGGACTAATAAAATAGCATTTTTAAAATGCCAAGCACAGTACCTAACATGTATTATGTACTCTATAAACATCTTTTTCTTTTTACTAATTTCTCCTTTTTCCCCTGACAATAATGATCAAAGACGTTTTAGTGACTTATGTTTCTAGTATGCCTCTGAGAAAGAAACACATGTTTATCCACAGAATGAGTAATATTAATATAAAGTCCACTGTAGACTCTATTTACTGATTGTTAGATTTTCATACACTCCCTTTGGAATCTGTTAGGAGCATTGCTGGAAATGAAATATAAGAAACAAAGAAGACAGCTAATAGATTTTCAATAATAGACTTTATTTTTCTTCTTTTTATAACCATGTATAGCTGTTAAACAAAAAAGTAATACATCATTCAATTGTTAATGAAGATATCAGTTCAAATCCAGGCAGGAAACAGAAGGCATGGTCAAAAGTGGTGATTGAGAACAATTTAACCCATTTATACCAGAGGTTGCAAAACTTTTTGTGAAAAATCAGACGTTGGTGATGACCTTGAGCAGTAGGATGTAAATAACTCCCACAAGCTTGGCATTCCAATAATGGAACACTAGGCATAAATATGTTAATAAAGTATCATTATACAAATATGTGGGCAGGATGGAGGGAAATTACTAACATGAGGTCATGGAGGACCCCAGGACTAGTCACAGCTAGTAGGCATTATAGCCACTATGCCAGAATTTGCAAGAGGGCTTGAGCCCTCACATGAATTTACAATTTTGCTTCTGCTCTTGAGGAACCTCCACACAGTTCTTCATAGTGATTTTACTAATTCATATTTCCACCAACATTGTTTGTTTTCTTTTCTCCACATAATTGTAACTCTATTTTTTTCTTTTTAATAATAGCCATTCTAAGTGGGGTAAGAAAATTTCTCATTGTGATTATGATTTGCATTTCCCTGATGATTAGAGATGCTGAGCATTTTTAAATATACTTGTTGGCCATCTGTGTATCTTTTCTGGAGAAGTGTCTATTCATGTCCTTTGTCCATTTTTAATAAGATTATTTTGTGTTTACTGTTGACTTACCTGACTTCCTTGTATATTTTGGATATTAGTACCCTGTAAGATGATTAAGTAGTTTGCAAATATGTTTCCCCATTTTATTTATTTATTTATTTATTTTTTGAGATGGCGTCCCATTCTGTTGCCCAGAGTGGAGTGCAGTGGCGCAATCTCAGCTCACTGCAGCCTCTGACTCCTGGGTTCAAGTGATTCTCCTGCCTCAACCTCCCAAGTAGCTGGAATTACAGGCACCCACCACTATGCCTGGCTAATTTTTGAATCTTTAGTAGAGATGTGGTTTCACCATGTTGGCCAGGCAGGTCTCAAACTCCTAACTTCGGGTGATCCACCTGCCGTGGCCTCCCAAAGTGCTGGGATTATAGGCGTCAGCAACCTTGCCCGGTTTGCTTCCCCATTTTAGAGTTTGTCTCTTCACCATGTTGATTGTTTCTTTTGCTGTGTAGAAGCTTTGTAGTTTAATATAGTCCCATTTATCCCATTGTGTTTTAGTGGCTTAAGCTTTGGAGGTTTTAGCCATAAATTCTTTGCCTAGACCAATTTCTGAAGAGTTGTCCTTATCTTTTCTTCTAGTAGTTTCATAGTGTCAGGTTTAATCTATCCTGAGTTGATTTTGTATTTGATGAGGGATGGGAGTCAAGTTTCATTCTTCTTTCAGTTGACTTTTCCCAGCTCAATTTATAGGAGAGAGTGTTCTTTCCCCATTGTATGTTCTTGACAGCTGTGTGGAAGAGCAGTTGGCTGTAAATATATGAATTCATTTCTGGGTTTTTAATTCTATTTCATTGGTCTGTGTTGTTTGTATATAAATATTATGCTGTGTTGGTTACTATAGACTTGTACTATATTTTGAAGTCAGTGTGACACCTCCAGCTTTGTTCTTTTTGCTCAGTAATGCTTTGGCTAGTTATGCTCTTTTTTGATTCTATACAAATTTTAGATTTTTTTTTCTAATTCTGTGAAAAATGATAGTATTTTGGTAAGGATTGCACTGGATCTGTAGATTGTTTTGAGTAGTATGGTTATTTTAATGAAATTCATTTTTCTGATCCAGGAGCTTAGAATGAATTTCCATTTGTCTATGGCCTCTTCAATTTCTTTTATTACTGTTTTGTAGTTTTTCTTGTAGATATATTTTACTCCCTTGTATAAATTTATTCCTAGGTATTTTCATATGTATATGGGTGAAAAAAATATATTTATATATTTACTGGTAGCTACTTTAAGTGGAATCGTTTTCTTGATTTCTTTTTTGACTATTTCATTATTGGTATATAGAAATGTTACTAATTTTTATATTTTGATTTTGAATCCTTCATCTTTATTCAATTTGCTTATAATAATTTTTTGGTAGAATTTTTTGTTTTTTCTAAATATAAAATCATATAGTCTATAAAAGGGGACAATTTGACTATCTCTTTTCACATTTTGATGCCTTTTCTTTCTTTCTATTGTAAGATTTCTCTGGTTAGGACTTCCAGTTAAATATTAGTAGTGAAAGTATACATCCTTTTTTTTTTTGTTCCAGTTATAAGATAAAAAGCTTTCAAATTTTTCCCATTTAGTATGATGTTAGCTGTGGGTTTGTCATATATGTCTTTATTAATTCGAAGTATAATATGTTCCTTCTATGCCTAATTTGTTGAGAGTTTTTATCATGAAAGGACATTGCATATTATGATTTTTTTTCTGAGTCTCTTGAGATGATCATGGGTTTATTGTCCTTCATTGCTCTGCATATGTTAAACCATCCTTAAATCTATGGAATAAATCCAACTTGATCATTCTTTATGATGTACTGTTCAATTAGGTTTTCTAGTATTTTGTTAAGGATTTTAGCATCTATGTTCATCAGGGATATTGGCGTGTCTTTTTTGTTGTGGTTTTCTTGTATCTTTGTCTGGTTTTGCTATGAAGGTAATGCTAGTCTCATAGAATACATTAGCAAGAATTCGTCCGTCTTCAAATTTTTGGAATAGTTTGAGAAGGATTGGCATTTGTTCTTCTTTATATATTTGGCAGAATTTGGTATGAATCCATCTGGTCATGAGCTTTCATTTGTTGGGAGAATTTTTACTACTGCTTCAATTTCATCTCATTCTCAGCCAGGAAAGAATAGAATTAGTTAGATTGAAGCAGTAATACAAATTATCTCTTCTGCTGAAAAATCCACTGTTAGTGGAATGGGGATTCCTTTCGAGGTGACTAAATGCTTTTTTCTTACTGCTTTTAGGATTATCTCTTTGTGTTTAGACAGTTTGACTACAATCTGCAGTATAGAAGATGTTTTTGCATTGTATCTGTTTAAAGATCTCTGAAAGCTTCCTGCATCTGGATGTCTAAATCTCTTCCTAGGAAGTTTCCCACACTATTTTACTAAGTAGGTTTTCTAACTCTTTTGTTATTTCTTTGCCTTTTGGGACTTTGATAATTTGAGTATTTGGTTGCTTTATGGTGTCCTGTAGAGTTTGTTCATTTTTTAAAATTTTTCTTTCTTTATTTTTGTCTGATTGGGGTATTTTTTAAAAAACTTCTTCAAGTCCTAACATTCTTTCTTCCACTTGTTCTAATCTACTGAAGCTTTCAAATATATTTTGTATTTTATTCAATGAGTTCTTCCTTTCTAGAATTTCTCTCTTTTGCTTTTATGATACCTATCTCTTTGGTAAATTTCTCAGTCCTATCTGGATTTGTTTTTCTGATTTACATTAGTTTTCAGAACTCCGTTTTATCTCACTGAGCTTATTTGAAGTCAAGATTTTGAATTACTTTTCTGAGATTTTGGAAACTTTTGTTTGGTGGGGATCTGTTGCTGAAGACTTATTGTGCTCCTTTGGAGGTGTCATATTTCTTTGTCTTTTCATGTTTTCTCAGTCCTTTTTGTATCTGTGCATCTGGTGCAATAGTCACTTCTGATTTTGTTGAATTTGCTTTTGTAGGGGAGACTTTTTCCTGAAGATGAATTCATGGTTTTGGTTGGGTAGGGCATTTTGGCTTTGATTTTGCTTATGTGCAGTAGTGTTTTCTCTGTATTTTTTCAACTATAAACAGTGTCATTGACATCTGTGATATTTTTTGTGGCTTAGGTTATGGTTATTAATGAAAGCTATAGTGAAGTTTTCCTGGGAACTGGGATCCTAGGTGGGCTAATCCTTTGGCCGCAGTGGTGGCAATGGTGGGCTTAGCATGCCCATCCTTGGGCTTCAGGGAAGCATATGCTGATATTGAAATTAGTAGATCCAGGAGGGCCTATTCTTGGGCCTGTAATTGACCTACTCAAATGTCAGTAGTGGCAGTGTTGTGCAAGTGGGTGAGTGGGTTTTCAGGCCCCTGAACAGCTGTCATGTTGTGTATGTTGGCAAAGGCTTGGCCAGGATGATCCTCTGAATCCTGAGCAGTGTGTGCTGATGTTGGTGGTGGCTGCCATGGGCTGGGCAGGCCAGTCTCCAGGCCTGCAAGTGGTGCATCAGGTTGGCACCAGCTCTGGTGGCAGTGCAGTGTGGGTAGCCCAACCTTAGGCCCCCAGGAGAAATGCATAGGTGCTAAAGGTTGTGGGCTGGACAGGGCAATCCCCTGGCCCCTGGACTGCATGCTCTGGCATGGGATGAGAGAATAGCTTGGTTGGGCAGAGTTGTCCTCATGAGCCCAAGTGATGTGTGTAGGTGACAGCTGTGGTAAGCAGGAGCAAGGTGCAGTCTGTTGTAGGTGGGGCTTTAAAGCGGTGCCTTGTTGTAGCTCCTTACATCCTGGGTATTGTGTGGGATCCAGCAAGAACTCGTTCCCCCCAGCGATGCTGTCACAAAATGTCCTGGCAGTTTCCTATGTTAGTTTCAGGGCCCACGAGTGTTGAGAGGGTCTCTTTTGTCTAGGATTGCAGAAGTCCATGGTGGGAATGTGGACTGCTGAAGATCTCTGACTTATCCCTTCCCTGCACTGGGGAGTCCCTTCCAGGTCTTTCTGAGCAGGCTGCCTTGTTTCTCTCTCCTACCTCGCTTCAGGAATTTCCTGTTACTTTTCTGTTGAATCCCAGTAATCATGATGGGATTCAACAGAAAATTAAAAAATGGATCACTTGAATGATCCATTTGAAGTGTGATTACCTCTTACTATTTTGGTTTGTGTTAGTGAAACTTAATAGCTAATTAAAGAAAGGAAATAAATTGATGTTGGCAAAAGATTCCAATGAGCTATTCAAGAGATAGTCAATAAATACATACATAGAGATATTCACTATATTAAATATATATTTATAATAGATACATTAAATATTATACATTATATATGCAGAGATATTAAATAGAGCATACATACATGTATTAACTATATTAGGTATATACATTTATAAGAGATATATTAAATATTATATGTTATATATGCATACACAAGATGTTGTATATAGTGTATATAGGATATATTCACATTAATTAGAATCATGATTTCTAATTATTTGAGCTCATTTTAGTATCAAAGTTAAATATACTAAATTTAAATAACAGGTAGCTCAAGAAGAAAAATGACAGTGATATTCAAAATGGCTATTTTTACTGAGTTTAAACAGAGAAGCCAAAAGTAGTGTAGAAAGCAATGTGCTAAAGACCCATAAAAATTAAAAATTATATAGCTTAGCATAATTATAGTCAAATGATTGATGCACACAGTAGTGATATGCTTAAATCCAGTAGGAAAACTACTAAAAGTACTAAAAGGAAGAAGCATATCTTGAGTTATATATCTAAGATGAAAGAATTTCAAATAAGAACAGACTATTAAACTATTAATTGCAGGACCAAAGCAATATAAAATGTGGATATTGCCCATGATATTTAGGTAAACACATGCAATATATAATTTCAGATCATTTTTGCAAAGAGCTTAGAATAGTTAGGAAGGTCCTCTTCTACCATATGACATTTGAGAATATATCTGAATGAAGCAATAATTTCATGCCTCTATCTTGGGAAAGAGCATTCCAGAAAGATGAAACCTTAAATGCCAAGATCTTGAGGCAGCATATGAATTATTGGCATTGTTTAAAAAAGTCAAAAGTGTCTGATTAAGGCAAAGTAACTAGTAAGAGATTCATCTTATGCTGTTATTCTTTTCTTTATAAGTCCCTATGTCAGTTTTATGGTTTAGAATTGTGTCTAGTGTTGACAATGTTGCTTAATCAATGATTTGATCTATCATCTCTACCAACATCTTCCATCTGATGTAGATGCCTTTCTTTGGCGCTGAGCATACATCTATTACAGGCTTTATTGATCATTCCTTTATCACAGGCATAATCCCACCCTACTATTATCACTGTTGAGAACATTTGTACTGCAAGTAATTGAAAATTTAAAATAATTTGAATAATACATTGCTTCTCAGAATCATGCCTCGCTTTGACAGTAGACAAAATAAAAATGCTTACCACTGTTTCATGTAATTTTTGGAAAGATCAATAAAAACTTTAGCCTGCATTTAATATCCTCCTGTATTATTTTGCCAAGAGTGAATTTGGCAAGAGAACTAAGGGACAATAAAATTGACTTAATTAACATTACAAGAAATCTTTACCAAATCAAGCAACACATTCCCATGTGGACAGCTAGCTACTCCTTAGTGAGCCATGTGGCAGGTGGTTCCACAGGAGTGGTCAGGAAAAGAGAGCTCCTAAACTGATGGGCTTTTTCTTTAGCAGTTACTAAATGGAAGCTGCTTTTGGCTATTAAAACAACTTATTTTCCTTACCTATGTTTCTTAACACTTTCTGTATTGTTATATATATTTTTTAAATTTCATATTCTTAAATGATTCTTTGTTTACACAGATTATTTTGTTGGCTACGCTATTCACCAGGCCCTTTGATTTCTATGCCTAATGACACAGAAGCACCTTTATACTATAAGAAAAAAAGTTACATCACATTTCTTTCCTTGTCATGAAATTTGATTCAACCAAGCTCCCAGATGACTCTGAAGAAGTTTTAGAAATCTCACCAGTATCATTCTGCTTCAATTTTCTCTTTCCTTTCTATAAAGTTGACTTATAGCCCCTTTACATTCCCATATTTTAGATCTGAAAGAAACCATAACTTTTTTTTTCCACTGAGAAAAACAAACATCAGGCCAAAAACAGGTCTTTAGTTCACTGCACTGTAACACTTCACAAGTATGACATGTTATGTTATTTTTAGTACTTTTGCATATTTCTTGGGTTCACTCCATTCATGCATGCCATTCACTAATGTATTCCTCCACTAAATATATATTCAAAACCTGCCAGAAATCCAATAGAGCACTAAATGCTGTTACAAATAGTAAGATGCAGTCTTTACCTTTAATAAGGTTGGGAGGAGCATGTGGAGATATGTCAGTGGACAGTTGAAATGCCACTCAGTAATAACAATGATGTAGAAGCAAACACTATTATGAGAGTGGCTCAAAGTAAAAGCAGGATAAATGTCTTAGAAATTCACCCTGCAGCTACAGCATACAAGACTAATTGGGTTTAAAAAATTGGTCGGGCGCGGTGGCTCACACCTGTAATCCCAGCACTTTGGGAGGCCAAGGCGGGCGGATCACGAGGTCAGGAGATCGAGACCATCCTGGCTAACACGGTGAAACCCTGTCTCTACTAAAAATACAAAAAATTAACCCAGCATGGTGGCGGGCGCCTGTAGTCCCAGCTACTAGGGAGGCTGAGGCAGGAGAATGGCATGAACCCGAGAGGCGGAGCTTGCAGTGAGCGGAGATTGCACCACTACACTCCAGCCTGGGCGACAGAGCGAGACTCTGTCTCAAAAAAAAAACAAATAAATAAAAAATAAATAATGGTAGCAGACAATCATTTTAAGTAGATGACAGTGTGAAACATATTAGTATTTGTAATTTTTCTTACTAGAATTTAAGATGTGAGATTGAGCCTGACAAAAATAAACAACAAGAAGCAAACTTTGGACTTCCAGATTAAGAAAAGTTTAAGACATGGAGTATTGTGTGTGTGTATTTACAAAACACCTTAAAGTTCAATGTATAAAGAGTGAAAAGGTATCCAAGTACCACTGATTTAAATCAATCTAAGTCACAGTTTCATTATTTGTATTAATTTGAAAATAAAATTCATACTCATATATTTCTCCTGAAAGGTGAGAAATCTTATTTACTTGGTCATAGTAGATTTGCAGTAAAATATAATTATAATTTAATATCTTTAGATTGTATATATTTATACAATCGGTGAAACATGTAGATATTTAGCTTTTTCAAAATAAATATGATTTTGATGTTTCTCCACTTTATTTCTCCTTAAGATAGAAACTGAATGGCCTGCGAGTTAGGATCTTCAATATACTGTGGAATAAGATTTTCTTTCAGGTCTACACTAGTACTAAGTCTATATTCTACTCAGGCACATATTGCTTTTCTTTGTATACATTTTAGATTTTCTGGCCTGTTTTCGGAAAAACGTCTTTAACATGAGACAGGATCCTGGAAATTCAGAGTAACAAGGTTAACTTTAAATAACACTATCTCGCCTTAGGAATGAAACAGCATAAGGACTATCAGAGACCAAAAATGACTCTATTATCACAGCATGATTTGATACACTGTTTAAACATTACCGATCATTATTACATACTTTGTAAAGCAAATTCCTTTGTTGTTGTTTTCCCCCAAGTTGTTATGTGCCTAACAGATCAACTAAATTGCCAATTTGATACTTTTCCAAATAATGAAAGACTTAGCGGAGTTCATGCAGACTGTTGTAAAACTATACTACCTGAATCTTTAATAAAGCTGATTCATTTAGTAAGCAAAAAGGCCATCCTTAGTTCATCACACCTTTTTGTTCTAAAAGTATAATATACTTCATATTTTTAGAATATTTCTTCAGGATATTTCTTGGGTTCACTTTTTCTCCTCATTTATGTTATTCATATTACTTATATATGTATTTGTATAGCAAGTCTGCATATATATGTGTGTGTGTGTATATGTGTGTGTATATATATATTCAGCACCTACCTGTATTGGTTTAAATCTGGGGTAATAAACTTTAAGATATAATCTATGCCATGCAAAAGAGTAAGAGGGTAATGAAAAGACATCTAAGTAAATAATTAAAATGCAAGGCAGTGATAACAATGCCAGAGATATGAGATTATAACTGTGACAGTACAGAGTAAAAACAGGTGTTTTTGAATGATTCCCAGTGAATTTACATTACATGAGAAACTATATCTTGCAAGATGTGTGTTTGTGTGTGTGTATTAAATGAATTTTAGTTCTATTCTGAAATAGAGAAGAAAAAAACCTTGGTCAAATGATAATAATCTGTAATGACATAAATCATGTTTGCTTTCATAATAGAAAACCTAGACAAAAGATATAGAGATAAGTTGAAAGTTAAGAAAAAGTAGGGCTTTTCCTGCAATATTTTAAATACAGGTGTTCTCATATGTGGTACATATCATCTATAAATTCTATCTATTTATTTGTCTAGCTTTCTTCATATCTATCATCTAGTGACAAGGCTGACTTTGTAGAATAAATATGAATGTTATATCTTGAAAGGAAGTTGCTATTTAAAACTTGACCTAATTGCAGTTGATTCTACATTTCTGGGCAGTGGATTAATTCATATGATTGGGGACATAAAACAATAAATAAAACTCAAGAGACATGTAAAGCTCTTTCCCTTTAATACTCCAATTGCCACATTCCTTTGACTTTAATGGGATTTATTATGCAATTGATCTTACCTTTTTTTCGCTGTCCCCAAAGGCTTTCATGTTCTAACTTCCTATGTTCCAGCTTAAATTTTGTCAAGAACCATCATAATTACTCACTGGCATTGAGCCTCAAGTATGTGAGCCCTCTCTTATTTTCTTATACCCTTAAAAAATTGCTTCCACTATTTCTGCCCTTTATACTCCTTATCAAATTATTCCTCTCTATCAAATGATCATGACCTACTGGATGATATCAACAGTTTAAGAGGATGCTGTAGATTTTCTGTGATAAACAAAAATGAAAACAAAAGCCTTACATCCATCCATCTTTCCAGCCACTGATCTGTAACCCTCTTTGTGTTTCCACGAAGTGTTCTTGAAATAATTGTCTGTGTGTGCTGCCTTCAATAATTCTCCCCCTATTTTCTATTTGATGCATTCTTGTTGGTCTTTAATCCTATTTCTCTACTAAAACTTCTCTTAGAAAGGTCACCAATAATTTCTATATTATTAAATAAGATTTTTAAAACTAAATTCTCACTTCATTTACAAGGAAGAAACATTGGGCAAAATGTATCATGTTCTTATTCATGAAACACTTTACTCATAAAAGGTGGTCAGGTCATACTACTGGATAGGTGTTGGTTGGCAGCTAAGTTATGATATTATTTGTCCTCAAATTAACAAAAAAATTAACCTGTGAATTCAATATAATTCCAAATAAAATCACTTTTTTTTACTGTTTTAAAATTAATTTTATTTATAATTGCTACATAATAATGGCACATTCTTATGGAGTACAGTGTGATGTTTCAATGCATGTAGATGTTTTATAATGATCAGCTCAGTATATAAATTTCATATTTATTTTAGGGAAGGTTTTAGACTTCGGAAAAGTTGCAACAATAGTACAAAGACCTTAAACTGTTTACCTCACTTCACAAATGTTAACATCTTACATAAATATGGTACCATTGCCAACAACAGAAAATTATCATCACTAGAAAAATTTCATAGTAGTAAATGTATTTAAAAATATCCACCACTGGATGCTAAAATTAGTGGCTAGAAATTAGAGGAAGCCAGAAATTATATAGTCTAAAAGTATTTCACGGAAGATACTGATCACTTACAATGAGAAAAATAATAAATTTACGGTGTTGAAATCTAGAAGATAGTAAGTCAACCAAATGATTAAGATAAACATAATCAATAATAAGACAACTTAGTATCATAAACTTCTTAGTATGATGCAGTGAAAACATAATATTTTTAATTTGGTATTCCTGCTAAAAATGCAGAACCTAACTCCAATTATGAGGTGAATTGAGAAACATTTTATAAAATAATTAATCAGTATTCTTTGAAGAGTATCAACGTTGTGAAAGACAGGCAAAGAGACATTACTTTTTTTGAGAGACACTTTAAACTTACTCTGAAATTTATATGAAAAATTTAAGGTCCAAAAATTGCCAAGTCACTCTTAAAAGATGGAAAAAAAAGGAATAATGTTCCACTAGATATTAAAATATAGAACAAATTATTGTATTTCAAATATAGATTCAGAGCAAGAAAAAACAAATTAACTGTGATAAAATACACAGAACTAAAAGACAAATCTGTACAAATGGAAATTTGTAAACCTAACATATAATTAAACACAAAACAAAGATAAAAATAGATTGATTTAGTAATAGTATAGAATGAGTGACATAATACACAGAAAAATAAATTTTGATTACTTTCTACATGTTACTATATACGGTGAACCCAGAAAATCTGAGACAGGTCTCAGTTAATTTAGAATGTTTATTTTGCCAAGGTTAAGGACGTACCGGTGAGAGCCTCAGAATGATCTTGAAGACAGCCCAAGGTGGTCAGGGCGCAGCTTGGTTTTATATACTTTAGGGAGACATGAGACATCAATCAGTATATGTAAGAAGTACATTGGTTCCGTCTGGAAAGGCAGGACAACTTGAAGCAAAGGCAGGAAGACTGGAAGCAGAAGGGAACTTCCAGGTCACAGATAAGTGAGACACAAATTCTTTTGAGTTTCTGATTAGCCTTTCCAAAGGAGGAAATCAGATACGCATCTATCTCAGTGAGCAGAGGGTTAACTTTGAATAGAATGAGGCAGGTTTGTCTTAAGCAGCTTCCAGCTTGAGTTTTCCTTAGTGATTTTGGGGGCCCAAGATATCTTCCTTTCACAATAATTACATCTAGATAGATTAAATAAGCAGTCATAAAAGGGGATATCATAAAGCTAATAGAAAAAAATGTAGAATAATATTTTTGTGACCTAAATGTGGGGAGGGACTTCATATAAAAGCCTTACAAGAATATGTCAAGGCAAATATATTATCTGTGTTTGATGGTAGAAAAGTTAATAATTTTTGTGCAATATAGAGACCACAGACAAAATCAGGAAAAACAAAACAGGATGGGAAAGATACTTGTTATTTCAAAGGCGCCAGTCTGGGCTGTGTGTGGTGGCTCACACCTGTAATCTCCGCATTTTAGGAAGCCAAGTTGAGAGGATCACTTCAGCCCAGGAGTTCAAGACCAGCCCGGACAACAGGATGAAACCCTGTCTCTATTAAAAATAAGAATAAAAACTTAACCAGGTGTGGTGGCATGTGCCTGTAATCTCAGCTACTAGGGAGGCTCAGGTGGGAAAATTGCTTGAACCTAGGAGGTCAAGGCTGCAGTGAGCTGTGATTGTGCCACTGCACTTCAGCTTGGGCAACAGAGTGAGGCCCTATTACAAAATAAAATGGAGTTACAAATTTATAACAATGACAAGTTACTTTCACACGCGTCTGTGTGAAGAGAGCACCAAACAGGTTTTGTGTGAGCAATAAAGCTTTTAATCACCTGGGTGCAGGTGGGCTGAGTCCGAAAAGAGAGTCAGCAAAGGGAGATAGGGGTGGGGCCGTTTTATAGGATTTGAGTAGGTAAAGGAAAATTACAGTCAAAGGGGGGTTGTTCTCTGGCGGGCAGGAGTGGGGGTCACAAGGTGCTCACTGGGGGTGCTTTTTGAGCCAGGATGAGCCAGTAAAATGACTTTTACAAGGTAATGTCATCAGTTAAGGCAAGGAACGGCCATTTACACTTCTTTTGTGGTGGAATGTCATCAGTTAAGGTGGGGCAGGGCATATTCACTTCTTTTGTGATTCTTCAGTTACTTCAGGCCATCTGGGCCTATATGTGCAAGTCACAGGGGATGCGATGGCTTGGCTTGGGCTCAGAGGCCTGACATTCCTGCCTTCTTATATTAATAAGAAAAATAAAACAAAATAGTGATGAAGTTTTGGGGCGGCGAAAATTTTTGGGGGGTGGTATGGAGAGAGAATGGGCGATGTTTCTCAGGGCTGCTTCAAGTGGGATTGGGGCAGCGTGGGAACCTAGAGTGGGAGAGATTAAGCTGAGGGGAGGTCTTGTGGTAAGGGGTGATATTGTGGGGTTGTTAGAAGAAACATTTGTCCTATAGAATGATTGCTGATGGCCTAGATACGGTTTGGGATGAATTGAGAAACTAAATGGAATAACAGAAGGAGAAAAACAGGTATAAAAAGTCTAAGAATTGGGACGACTCAGGATATCTGATTAGAGAGTGCCTAAGGAGATTCAGCATAGTCCTGCCAGCAAAGATTATTTATTTACTTCAAGAGTTAAGAGTGGCAGTTTGGGGATAGCACCAGGAGATATCAGCTGTGATGGCTTGGAAAAACAGTGTAAACCAGCAGTGTAAACAAGAGCAGGGCATGTATGAGTAGTTGAGAACGGTGAATAGGAGTATGACTAGACAGAAGATAGCAGGGAAGACAAGTTTTTTAGGGGCACAGTCTAAGTTGGTCTGGTGTCTGGAATGAGACCGGGGCCTAATAAAAAGGAGCATCTATACAGGAGCTCCAATGGGCTGTACCCTGTAGCATTCCGAGGACAGGCCTGAATTCTGAGAAGGGAAAGTGGTAAAAGTATTGTCCAGTCCTTTTTAAGTTGGTGGCTAAGCTTGGTGAGGTGTGTTTTTAAAGATCTTTAGTCCATTCTACTTTTCTTGAAGACGGAGGACCATAAGGGATATAAAGGTTTCACTGAATACTAAGAGCCTGAAAAACTGCTTGGCTGTTTTGACTAATAAAGGCTCGTCTGTTATCAGACTATATTGAGGTGGGAAGGCTAAACTGAGGAATTATGTCTGACAGAAGGGAAGAAATGACTGCGGTGGCCTTCTCAGACCCTGTAGGAAAGACCTCTACCTATCCAGTGAAAGTATCTACCTAGACTAAGAGGTATTTTAGTTATCTGACTCAGGGCATGTTGAGTAAAGCTAATTTGCCAGTCCTGGGTGGGGCAAATCCTCGAACTTGATGTGTAGGGAAGGGAGGGGGCCTGAATAATCCCTGAGGAGTAGTAGAATAGCAGATGGAACACTAAGAAGTTATTTCCTTGAGAATAGATTTCCACGATGGAAAGGAAATGAGAGGTTCTAAGAGGCTGGCTAGTGGCTTGTACTATAGTATAACCTGCCTTTGCTGGTGTGTGGCGATTAGGCCTGGTGGAACCGCCATCAATAAATCAAGCGTGATCAGGGTGAGGAACAGGAAAGAAGGAAATTTGGGGAAATGGGGTGAATGTCAGGTGGATCAGAGAGATACAGTCATGGGGGTCAGGTGTGGTATCAGGAATAATGTGGGAGGCCGGATTGAAGTGCGGGCCAGGAACAACAGTAATTGTGGGAGACTCAACAAAGAGTGAGTACAGCTGAAGGAGCCGGGGAGCAGAAAGTATATGCATCAGGTATGAGGAAGAAAATAGATTTTGGAAGTTATGAGAACTGCAGAGAGTGAGTTGAGCATAGTTTGTGATTTTGAGGGCCTCTAAAAGTATTAAAGCAGCGGCAGCTGCTGCACACAGACATGAGGGCTAGGCTAAAACAGTAAGGTCAAGTTGTTTGAACACAAAGGCTACAGGTTGTGGTCCTGGCTCATGTGTAAGAATTCTGACCACGCTAACCATGCCTAGGAAGGAAAGGAGTTGTTTTGTAGAAGGGGCTTGGGTTTGAGAGATCAGTCGGACACGATTGGCAGGGAGAGCATGTGTGTTTTTATGAGAATTATGCCGAGATAGGTAACAGATGAGGATGAAATTTGGGCTTGATTGAAGTAATGGGGGCTGTCTGTGAAGCTTTGCAGCAGTACAGCCTAGGTAATTTGCTGAGCTTGATGGGTGTCAGGGTCAGTCCAAGTGAAAGCAAAGAGAGGCTGGGATTAAGGGTGCAAAGGAATAGTAAAGAAAGCATGTTTGAGATCTAGAACAGAATAATGGGTTGTAGAGGCAGGTATTGAGGATAGGAGAGTATATGGGTTTGGCACCACGGGGGGGATAGGCAAAACAATTTGGTTGATAAGGCGCAGATCCTGAACTAACTTGTAAGGCTTGTCTGGTTTTAGGACAGGTAAAATGGGGGAATTGTAAGGAGAGTTTATAGGCTTTAAAAGGCCATGCTGTAGCAGGCGAGTAATAACAGGCTTTAATCTTTTTAAAGCGTGCTGCGGGATGGGATATTGGCGTTGCGTGGGGTAAGGGTGATTAGGTTTTAATGAGACGGTAAGGGGTGCATGATCGGTCGCCAAGGAGGGAGTAGAGGTATCTTATACTTGTGGGTTAAGGTGGGGGGATACAAGAGGAGGATGCAAAGGAGGCTTTGGATAGGGAAGAAGGGCGGCAATGAGATATAGCTGTAGTCCAGGAATAGTCAGGGAAGCAGATAATTTAGTTAAAGTGTCTCAGCCTAATAAGGGAACTGGGCAGGTGGGGATAACTAAAAAGGAGTGCTTAAAAGAGTGTTGTCTAAGTTGGCAGCAGAGTTGGGGAGTTTTAAGAGGTTTAGAAGCCTGGCCGTCAATACCCACAACAGTTATGGAGGCAAGGGAAACAGGCCCTTGAAAAGAAGGTAATGTGGAGTGGGTAGGCTCCGTATTGATTAAGAAGGGGACGGACTTACCTTCCACTGTGAGAGTTACCTGAAGCTCGGCATCCGTGATGGTCTACGTGGCTTCTGAGGCGATCGGGCAGCATCAGTCTTCAGCCGCTAAGCCGAGAAGATCTGGGAAGGAGTCAGTCAGAGAGCCTTGGGCCAGAGTTCCAGGGGCTCTGGGAGTGGCTGCCAGGTGAGTTGAACAGTCCGATTTTCCATGGGGTCCCACACAGATGGGACGCGGCTTAGGAGGAATCCCAGGCTGCCAGCATTCCTTGGCCCAGTGGCCAGATTTCCGGCACGTGTCGCAAGCTCCTGGGGGAGGAGGTTCTGGAGGAACGCCTGGCTGCTGCAGTTGAGGCATTTGGAAGTTCTTATGTGCTGGAGATGTGGCTGGGGTTTGTCTCAAAGTGGAGGTAAGGAATTGCAACTTTTTTCTATTATTGTACACCTTGAAGGCAAGGTTAATTAAATCCTGTTGTGGGGTTTGAGGGCCGGAATTTAATTTTTGGAGTTTTATTTAATGTCGGGAGCAGATTGGGTAATAAAATGTATTTTGAGAATAAGACGGCCTTTTGACCTTTTAGGGTCTAGGGCTGTGAAGTGTCTCGGGGTTGCTGCCAAACAAGTCATGAACTGGGCTGGATTTTTATATTCGATGAAAAAGAGCCTAAACGCTATCTGATTTGGGATAAAGAAAAAGGAGCATTAACCTTGACTATGCCTTTAGCTCCAGCCACCTTTTTAAGAGTAAATTGCTGGGCAGGAGGGAGAGGGCCAGTCACGGAACGAAACTGTAAGCAGCACCAGGTGTGAGGAGGGGAGGTGATAAGGAAAAATTCAAAGTGCCATTTTCTGGCTATTTGGAACTACTGTCGAGTTTGTATTGGGGTCAAGCGGCATTGCAGAAGAAAATAAGGCATTTAGGTTTTAGGTCAGGTGTGAGTTGAAGAGGTTTTAAGTATTTGAGAACACAGGCCAAGGGAGTAGAAGGAGGAATGGAGGGTGGAAGGTTGCCCGTAATGAAGGAAGCAAGCCTAGAGAAAAGAGAGAGTAGAGAAACAGAGGGAAGGGGTTCGGGGGTTCTTACCTTCCAGAAAAGGGGTTGGGGCGCAGAGATAAGAGGTCGGGGCGTGGAAATAAGGGATGGGGCACAGAAATAAGGGGTCGGGGCACGGAAATAAGGGGTCAGGGCATGGAAATAAGGGGTCGGGGCACGGAAATAAGGGATTGGGGCACAGAGATACGAGGTTGGGGTACTTGCTCCTCCTCTAGAAAAGCGGGACTTGCTGCTAGGAGTGAAGGAGAAGGGGTTGAGGGGTACTTGCCCCTCTCCCAGAAAAGCAGAGGAGGGGTAGAGACAAGGAGAGAAGGGGTTGGTGTACTTGCCCCTTTCCCAAAAAAGCAGGACTTGCCGCTAAGGGTGAAGGACCATGGCAGGCATCCCTGCGTGGTCTGACACATTTGAAACGTGGGTCAATAATCAGAGAGGTGGCCCTGCGATGATTAAACACCAAGGGAAGGCTGCCTTCCTAGTCCGTGACCGGCGCCGGAGTTTTGGGTCCATGGATAAAACGTGTCTCCTTTGTCTCTCCCAGAAAATGAAAGGAATTGAAATTAAGAGAAGGGAGAGATTGAAGAGTGGAAAGGAGAAAGTGGTTGAGGGACAGTGAGAGAGGCTGGAGAAGAGAGTAAGAAGAGGCTGCTTACCTGATTTAAAATTGGTGAGATGTTCTTTGGGCTGGTCGGTCTGTGGACCTGAGGTCGTAGGTTCATCTTTCTCATGGAGCAAAGAACAGGAGGACAGGGGATTGATCTCCCAAGGGAGGTCCCCCGATCCGAGTCACGGCACCAAATTTCATGCACGTCCGTGTGAAGAGACCACCAAACAGGCTTTGTGTGAGCAATAAAGCTGTTTATTTCACCTGGGTGCAGGTGGGCTGAGTCCGAAAAGAGAGTCAGCAAAGGGAGATAGGGGTGGGGCCGTTTTATAGGATTTGGGTAGGTAAAGGAAAGTTACAGTCAAAGGGGGTTTGTTCTCTGGCGGGCAGGAGTGGGGGTCGCAAGGTGCTCAGTGGGGGTGCTTTTTGAGCCAGGATGAGCCAGGAAAAGGACTTTCCCAAGGTAATGTCATCTCTTGAGGCAAGGAATGGCCATTTACACTTCTTTTGTGGTGGAATGTCATCAGTTAAGGTGGGGCAGGTCATATTCACTTCTTTTGTGATTCTTCAGTTACTTCAGGCCATCTGGGCGTATACGTGCAAGTCACAGGGGATGCGATGGCTTGGCTTGGGCTCAGAGGCCTGACAGTTACCCCAATAGGAGATAAAATGAACAAGTATGAAAAGTAATTTAAAGAAGAGAGAACAAAAAGCTAACGTAAACACCAAAATATGCTAAAATTGTTAGTAATCAGATAAGTACAAATTTTAAAAATAATAAGCTATCATTTTAAAAATAGCAAGCTGGGTAATGGAAAGTATTAGGGATGTGAAGTTGAAGGACTCCTCATGCGGTACTGGAGGGTGTGCATGTTTTAACATAGTATTACTTGTGGTAGTAGAAAGTTGGAAGCAAGCTGGGTGTTCATCTCTGAAAAATGGGTACTAAAATATGGTGGACTATCACCAAGACAGCCATAGCACTTCCCCTACATTGACTAAACTTTAAACAAATTTTCCCTGATGAAAGCCACCTTTTCTCCTTTTTCTTAGATTGTTTGCTTTAGAAAACTTGCAATTATAAGTTTTTTCCTCTGTTGCTGTAAGATACAAGTCGTATCCCAGAGTCCTGCCAATTTTACCACCCGGAAATGCTTTTCTTAGGGAACTGGGAGTGATTTCTCCAAGGTGTATTTATCTTAGTGTCCCTATCTTCCAGGAAAAAAATTCAGTGCTGTGGGCCAACAAGCTAACTCTTGGGTTTGAACTGTACACCTATACCCTTGCTTGTTAGTATTCTGACTGCAATGTCTATTACAGCTAATAGTAGTCCAAAGTGGTTGGACGTCTTTTACCCTCAATTCCCACAACCAGCACTCAGGATGTTCACCTCCAGTCCATGACATGTCTCGGGTGGTCCATGGGTTACTAAATCTATTTCCTATGAGAGATCTGCAATGCCAAGGGACCCTTCCAAGCAATGCTTTCTCAGCTCCAACTGATGTGTGATACTTTATTATCCTAGGATAATCTTATGCTTGCCAGGAAAAGTCAACTGCTCTTCATGCTTCTCCCATCGCTTTTCCCTTTAGCTTGACATCTATCTTTATGTGGAAGGTTGATATGCCATCAACTTTAACAGAGATTAAATTCTAGAAAACGCAATGATAGCCTAAAGATTTCAAGAGAAGTTATGGTTGGGTGATGTGTGACTCTACTTTTGTGCTATGAAAGGTAGAATAATATTTTAACATGACCAGAAAACAATTATTATTCATATTTTCTTGGATTTATATTCATCTTCAATGAAGCACAGTAATAATCTTTTAGAGAGTCATTGAAACTCAACATTCATAGGCACCATGATAAATGGCGCAACATCATAATAATGATGTAACTGCCATTAGATAAATGTCAGGCACTTGTAGTCCCAGCTACTCGGGTGGCTGAGGCAGGGGAATGGCGTGAACCCGGGAGGCGGAGCTTGCAGTGAGCCGAGATTGTGCCACTGCACTCCAGCCTGGGTGACAGAGCGAGACTCCGTCTCAAAAAAGTAAATAATAAATAAATAAATAAATGTTACAGAGGAACTGCAGAGGTAAAATTTTCCAACTTGTTTCTTTCTATTTTTTATTTTGTTTTTAGAGACAGGGTCTCACTCTGTTGCCCAGGATGGAGTACAGTGGCGTGATCATGGCTCACTGCAACCTTGAACTCCCGAGCACAAGGGCTCCTTCCTGCCTCAGCTTCTCAAAAAGTGTTGGGATTATAGCCATAAGCTACCATGCTGGCTCAATATAAATGATTTCTAAACAGTCATGGCACTGTGATAGCAGTAGTATTGCTCCCTGTTTCTTACAGTAAGAGCAAGTAAATTAAGCTGAAAGGATTTCCTGGACATGAACAGGAAAAATAATGGTGCATGCACCATATGAAGAATTTTCACATGCACTGGTATAGATAATAATGTATCTCTCTTCTACCCATTATTCTAAATCTTCATCAATAAATCACTGTACCTCAGATATGCCAGTGAATTTTATAACATATTCTTAGTTGTTTATGTGAACAAGGATGTGATATAAAATATTTGTCTTGAGAAGCACACATTTTAGAGGTGGCCTTACCTTTGGGAATTCACAGACTTTATAGAGAAAACAATGGATTTTCCACATAAAGGGAATTCAAGGTGATTACAGCTGTGTTTCAAGGCATAGGGTACTCCAGCTGATGCCTAGGATATACAAATATAAGTTTTGAGCAATAAGGTAAAGTAGAAACATAACTTTAGGGTTTAATGCAGACCGTGTGTAACCTCAGTCACAAAATTTAAATTCTCCTCACTTTAATATGCTCATTTATAAAACTGGTTTGTTTTCTCAGATTAATAGTAGGATCTTATATAAAATTCAATTTTATTTGTTAATGCTTTCTTAATGTGACATGCTGCCTCCATTTTATCAACTGTATACTGGATATGCATGTCACCTATACTTCCCTAGAATATTGCAGAAAACAGTTAACTAAGAGTTTTTGACATGCTGAGTTTCGTTTAGGCACAGGAAAATTAGCAGTCTTTTTTATTATACGCAATTTTTTCAATATGTGGTTACTTCAAGTTGTTACTAGGACTGAAGTAAATTCAGTTTGGCTTTAAATATTCAGAAGAGTGCACAAAGTCAATATCTAAAAAAGGAACCTTGGCCGGGCGCAGTGGCTCACGCCTGTAGTCCCAGCACTTTGGGAGGCCGAGGCGGGCGGATCACGAGGTCAGGAGATCGAGACCATCCCGGCTAAAACGGTGAAACCCCGTCTCTACTAAAAATACAAAAAATTAGCCGGGCGTAGTGGCGGGCGCCTGTAGTCCCAGCTACTTGGGAGGCTGAGGCAGGAGAATGGCGTGAACCCGGGAGGCGGAGCTTGCAGTGAGCCGAGATCCCGCCACTGCACTCCAGCCTGGGCGACAGAGCGAGACTCCGTCTCAAAAAAAAAAAAAAAAAAAAAAAGGAACCTATTAAAAACACATATAAAGGAAAATTGCAGTCAAGCGGCTACACCATCTGGTTCATATGAAAATGAGAAGTAGTGATGAGTGTCTGCATGCTGATGGTGCTGCAGACCTAATCAACTTGCTGTCTCTCCAAGCAGTCATGTGTACAGATTAATGAAGAGAGGTGACAGAATAAAACTTCCCGCTGACTTGCTGTGGATAAGCTATTTTGCTCCATCATTGCCTCAGCTTTGCTTACAGGATAGTAGATTCATTCTAGCATGTACTTTTGTGCTAATCATTTTGACTAAATGAACCAAATCTCATGGTAAAAGGTGCCAGCAACATCTGGTAGCTCTAAGTCAGAATCACTGTGTATCAGTGTGTATAAATGCATCCATGTTGCCCTTTACTCTGTGATGATCATAAATCAGCATGCTGCCACTGACCCAACACAACATAATCCTGTGTTACTACTTTATCAGACAGAAAAGAGGTTTTCCATGGCTTCATTGCTGCTTTCTTTGTCTTAATTTCAGGTCAGTTTCTAAAGTCAATGAAACCATTTTTATTGTGTTCAATTTTAGTAGGTTGATTTTGTAGCCCTAACTACTAGTTATCTCACATTGGTCTAAGAATTGCATTGTAACAGTCATCTCTTACACATAACTCACATTAAAATAAAAACTATTACAGTTGGTACTTCTTATTTGTAGGGGGTATGTTCAAAGACTCCCAGTGGATTCCTGAAACCACGGATAGTAACAAACCTTATATATACTACATTTGTTTCCAAATTGTTCCAAATGTTCCAAATTGGAACAAATTTTTTCCAGTTGTCCAAATTCTTACAAATTGTTCCAAATGACCAAGATGACCTCTGAGCGACTAGTGGGCAGGTAGCATATATAACCTTGATATGCTGGACAAAGGGATGTTTTGCATCCCAGGCAGGAACTGTGGGACAGCATGCGATTGCATTGTCTTCCTCAAAAGGGGACACAATTTAAAACTTATTTTTGGAATTTTCCATTTAATATTTTCCAACCACTGTTGACCACGGGTAACTAGAAATGAGAAAAGCAAAATCCTAGATAATGGGAAACTATTATAAATGTTTATAAATGTATTTTAGTAAATACATATTTAAAATGATCTGTATTTAATATATTTAAAATATTTAAATATATATTTAAAATGTTTAGAGGAACACTTTTTCCTTCAAACTTCTGCATTAATTTGAAAATTAATGAAACATCTTATTTATAGTTTAAGATAAATACTCAAATAAATATTTCAAAGGCTCAGGTATATGGGAATTGGGATCCTAGCCCTTGGTAAAGCTCATTTCTTTATAGCTTAGCAATTAGACAGTTTGATAAAGATAATGGTTTCCATATAAATGTACAACTTTTAGTAATTCGAAAAGGCAGTAATTTATTGGAAATGGATCCACAATATTTTAAAAAATGCTTTGCTAGTCTAAGCTGGGTCTTAAATGTAATCGATCTTTATTAGCTTGGTATTCAATATAGCCCAGCTCCAACAAATCGCCCTTATGACAACTTCTACTATTTATGCAGCTAGAACTCTCCATTACTGTCAGGATTAACTACTCATTAATTCCTGAATATACAAAGTCACCTTTGTGAAAATAGCAAAAACACACATGAATTACAAAACTTCACCCTTCCTTCCAGGCTAACTTGCATCACTTCCAGCACATAGTGAAAGGGGAGGAATTCCCTTATCCCCATCGCAGGGTGTGCAATGGAGGCCAGGCTCACTTCTTCGGTGCCCTGCTAGGGAGAGCCTGCAGACTGGCAGGATGTGGGGTGCGTGGGCTCCGATCCCATGGCGGCATCTAGGGGTGAATGTTTCCAGCTCCTGAAGCCCCAGTGGGCATGTGTTAAACAGTGTGCTCTTTCAGTTTTGCTGTCTGTAGGCACTATCTGTTAAGCTCAATTAGACCCTTTGCCTTATCGCAAGGACAGAGGGCTTTCTGTATCCCAAGGTTCTTGTCTTGGTGTACGGGAAAAATCGGATAAACCCTGGGCTTGGAGAATGAGTGCAAGGTTTGATTGAATGGTGGAAGTAGCTCTCAGCCGATGTATGGGAGCCAGAAGGGGAACGGAGTGGGAAGGTGGTTTTCCCCTGGTGTCGGGCCACTCAGGGGCCAGACTCTCCTCTGACCACCCGGGCCAAATTTGCCTCAATGTCCGCGTCGTTCTGCCAGTAGATGGCCTGCTGGCCTCTGCCGGTGCCTGTCGGTGTGCTCTTCCACTCCTCTGCTCCTCTCGACGTCCAGCTGCCTGTGTGCTCTTCTGCCTGTGTGCTCTTCTGCCGGTGTGCTCCTCTAGACATCCAGCCGTGTGTCTGTGCCCGCTAGGGTCTTGGGGTTTTTATAGGCACAGAATGGGGGCATGGCGGGTCAGGGTGGTCTTGGAAAAATGCAACGTGGAAAATGGGCGTGAAAACAGGAGTGCCTGTCCTCACCTAGGTCCGTGGGCACAGGCCTGAGGGTGGAGCCCTCGCCAGGGACCCTGACTTTCTCCTCCTAGCACTTCCCTGCCCTCCTCCCATATTAACAGTTTTTGGCGAATTAAGCCCAAGCAAAATGTCAGCGTCCTCTAGCACTCTGTACTTTGTGTACTACATTTATTAAACAGGTGTAGCTAGATGATGCCCTGGCACAAATTTGTAACATTTGTAGGGATTTGAGGTAAGAGAAAGAGGAATAGACGGAATATCCAAAACTTTGAAAAAGTGATACACATATATGTATATTCATAAAGATATTTACATTCACAAAGAAAACAAGTTTTAAATAAAAAATTTTCCTCCTGGGCCAGGCACAGTGGCTCATGCCTTTAATCCCAGCACTATGGGAGGCCGAGGCGGGCAGATCACTAGTTCAAGACCAGCCTGGCCAATATGGTGAAACCCCCATCTCTACTAACAAAAAAAAAAAAAAAAAAATTAGCCAGGCGTGGTGGTGGGCATCTGTAGTCCCCCTTCTACTCGGGAAGCTGAAGCAGGAGAATCGCTTGAATCTGGGAGGTGGAGGTTGCAGTGAGCTGAGATTGTGCCACTGCATCTCAAAAATACAAACAAACAAAAAATTTTCCTCCTTCAAAAGCCAATGGGTCATCATAATAATATGCAGCTTCTCTAATGAAATGTGAGGCTGTAAAATGATGGAGACAATGAATCTTTATAAAATGTCACTAATAAGACACTTGTTTAAATTCCTATATAGTAACTAAAATTATTAGTTTCTCTTTAGAAAATTTTTACAATTCTTAGTGTATTGAAAATTTCATTAAAAAATTACTACCTATAATTTACTGCTTTCAGTCACATCTATGCTTTTCATGGTTGCAGAAGCAGATTTCTCAGGTATGAACCTTGCAAGTCAGTCAGAGAAGTGGGGAAGGAGTATATAGTAAATTCATCCACTATTGAGTTTTGAACAACTTCTTGATACTGATGGTACACCGTAAGCAAATAAGCATTTCTCAAATTCAACAAGGCAAACCTTTTTGTTTGTCTCTCAAAATTTTCTTTGTTCCACGTATCTTGAGAAACAATTTGTTAAATCTTTCCTATTAAGTTTATCTCAATTATTATCAGGTCTGGATAAACAGAAGAAAAGAATGTAAAATAATATATAAGAAAAGAGAAGCAGATTCAGTTTAGCCTTGTCTGTCTACCTACCCACCTCCCAATCCTTAGCAATTTAGTTGCAAGAATGCCTTCTTCTGAAAATGAATAATCAAGTAGTTTATTCAGAATGCCTCTGCTCATTAGAGAATATTTATTAAAAGAAAAAGTGGAATGCTATTTCAAATTTCCTACATCAAGTTTTCTAATAGATATGCTACTCAAATATTTACCCTAAAATTTTTATAAACTAATAAGATAGATAGCAATTAATATTTCTTCCTGTCCACATGCTCTTGAAATTAATCAAAATCATCTAACGTAAAACTTCACATGCCTTCTTTACTTTGTCTCCCTATATAACTAAGTTATGTTGAAGTTGGTGTGTGTAGCTCAAAAAATACTTTTGTAATTAAATATATAAATGTTCATAGACAATAAATAACATTATCTCACTGTTTTAAATTCACATCATTCTGAATGTGTCAGTTCCATGCAAAGCATTGCAACAGTGAAGAAATTCCTAAAGATTCATATTATCGCTGTCCAATATTCTGGTATTAATCAATATATTCATTCACTTATCAATGTATTTAGTCAAGCAGTTAGTATTTAGCACTAATTGTGCCCCAGATATTGGTATGGCTTTCCAGAATAAAGGTTCTGTTTTCAAAAACGTTCAAAATGTTGTAAATACGTGTCTTAGTTCATTCCTGCCTCTGTAACAAAGGTAACTCAGACTGGATAATTTATAAAAAATAAGAATATATTTTTCATAGTTCTGGTGGCTGGGAAGTCCAGGATCAAGTCACCAGCAGCTTCTGTGTCTAGTGACAGTGCTCTGCTTTACACATTGTGGCTTACTTCTGTGTCTTCATATGTTGGAGGGCAAAAGGGACTAATTTGCTCCCTTAAGCCCTTTTATAAAGCCACTAATCCCATCCAGAGGGGTGAAACCCTTCTGTCTAATCAGCTCCCAAAGGCTCCGAGTCTTAATACTATCACCTTGAAGTTTAAGTTCCAACATAAAAATTTTGGAGTGATACACACATTCAAACCATAGCAATTTGAGAAAGGCTTAAACCTGTGAGTATCAAAGTATGAACTAAGAATAAATATAGGAATGTATTCCGTGTTACGAAGCCAAGACAAGGTTTGGCCTAACACAAAATACTGAGACAAGGTAAAACCTTTCTATATTAAAATAAATTCTTAGCTGTGGCTTTTCCTCCCTCTACTTCCTTCTTAAGCTAAAATAAATTGCTCCTAACTCTGTATCCATATTCGAGATCATTGCCCAATAAGTTTGTTCACAAGCTGTTAGATTGAACTGATATTTATCTGATTGAGTTAATCTGAATGTCCTCTGCATTGGGAATTGCAAAGGCCCAAGTGGTTAAAGTTTAAAGGAGATTCCAGATTTAAGTTGTGGATATTGTGCCATCTGCAAAAGCTGCCATCCATACCAGCATTTCTCATATGTACACACAGAAACAGTATCCATGGAATTTTATTGTTTTAATTGAATCCAATTAAATCAAAGAAAGAACTACATCTTATATGTAATAACGTATAGAAAACTTATAATTCACAGATATCTTAGAATATCTCTAATATGTGGGATTCAGTGAGAGGTTAAGAGAGTTCATCAGAATTGATCAATTTAGTATTAATATTGTAGCAGGAACCATACTCGATCTCTTACCTCCTAGTACTATGGTTTGGAAAGTAGTTCTTAGGATAAATAACTGCTTTTTTTATTACAAATGTGTTGCTAGGATAATGGGTGCTTTAAGAAAAGCCTTAGGAGAGATACCTAATGTAGATGACATGTTGATGGGTGCAGCAAACCACCATGGCACGTGTATATCTATGTAACAAACCTGCATATTCTGCACATGTACCTCAGAGTTTAAAGTATAATTTAAAAATAAAAAAGAAAAGCTAAGAGATCACTGCCTTTAAATTTACTGATTTTCTGAACTCTTCTGCTAATTCTAATTCTATGTATATTCTGATTTGAAACTTTGCATTTCTTTTTCCATAATTATACTTGGTAGTATAGCGCTCTCTTTTTTAATCTCTTTTCGTTTTTAAAAAATCAGAAAGTTTTTTTTTTTTTCCTACCACCTGAAGTGAATATTAAAAACAGCAATCTAGGGAGAACATAAGATATGTAATGGCACACTCATTGTTTACTTAGACTAGTTCATAATGAATATAATTTAGAAAAAACATCTCTACTGATGAAAGAATAATCATGATTTCAATCACATCTACACAATTAAACAAAAAATGCAGATCTGTGCTCAGGAAGATATGACAGTTCTATCTTCCTATGCCAATCACATTTATATTACATGTTGACAGTAATGTGTAATAGTCAATCATAATAAATTTAATGGACATTATTACCGAAAGCATAAGTTTTCTATTTCTAGAAATCACCTTCAATGTTTTTATCAAATCCTTTATTGCTTGTTGAGATATATCAGTTTATTACCGGTTTCAAAATATAAAAATAAATTTTAAAAATGGAAAAACTAAAAAGATTTACCTTTCTAACAGAATAGCTGAAAATTGTGAATTAACCAAACACTTTAAGTAAAAATGTAAACTGCAATGATGTAAACATGTACCTGCTTGGTAGATATCAAATTATGCTTTAATAATATTTTATTTAATTAAAATGTACTACATTTGATTTTTATGTAAAAACATTATATTAGCTTTTATGATGTTATGGTTGTCTTTATGTAAATTTGGCAGTAAGGATTATTGAATAAATAAATCCTAAATGATATAACATTTAATAAGTAATAGTAAATACTAAAAATAACATACAATTTTGAAATGAAATAATCACATTCTTTTGATCATTTTCTTAAGGATTTATAGGTAGAAGATAACATATACTCATAATAATTTGTGTAGTAAATACTAGAATGATTATTATGATTATATTATTTGCAGAATCAGTATGTCAGTAGGGTCTTAAATAAATAATAGAGATATGACATTATTGAGTGCTTGATACATGCTGGTGAAAGTAGTGCATGCATTATCTCAAACCATCCTCATACACTGCTACAATTAGAAATATATGATATTAAAGTTTAGTTTAAATAACGAATTAAGTAACTTCAGGTTAAATAACTTGCCTAAGATCCTACAGTAAGACAAAGTGGTAGAGCTAAGATTTCTAAAAATCTGGCTAAATCTAAAGCCTGTACATCTTTTCTTTAATAAAATATGTTGGCACTTACATACATCCTTTATATTACGTCTGACTTATTTTTATTTATTTATTATTATTATTTTGAAATGAAGTTTTGCTCGTTGCCCAGGCTGGAGTGTGATGGCGTGATCTCAGTTCACTGCAACCTCCATTTCCTGGGTTCAAGTGATTCTCTTGACTCAGCCTCCCAAGTAGCTGAGATAACAGGCGCCTGCCACCATGCCCAGCAAAGTTTTTGTATTTTTAGTAGAGGTGGGGTTTCACCATGTGGGCCAGGCTGGTCTAAAAACTCCTGACCTCAGGTGTTCCACTGGCCTCAGCCTCCCAAAGTGCTAGGATTATAGGCATGAGCCACTGTGCCTGGCCGATATCTGACTTATTTTCAGAATGTTACCTTCTATTTACTTCTTCAATATGTTGCAGTATGTATTTATATTTTAAAAAATAATTTTGACAAACCTCTATGAAGTGCCTGCTTTGTGAATGGAATGGTTGTGCTATACTACATTAGTAACTAATGATGCCTGCTGTTTCTACTTTAAAACATCTTTATAAAGATTTAAATTATGTATATCAAATCCAGTCCTTGTGAAGCAGGATATTTCCCTGACCCCTTCATGTGACTCCTGACAGGGTTGCCTCGTTTACTCAGCCTGCCATGCTCAACTGCTCATGGGAAGGAGCACACAAGAGAATGAGTACAGGAACTGAGGTGAACAAGCACTGGAACCAGCCAGTCACTTTGGTACCAGTGGGATCAAACTCCATGCACTCTGACCCACTGTGTTCCATCCATCAGAGGAGGGAGCACACTGGTGAGTGGGTGCAGGAACCGGCTGGACACTTTAGTGCCCTCAGGAGTGAACTCCTTGCAGCCCTCACAGCAGCTTCCAGGTGGAGGTGACTGCAACTCCTGAAGCCCCAGAGGGTGTGTCACAGGGCTCTTTTAGCTCTGCCATCCAAGGACAGCTTAAGTGTTAACAGCTCAGTGGGCTCTTTGCCTTTTCATGTGAGGCGGTTGCTGTCTGTCGGTGAGGGCAAAGGGCCAGTGTGACAGCCTTTTGTATCCACCTTCATGTCTCCCAAGTTCTTGTCCAGCATTCAGGAAAAATGAGGTCACACAAACAAATTGAAAAGTGGTAAATGTGGGGGATTTTACTGCCAGCAAAAGAGACTCTGAGTGGGAAGGGGAGCTGAAAAGGGAACGGGGCAGGTAGGTAATCTTTGACTGAAGTCCGGCTGTCTCTGGCCAGATTCTTCTCCAAAGTTATGCCAACAAGCTGTCCCTCTGAAGTCAAGCCACTTCTCTCCAACATCTAGCCTTAGTTCCATCTACCAGCTGAGTCTGGGGTTTTCGTAAGCACAGGATGGGGTGGGGAGGAGCCTGGGTGGTTTAGGAAAAGACAACATTGGAGCAGAAAAACAGGGATGTGAGTTCTCACTTTGGGCTGTGGTTTCAGGCTTTTCAACTTGAGGGTGGGGTTTTGCCAGGGATCTTTTCTGCCTAGAATTTCTCTGCCACCTGTCCCTATCACTTGTATAAACAATGACGAAGTTTGATATTTCTAAGAGCCTTTCCAGTTTGCAGGGACAATGTGTCTGTAGTTTACCATGACTGCCACTAGATGGTAATCTTGTTGTTATTGCTGTAGATAGTTCTTAGAGTCCTTAAAAGAAATATGAAAGAGCAAAAGCCCTTGCACATTTAACATTTATTGCAAAGTGTATTAGTTTGTTCTCACACTGCTAATAAAGACATACCAGAGACTGGGTAATTTAGAAAGGAAAGAGGTTTAATTGACTCGCAGTTCCACATGGCTTGGGAGGATTCCTAATCATAGCAGAAGGTGAATGAGGAGCAAAGTCTTACATGGTGGCTGGCAAGAATGCTTGTGCAGGAGAACTTCCATTTATAAAACCATCAGATCTCTTGAGACTCATTCACTGTCACTAGAACAGTATGGGGAAACTGCCCCCATGATTCAATTATCTCCACCTGACCCTGCCTTTGACAAGTGGGGATTATTACAATTCAAGGTGAGATTTGAGTGGAGACACAGAGCCAAACCATATCACAAAGTATAGCAACATATTTTATATTCAAAAATACAGTGTGTCATGAAAATGTGAAACAATTTGAAATAGTCTATTATTTAGGGGGTATTTACTATTTGCCACTGTGCTAAATACATCACAAATAGTTACAAAGATAGATTCTGATAGATTCAAGTAACATATATGTGGCGTACTGATAAATCCAGAATAGTAACATGAACATTCTTATACAAAGCCTGATGTAAATATGCTTCCTCTGCTGTGCCTTGAAATTTAAAAATATTTTTTATAACAAATACAGAGATGCTATTTGACAATACATTTATTTTTTGTAAGCATCCTCTATTATAGAATAAGTTTATGTAAACAGTAATTTTATTTTTAATTATCTATTGGACAGCAGAGTACCTGAAACCTGGAAGAAATTTCATGGCATTTTAATATTTTTCCCTAGGATACAGATCTTAAAAGTGTTCAAATATGCAGATAAAAATCACTTAGGTATTAGGAATTTGTTTTACTCAGTTACAATACTGGGTCTCAAATTTACTTAACACCCTTTTTGAAACTGTACATGATGGTTTCAAATTAAATGTCTGAAAATGTATAGTCAGAAAAAAAACCTTGTTATAGGTTTCAGGTAAGTACATGCTTCAGTGATTATTCACCTTTTTATAAGTTTATAGCTTATTAGAATATGTGTATGTACTACAGAATCACCAGGAATAGAGTAACTGGAGTAAAGGATAATGGCATTGCAATTGTTAATAGAGTGGTGTATATACAGGCTTGAAAGATAAGCTTACATTTAAGCAGAGATGTCAAGGATAAGGTTGTTTGATTTTTAAAAAAGTACAGTACTTTGGTAAAAACCACCATAAAAATCCAGGGAGAAATTTTATAAAACCTAAGTAAATAGAGGTGTATAGTATTTCCAAGGCCTAGAAATTTCGATATTAACATGTTACTCCTCCCCAAATTAATCTATAGGTTCAAGGCAATTCCAATAAAAATCTCAGCAGAATGTTTTTGTTTTAAGAAATGGACAAGCTTATTCTAAAATGAAGTTTTCTAGAAAGCCAAAACAACCTCATAAAAAAAAATTTGGAGGTATAATTTACTTTACTATAGTATTTTATATAAAAAACGGTTTTTAAGATAGTGTGATATTCACTGAAATATACACAAGTAAATCAGTTGAATAAAGTAAAATTAACAAGTAAACACATACATATAATGTCAATGAATTTTGAACAAAGGAGCAAGAGCAATTCAATACGGGAGATGATTTCAATAAATGTTCTGGAAGAATGAAATAACTTTGTGTAAAAATGTAATCTCTGGCCCATATATAGCACAATAACCAAAATTAATTTTAGATGGATCTAGGAGTAATAACTAAAACTAAACAAAATTTCAGTATAAAATATACTGTATTATACCCATGACAGTCAATTGTGAAAACAGTCACTTGAGAGGGTCGAGAAAGCATGAATTGCTCATAACAATTTTTTTAAAAAAAGATAAATTAAATTTAATTAAAAGTGAAAGCCTTTGTTTATCTAAAGATATTGTGAAGAAAATGAATAGGCAAGGTACAGACTGAAAGAAAATGTTCTCAATACATATACATATATATGATAAAGAACTTGTATACAAAATATATGAGAATCCCTGCAACTAATTAATATAAAGACAACTGGAAAGAAGGCTTGAAGGTAATTAAGAAAAAGTACACTGCATCAGTAGTCCTATGGGAAATGCAAATAAATACCAAATTGTGATACCACTAGATAAAGTACAGAATTCTCAAATTAAAAACACTGAATAAATCAAATGTTATAGATTATAGGGAACCACCAGAACACTTGCACATTCTTGATTGGAGTGTACATGGTACCATGTAGGATAGAATAATAGGAAGTTACTTGAAATGTTAAGTTTAAAGCTTTCTTATAATTCATTAATTCCACTCCTAGGTATTTATTCAAGAGCAATGAATGTGTATGTCTACAAATAATTCTCTTTTTTTTTTTTTTTTTTTGAGACAAGGTCTCATTCTATAGCCTACACTGGAGTGCAGTGACACCATCATGAGTCACTGCAGCCTCAATTTCCTGGGCTCAAGCAATCCTCCCATCTTAGCCTCCTGAGTAGCTGGGACTACAGGCATCCACCACTGTGCCCAGCTAATTTTTTTAATTTTCTGTAGAGATGGGGTCTTGCTATGTTGCTCAGGCTGATCTCAAACTCCTGGGCTCTAGTGATCCTTCTGTCTTTACCTCCCAAAATACTGATATTACAGGTGTGAGCCACCATGTCTGGCTAAGAATTTTTAATCAAATATTGTATTTATAATGATTATAGTCTATTGAAATTAACAAATATGTGTCAACAGATGAATGAATAAATAAATTATTGTAGTGAGTTTATCATATTACCTTTGGTGAGGTATGGTGAGTCCAGATACAGATTAAGAGAAAGAATTTGGGAAGAGTTTCACAATTTATTTTGTACATAGTTCTTTGGGGAGAAAAAAGCATACCACTCAGGGTCACTTAGGAAGCACTTTGGATCTCTCAGGAGGCAGAGAAAGAGAGGGAAACTGTGGACAGCAGTCTTTATTGTGATGTCCAAGGGAAGGAACAGGGAAGGCAGAATAAGCAGGTTTAGGATTAGCTAGTTTGAACAGTTGCAATTGGCTCTGGGGTCCAAGGGCTGCCTCTGGCTCTCTGTTATCTGACTCTAGAGCAATTAGGGCAAATGTATAATGGCCTGGAATAAGGAAGGTGGTCAGAGGTTTAGACTTAATCAGCTGTTCAACAAAAAGAATTGACCAGCCTCTAGCCAGTGCCTCAAAACTGGGTCAAGACACCATTTATTGAAAAAACATTATAGCTACATTTTATAATGGATTTTTCTTAGTATTAAGAATAAATAGACTACTGATACGTGAAATGACATGATTGAATCTCAAAATCATGCTAAGCACAAGAAAGTACGGATCATATAGTACATAAGATATGATGACATTATGTGATGTTCTAGAGTAGGCTAAAGTGATCTATAATAATGAAATGAAAACTGAGATTACATGGGGGTAGGTATACATGAATTTCTAGCCACACTCATCAGACTAAAACATAGTTTCCCAAAAATCTTTAATGCGTATGGCTTATTTTCTTGAGTTCTTTTTCCTTTGCCTTTGTCTCTTGGATAACTCATCTTTTCTATAATGCATGCTATCGCTAATCTTATTATGATAGACACAGTTTCTCAATTCATAGATATATCATTCTGTTCATAGTATTTTCTAATGCTTAATAATGAATAAAAATACAACACAAAATTCTATTGCCATATGAAAGAGAGGTAGGCATGTAGGATATATTAGTAAGAAAAAACAAAGTTCATTTATTCAAAATTTGAGATTTCAGATTGTTCAATCAATAATATATAATAATAATACATATGAACAGGATATTATAGAAAATAACATAAAGGGATTAGTAATAATATTCTGGTATTATCTTAAAAATTGGATCGCTGAGGTGTAGCAGATGAAAATAATTTAAAATTGAGATGTGTTAGTCCATTTTCATGTTGCTAATAAAGACATAACTGAGACTGGGTAATTTGTAAAGGAAAGAGGTTTGACTCATAGTTTCACAGAACTGGGGAGGCCTCAGGTAACTTACAATCATGGCAGGCAAAAGGAGAAGAAGCAAACACATCCTTCTTCACAAGGCGGCAGCAAGAGGAAGTGCCAAGCAACAGCGGGAAAAGCCCCTTATAAAACCATCAGATCTTGTGAGCACTCACTCACTATCCTGAGAACAGCAGTATGGTAGTGACCGCCCAGATGATTCAATTACCTCCCACTGGGTCCACCCCATGATGCATGGGGATTAAGGGAACTACAATTCAAGATGAGATTTGGGTGGACACAAATCGAAACCATATCATGAGGCAAATAACTGTAACAACAAGATCTTGCCACACACAAAAAACTTGCAAAAGTGAAAGTTGAAATCACCCATGATAGTAAGTAACAGAATGGATACAAAGACTTTGTATTCGATGACTAAATCAAAGATAGAAATGAAGAGTGAAAATTATCACAGGGTCACAATAATGATGATTGAAATCTTGTAGTAATTTTCTTATGGCATTGGACTTTGTGTGTACTTCTCACAAATATGGGGTATAAAATATATTTGATGACAAACACAGAATATAAAATGCATCCAAATAAAAATATGAAATGCAAAATACAAACTTTTGTATTTTATCAGCACAGAAGAATCTATTCAGTTTCTGACACCTAATAAATATCAACATACATTGCTGAAAGTGAAAGAATTGGAGAGCAAAGTGAATGGCAGAGAAAGGAAAGGGAGGAAGGAAGGAGGGAGGGAGATGGAGGACAGGAGAAAGGGAGAGAGAGAAAAAGGAAAAGAAAGGAAGGAAGGAAGAAATTAAACATCTACCTGTGAGCATATTTAATTTTATATTGTGTCTAACCAGAGTGAAAGAGGAACTGTCCACCAGTTGAACAAAACACATGTGTATACACACACACACTCACATTATATGTATATGCATGGCTTGAGAATAAACATGCTTGAGAAACTATCTCCAGAACGATACTTTAGCAAAAAAAAGCACAGGCTTTGGAATCAGACAGATCTGTCTTGTACTCAGTTATGAGTTTTTGGAGCATCTCTATACCTGCAGTGGTCAGTGGGACATAAGGTGGTTGAAAATACCTGGCTAAAAAGAATGATTCTTCCTAATATTCTGTCACCTTGTCTTCTGTTTCATGTACAGTAAAAAGAAAATGTATTCTTTATAATAAAATCAGACTGTGGATTACTCATTTCATATGATAGTATTATCTATACCACAGTATATATGATGTATCAATAAATGAAATAGTTAAGTAAAATTTTATAATATAAAATTATTGTTTAAAAATTGACCTAAACTTTGCTTCTAAAAATCGATGAAAGTAACAGATGCTAAAGAGCACGTTAGGCAAATTAGTAAAATGTTTATCAACTATAAGACAATAAACATTAGTTTTGCAGTGCATACTTATTATTTTGCTTAAAAATTCAATGATATTATGATTTTGTGGCAAATATAGCTAGCTGTTCACTTAATATTTACGTTCCCATTTTGGAGTTGTTCCAGGAAAGTGCAGACCAGTCAGAGACTGTTTTCCTATGTACTTTTCCTAGAGGTGAGGTTTTGTGATGAGTTCTGGCATTTAGAATCTGGGAGAACAGATCAACAACTCTTCTGGGCCTAGTCTATACAACATCTTGGGCAGTCCTTCTCTCTATCTTTCCAGTAATCTGGATGATTATTGACAGAGAGACCCTGGAGGCTACATTTGCAGACAGCAAATCTTCCAACCATCTGGGTCTTCCACTCACTCCCATTGAGGCCTCCAATTAAGCTTTATGTGGATGAGAAATAAAACTTTTATTTTGTTAGGTCAAGGATAGTTCAGGGTTTACATTTTATAGCAGTTACTGTTATCCTAAATGTGTTGGTTTCTTTGTAAGATTAGCTATATATAGTTGAGAAGCAGATGAGCAATTTTTTTCAAGGACTTAGTTACATATATTTTTATTGCTTTCTTATAATAGTTTATATTGAATTGTTATATTAAGTGTTACAAATTTGCAAACGAAGAAGGTGAGGGACATAAATTTTGGACATAAATATTTTTCAAAATTATCATTAGAAGTAAAACATGGTCCAGTGAAATGAAATACTGCTTATATCAGTTCATTCGAATATATTTATGAATTTTCTGCTATAGTTAAGAGTTTTCAGGCACTCCCGGTAATGAGCAAAACAGACAATGCCGTTCCTCTTAAGTGGATTATGTAAGAGAATGACAGACAGACAACATAAAAGTAAACAAAAAATGAACAAAATCAAATAATGACATACAGTATTTCATAAACTTACATTGTCTCTTACATTGTTTCTTCTGTGAAATGCGAATGTATCTTAGATGCTGTTTGTAAATCCCTGTTGATTAGGCAACAATTGTGATTTGGTTGTCATATTTCACACACATATGGACTTGGTCATAGTTGTGTGTATTGTTGCAATTCATTAAGAAATGTACATTGCTAATATTGCATGTATATAGTATAAATTACATTTCAATCTCTAAAAATGAGAAAAAAAGTAATATATGTGAAAAAATCCATAACCAATTCTAAAGAAGCTATTTTTCAAAAATACAATGGCTGAGTGATAAGACAGAATTGTGTTATAAATTGGCAGTGATTTTTTTCTTTTTCAGTGTTTAATAAAATAACAGTGTCTCTTACTGTCGTTGACATCCTAGGATCAATGAAATACAGCATACCGTGACAGAAATAAACTAAAGTGCATGTTAAAGAGTGACTGCTCCTTTGACTGGAGAAGGCAGGCAAAATTTTGATGAGGTGGTACCATTTTTACAAAGATCCAAATTTAAAAAGAGGGGGTGCTGGTTATGCAAAAGCTGCATAGAACAGTTGAAAAATATAAAATGCATGCACAAGACCTATACTGGAGAAAATATTGTGATAGTTGAGAAATGGAAAACCGTTCATCAACATGGAATGTGACTGGAGCATTTTATGAATGGGGAAAGAATACGCGAGTTGAGGTGTGAGAAGCAGGCTCTGAGGCCAGACAAGTAGATCCCTAAAGGCTATACTAAAAAGCTAGAATCTTCTATGTTAAATGAAAAAGTTCTGAAAGTTTTTTAAAAAACCCAAACATCATAGAATTATGGATGCCATTTTCAGAGTATACTTCTATTGGGAAACTTAAGTTTTTCTTTTTCACAAAAATTTTGCATCTAAAGAAAAGCAAATGAATAACATAAGAAGACAATCTTTTAAAATCATCCTTCTTAAGCAAAATGAATTACTATATTCTACTTTTAATCGCACCCAGTAATAGCTTATCTTGTTTTCTCAGTGCAAAGAATTTTTGATAAAGTACTTTAAAAACATTATGGCAAAACAAATGAAACTAAATTTAATATGATTTTCATTACTTAAAGATAAATTACAGGTAGTTACTTATGAGAAAATGTAAAAATCAGCTAACAGATGTTTTAAACATTTTATTCTTTGGATATAATATTTCAAGCTGTTTTATTTCTTACATCTTTAGGCTTCAACGACATTTAGATTTACCTTATTTGTTGTATATTTGTTTCTGAGGGGACAAAATTAAGACTAATCTCACCCCCCCTCTCAAAACACAAATCAAAACAAAGTTCTTGTTTATTTTGTATTGAGCTGTGCAAGTTGCTTCAGAGAGTGGCCATGGGCTTATAGCTTGGGGAAAACAGTTCAGCTTGAATTAAAGCTGAAAGAGGGATAGCTTATGATGCATCTGTTTTCAAACTATGAAACAGAGGTGAATGAGGGGCATCTATTTATACTTTTTTCTCCTCATCTCTAGACATGGTAAAGGAAACTTTCTGCAAGGACTTCTATAGGAAAAATACTAAGATATCATCAGATTAAGATTTTAACATGTAAGCATCTGGTAATATGAAACATTAATAGAATAAACATATGAAATATAAATAGAAATTACATTTCAGTGATAGGATTCAAAATAATAAAAGCATTTTGGAAAGTTATTTCTTCATTTCTAGTAATTTGAAGGCATGCATGCCTTCTCTATAACCTAGTAGTAGATGTATATGCAAACTTAAAACACTATCTTTACGTGAGAACAGGAGAAATAGCTCAGAAATTTTAAGACAAATCATTTGTAATAATTAAACATAAGGTAATCTAAATGTCCATCAGCAAGAGAATGTATGAAAAAGTTGCAATATTATGAAAAGTAATATTGTATTTCATTAAAAATAATTAGCCAGAGATTCATGAACAACATGTATAAATTTTGAAAAAAAGAAATACAGAGTGAACTATGTTGCTCTTCTTCCTTCTTTTTCCCACAAATCCCTGGGTCAGAAAAGAGTGGATGATGATGATGATGACGATGATGATGATGGTGATGCTTTTGTTGTTATTGTTTTGTTTCTCTTGAAAAAGAGAAGGGCAACCCTGACATCTGAAAACTTAAAAAAAAAAAAATCAGACCACTTCATAACCTTTTATAAGCCTAGACAAAAACAAGTTAACTGTGCAAAACAAACAAAAGTCCAAATGTATTCCATACTGGCTGATATGAGTGACTGCTTCTTTTTTCCAATTATAGTTTTAGCCTCATTCTATTTTTCCCTCCTCCTAGATAAGATTCATTAAGACACTCGATCATAAAATTACTTCCGTTTCCTGGCAGTATCCAACCCAGTACCCCTGCTTCCTTAATTATTCCAAAGTTACCTAACAAAGCTCACATCCTATAATAAGTTATTTGTATCATCACTCTCCCATTGAAATGTCCCACACATCCAACTCCTTCACCTACAGGTGTATACTTGGTAGTCTTGACTAAAGGGCATTGGCACACTTCATGTTTATAAAAGAGTATTAAAAAAGTTAAAATATGACTCTCATACATACATGAATAAATACATATCAAAGACTTTATTTAATCCATTATTAACAAGGGAAATAGGAGATGATGAAACTGGTTAAAAGGAAAATATTTCGAGGGACTGGGTTTTTATACTTATTTTGAAAAAGAATATTGTTGGAGAACAATAGTTAAACACAAAATTGGTCCTATAAGAAGGCAAAAATAAAGAAGAACAAAAAGTCTTTGGTCATAGCTTTTCCACTGAACAGAAATCTACAAGTTATCATGTAAATTTATAGTTAATTCAAATATTAAATCACAAAATCAATTACAGGTAAAATTACCTAGAATATGTAATAATTCTTGGGTAAGTTTAGTCAACAGTGTCTCAAAGTGACAGTAAAATGACATGCTGTATTTTCTTTGTAGATTTCCAGATTTTTCCGTAATATTTTTCTTAACAGATATGTCTTTCTAAAATATAGAGCATGCATAGCTATCATAGGCAAAGCAGGATTATTCTTTATGACAAACTATATAAAGTAGATTATTCAGACATGATGGGGGAAAATACTAACAATTTGCATGATTATTTCTCAAGACAACCAGTGTAGCTTGGATACAACTGTCCTGCCACGTGACTATAAATATTTTTCATGGGCAGAATCTGAATATTGTTTAAAAACTTCCTCTACTTTCTATATGTAGCAAATCCTAGTCTAACTCCACATAGAATAGGAAGAGCAAAAAATAATAATTTTCTCATTTCAGGATTACCTTCTTGCCCTCAGGGTTTGGTTAAAGGGTGTTTTCATATTAAAATAAATAGAAATTGCACTGAGGAAACAAATTAGTAGCACTTAGAGGTGTAAATCTTTTGTTAGATATAAGTACTTAAGAGTACAGGCTCTTAGTTCAGATTGTTTGGGACAAACCTAAATTCCAACTTTTATTTGCAGCATGATCTTTGACAAATTTATCATTTCTCAGTCTCTGATATTCATGATAGAGAGGTCTTAGAAGAAATAATATTTATTAAATGAAAATTTAAGTGCTTAAACTGGAGGGGAGAATAAGGACAAATAAAAGTATAGTCCTGACAAGAAGTAGCCCATTTTGGAGAGGATTAAATATGGCAGTCACATAAAGCATTAAGCATGTCATCTAACATAATGTTTGTTCAATCAATGTAAAATATTATAAAAATAAAAAATTTTGCTTCTAATTCTTATGTAAATATCTAGAAAGAAAAGGTGTTTAAAAACTTTTATGCAGCTTATATATATATACTTTTCAATGATATTTCACATTAATATTCTTAGAAAAATGTGTTTCCATAAATTTTGCAGTTTAATGGTGTAGACCCTTATTCATCCTTTCAAAACTAAAATTTAAAAAAGAAGTTTAACATATTACGTATCTACATATCTAAATTACGATGAATTCAAAATTAACATTCTTCAAATAAAAGATATTACTGTATTTAGTTGCTTAGTATGTACCAGGAGAATCTGTGGATATAAAAGCATATGCAAGCTAAGTCTTCTCTGTTAAATGAGAAGAAAACACATCTTCTATGCCCCATAACTTTCACCTTAAACTTCAAGAGAACACTAGATGAGTAAAAATATTTTACAAATAAACAAAAATTAGCAAATGCTATTTTAGCTATGTTTATAAAAAATAAAGCTATCATCTAAAATCTAATATAAAAAATATATTTTTTTCAGGAACCAAATCTCATTTATAACAATTCTCCAATCGATAGTAGAGTAAAGGATGCTTTTTATTGTTCATCAACAGCATAAATTACTGTAAATGCATGAATTACTGAAACTGATTTAAAACACCAATCTTCATGAGCAATGTAGACAGAGCACTAAATAATTACATTTTATTCTTTCATGCCACTGGGTTTGCAGCTGCAGGGACAGTCCATGGAGGCAGTAAGGACAGCAATTCTAAAGCAGGATAATCTTCCCCAACAAGTTCAATTTTCACCAAGTGGTGCAGTGCTGATCTATACATACTTATTAAATAAATATGCCTACACCTGCAGTTTACTGATTTGAGGGATGTATGCAATCAATAAACTTTATAAACACTGAAAAACTACTCGATACTAATAGATATTCTATCAATTTGGCATTTTAGAATTTGCAAACACCAGCTTTTATCACTGAAAGGCAAAGAAATCAAAGCAAGGGAATGTAGAAATGTATTGGAATTCAGCATGTTTAATACCAAGTAAACATTTAACTAACATGAGCACTAGTAGATGTTGAAATACAACTTGGAAAAAGTTTTAGCATTTCTTTTCTCTTCTTCTTTGCAAATTTTCAAACTTGTAGACAGTAAGAAACATTTATTACCTGTCTGCTCCTTGTGCCACACTTTTACACATAACTTAATACTTTTACTCTCCTTATGAACTATGTACTATTAGAATTCCAGTTTAAAGTTAATGAGCCCCAAAATGAAGAGATTAAGATAATCTGGCCAAGATCGTGGAGTTTGCAGTGAATGTTGTATAAATTTGAAATCACACTTTTGCTCCTATTCCTGTACTGCCTCCATAACCTATTACCACCTGCTTTTTCAAGATGCCATTTTCCCATACAAGACTAATGTCAAATGCCTTTTTTTATTATTTCCATATTAGGAATAAAAACGGAGTTGTGGCACCAACGGAAAGTGATAACATTTTAATTGTGGTAATGTTAAAAAATGAAAATATTGGTTTTTTATGCATTTAACACACAAGCTTTAAATTGCTATATGCGGTTTCCTCATATCGAACCATTGCTTCTTTTTTTTTCTAGCTTCCATAATGTTTCACTGGGTAAAGTTATTAACTCTTGTAGCTCAACAGGATTTGTAAACTGATTAACCAATTTACCATATATTCCGGAGGTGTTAATTTCTGATAGTGCATGTGTGAGGAACCATGCGTTGCAGACACGAATCAAGATACCTTTCATGCCCTTAAGGGACTCAGTCTGCTTAAGATAAGGATTAAATGAATAACAATGTTTCAGGGTAAAAGGCATTAGGGATGTGTTGACAATGAGAAGGAAGCTTAAACTTAATTTTGACTAAAGTGGTCAAGAAGAGAAATCCTCACAGAGTGATATCTAAATTCCGCTTGAAAGAATCAGTCACCAAAGGTCCAGGTCCATGTTTCCAAATTTATGATGTACATTATATTGGTATCAAACCAGATGTATCTAAATTTGAGTTATTTTCTTACAAATAAGTTTCCTTTTATTTTCTTCCTTATTTTTTCTCTAAAAAACTCTCAATTGTCAAAAGACATATAAATAGAAAGTGATTAGTCCTGCACATATATTTAGTAGCAAATTCTATATTTTCAGTCTGATTTTAGATCATGCATGTTGAGGCATAACGCTATACCTCAGAATAATTCAAAGATTCTTCCTGTATATGCTATAAATAATTTAGAAAAAAATACCCCTTTACATATATTTAGGTTAATAACTAAAATGTTGTATAATTTTAAATAACTGAAAAGTGTAATAGTCCAGGAAATTTCTGTAAATATTGAACTTTTAAAAAGTATGTTTCAAAAATTGTATTTATTCAAATAAATGTAAATAGATTGATTTGACACTCTAGTTGTTCAGCAGAGTGGGTAGGAGGAAAGATTATGGGGTCAGACTATCTGGGTTTACACTTAGCAATTCTAATAATGTCTGATACTATAGGCAAGCAATATATACCTTGTGTTCATCCGTTTCCTTTTTAAAAATAAGAAGAAGAATAGAACATGTCTCATATAGGCATGTGAGAAAGTAAATGAATAATACAAGCAAAGCACTTGGAAAGTAAAGGACTTAGAAAACTTCCTGGAACAAAGGAAACACTTTAGAAGTGGTAGGTATTATGATTACTGTCATAATCCTTTCTAAAATATAAGAAAAAACTCATGCTTAATGAATACACAGAACTTTAGATCATTCTATTTCCATCTTGAACTGAGATTTCCATTTCAATTTCCACTGATACATTTTTTCTTAATGTAATGAATAGTATGCTGGAAATTATTTTGTTGCTCACCTTTTATACTTCTTTGCATTAAAAATTGAGTGTAAGTGAGAATTTAAAATTTTTAAAACAATTTTGCAACTGTAAAAATCTAAGTATTACAATTTTATTTTGAATTGAGCGTTTTATATTTGTTTTGGATCAAAACAATATCTAACTAATTTTATTGACACATTTTAAATATAGTACACGTTTGATAGTGTATAGTTTAACGAATAGATGGGTCTTTTATTTTTTAGAATTATGACTACCTGGTTGGACTTTACTTATTGCTAGAGAGCAGTGGGTTTTCCATTCCTACTTTTGTTTCTTATAGCTTAAAATATGGAGAAACATTCACATAAATAATTATACAAGAATGGAAAAAATTTTTAGAGAAATGTCACTTGATATTTTCTTTCGATTCTTTCCAAGTTTTATGTTCAAAATTACATATTTGTCATCAAAAATATTTTAAATCTTTATTACTCCCATTACTTTTATTATTCCTCTTTTAATATTATTGAACACAAAGTAGTGCAAATCTTCAACTGAAAATTATTTTGTATTTATATTCGTGCGCATTCAGGTGAAAATCTTTATATCTTCCCCTTTTGGTTGGAAACAAGGGCAATTTAAAATTGGGAATATGGGCAGGGCGCGGTGGCTCACGCCTGTAATCCCAGCGTTTTGGGAGGCCGGGCCGGGTGGATCACGAGGACAGTAGGTTGAGACCAGCCTGGCCAACACGGTGAAACTCCGTCTCTACTAAAAATAACAGAAAAATTAGCCGGGCTTGGTGGCGGGCGCCTGTAATCCCAGCTACTAGGGAAGCTGAGGCCAGAGAATCGCTTAAACCCAGGAGGGAGAGGTTGCAGTGAGCCGATATCCTGCCATTGCACTCCAGCCCGGGCGACAGTGAGAGACTCTGTCTCAACAATAATAATAATGATAAATAAATAAATACATAAATAAAATTGGGCAATGTGCAAGAGTAATAGCCTACTGTGTGCAAGATGGTTATGCTCCTTCCTCAAAACTGGAGAAGAAAAGTGAGCTAAAGGTACATTCTCAAGCAAATCCATTTTAGGATATAGTACAAATATATTTTATATATATGGAAATTGGTTAGCTTAAATTATTAATGTAAAGATGTTGAGCACCTAGGATATATATAGAGACCAGTTTGCTGGTCACTACTGCGGAGCACAACCAAGCTAGACACGGCAGCCATTATTGAAATCTCTTCCCTATTACATGACTTTCCACATTTTTCCTACACCCAATCAATCGGACACGGAATTTATCCCATAAATTCTATCTTAGAAGTGTCTTTTAAATTGGGATTTTTCTTACCAGAGCTGCTGCCACTGTGAGGTCATGTAACCATTACCTAATCTCTTTCTTGGAATTTTGTAAGAGTCACTTATATTGCCTGGTCATAGACATCGGTTTTCTGCACAGTCCAACCCACAATCCCCATAGTTGCCAAATTTATCAATATTAAGAACAAAGAAACAAATGATTATGATGATTGTGCTTTTTTTCATACAAATTGTAAGTGGCTTCTTATTGCTCAAAGTAACACACAGGTGTCTTAACATGTGTCTTCAATGTACATGTTTAGTTTAATTTTCCATTACTTCCTCCTACGCATGCTAACTATTCTACCTCCATTGCCTTTGCCACTTTTCAAATATAACCAATCTTCTAAGAGTGGTGAGGTTTATCACATGTAATTTCTACTCCCTTGGATACAGCTTTTTACTTTATTCTAATCTTTCTTTCATGTATCTTAGTATTCCTCAAAGACCCAATCTAATTTTTTTCTCAGTAAAAATACACCAATTCAAGACAAACAACAAATCAAAACAAGAACAAAATTAAACACACACACATACAAACACGCTCACACACAAAAACACACGACCCAACTTGCAGCTGTTTCTAATTATTTTTCCTGTATTTCATAATGTTTTACTTTTAAACTCACTTAGATCTAGGTTGACCATACAAATTATTGTGCAATAGGAATTTCTAATTTTAGTTTAAAAGGAAAAATTAGGTTGGGTGTGGTGGCTCACTCCTATAATCCCAGCACTTTGGGAGGCCGAGGTGGGTAGGTAACGAGGTCAGGAGTTCAAGACCAGCCTGGCTAAGATGGTGAAACCCTGTCTCTACTAAAAATACAAAAAAATTATCTGGGCATGGTGGCAGGTGCCTATAATGCCAGCTACACGGGAGGATGAGACAGAGAATTGCTTGAACCTGGGAGGTGGAGGTTGCAGTGAGCCGAGATTGCGCTACTGCACTCCAGCCTGGGCGACAGAGTGAGACTCCGTCTCAAAAAAAAAAAAACAGAAAAAAGAAAAAAAAAAAGAAAAGAAAACCCAATGATAACTGCTTAACGACAATTGATTTATATAAGAGCCATGCCAGGCAAACTGTGATAAATATCCACTCTGGTTTTAGCAGATATAATGCAGAAGTGCAATTCCCAGAATGGCTTATGTTTATTACTAGTCCTGGTTGTCTTCATGGAAGATATTGTGTTTGATCAATATATGTATCTTAGTATTTAGCACATAGCTGCTTCTTGATAAATATTGTTAGATGAATGCATATAAAACTGTAGAGTCATTTGTACTGTGTACAACACACAATTAGTTGTTTTAACATACGTAAACATTGGTTAATATTTTAGTAATGTTATATGTGGTTTTGACATATGGAAGAGCTAAGAGAAGCCTAGGATTGTCTAAGAAACCATTCTCACTATTCTTGGAATAAATTGCTATATTTCATTTTAATGTAAAATTTTAATTATGATATATATATATAAAGTGCAAGAATCATAAAAAGGCACATATACTTATCGATTTGATAAGTATTTGAATATACCGCTGAATTAGAACCCAAATGAAAAGACAGATTTTTAGCAGAATACTGTGAACTCTCTTTCTGCCTACTTTTAGTCACTACCTTCCTCTGTCAGGATAGATAAAATTCTGAATTCTTAAAATTTAAAACAGAGTTAATCTTTCTGTTTTGATACTTTAAATTATATCAATTAAATTATAGTGTATGTACTCTTTTGTGTCTGATTATTTTTCTCTCAACATCATTTTTTGGAAATTTTTGATAACTTCTACAAAATCTGAACATTATGCATACTCTATAATTTAGTAACTAATACATATTTGTATATATACAACAAGGCGCACACATATTCATCAAAGATGAGAAAAAATATTGAGAAGCACTATTCATAACTGTCTCAAACTCAGAATAAAATTCTATTAATAGTACAATTTACTATCCTCATGTAATGAAACATTATACAAAAATAAAAAAATCACACGAAACAATATAGATGTCTGACAAAATAATGTTGAGCAAAATAACTCATATTTCTCTTTAACTCTTGCCATTGGTGACATTGTTATTAAGAATTATGAGTTAAGAATTAAGCTTTTTTTTGGCGATTAAGCAAAATTATCCAGGAGGCCGCTGTCATATGCTCTATGACATTGAGTTTCAGAAAAATATGCAATTTTCTGGTAGTCACCAAAAGTAAAATAGCTCTTTGAAATTTTCTGATGGTGTGCATTTTAATGTAGATGATAAAAGACAGCTAGATTAGATAAATATCAATTTATCAGAAGAGAGTGAGAAAGAGAAAGAGATTATAAGTCTAAAAGTTCATAAACACCATTTCTCCAGGTAAATATAATTTAGGAAAAACCCAATAGCTTTCTATTTAAATATTTATTTCATCAAGAATACTTATATACCATTGTCTGAAGTTTCAAATACTCTTTATAAACATTTAAATAAACACCTGTGCTACTAATTTTATATGTAGAATTGTCTTACTCATACAAAATTATAATTCTTACATTATTTTGTGATTCTAGTGAATGAAAATTGACGATAACTATTATGTATGCCTTTAATAGTGATAGAACAGTGAGTTTGCATTTTTCAACATAAATGTATAATAATAGAATAATTTGGAATATGCAAAATAAGCTGTAGCTTCACACAAATTATAGAAAAATTTGTGAGTTAATGAAAATTAGCATTGGAAACAGCATGTTTGAACATCTGCATTTTTATTTATGTTATGTAAATTTTCTTTTAAAACAAATGTTATATAGATTTTTATTTTATAACCAATTTTTACAAAATGAATTTTCAATTGTATCACCTTTTAACTGAAAAAGTAAAATATATCTACCAATATAGCAATAGGTTTTCAAAACAATTAAAATGCCACTGAAACAAAATGATTAATTAGTATGATACATGATAAGCCAGGGAAATAAATAATGAAAAGAATAATCTTTAAAATCTTGTAAAGTACACTGAAAAACTGCATAGAAGAATATCATTTGCCCAGAAACATGAATGCTCTTTACACATATAATGTGCTTTGTCCCGTCTTACAAAATATTACTACAGAATTACTGAGAAGAGATATATTTGTATATACCCTAATGAATGTAAAATAAGCAAGAGGGAGAGTCAATGGCAGTGACATTTCTCATGGTATGAAAAAAATAAATTGCTTGAATACAAGGAAACCCTAATAAAATGTTTTCCTCAGGTTAATAATCAGAAATATGCATACTACGAAGAAACGAGGAAAATGCTGGCACAGACCATGCATGCTCCTGAAATGCCTTGAAAGTGAAAGTTACAAATATTCTTAAAAATGCTAATGAAAAAGGCTCTGGGCTCAATTCTGTATACTTGACCTATCCCATTATAAATGGCATTTTAGTAAAGGCAATTTTTGTACATGGAATTCTTGCTTAAAGCAGAGCACTAGATAGAAAATAACACAGAAAGTGAAAACAAATCAAATGAGAGTTGTTTGCAGCTTTTAGCGTTTTATCTCCCAAAAAAGACAGAATTTGAATTTGTTTCCTTGTATTACTTTTTTCTCTGTCTTCCTTCTTCTCACCTTTCTCCCTCTTTCCCTCCCTCTTTCCCTCCACCCCCATTCATTCTGTGCTACATTCATAACAAATTGTATTTGTCATCACAGGTTACTAGAGAGAGTAATTTCTGGATTTAATTTCTGGACCTAATTTCTGGAATAAGAAATAAAGTTAGCAGGTCAAGCAAGTATCTGATTACAGAAAACATTTTATATCATAATAAAGTATTTGTACTTCGAACTCCAGAAAATACAGAGCCAACGTTTACTTAAAATGTGAGGGTTAAAAGGTTACATTTAAAAAAATATATAATTCCAAATAATATGTATAGATATTCTCTTTTCTAGGAGATGAAGCTTAATTCTTATCCTCTAGAGCGGAGGCTGAATTTAGTGACTAGTTTCCAAAGAATAGAGTATGGAAAAAAACAAAAACAAAACAAGATTTGGCAGATAGAATCTTAATCAAGTGATCAAGGTTAGCACCACTAGTGACAATTCAGCTTGATGTCATTTGCCTTTTGATAAAGTTACAATAAGAAGACCATTTTACCTATGTTGTAGTGATCTCTTGAAACATACTCAAGTCTAATCATGACAAAACCTCAAAGACTTGATGGAAATTTGAAAAATATACTCCACCAGTAATTTTTACAACTGCCAACATTATGATAAACAAGGACAAACCATCTGAGACACTCACAAACCAGCATAGGCTAAAAATACCTGAAGGCTAAATTTAATGTGCTACCCTGGTTGGTATCCTGGAAGAAAAAGATGGCATTAATTTTAAAAATGTGTGAAATCCTATTAAAGTCTGCAGTTAATAGCCAAGTGTCAATGTGAATTTTTTTCGTTTTAACTAAGAAATTATGTGCCAAGATTTTGTAAGATGTTAACTTTCTTAAAACCACGTGGAAGGTGTAAGAATACTCCACAGTATCTTTGCAACTTTTGTATAAATCTAATATTATTCTAAAATTTGAGTTTAAAAACAAAAAATGAGAAAAATACTGGGCCAAACCAACAGCAAATGAACTGGTAGCAGAGAAGGCAGTAAAGATGTGAGACTATGCGAAGGTGATGGACGAGGGATGAATAAGTGAGAAAATTTGAGAGCTATCCATGATATTGCATCTAAAGCCCTTGGAACTTGATTATATGTGGAGAGTGAAGTGACAATTAAAATCTAATCTTTGGTCCACGTGAATTACCTTAGCAAGATAGAGAATAGAAAAAGGGAGCCAACCAGAGAGAGAGGGTGATAATTGTGTTTATTTCAGATGCAGCCTATCTGTCCGTGTGATAGCCATTCAGAGCTCTCCAGAAGGTAATTGGTCTTTAAATATAACTTTTGAAGCTCAGGAGATATAAGTTGGCAACAAGCCTATGAATGGAAATTAAAGCCTCTACCAATAATAAGAGAAAGAATGTAGAAGACCCAAAATCGATTATTTTGAAGATAGCAATCCATATAGAGACAAATATAAATTATGAAATAAAGAGAAAGAATATATTATGGCCAGGCGCGGTGGCTCACGTCTGTAATCCCCGCACTTTGGGAGGCTGAGGCGGGCAGATCACTTGAGGTCAGGAGTTCATGACCTGCCTAGCCAGCATGGTGAAACCCCGTTTCCACTAAAAGTGCAAAAATTAGCCAGTTGTGATGGTGCGTGCCTGTGATCCCAGCTACTTGGGAGGCTGAGGCATTAGAATCACTTGAACCCGGGAGCCAAAGGCTGCAGTGAGTCGAGATCGCGCCACTGCACTCTAGCCTTGGCGACAGAGCAACACTTCATCTCAAAAAAAAAAAAAAAAAAAAGAAAAAAAGAATACATTATGTAGGGTTCCTTTATATAGAAATGACATGAAAGATTGATTAGTTTTATAGTCAAGAAATTGGTAGAGATAGGTTTCTGAAAAAGTTCAAAGGGGCTAAAATGATATATGACACATTTTTATTAAATAAATGAAACCAGAACCTGGCTTCAAAGAATCAGGAACCTAAAATATATAGACATACCATGATTATGCAATTAATTTTTTTGAACAAGTGATAACGTTCTAACAAATACAAATTGCCGCTTAGAAAAAGAATTCATGTGTAACTTGAGTGGTTAAGGAATATTTTCTCACATTTGCTGCATCTTGTAAAGGTAAGGAAACCATATACTCAAGAAAGGAAACTCAATAAGCAAAGATAAATAAATGTAACAGTTAAATCTAATCAGTGTAGAAGCATAGTTATTTGAAGGAGATCAGTAGAATAGTATACTAGACAAGAAATGTTCAGGTGAAATTGTTGGAAAATCAAAAGCTGTGTTAGATACTGTCTATTTTGTTTACTCTATAAATACAAGCTAAATACTGAGCTATGTTTAATTTTGGTTAAATCCATGACTATGAAGACCTCTATATTTGGCCTGGCGCGGTGGCTCATGCCTGTAATCCCAGCACTTTGGGAGGACGAGGCGGGCGGATCACGAGGTCAGGAGATCGATACCATCCTGGCTAACACGGTGAAACCCCGTCTCTACTAAAAATACAAAAAAATTAGCCGCGCGTGGTGGCGGGCGCGTGTAGTCCCAGCTACTCGGGAGGCTGAGGCAGGAGAATGGCGTGAACCCGGCAGGCGGAGCTTGCAGTGCGCCAAGATTGCACCACTGCACTCCAGCCTGGGCGACAGAGCGAGACTCCTTCTCAAAAAAAAAAGAAAAAAAAAAAAAAAGAAAAAAAAGAAAAAAAAAAGACATCTATGTTTTAGATCCATTTTAGTTTCAGGTAAATTTGAGATGAGGAGTGTATGGTAATCCCACACTAAATGCACAAGACATAAGTTAAAATTAGAAGACAACTTAATGAGTAAGTAAGATTTAACCTTTAAACTTAGCAATAAAAGTCTTAAATTTTAATGAAAATTTCTTACCAATTCATGGTACTTAAAAAATTTTCTGATTATTTTTATAAAAATATGTGATGAGATTTTTAAAGCTTCTGAAGAATAATTAAAAACCAGGTCAAGTTGTTAAACAATTACAAACTTTTATGAAAATTTATTAGATGATTGCATGACACAAGACAAAAGAGTAATGGAAAAATAAAATAAATTAAATTGACTAGTTAGTTATCAATAACTGCAAACATCAAATCTAGGAGGAAAAAATATGATTTTCTAGTCTATTTTGCTTTGTTTTCTGTTGATTGGCATGTATTTAATAAGCCCTAAATCTTGTGAGTGCTTAATAAATATATGTTAGACTAAATTGACTAAATTACACAGACATAAACTCAAGAATATAGTGTTTATGTCAAGTCCCTATTTGGCACAAAATTTGTCTTTACTGTGGGTTTAGATATTTTTCAGTTTTTTTTTCTATCTCTAGTGCAAACTTTTCCAAATATAAATACGATATGATGAACTATTTTTCATCATATCTAAAAAATTTATGCTAATGTAAATTAAGATTCTATATTTGCAATTAGGAAATATCAGGGTGAGTAGCATATAGTTTTCATTATGTCATATTTTATTGATCTCCCTCATATATATAATGGCATAATACAATTTAAATATGAAGTTAGAATTTCAAATCATACAGTTTGGCATGTGACTGACCACAGAGCTTAGTATCAAAAACATATATCAAAATAGCTGTTCTTCTGATGCTTAGTTGCCCCACAGCAGATTTTTGTCCATAATTAAATTCAAGTATAATTAGTAGACCTTGGGGATATCATCTAAGAAATATTAATAAACAACTTTTAATCATTAAACTTTTGCATTTATTAATGAATGTGAATATCTGCACTTATGTTACTCATTTGAGAATTATTTTATGTAATCCCAAATGTAAGTGTAATCCACATGCAGTGGTAAAAAAGTTGAATTGCTGAAGGAAGCAGGGGCTTAATAAAGTTGTAATGTTAGCATAATAGCCATATCTGACTCACACATTGGTTCTGCAAATGTAAACGTGGTGAAGGGAATGGAATGATAGAAATAATTTTAAAAATCGAGAAATGTCTGTTGCTGTAGTGATCTTATGGTGCCAGTTGTATTCTGACGGGAAGTTATTTTGTGTCACTGAAAAACACTTGGACAAATTAAATCTGAGGAATTATTGACCCTTAGATAATAAAATAATAGAAAGATGAAAAAATTAGCAAAAGCCAAGAGTAGTCAATGAGGCCAATGTTGTCAAGATTGCTCAAGAAGATAAAAACACATGTAATTGTGAGTTCATTGATTCCTTGGTTGGATACATTCACAATGCCCCACATTGATTATTCTCTACCTAAGCCTCTAAACTTAACCTTTGCTTTTCAATTATTTTAACCTACATTTTCCCTAGATTGCCATGCCATGAATTTTCCCTTAATTTACATGCTGATATCTATCATTAATGCATTTACTTATGTATTATTTTCACAAGTATTTATAAAGTGACATTGTATGCTAGATATCTTTCTGAGTTTTACACACAAAAGAACAATATAGAGTTCCTGCTCTAATGTAGTTTACATTTTATAGAGGGGAGAAAATGAATAAATATATAAAGAAAACTATTTTGAAGAAATGGAAAGCATATTTATTTCCCCATATATTTTGAGTTTCTTGAGAACAAAGCACTTATTTTTAAAAATATGTAATCTCTCATATTGCTGATATTAAAAGTCAAAATATATTAGATAGATTATATTTAAAAACATGTCACTGTTTCACCTTGCCCCTTCCCTATTGCATTCCAGAGAAGTAAAAGGTTTGCAATTGTTTAACTATTAGTTTAGATATTTGCACGTGTATTTCTAAAAATTAGCAGTGCTTTTAAAAAATAGTTGTCATATTATTCATTTACATTATATCATAGAAAATAAGGATTTAGTGTTACCCTTCCCAGGACATTTACTTCCGCTTGATCTTGTTCAAATACTTAAAAAAGAACCCTTTAAACTATTTAGTCGTAATAAAAATGTAAAAAAGGCACAATAATCAGTACACAGCAAATACACTTTATAATGTACACCTGGGGTATGAAGAACACCCAACACTCCAGAAACTCAATTGGGCCAAGTGGCACACACCTGTAGTCCTAGCTACTTGGGAAGCTGAGTTGGGAGAATATCTTGAGCTCAGAAGTTCAAGGTTACAGTGAGCTGTGAGCTATGATCACGCAACTGCACAAGATTCTTTCTCAAAAAACAAACAAACAACAGCAACAACAAAAACTCCAAATGTAACTATTATTTTGACTTCGAAAACCATAACATTTTTTACAGTTTTGGACTTCATGTAGATGAAAGGAAAATGTATGTATATTTTGTTGGTAGCATCATTTGTGTTACATTATGTTTTAAAATTCATCCATGTTATATTAAAGTAGATTAATTTTATGAACACACTCCAATATATTTATCCATTTTACTGATAATGGACAGTTGCACTGTTTCCAGTTTTTAAAACAAATTCTGGTGCTAGTCATATTTAATATACATTTTCTGGTACACTTATACTCTCACTCCTTTACTTTTTATATAAATACAACCACACTGAGGTTTAATGGGCACAAAAATAAACATCGAATTTTTTCATTTTTATGTGTAGATATATATTTATATCTGGTATAATTTTTTTCTGCTTCTATGACTTCCTTTAATATTTTTTGTAATGCTGGTCTGCTATCATAATTATAATATATTAATATAATATAATTCTTAATCTTTCAGCTTTTGTAGCCTGATAAAAGTATTTCATCTTTGTATTTGAGGACATTTTTCTAGATATCTAACTGTAGACTGGCAGGATTTTTATTTTGTCTTTAGGAATTTAAAGATGTTGCTCCATTGTCTTTTGGCTTGTGTTGTTTCTGAGCAGGAATCTGTTGTCATCCTTATTATCTATTAGGTATCCCTACTCCCCCTGGCTGCTTTTAAGATCGATTTTGCGGGATGAAGTGTCTCACACTTGTAATCCCAGCACTTTGGGAGGGTGAGCCAGGTGGGATCAGGTCAGGAGTTCAAGACCAGACTGGCAGGAGGTCAGGAGTTCGAGACTAGCCTGGCAAACATGGTGAAACCTCATCTGTTCTAAAAATACAAAAATTAGCCAGGCATGGTGGTAAATACCTGTAGTCCTAGCTGCTCAGGAGGCTGAGGTAGGAGAATCTCTTGAACCCAGGAGGCAGAGGTTCCAGTAAGCCAAGATTGAGCCACTGGACTCCAGCCTGGGCGATAGAGAGGGACTCCATCTCCAAAAAAAAAAGAAAGAATGATTTTAAGTACTTTAATTATAAGGAAACATTTTCCTTATGTTTCTATTTCAACGTATAATTCCATTTATACAATATTTTAATCATGCCACAACAATGCAGTTAAAAAAAGAGACAAAAATAAAATAAAAGGAATATACAAAGCAATAGAGACAGATAATCGATTAATGACTCTCTGGTCCTCACATGAAAATACTTTGAAGTTATACTGCTGTTATAGTAACATAACTATAAATATATTAGAAACATTGAATTGAGTGTTATGCAATTTTTATAATTTTTTAAAAAAACATTCCATAAAATACTAAAGTCACTAAATAACTTTCTGAAAACCAACTCACAGAATCTGAAAATCACATCAATTTCCTGTCCATTTCAAGAAATATGAAGTGGAATTTCTGTATTTTTCTGCTAGGTCTTGTTGGTATATTTATGTCAACAATTCTTATTCTACAACTTTCTATGTCTGCCTTTAACTGTCATTTTTTTTTTGCTTTATATTGGGGTCTTTGTTTTATATATAATATATATATATGCTATGTACATATTTACAATTCTTCTTGATAGATTTATAATTTTTCAATATATAATGCCTTCCTTTGTCACTTGTAATACTTTTTTTTTTTTTCTGAGACGGAATTTTGCTCTTGTTGCCCAGGCTGGAGTGCAATGGCGCGATCTCAGCTCACTGCAACCTCCGCCTCACAGGTTCAAGCAATTCTCCTGCCTGAGACTCCTGAGTAGCTGGGATTACAGGCATTTGCTACCACACCCAGCTATTTTTTTCTATTTTTAGTAGAGTCGGGTTTCTCCATGTTGGTCAGGATGGTCTTGAACTCCTGACCTCAGGTGATCCGCCTGCCTTGGCCTCCCAAAGTGCTGGGAGTACAGGTCTGTGCCACTGCACCCGGCCTGTCACTTGTAATACTTTTGTCTAAATGTCTATCTTGTCTAAGTATAGTCATCCCAGCTCTCTTTTGGTTACTATTTGTATCAAGTATCTTTATGCAATGTTTCACTTTCAACCTATTGGTGAGCTTGAGACTAAAGTGAGTCTCTTGGAGATAACATTAAGTTGGATTATCTATTTGGTTGTTTATATCTTTTAAAACATTTTATCTTAGATTCAGAGAGTGTATGTACATGTTTGTCAAGAGTATATTCTGCAGTGGTGGGGACTGGACTTCTAGCATACCCATGACCCAAATATTAAACATTGTACCAAACAGGTAATTTTCAAATCTGACCCCCTCCAATTCTGCCACTTTTGGAGTCCCCGGTGTCTTTTGTTTCCATTCTTCTGGCCATGTGTACCTGTTGTTTAGGTCCTACTTATAAGTGAAAATGTGCAATATTTGATTTTCTGCTTCTGAGCTGCCTCACTTAGGACAATGGCCTAAGATCCAGATCCATACATGTTGCTGCAAAAGACACGATTTCATCCATATTTTATGTCTGCACAGTATCCCGTAGTGTGTATATACCATCTTTTCTTTATTCAACTACTGGTGGACATTTAGGTTGGTTCATTTAGTAACACATGACTGTGCTACTGTGAATAGTCCTGCAATAAACATATAACTGCAGGTGCTTTTTATATAATAATTCCTTTCTTTTGGGTAGATGCCCAGTAGCGGGATTGCCAGGTCTAATTGTAGTTCTATTTTTAGTTATTTGAGATGTGTCTATACTATTTTCCATCGAGGTTGAACTAATTTACATTCCCACCAACAGTGTATAAGTGTTCCCTTTTCTCAGCATTGACAACAACAGCTGTTGTTCTTTGACTATCTAATAACAGCCATTCTGACTTGGGTAAGATTATATTTCAATGTGGTTTTATTTGCATTTCTCTGATGATTAGTGATGCTAAGCATTTGTTTATGTGTTTATTGGTGGCTTGTATTTCTTCTTTTGAGAAATGTCTGTCTATGACCTTTGCTCAGTTTTCAATGTGATTTTTTTTAAATTGTTGTTTGAGTTCCTTGTACATCCTGGATATTAGTTCTTTTTTTTTTTTTTTTTTTTTTAGAGACAGAGTCTCGCTCTGTTGCCCGGGCTGGAGTGCAGTGGCGCGATCTCGGCTCACTGCAAGCTCCGCCTCCGGGGTTCACGCCATTCTCCTGCCTCAGCTTCCAGAGTCGCTGGGACTACAGGCGCCGGCCACCGTGCCAGGCTAATTGTTTGTATTTTTAGGAGAGACGGGGTTTCACCGTGGTCTTGATCTCCTGACCTCGTGATCCACCCGCCTCGGCCTCCCAAAGTGCTGGGAGGATATTCATTCTTTATCAGAGTCATAATATTCAAATTTTTTCTCTCATTCTGGAGGTTGTCTGTTTATTTATTCTGTTGATTATATCTTTTTGCTGTACGGAAGTTTTTTAGTTTAATTCTCATTTGTTTATTTTTGTTTTTGTTACATTTGCTTTTGGGGTCTTCATTATAAATTCTCTGCTTTGGCCAATATCCAGAAGCATTTTTTTCTAGATTTTCTTCTAGGATTTTTATAATTTCAGGTCTTACATTTAGATCTTTAATTCATCTTGAGTTAATTTTTGTGTATGGTGAGAGATAGGGGTCTAGTTTCATTCTTCTGCATATGGCTAGCCAATTTATCCAGCACCATTTAGGGAATAGGATGTCGTTTCTCCAATGTTTGTTTTTGTCAAATTTGTTGAAGATCAGTTGGTAGTAGTAGCTATGGGGCTTTATTTCTGGGTTTGCTATTCTATTCGATTGATCTATTTTTTTACTAGTACCATGATGTTTTAGTGATAATTGTTGATTTTCTTGGATATAGTCAGAATTAAAATTGAAAAATCCTCACCCATTATTTCTTTAAATATATATTTTTTTCAGTCCATCTCCTTTCCTTCAGGGACTCCAGTTACATGAATATTAGGCTGATTGATGTTGCCCCACAACTATTGATAATCTGTTTATCTCCATTTTTTTCTTCTTTTGTCTTGTTTTGAACAGTTTGGTTGCTATATCAAGTTCACTATTCATTCTTCTGAAATATCTACTGTGATAGCAGTCTCCTCCAGTGTGTTTTCATAACAGGTATAGTATATTTTTTCTCTAGTATCTTAACTTGGGTCTTTTTTTTATAACTTCCATCTCTCTAATTATTATGCTAATTTTTACTTCTATAAAATAATTGAAATATAATTATAATAAAGTTTTACTAATATAATCACATTACAGTTATAACAACATTTTTAATGTTCTTCTTTACTAATTTTATCATCTGGGTCATATTTTGGTATCTTTATATTGATTTTTTCCCACATTATTAGGTTTATTTACCTGCTTTATTACATGACTGGTAATATTTGATTGGATGTTCGACATTGTGGAATCTATGTCATTGACACCTGGGCATTTTTGTACTTTGGTAAGTACACTTGAGCTTTAATCTGAATTAGCATTAAGTTACATGAAAATAGTTTAATAGTTCGATCTTTGGAGTTTCTATCCTAAGCTTTGTTTGATCAAGTATACTAAATGCTGCTTTTCTCACTACATAGTTTTCTTCTACAACCTGAGTTTTTTTTTACTTCCCTCAGATATAATTTTTCTTTTTCATTTTTTAAAATTAAAATATTTGTTCTTCATTGAATGTTTTATACGTTTAATAAGGCGTTACAAAGGTTACTAAAGTTTTCGTGTTTCAGTAATTGGTATGCCTGGACCATGGATGATTTATGATAGTGGATCCATCAGAACTGCCTTATTGTGAAAAATCTTTATTGCTTTTATGGTTGATTGTTTTTTCCACATGGGATAGTTAGCTTTCTGAGACAGGAGTTTTCTAATTTCCAGAGCTGGGGTATAAACCTGCTTGCCAACATTCTAGCTTAGTGGCAGAACAAAGCTGAGTGGGTGTTTCAGTATTTAATGCAGTGCTTCTCCCTTCAGTCATTTTTGGTGTTTCCAACTTCAAAGTCTCAATTCCTTTAGAGATTAAATCTCTGATCTTTCGTTGGAGAGATTAGGGGAAGATATCTGTGCAGCAAGAAGCAGGATATGATCTAATTACTTTTTGTACAGGTTTTAAAGCAAGTTTCTTTTTTAGTGTCACTTAAAACGCCAGATTTCCAATACTTTATCTCCACCTCCCAATCCTTTATCTTCACCTCCCAATCTTTCTTGTACTGCTATGGTATCAATCAGATTATTTCTTTACTTCCTGAACTGTTGGATTTTATGTAATCCTGCAGAAACCCCTATTTCATTTCTTCTTGCCAATCTGTCTTCTAGTATCCAAACTGTAATTAGTGTTATCTTCCATCCCATGCTGTTTTTTTATTATAAGTATATATTCTTTTTATCCCTTTTCAATCAATTTGATGTGGTTTTAAAAGGTCATGGGGGTAAATCTAAGTGCTCACCATGTTTACCTAGAAGACACTTATTTATCTTTGCACCACAAGATCCAGTTGCAATGCCTAGTGTAAATGTGGCTTAATAAATATCTTTAGTTAATTTGATTTCATGTGCTTTAATGGATTAAGATAAAAATATTCACGACTAGGACAACATGACTATAATAATTGAAAAATCTAGTCTGAGAATCACTGTAATTTTCTTGTCTAATTATGGCTCTCACATTATTTGGTAGACAAAAGCAATAAAGCAATTTCATTAATAAACATTTCATAAATTGAAAAAAGTATGTTAAATTATTACTTTTACTGAAATTCCACAATTAGTTTTTTAACCACGAATGTAAATGTATTTGTGCATGAAAAATAAATATCATTAGTTTGGTTCCACTAATATTTAGTTAGCAATTGTTTTTTACTTTAGATCACTTTTTTCTATTTTTTCTAGCTTTAAGTTTGTTAAATGTTTGGTTTTTATTTCTATTTCTGAGTTATAACACAATTAAGCCAACATTTTATAATCCATTAATGAAAGGATGAAATAATGATAAAATAGATACATAATTCAAGATGGTGTTATTAAATTAAGGAGTAAACGAAGCTTTACTATAGAACATTTTATCTTGAGTGCTGAGGGAAGTGAATCTGTCACTGTGATGGCTTTGAACAAATAACTAAAATAAACAAAAAAAGTGAGTATTGAAAGTATGAAGATGACTATCTGAAATATGAAATTTATTGAGCTTACACTATCTTATTACCCAGTAGGTTGTCTTTTATGAATCTTCAAATAGCATCATGAAGCATCAAAGTTGAGATTCTTTTTAATATAATGCAAAGAGAATACTCGAGGAAACAAATAGTGTATTTTCCAGAAGAAAAACAAAATAATGCTCACCCATACAAAAATGATTAATTTTGTTGCTAAAGGCAAGAGAATGCCCTGGAACAGAAACATCATTCAAAGTTTTCCCACTTGTAGCAAAAACAACGTCTGAATCCAACTACTTCTGAGGAGTTAGTAAAATCAGATACAATATTAATGAAAATGTTATTCTCACAGAGAAAGCAGACTAGCTGTTGGCAAAATTTCTCCATCAAATGACAGTTAGGCTTAATGTAATATTAATGCATCTAATATGGAAAAGCAACTATTATTATATATGTATGCTAGAAGATTATTTAATTTGCACTCGGACAAAAACACCAATTTAGAGAATATAAATTAACCCTTGGCATATCAGTAGTTCATATAAGGAGTAAATGTGCTTATGTTTTTGTTTTATTCTTTTGTCTATATTCAGTGATAGTCAGAAAAATATTTTTTCACTTAATAGTTATTTTGTGAATCATGATACAATCTTCATGCATACAATACACGAGTGTCTTAAATGCTAATATATGTTTTCTTCAGTCACAGAAAAAATGTGCTGGCACAATGTTCCATTTTTATTTATTCAATTTGGAAAAAATTAATAATGAAAACAAATATGACCACTTCACAATCACTGTGTTTTTTCAGTTTGTTTTAAAAAGAAATTAAAATTGAGTAAAATATCTTGATTTGACATAATGAAGTATGTTAATTGTTACATATTATTGGACTCCTATGAGTTTCTGAAAACAGAAATTCAAAGTACACATTTATGACACAGGTAATGACAAAACCTTTTTAATGATAAGTGATTTTGTTTTGGTTTACATTATATGTCTAAATGACAGTCTTAGAATTGTGAATAACCTGAATATCTCATTTCATGGTCAAAATATCCTGATTATTTTATTAAAGATAATATATGAAGATAATAGCAAACAGCTTCACTGATGAAAGTTTGAATATTACCTAACATCTGATGCTTATTTTTTTATATATAAAGGAAATAATAGTATGTTATTGGGTATATTTTGAAAGCATATTCAAATATTACAACAGAATATAAAGAATGTTTTCCAGGACTGAGTATATCCAGAGAGTAATGAGGAATACATAAATGCCAATCTGCAATGAAGAACCTTTCCACTTTGTAGTAATGGAATGTAACATGCTCACTGGCTTAGGATCTGTGGGAACACAGAATTCAGTCTTTAACAGGAATCCCCACAATGTTTTAGAGGCAAAACTACAATAAATACCTGCCAATTGCTGCCTTGCCGGATGACCTCTAAATGTTTTGGCACTTTATATTTCCATTAAAAATTTTAAAATAAAAGTGACAGTTTAATGAAAAATCTAGTCTTTTATTTAACAAATAATATATTAAGGATCAGGTTACAGAGAATGCTATAGATACTGGCAGTACAACAGTGGAGAAAAAGGAAAGGCAGACAGAAAGACAGAGAGATAAGAAAGGAGAGGAAAGAAGAGAGGGAGAGAGAGGGAGAGAGGAGAAAGAGGAAGGTAAAAGGGAGAAGCAGGAAAAAAAGTGAAAGAATACATGGTGGGGGGAGAATAAAAAGAAAAATGAAATAAAACAAAACCTTAACCACAACCAGCTTGCCTTCTAAAGAAAATCTAGGATATTACATAAAGCAATAACGTTTGCCTCGTTGTGAATGAGAATTTAAGCTAAAATTTGAAATAAACGTGGGAGTGAGTCATGTGGATACCAGGGGCTCTATGTAAGTGCTATAGTCAAAACATATTGTTTGGTAATTGATGAAATATTGGCTATTGACAACTTCCACAAGGAACAAGCCTAACTCCTCCATTGGATGACATCCCTCCTAATTTACTGTAGCGACTAAGAGAAAAGATTGTTCCAGTATAGTACCTGGTTTCAAATCCTGTGTTTAAGTCAACAATTGATGTATAATTTGTGGCATATTATCATAACTATCTGAATCAGAGTTTCCTCAACATGATTGGGATAAAAATAGTTTTAAACTAACAGGTTCTGTGTGACACAAATAAGATAATACATAAAAAGCATAAAGCATAGTGTTTCACATGTGACAAGTATAAAATAAAATTTAATTAACATATTTATCTAATATTGTCAATTTTACAAATTAGCTTTGGTTGAATTCAGATTTCCACACAATATTGAAAACATCCATTTGGTGATAGTTTGCTCTATTAGCAGTCATATGGTTTGACTGTGTTCCCACCCAAATCTCATCTTGAATTGTAATCCCATAATCTCCATGTTTTGTGGAGGGACCCAGTGGGAGGTAATTGAATCATCAGGGCAGTTACCTCCATGCTGTTCTCGTGATAGTAAGAGTTCTCCCAAGATCTGATGGTTTTATAAGGGGCTTTTCCCTCTTTTGCTTGGCACTTCTCCTTGCTGCTGCAATGTGAAGAAGGACATGTTTGCTTCTCCTTCTGCCATGATTGCAAGTATCCTGAGGCCTCCCCAGCTATGCTGAACTGTGAGTCAGTTAAACCTCTTTCCTTTATAAATTACCCAGTTTTAGGCAGTTATTTGTAGCAGTATGAAACATACTAATGCAGACAGATTTCCATATGTCTGTCAAATAGTAAATTACCAGTATGATTTGAACAGATGCTATATTGTTTTAGAGAAAACTATAATGTTCCTCTAATAATGCATGTACCTTCATGACAATACTGGAGAATACTTTGACAGCATTAGAGGTGAGTGTTTGTATAAACCTAAATAGAAGACTACTACTATATATAAATAACATACATTACAGTTAATATTTTTCACCAGTGCTTCAGAAATGCTGTCTATTTGTGTGTTCACAGGCTTACCCAATATCCAGTGATAAATACTACAACATAATGCCAATTGAGTCTTAGTATAAACATTAATATAGTTTTACTTGATTTATCCATGTCTCTAGAAAGATTCAAGCACATGAGAGCAAGAATTATCATTTAAACCATTTTCACTTTATGTAAAGTGAGTTTCTGAATCCATCCTGTGGTTCTGAAATGCATAATTGAAAAAGACATATGCAGCAACTGGCAGATTTCTCATATTGGTTCCTTGATCTGTGGAGTGAAGACTATTATGGTAGGAAAGTGGAAGCCACCTAGATCTGCTTCTATCTAGGAAAATAGCTAATGAAAAGCACTACCAAATTTCTGGAGGGATTGTAGAGATTAGCACCACCATCCTTCAACTTGCATATTTGGCATGTGCAGAAACAAATGAATCTTGGAGAATGAGTATAGATTATCCTTAATTTAACTGGGTGGTGAATCCAAATGCAGCTTCTGTTCAAGATGCTGTTTCATTGCTTGAGAAAATTAATACTTCCCCTGGTACCTGATATGCAGCTGTTGAGCTGGCACATATTTTTTCTAGATGCCTGTTAGTAAATATAATTAGAAGTAGTTTGATATAGCTGGTGAAGGCAGCAACACATCTTCACTGTCCTATCTCATGGGCGTATAAATTCCTCATTATCATGTTACAGCTTAGTCCACAGAGGGCTCAATCATCTTCCCTTCCACAAGAGACCACACTGGCTTCTTATATTGATGATTGTATGCTTATGGGAACTAATAAGCAAGAAGTAGAAATTACTATAGACATATTAGTAAGACAGAGTACGTCAGAGAATGAAAAATCGATATAACAAAAATTTAGGGATCTTTCACTTCAGTAAAATTTCTAGGAGTCTACTGGTGTAGAACATGTTGAGATATCCTATCGAAGGTGAAGGATCAGCTCTTGCACCTGGTTTCTCCTATAATCAAAAAGAGGCACAATGCCAAGTTGTGCTGCTTTTGAGAGGGTCCCAGAACAAGGAGAAGAAGGCTCTACAGTAGGTTGTGGATACTGGGGTAATTATAAATACCAGCTAGGATCACATGTCCACTTACAGAAATGTGGACTCTAATTGTTATGAGTATTTTTTATATGAATATATGTATTCACACACAAACATATGATTTTTATAATATATTTTGTCTTCCCTTTCTTATGTATTTATCATCTAGCATAATATTTATTAATAATAGTTAATTTTACATCACATTATTTATCAGTCAAAGCTGCCCTTCTATGTGGACCATATGATCTAGCAGATTTGGTGGTGCTCTGAGGGTTGGTGGCAAATACAGATGGTGTTTGAAACGTTGGCAGGCCCCTATAGGTTAATCATAGCACAAGCCCCTAGGATACTGGAGTTAATTCCTAGCATCTTCTGCAAATAACTATTCTCCTTTTGGTAAACAGTTTTGGGGTTGCTGCTGGGCCTTACTAGAGACTGAAGGCTTAATCATGGGCCACCAATTTACTATTCATTCTGAGTTATTCATCATAAATTGGGCATTTGTTGACCCACTAAGTCGTAAATTTGGGCAGGAATAGCAGCACTCAAATCAACAAGTGATTTAGCTGCTTGGATATGGACTTAGAGAAAACATGATTGGACGATTGATGACAAGGATGTCTGAGAGAAAAGTATGTGGATAGGCTGCTCTGATTGGGTAGCAAACTTGAAGATATCTACATACCTTGCGGATGGCCTCAGCAGAATAGAATTTTAATAATTAAGTGGACAGTATGGCGTGTTTTGTGGGTATCAGCCCCTTTTCCTAGCATCTCCTGTCATTGACTAGTGGGCTTATGAACAGAATGGTGATGGCAGCAAGATTGGCAGTTAAGCACATTGGCAGCAGTGTGAACTTCTGCACCTAGATCGTCCTGTGTACAGCCACTACAGCTCAGCCAGCCTTGAATAGAAAGACTGTTGTTTTCTATTGCTTTCAATAGAAAACAACAAAATTTTCTGATATGGCACCATTCCCCTGAATGATCAGACAGCTACTTGGTGATAGGTACACTGAATTGGACCACTTTTATCATAGAAGGGCAACACTTAGTTTTTATTGTAATAAACACTATGGATATGGATTTGCCTACTGCATGCAATGCTTCTAGAAAAATTACCGTCCACATTCTTATGAAATGTCTCATGCACCATCAAGGTATCCCATACAGCATTGCTTCAGATTGCAGAATTCACTTCATAGTATATGAAAGGGGCTCATGCTCATGGAATTTGTTGTTTTCACCATGTTCCCTATTATCCTGAAGCAGCTAGTTTGAGTTTGATAGAATAGTGGAATGGTCTTTTGGAGACACAGTTACAATGTCAGCTAGGTTGCAATACCTTACAGTGCCGAGTCATTGTTCTCCAGGAGGGTGTATGTGGTCTAAATTAGTGGTGAGTTTCTCCCATTTCCAGTATTCAAAGGCCAATTTATCAAGAGGTAGAAATGGGAGTAATACCTCTTATTATCCCTAGTTGATCCCTAGTGTTCAACTAACAAAATACTTGCTTCCTACCCCTGTAATCTCATGTTCTGAAGGTCTGTAAGTTTTGGTTTCAAAGAAAAGAAAACTTCCAGCAGTTGACACAATAATTATTTCACTGAACTGAAGTTGAAGACTGCCACCCAGCTGTTTTCGGATCCTCATGCCTCCAAATCAAAAAACAAATAAAAGACTTGCTATATTAGCTTGGGTGATGGATCCTGATTACTAAAGGGAACTTGAGCTATTTCTGCGTAATAGAGGAAAAGTAGAGTATGTTTGGAATATGGGAGATTCCTTAGAATGTATTTTATTACTGCTCTGTCCTGTGATTAAAGTCAATGGAAAACTACAGCAACCCTACTGGGAAGGACTACTAATAGTCCAGAACCTACAGCAATGAAGGTATGGATCAGCTATCCAGACAAAAAACCATGAGCAACTGAGGTGCATTCTGAAAACAAACGAAATATGAAACGGAGAGTAGAAAATGGTAGTTTTAAGCACCAGCTTTGACCACATGGCCAGGTGCAGAAATATTAATTCTACTTATTCTAAATATTTTTTCTTATTTGTTATGAATATATAAAGATGTATACATTTATTAAAATGTCTTTGTTTTCTTCTATCTCTTATCTTTTCATCATCTGCAGTACATAACCATAGTTAACTTTATATCATATTATTTAAGTTACAAGGCATAAGGGATGGCTTACAACTGCCAGAAGCATGATACAATTTCTCTTTCAGAACCTCTGAAAAGAGAAAATTCAGCTAGCACCTTGATTTCAGAATTCTAGTCTCAACGACTGTGAGATAATAAATTTCTCATGTTTTAAAATACCTAGTTTGTGTTACTTTGTTATGGCAGCCCTAGGAATCTGATAGAAATATGAATGGATTGTTTGAGGATATTGCCCTTTAAAACTAATTCAATGTGAACTTACAAAATAAAGTTGCCATAGTTAAATTATTACCTTTTATTATCAGATTTTTTTTTTCTTTTTGCTTCAGGCTTTGCTTTATTCTGAAGCCAGACTAGAGAGATGGCAACCACCTTGGAGGGTGGTAGTGAGGAAACTTTTTTTTTTTAATGTTTAAGTTCAGGAGTATACGTGCAGGTTTGTTACATAGGTAAACTTGTGTTATGCGGGTTTGCTGTACAGATTGTTTCATCACCCATCACCCACTAGGTATTAAGCCTAGTATCCATTAGTTATTTTTCCTGATCCTCTCCCTCCTTTCAGCTTCCACCTCATGTAAGTCCCAGTGTGCACTCCCCTCTATGTGTTGTGTCCATGTGTTCTCATCATTTAGCTCCCACTTATAAGTGAGAACATGTGTTTGGTTTCTGTTTCTGCATTAGTTTCCTAAAGATGACCTCCAGTTCCATTCTTGACCCTCCAAAGGACATAATCTAACTTTTTTTATGGCTGCATAGTATGCCATGGTGTATTTGTATCACATTTTCTTAATCCAGTCTATCATTGATGGGCATTTAGGTTGATTCTATTTGTTTACTATTGTGAATAGTGCTGCAAGGAACACACACATGCATGTGTCCATAAACAAAATGATTTATATTCCTTTGGGTATATATTCAGTAATGAGATTGCTGGGTCAAATGGTATGTCTGTTTTTAGGTCTTTGAGGAATCGTCACATTGTCTTCCACAATGATTGAACTAATTTACAGTCCCACCAACAGTGATAAGTGTTTTTTTTCTCCACAACCTTGCCAGCATTTGTTATTTTCTGACTTTTTACTAATAGCCATTCTGACTGGTGTGAAATGGTATCTCATTGTGATTTTGATTTGCATTTTTTTAATAATCAGTGATGTTGGGCTTTTTTTCATATGATGGTTGGCCGCATGTATTTCTTCTTTTGAAAAGTGCCTGTTCATGTTCTTTGCCCACTTTTTAATGGAGTTGTTTTTTTTTTCTTGTAAATTTGTTTATGTTCCTTTTAGATGCTGGATATTGGACCTTTATCAGATGCACACTTTGCAAATATTTTCTCCCATTCTGTGGGTTGTCTGTTTATTCTGTTGATTGTTGATAGTTTCTTTTGCTGTGAAAAAGCTCTTTAGTTTAATTCAATCCCTCTTTAGTTTAACTTAGTTTCAATTTTCAATTTTTGTTTTTTTGCCAACACTTTTGACATCTTTGCATAAAATCTTTGCCTGTGCCTATGTCGTGAATGGTATTTTACATTTAAGTCTTTAACCCATCCTGAGTTAATTTTTGTAAATGGCGTGTTTTTCTTAATTTGCATAGCACTATTTTTTTTCCTTTTTTTAAAAAATTATACTTTAAGTTCTAGGGTACATGTGCACAACGTACAGGTTTGTTACATATGTGTACATGGGCCATGTTGGTTTGCTACACCCATTAACTCGTCATTTACATTAGGTATCTCTCCTAATGCTATCCCTCCCCCATCCCCCCATCCCACGACAGGCCCGGTGTGTGATGTTCCCCACTCTGTGTCCAATTGTTCAATTCCCACCTATGAGTGAGAACATGTGGTGTTTGGTTTTCTCTCTTTGCAATAGTTTGCTCAGAATGATGGTTTCCAGCTTCATCCATGTCCCTACAAAGGACATAAACTCATCCTTTTTTATGGCTGCTTAGTATTCCATGGTGTATATGCGCCACATTTTCTCAATCCAGTCTATCATTAATGGATATTTGGGTTGGTTCCAAGTCTTTGCTATTGTGAATAGTGCCACAGTAAACATATGTGTGCATGTGTCTTTATAGTAGAATGATTTATAATTGGGTATATACCCAGTAATGGGATGGCTGGGTCAAATGGTATTTCTAGTTCTAGATCCTTGAGGAATTGCCACACTGACTTCCATAATGGTTGAATTAGTTTTCAATCCTACCAACAGCGTAAATGCATTCTTATTTCTCCACACCCTCTCCAGCATCTGTCGTTTCCTGACTTTTTAATGATCGCCATTCTAACTGGTGTGAGATGGTATCTCTTTGTGGTTTTGATTCATGTTTCTCTGATGACCAGTGATGATGAGCATTTATTCATGTGTCTGGGGGCTGCATAAATGTTTTCTTTTAAGAAGTGTCTGTTCATATCCTTTGCCCACTTTTTGATGGGGTTGTTTGATTCTGTCTTGTAAATTTGTTTAAGTTCTTTGTAGATTCTAGATATTAGCCCTTTGTCAGATGGGTAGGTTGCAAAAATTTTCTCCCATTCTGTAGGTTGCCTGATCATTCTGATGGTAGTTTCTTTTGCTGTGCAGAAGCTCTTTAGTTTAATTAGATCCCATTTGTCAATTTTGGCTTTTGTTGCCATTGCTTTTGGTGTTTTAGTCATGAAGTCCTTGCCCATGCCTATGTCCTGAATGGTATTGCCTAGGTTTTCTTCTAGGGTTTTTATGGTTTTTAGGTCTAACATTTAAGTCTTTAATCTATCTTGAATTAATTTTTGTATGAGGTGTAAGGAAGGGATCCAGTTTCAGCTTTCTACATATGGCTAGCCAATTTTCCCAGCACAATGTATTAAATAGGGAATCTTTTCCCCATTTCTCATTTTTGTCAGGTTTGTCGAAGATCAGATGGTTGTAGATGTGTGAAGTTATTCCTGAGGCCTCTGCTCTGTTCCATTGGTCTATATCTCTGTTTTGGTACCAGTACCATGCTGTTTTGGTTACTGTAGACTTGTAGTATAGTTTGAAGTCAGGTAGTGTGATGCCTCCAGGTTTGTTCTTTTGGCTTAGGATTGTCTTGGCAATGTGGGCTCTTTTTTGCTTCCATATGAACTTTAAAGTAGTTTTTTGCAATTCTGTGAAGAAAGTCATTGGTAGCTTGATGGGGATGGCATTGAATCTGTAAATTACCTTGGGCAGTATGGCCATTTTCACGATATTGATTCTTATTCTTCCTACCCATGAGCATGGAAAGTTCTTCCATTTGTTTGTGTCTTCTTTTATTTCTTTGAGCAGTGGTTTGTAGTTCTCCTTGAAGAGGTCCTTCCCATCTCTTGTAAGTTGGATTCCTAGGTATTTTATTCTCTTTGAAGCAATTGTGAATGGGAGTTCACTCATGATTTGGCTCTCTGTTTGTCTGTTGTTGGTATATAAGAATGCTTGTGATTTTTGCACATGGATTTTGTATCCTGAGACTTTGCTGAAGTTGCCTATCAGCTTAAGGAGATTTTGGGCTGAGACAATGGGGTTTTCTAGATATACAATCATGTCACCTGCAAACAGGGACAATTTGACTTCCTCTTTTCCTAATTGAATACCCTTTATTTCCTTCTCCTGCCTGATTGTCCTGGCCAGAACTTCCAACCCTATGTTGAATAGGAGTGGTGAGAGAGGGCATCCCTGTCTTGTGTCAGTTTTCAAAGGGAATGCTTCCAGTTTTTGCCCATTCAGAATGATATTGGCTGTGGGTTTGTCATAAATAGCTCTTACTATTTTGAGATACGTCCCATCAATACCTAGTTTATTGAGAGTTTTTAGCTTGAAGGCTGTTTAATTTTGTCAAAGGTCTTTTCTGCATCTATTGAGATAATCATGTGGTTTTTATCTTTGGTTCTGTTTATGTGATGGGTTACGTTTATTGATTTGTGTATGTTGAAACAGCCTTGCATCCCAAGGATGGAGTCAACTTGATCTTGGTGGATAAGCTTTTTGATGTGCTGCTGGATTCAGTTTGCCAGTCTTTTATTGAGGATTTTTGCATTGATATTCATCAGGTTTATTGGTCTAAAATTCTCTTTTTTTGTTGTGTCTTTGTCAGGCTTTGGTATCAGGATGATGCTGGCCTCATAAAATGAGTTAGGGAGGATTCCCTCTTTTTCTGTTGATTGGAATAACTTCAGAAGGAATGGTATTAGCTCCTCTTTGTACCTCTGGTAGAATTTGGCTGTGAATCCATCTGGTCCTGGACTTTTTTTCCGTTGGTAGACTATTAATTATTGCTTCAATTTCAGAGCCTGTTATTGGTCTATTCAGGGATTCAACTGCCTCCTGGTTTAGTCTTGGGAGGGTGTATGTGTCCAGGAATGTATCCATTTCTTCTAGATTTTCTAGTTTATTTGCATAGAGGTGTTTATATTATTCTCTGATGGTAGTTTATATTTCTGTGGGATCGGTGGTGATATCCCCTTTATCATTTTTTATGGGGTCTATTTGTTTCTTCTCTCTTTTCTTCTTTATTAGTCTTGCTAGCGGTCTATCAATTTTGTTGATCTTTTCAAAAAACCAGCTCCTGGATTCATTGAAGGGTTTTTTTGCCTCTATCTCCTTCAGTTCTGCTCTGATCTTAGTTATTTCTTGCCTTCTGCTAGCTTTTGAATGTGTTTGCTCTTGCTTCTCTAGTTCTTTTAATTGTGATGTTAGGGTGTTGATTTTAGATTTTTCCTGCTTTCTCTTGTGGGCATTTAATGCTATAAATTTCCCTCTACACACTGCTTTAAATGTGTCTCAGAGATTCTGGTATGTTGTGTCTTTGTTCTCACTGGTTTCAAAGAACATCTTTATTTTTGCCTTCATTTCATTATTTACGCAGTAGTCATTCAGGAGCAGGTTGTTCAGTTTCCATGTAGTTGTATGGTTTTGAGTGCGTTTCTTAGTCCTGAGTTCTAATTTGATTGCACTGTGGTCTGAGAGACAGTTTGTTGTGATTTCTGTTCTTTTACATTTGCTGAGGAGTGCTTTACTTCCAACTATGTGGTCAATTTTGGAATAAGTGTGATGTGATGCTGAGAAGAATGTATATTCTGTTGATTTGTGGTGGAGATTTCTGTAGATGTCTATTAGGTCCACTTGGTGCAGAGCTGAGTTCAAGTCCTGGATATCCTTGTTAACCTTCCGTCTTGTTGATCTGTCTAATACTGACAGTGGGGTGTTAAAGTCTCCCATTATTATTGTGTGGGAGTCTAAGTCCCTTTGTAGGCCTCTAAGGACTTGCTTTATGAATCTTGATGCTTCTGTATTGGGTGCATATGTATTTAGGATAGTTGGCTCTTCTTGTTGAATTGATTCTTTTACCATTATGTAATGGGTTTCTTTGTCTCTTTTAATCTTTGTTGGTTTAAAGTCTGTTTTATCAGAGATTAGGATTGCAACACCTGCATTTTTTGTTTTCCATTTGTTTGGTAGATCTTCCTCCATCTCTTTATTTTGAGCCTATGTGTGTCTTTGCAAGAGATGGGTGTCCTGAATATAGCACACTAATGGTTCTTGACTCTACTCAATTAGCCAATCTGGGTCTTTTAATTGGGGTATTTAGCCCATTTACATTTAAAGTTAATATTGTTTTGTGTGAATTTGATCCTGTCATTATGATGTTAGCTGGTTGTTTTGCCCGTTAGTTAATGCAGTTTCTTCCTAGTCTCGATGGTCTTTACAATTTGGCATGTTTTTGCAGTGGCTGGTACCGGTTGTTCCTTTCCATGTTTAGTGCTTCCTTCAGGAGCTCTTGTAAGGCAGGCTTGGTGGTGACAAAATCTCTCAGCATTTGCTTGTCTGTAAAGGATTTTATTTCTCCTTCACTTATGAAGCTTAGTTTGGCTGGATATGAAATTCTGGGTTGAAAATTCTTTTCTTTAAGAATGTTGAATATTGGCCCCCACTCTCTTCTGGCTTGTAGAGTTTCTGCTGAGAGATTCACTGTTAGTCTGAGGGGCTTCCCTTTATAGGTAGCCCGACCTTTCTCTCTGACGGCCCTTAACATTTTTTCCTTCATTTCAATCTTGGTGAATCTGACAATTATGTGCATAGCACTCTTTTATCAAGTCCTTGTGACCCTGGTAATTTGTGCCTCAGATTGTTTGTGTAATGTCCTTGTGTCTTTTAATATTTTTCTGAACATCTCTCACTTTGCAAATGGAGATTTTGATAGGCTGCTTAAAAATGTATATGAAATAGCAAATGAGTATTTTTAAAATGAAATAAACAAACAAAACACAATGCAAATTTTACAATACGGTGGTTTCAAACTTTTCATGCACAAAAATCACCTGAAGTGTTTGTTAAAAGCAGATCACTAGCCCCCAATATCAGAGTGTCCTGATTCAGTAGGACTGGACTGAGACCGAAGAATTTCTATTTTCATAAGTTTCTCAGATGATGCTGTTACAGTTCAAGGTCTATAGTTTGAAAAACACCAGTCAGAAAACTTCGTATTTTCAACATGGTATATATACTGCCATATCTTAGAATAGATCATTAAAATAGCTCATATTTTTATATGCCTTATTTTTAATATTTTAATATCGTTGAGTCTAGAAAAAGAATAAAATAGCCTGAATTTTATATCATTTGGAACTTATCCCTATTCTCGGATTGTAGACAATATTTGTGGTTTATTATTTTGTGGGAAGAGATTATTATTGTTTTCGACTTCTAACATCTCTACCTTGACACTGCCATTATCGCTCAACTAGATACCTGCAGAAACTTTCTAAAGGTCTCTGTGCTTCCAAGTTTCCCTACTGACCGTGATTCTTCTACAAATAGAATTTACATGAAATGTCATTTGTATAACCTATTGTATAAACTTTTCAATGACTTTGCCATTGAACTTGAGATAAAATCTAGACATCTTAACAGAGCTGACAAAATCCTATTTAGCTGTCTTTTTACCTTTTTCTGTCCAACACTGAACATTTATTCCATAGTCATTCTGAATTTTCATTTTATTTTAGTTTCTTTAATACTGCTCTGCTATCCCTTGCCTTTCAGTTCTTGTCACATACTCTTTCCTCTGTTACTTTACTTCTCAGTTTAACGTGAGAACTTCCGGGAAGTCATCCCTGACAAAAAACCTTTTTTAAATGCAAACCAGAAAATCTAATAATGTTTGTTTTGTATCCACAGTATATCATGCTCACACATTTTATGATTTGCTGTATTGAGTGCTCATGTTTTTTGGACCTACCTAGTAGAGTAAAAGCAACTTGATAATGTAAATCTATCCTTTCACCATTATCACTGGGTGCCTTACACAACGCATTGTACAGGCAAGTGTCCTAAAATATATTTGCTTTTAGTATATTAGTGAATTAATTTATAAATGAATTTGGAGTCCACCTCCTTGACATGCATATCAAAAGTTTCAAAAGCAAGATATCTCTTAAAAATAATAGAATTTGAAATTTATAAATGCTTTTAAAGACTATATATTTTTAAAAAACATTTTTCTCAAATGATACTAAAACAAAAAAGAATAGAAACATAAGCCAAAAACAGTAAATCCAAGAAACAATTTTCAGAAAAATGACACATAAATACAAATATGAACAGTGTACTGTTTTAATATTTATTCCTCAAAAATATATTCTTTGATGAGTAAATGCAGAACAAAGTCAACATAAACAATATAAGTTTTTATCTTGGTATAACTGTATTGTAACTCAGCTAGTAAGTACTTATATCTTTAAAAAATCAATAATATTAACCCACCAGATAAGGTATTGTTAAATCCATCATGTAGTGTGTGCTACTGCTAATTAGCCTAACTTTTCTTTGGCATCCTAAATGTAATTTCACATATACTATTAATACACATATCAGAGCATCTCCAACAATGTATAGGAAATTCACAAGGCTATCTGTGGTGTGTGTCTTCCAGTGTGTGTAGATCTGCAGATGAATGTTGTTAAGTGACAATGTAAATAACACAAGTAGATCCTATAGGCAAATTAGCTGTATCGTGTTATGTCCAAAACCCGATCTAGACAACCTGGCAAGTCATGCTGCTAACTAGGTAGACAATTGAACTGACATTTTCACAGTACTTCTCATGTGCCACTATAACCTAAGTGACTGTTATCACAATTAATTTCAGTCACTCAGTTCTAATAAAACAAGAGCCACTTTGTTGTTTATTTCACATTTCTCTTTTTAATAGTTTGAACTAATCTTAACAGTGCTTAACAGAATAAATTTGTGCTGAAATGGATTAAACTGTACTGATTACTGATGTCCACAAATCGATGGCTGTTTTATTTCAAAGCAAGAATGCTAGGTTAGTTTTCGTTTTATAGCTGTCGATCCTATTCTCTCTCCCTTTCTCTTCCTCTTCCTTTTCCTCTCCCTCTGCCTCTTTCTCTTTTCTCCCTTCTCACTCTTCCTTCTTCCTTTTCTCACATAATATTAGACAAGGTTTATAGTATAATGATTATAGTTAAAATACAGTATTGATATTGAAGAAACTAGTCTGTAGTTTTCAGAATATCAGCTTCTATCAATGATCACATGCAAATTAGACACAATTTATACTTGTTATTCAGATATTGAAATATCTACCTAAAATCTATTTAAGACTTAAGTTAAAATTATATCATCATTTATTGTTTAGTGCCTGCTATTATTCAATCACCTAATTTGACAGTTGTTTAGTGAGTGCTTACTAAGTGTTTGGCAGTATCATGATCACTGTATGTGGTAAAGTTCACACGCTAGTAGGGAGAAGCTAACAATAACAATCAACAAAATAAAATTAACTTTCATAGATATAAGGACGATGGCAAGGTCTATTCTACACTGCATGTCAGGCATAGCCTTGCTGAGGAGGTAATACTGGATTTTGGATCTGAATTATGAGAAGCAGCAGCCCTCTGAAATTTCTTGAGAAGAATGTTTACATTACACTGTACTCCATAAATGCAATACAATTTAGTAATTAAAAGTAACATAAAATGTGTCAAAGTAACAGCAACAACAAAAAGCCAATGAAGCTAAAACTTTATAAAAGGGAGAGTGGTAGATGAAGTCAGATATGTGGGCACACATCACAGCATGAATGGAATTTCTTCACCATGATGAAGAATTTGGATCTCATTTTAATTATAAAGGGAGACCTGAAGAATGTTTTAAGTGAAGACATTATGTGGTGTTATTTAAGATTATTTTACTTTTAAGTTCTGTTCATCTGCTATTAATTGAGAATGGACTATGAAAAAGAGAAAGAGATACAAGTAAAATGGAAGTTTGGATATCCTGTGGAATCCTATTATAAGTATCCAGAAGAGGTATGGTAATATTGTTCAGGTTAATCTAGCAGATTCTTTCCTTTCTTTGATTATGTGAATATTAGGGTAATGTTTATGTAAACTATAGTGAGTTATACTTATTCTGTAACTGCATGTAAAATTGTCTACTATATACAAAAATGCCTGTTATACACAAAATAAAAGATATTAATTTTGCTTTCTTAATTCAGACTCAAGAATCTGGCACTGTGTGTGTCTTCTGACCTTGCTAGGAAATTACATAATATCATATGATGTGAGATTTTCTCTTCATAGTCCTGATATGTAACTAGCCCTCATAAGTATTTTAATAGTGTTAATAGCCAAACACATAGTTTTGAAAAATACTTTCATATAATTCTATTCCTTTTGGCAAATAATCCCTAGGCCTGAATATTATATACATGGATAGAGGATCATTGAGTAATAGGGTATTGGATGATTTACATTACTCAAAAGCTTTGAGTAAGACTTTATTTTCACATTGTATCATAGATTAGAAATGCACATACACACACACACACACACAGACACATATCATTATAGGCAAACAGTAGTTTTCCATATTTTAAAAAGGAAAGATTGACATGTACTGTCATGATAACACAATATGTCTTTCATGAAATCAGTCTCTTCTTTCTATCAATGCTTCCATAACTGACCTTGATATTTATCCATTTCTAGTCTCCTTGCCACTACTCTATTTCAGTTCCTTATCACTTGTTGCCTGGATTATTAAAGTAACCTCTCCTTTAGCTTTAGCTTTTCTGCCCTCAGTCTCATACTCCTCCAAATCATCTTGCATACCTTTGGCAGATTAATTTTCTTAAAACATTATTTTGGCAAAAATCAATAAAAATAAGTTTTGATATAAAATCACATTTTCATTATTGCACTTTCCAAAAATCTCCCATGGAATAGGAAGATTAACTGCTAAGAGAATTATTTCCAGATCATCTTGGATAATACTCAAGACCTTCAACAAACTGCCCTCAACTTGTTTAAACATCTTCTTGCAATATATTGAAAACAACATGACCAGGAGTAATAATGCACAAATTCTAGTCTTGATTATGTTCCTTTCTAGCCTTGTAATCTTAGCCAAATTAGATAAGCCCTCTGTGACCAATTTTTTATACATGAAATACGGTAAAATTGGTAATATTTACCATGCCTACCTCAATGTATACAGTAGAGAAGAAAATGCACAGGGTTTGATGTATTTCTGAGTTAGGATTCTCACATATCATTTATGATCTGTGACTTTCCTCAGTTACGTAAAGATTGTAATTTCAATGTATTCATCTTTAAAAATAGGCTATGGAAAATTCCCAACTCAGAGTTGTTAACAGTATTAACTATAGAAATGGGTGTGAAGAGATTTTTATAAATTATTAAAATGTGCTTCCATTGTCAGTTACTGTTTCATATGCCAAATAATATTTTGAACAACAAAACAGGAAACACTATCTCCCAAGAAACAGTGGTAGAGAATAGGGACGTGACAGAAAAAAGAAGACAGCAAAAAAGGGGTGCACTTGTAAACAAGTTACGTCTGGTTGACAAGTGGATCTTGTTCTTGCTGGGGAACTCTGGGAAATGACGTGAAACACATGTAGTTAGAAGTGTCCAGCCTGAGATATATGGAGGTTATTTTATTTATTTATTTATTTTTTTGCACACAAAGTCCTTTAGTTATTTTTGAGAGCTGATTTTCTGGGGTGTTCATTCTCTGGCACTTCTTGGCAACAGTACACAGTAGGTTGATACATTTTAGCAGATAAGAACTCTTTTCAAGCAAATAGGTGAAGTTACTGATACTTTCATCAACACATTCTCAAATGCTAATGAAAGTCCTCCAAAGATCCCATGCCCTAATCTTTGTAGCTTGTAAATAGGTTAGGCTACATGGCAAAGGGAGATTTGTAGATGTAATCAAGCTAATGCAGATTAAAAGAGAGAGATTATCCTGGATTATTTAGTTTGGTTTAATAGAATTACTTGCATTCATCTTCATTAAAAGTAGAGTGTACTCAGGCTAGGGCCAGATGGGAGGTAAGAGAGATAAGGTGTGAGAAGAAGTCATTGATGGTTTTGAAGATGAATGGGTCCACAAATCAACGAATGCCAGAGACATTTAGGAGCTGAAAAAAGCTCTTGGACAACAGTCAGTAAGCAAAAGGGATTTCAGCCTATAACTAAAGTAACTGGATTTACCCAAAGACCTGGAAGAACATGGGGGGAATTCTCTCTCAGAGCTTCAAGAAAAGACCCCAGCAAGCCTTGAGTTTGGCGTTGAAAGACATAACGCAGATGAAACAGCTGAGCTCACTCAGACTTCAAGGTGAACAGTAATATAATTTCTCTTGTTCTAAACTGCTGATTATGTCATAATTTGTTGTAGCAGCAATAGAAAACTAATACAAAGAAATGTGGTAAGACACTCAACATGGAAAACAAAAACACATCTGCAATTTTTCTTTTCTTTTTTTTTTTTTTTTTTTTGAGACGGAGTTTTGCTCTTGTCGCCCAGGCTGGAGTGCAATGACACGATCTCGGCTCACTGCAACCTTTGCCTCCCAGGTTCAAGCGATTCTCCTGCTTCAGCCTCCCAAGTAGCTAGGATTACTGGCGCCTACCACCACACCTGGCTAATTTTGTATTTTTAGTAGAGACTGGGTTTCACCATGTTGGCCAGACTGGTCTCAAACTCCTGACCTCAGGTGATCCGCCTGCCTCGGCCTCCCAAAGTTCTGGGATTACAGGAGTGAGCCATTGTGCCCAGACTCCAATTTTTCCTTCCACCCACCGTGAGTGTTTCTTTTTTTTTTTCTTTTCCAACATTCAAACTGCAGGAGCTTTCACAGCCTCTCTTAAGTTCTTGTATATAAGTCGTTTTTCTCTAAACTCAAACTGTATTTACAGTAAGAGCTACATAATTTAGAAATTGATCATCTTCTCTCTTGCATATTTCTGTGTTTCTGTATTAAAAAGTTGTCTTCTCAGTCATATTATGCATTCTTCTCGGGCAAGAACTCTAAATATATAAAACTCTTTTCTACAACTTAGGAAAATAGAAGAAAGTAAATACTGAGAAAAACTCAGCAAAATATTCAGCAAGGCACCTCCAAGATACAAGTGCCTGTATTTATCCACAATTCATTTAGTATCATTTTTTCCATCTATGAACAGTAAGTGTACTCTCTGCATAAAGAAACTTAAAATCACTCTCCCAACTCTCTCTCTCATACTTGTTGCTTTATTTCTCACTTTGCCTTGTAATTTTCTGTTGCTGTGGGGCATCTCTGTTCTATTTGTTTAGTCTTGACTGAGCATGTTTTCTTTTCTCATATGGTGAATTCACCTAGCTTTCCCTTCTTTCCGTTTACACACTTTCGTTGGACCAGGCATGATTTTTTTCTTTTTTGGTACCACATCCAAAATTTAATTGCCTCTGATTCCTGCTTAAAAGGAATGGCTACCTAAAAAAGAAAGGTAAATTTTATTTTTGTGTGAAGAGTACAACTCAAATTTTGGCAGAACAAAAGATTATTTGGAGGCTGTATGTTCTAGAGACTTTGGATTATAGTTATTGAACTTGATGTTTATATTTGTGTGTGGATGACTTCCACTGCTGTGATAAAGACAATAGCAGAAGAAAGAATGAATGAATAGGATGGAATAACAGTTTAGACAAATCAAATTTTCACAGTCTAATGATTGTTGAATGTGTATATTAAAAGAATTGCTATAAAATATTTACCATCAACATAAAATAGCAGCAAAGGTAGTTTTATTTAATAAGTGAATTCTTACTGGTTTACATTTTATCTAAGGATTTCACATTACTAGAAAAATCATAATACAGTTAATTCTCCAAAGACCATCTGAATTGTAAATTAATAAAAAACATTTTTTTCCCTTAAGATAGCACTTATGTTACTGTACCTGCCACAATCTTTTGTTGCAATCTGAGAAATCTGTTAATCTTAAATGATTTTTTTTTTTTTTTGAGATGAAGTCTGGCTCTGTCGCCAGGCTGGGGTGCAGTGGCCCTATCTCGGCTCATTGGAACCTCTGCCTCCCAGGTTCAAGCGATTCTCCTGCCTCAGCCTCCCAAGTAGCTGGAACATAGGTGCATGCCACCACAACCAGCTAATTTTTGCATTTTTAGTAGAGACGGGGTTTCACCATGTTGCCCAAGACAGTCTTGATCTCTTGATCTGCCCACCTCAGCCCCCCAAAGTTCTGGGGTTACAGGCGTGTGCCACCGTGCCCGGAGGATTTTTTTCTTATAATTTCTTTGAAAATTATTAGATATAAAAAAGAGTTAAAACTATTCTAAACAATTCTTAACTCACAAGAACAATAAAGCTCATCAATTCTAAATTAAATTCCATGATTAGTATCTTTTTTCTGTCCTTAGCTAAATTCAGCCTAAATTCAACACTTACGATGTGTGTTCCCTGAATTATTTTGTTGATATTATACCTTGAAAAATGCAGTAGATGTAAACAAGTTATACTTACATAAATTAAGTCAAATGACAAATCTACTGACTTAGCACTCATAGATTTTTTGAGCTACATGTAATTTTGATAAAATATACCTGATATAAAAATATGTAAAATAATAACAATAGTAATCATTAGGAAAACAATACTTAAAATGTGTTAAGCTGTCTGGTGAATGAGATGATCATTTTAATATGAGCCCCTCATTGGATATTATTATAGAGTAGATGAAGAGAGAGATTTGACCAGTGCAAAGTAGTAGGAACATACTTCTATCTATCATATATACCTTTTGTTTGAAAGAATATTACATTTATGTGTTAAGATTCATGACTGATTTTCACTTCAATTAAGATTTCTCTGGTAGTTATAAAGAAATACATTATTATATCATTTTTCTATGATATAAGACACAGAGAAATACTTTGGACATTTGTGACAGAATAATTTATTTTTTCCTACACAAAGAACTGAAAGGCCATCACTGCCAATATCAATTAATTTTAATAATGACACTATAGAGAAAAATGGTAGTTAAGCCTTCAGCTGTGAGGCACCTTTTATAGAACTTTAAAAAACTGCAGGCGCTGGCACCTGGCCCAGAATGGAGAAAACTGTATTATATATTGTTAGCATTAATACATACTGATTTCAGCTGAGACGTTTTTTAAAAGCCCACCAATCATGGAAATAGGAAATACATTAGTTTGTCCAAATAATATTTCTTGACTTTCTAAGAAAATTCAAAGAAAGCACCATAAGTCAAGGACAAAGAAATGAACATCAAGAGCAATTGCACACTAACCGCGACCTCAAGGATGGTATAATTTCTAATGCTAGTTTATTTATCCAGTTTTTAATTTAGAATGAAGTGTGTCTAACCGTCTGAAGAACCAAACTTCCTTGTGAACTAATTACTCTCAAATAAGGAAAAACAGTTATCAGACTCTGTAAGGACGTATAGAAACTATTGATGCTACTTAAAATTTCTAACGGATGCATTCATTTATAAAAACAGGCTCTATTATGTGTCATATATGTGGGTTGGCTTAAAGTATTGAAAAAAATTACTATCGGGTACTAGGCTTAGTACCTGGCTGATGAAATAATCGGTACCACAAACCCTTGTGGCATGAGTTTGCCTATACAACAATCCTGCACAGGTACCCCCGAAACTCGAAATAAAAGTTAGAAAACAGAAAATGATATAGAATGGTGCATGTATATGAAGAAATTACAATCTAGAGGGTGGGACAGGACAATATCACATGCAAATTATGAAGACGAGGGTAAAATGAGAGAGAATACTTCATTTTGAAAGAGCATTGAGACATCTTTAGAAAATAAATGACCTATGAATTTGGCATTCAACTTAGGAATACATTAGGTAAATGGAAAGACTATTTCAAATTGAGAGAAATCCAGGTTGTAACTCATAAAAAAGAACATATAGCTTGATGGGGATGGCATTGAATCTGTAAATTACCTTGGGCAGTATGGCCATTTTCACGATATTGATTCTTCCTACACATGAGCATGGAATGTTCTTCCATTTGTTTGTATCCTCTTTTATTTCCTTGAGCAGTGGTTTGTAGTTCTCCTTGAAGAGGACCTTCACATCCCTTGTAAGTTGGATTCCTAGGTATTTTATTCTCTTTGAAGCAATTGTGAATGGGAGTTCACTCATGATTTGGCTCTCTGTTTGTCTGTTGTTTGTGTATAAGAATGCTTGTGATTTTTGTACATTGATTTTGTATCCTGAGACTTTGCTGAAGTTGCCTATCAGCTTAAGGAGATTTTGGGCTGAGACAATGGGGTTTTCTAGATATACAATCATGTCCTCTGCAAACAGGGACAATTTGACTTCCTCTTTTCCTAATTGAATACCCTTTATTTCCTTCTCCTGCCTCATTGCCCTGGCCAGAACTTCCAACACTATGTTGAATAGGAGTGGTGAGAGAGGGCATCCCTGTCTTGTGCCAGTTTTCAAAGGGAATGCTTCCAGTTTTTGCCCATTCAGTATGATATTGGCTGTGGGTTTGTCATAGATAGCTCTTATTATTTTGAAATACGTCCCATCAATACCTAATTTATTGAGAGTTTCTACCAATTACTTTCTTCACAGAATTGCAAAAAACTACTTTAAACTTCATATGGAACCAAAAAAGAGCCCGCATAGCCAAGTCAATCCTAAGCCAAAAGAACAAAGCTGGAGGCATCACACTACCTGACTTCAAACTATACTACAAGGCTACAGTAACCAAAACAGCATGCTACTGGTACCAAAACAGAGATATAGACCAATGGAACAGAACAGAGCCCTCAGAAATAATGCCGCATATCTACAACTATCTGATCTTTGACAAACCTGAGAAAAACAAGCAATGGGGAAAGGATTCCCTATTTAATAAATGGTGCTGGGAAAACTGGCTAGCCATATGTAGAAAGCTGAAACTGGATCCCTTCCTTACACCTTATACAAAAATCAATTCAAGATGGATTAAAGATTCAAACGTTAGACCTAAAACCATAAAAACCGTAGAAGAAAACCTAGGCATTACCATTCAGGACACAGGCATGGGCAAGGACTTCATGTCCAAAACACCAAAAGCAATGGCAACAAAAGCCAAAATTGACAAATGGGATCTAATTAAACTAAAGAGCTTCTGCACAGCAAAAGAAACTACCATCAGAGTGAACAGGCAACCTACAAAATGGGAGAAAATTTTTGCAACCTACTCATCTGACAAAGGGCTAATATCCAGAATCTACAATGAACTCAAACAAATTTACAAGAAAAAACAAACAACCCCATCAAAAAGTGGGCGAAGGACATGAACAGACACTTCTCAAAAGAAGACATTTATGCAGCCAAAAAACACATGAAAAAATGCTCATCATCACTGGCCATCAGAGAAATGCAAATCAAAACCACTATGAGATACCATCTCACACCAGTTAGAATGGCAATCATTAAAAAGTCAGGAAACAACAGGTGCTGGGGAGGATGTGGAGAAATAGGAACACTTTTACACTGTTGGTGGGACTGTAAACTAGTTCAACCATTGTGGAAGTCAGTGTGGTGATTCCTCAGGGGTCTAGAACTAGAAATACCATTTGACCCAGCCATCCCATTACTGAGTATATACCCAAATGACTATAAATCATGCTGCTATAAAGACACATGCACACGTATGTTTATTGCGGCACTATTCACAATAGCAAAGACTTGGAACCAACCCAAATGTCCAACAATGATAGACTGGATTAAGAAAATGTGGCACATATACACCATGGAATACTATGCAGCCATAAAAAAGGATGAGTTCACGTCCTTTGTAGGGACATGGATGAAATTGGAAATCATCATTCTCAGTAAACTATCGCAAGAACAAAAAACCAAACACCGCATATTCTCACTCATAGGTGGGAATTGAACAATGAGATCACATGGACACAGGAAGGGGAATATCACACTCTGGGGACTGTGGTGGGGTGGGGGGAGGGGGGAGGGATAGCATTGGGAGATATACCTAATGCTAGATGACAAGTTAGTGGGTGCAGCGCACCAGCATGGCACATGTATACATATGTAACTAACCTGCACAATGTGCACATGTACCCTAAAACTTAAAGTATAATAAAAAAAAAAAGAACATATAATGTTGCAAGAATTTATAAAGTATAGGCTGGAGTGTATACATTTGTGGAGAGTGTGAGGCTAGAAAGGTAGGTTGGAAGCTGAGAAGGAAAAGATTCAGTAGCTAGACTTTAATCTCTTTCCTTCCTATACTGGAAGAACATTTCTGGGAAATCCTTGGAATTCTTGTGTTGGTAAAAACGTTGGTAAAAATTAATACTAAGATGTTGTATTTGTGTTAGTCTGACTTAACTATATTTTAGTTTGCATATTTTATATTTAATGTGGTCTGTCTACTGACAGTAGAATAAGCTAAACATAATTGAATTTTAAGCAGATTTTGGAAGCAGGTTGAAGGATGAATTACAGAGGTATAAGAACAATGGCTCGAAGAGATTTGCAATTTCCCAGATTAAAAAAAAGATTATCTGAAATTGGCAATGGATTTAGAAAGAAGGGCTGCGCATGAGAAATTTTAGTGGCAGGACTCTTTGACTGATGGCTGTTTCTCATGAAGTAGAGATGAGATGATACTAAAGATTTTGTCTTGGGCAGCCAGTTATATGGTTAGATGATGATGCTATTCACAGACAGAAAAGAATATAACATGAAAGACATGCTCAGAGGTGAAATTATTAATAATTATCTTAGTTTGGACATTTTGCATTTTAGTCATATAGGAAATAATCGGTTAGAGATGCACCTACACATTTATTAACTTAAAGATGAATGTAAGTGGATTTCTTTACCTGTTTTGTGCTTACATCCATTTGTAATCCAGAATAATTCTATGCTATATATTGTCCTTCAAATAATAGCTCTTAACAATGATGCTATAGTTCTATCAGCTACAGTAAACTTTTATAATTTGCTAAAGGAGATTTCTGTAGTTACACTGATTGAGTTGCTTTCCCTTTCTGATAAAGTAAAATAAACTATATTACTTGCTAATAATATGAAGCTGAATAATATGGTTAACCTTTACATGCCTCAATTTTCTCATCTAAAATAGTACATTCCTTATAATCTTGTAAGAAATAAATTAATTACCACACACACTTCTTTTACATGAATATAAATATGACATACCTACATGTATTTTCCTAGTAGAGTGTACAGGATATTTTAAGTATGGAATATTTGCTATTGTCATAGCTCAATTTTCTGTTGGTTGATTGTTAGCAACAGCAATATGGTAGCTCATTGAAAGTATCTCATATGTTTGGAAAATTGTATCACTAGAGCAGTCAGGATGGGTTGAATGTCTTTTTGTGTGTATCACAGAGTTTGTGATATCATTGAATCCAATTGATGTTTTAAGACAGAATGGCATAGAGGATTCTGGATTTATTTAAGTTGATAAGATAGCTATGCCTTTCTTAATGAAATATGGCACAGCTTCCAATTGCTGAAGAAAGAACACTGAATTCCAGTGATGTATGTAAACGTTGCTTTCCCTTTCTGATAAAGTAAAATAGGAAACCTGGAATAGAAAAATTAGAGACTTCGATTTATTATAACTATAATTTATAAGCAAAAATAATATAGCTTTGTCTAGTAGCTTCTCTGTGGGAATTTAGTTGTTGTAGGGGATTCATGATTCTCAAATTGGGGACTCAAGATTTTAAAATATTTTCCCTGCTGGGATGTAGCAACAATTCTTAAATCACCTTAGAATATTACAGGCTTTTCATTGCCAATCAGGAATCTTGTCTGGATTCCTACCAGGAGTCTTATATCATTTCATACCTTGATGAACATGGATTTTTGTGTTTTCTATTAATTGATCCATTATTTCAAATTGTTTTAAATATTGATGATTCATCCAGGAAACATTAGACTAAACTGGTGGTTTTTAAAAGTCATTGCATTAGCTCCTTCCCAGCCCTGGTTTTAGGGGTTGGGGAGGCAGGCGCAATAAAAATAAATAAATAAATAAAAGTTGAAAAAAAATATATATATATATATGTGCTCATCAACATTCTCCAGGCTGCCTTTTAAGTTTATTGAGGCCATGTGAGTAATTCCTGATGAATGGGATATTAGGGGAAGTGATGAAGCCATGTATAGGCATGACCTTTAACAACTCATGTGAGTACGGGTGCGGTGGCTCACGCCTGTAATCCCAGCACTTTGGGAGTCCAAGGTGGCGGATCACCTGAGGTCAGGAGTTTGACACCAGCCTGACCAACATGGAAAAGCCCTGTCTCTACTAAAAATACAAAATTAACTGGGCATGGTGGCACATGCCTGTAATCCCAACTACTTGGGAATCTGAGGCAGAAGAATTGCTTGAACCTGGGTGGTGGAGGTTGCGGTGAGCCATGAGCCGAGATCCTGCCTTTGCACTCCAGCCTGGGCAACAGGAGTGAAACTCCGTCTCAAAACAACAACAACAACAAAACTCATGTGCCACCCTGTACTTCTTTATTCTCCATCATCATGATCTTGAAGACAATCTGTTCCACATACCACAGATACAAAATGAAGTGGAAATGCCTGACACCGATAATGCTGTCTTGGAAAGAACATTTGTCTTTTTATAATTGAGTTGTAAGAATTTTAAAAATATTATTAAAGATACAAGTCCATTAACAGATTTATGATTTACAAATATTTTCTCCCATTTTGTGAGTAGTCTTTTCACTGGATAGTGTCATTTGAAAAATAGATGTTTTTAATTTTGATAAAGTCAAATTTATCTATTTATTTTTATTGTCATTGTTTTATGTGCTTTCGGCATCTCATATATAAGACTCCATTGCCATCTCCAAAGTCATGCAAATTTACCCCTATATCATCTTCTAAGAATTTCATAGTTTTAGCTCTTACATTTCCATTTTCAATGAATTTTTTATATATATGGTTCCAGGTAATGGGCTAATTGCATTCTTTTGCATGTGGCTACCTAGTTACCCAAGCACTATTGTTGAAATGTTATCCTTTCTCTTTTGAATGGTCTTGGTACCCTTGTCAACGATCAGTTGACGAAAGGCACAGAGATTTACTTCTGTATTCTTAATTCTATTTCATTGATCTATATATCTATCCTTGTGATAATACCACCCTCTCTTGATTACTGTTGCATTGGAGTGAGTTTTGAAATCAGGAAATTTGAATGCTCCAAGCTTATTCCTTTTTCAGATATATTAGACCATTCTGTGTCCCTTGTAATTCCAGTTTAATTTAAAACCAGCTTGTCCAAGCATGCAAAAAAACTACATGGAATTGTGATAGCTTTGTGTTGAATCTATAGATGAATTTGGGGAGTATTTCCACCATTATAATACAATGTCTTCCAATCCATGAATAAAATACACTTTTTTTCATTTATAGTAGCCCTCCCTTTTCTCAGTGGATGCCTAAAACGAGAGATGATACCAAACCCATATATATACTATGTTTTCTATCTACCTATTATAAAGTTTAATTTATTAATTAGACATGGTAAAAAAATTAACAATAATTAATGGTAAAATAGAACACTCATAACTATATACTGTAATAAAAGTGAATGTGGTCTCTCTGCTACTCTGTCTTTCTCTCTCAAAAGATCTCACTGTATTGCACTCACCGATGTTCAGAACCCAGTTGACCACGAGTAACAGAAATCGTGGAAACCAAAACCACAGATAAGGGGAAAAATACTTTATTGAGATTTTTACTTTTTCAAGAATGTTTCATAGTTTTCAGAGAATAAGTATTGTACTTGTTTAAAAATGTATTTATTCCTAAGTATATTATTTTTGATGCTATTATAAATATAATTATTAATTTTATTTTGTGATTGTTCATTGCAAGGATAAAGAAATATAATATTTTTGTTGTTGTTGTTTGAGACCAAGTCTCGCCCTGTTGCCAGGCTGGAGTGCAGTGGCATGATCTCAGCTCACTGTAACCTCCACCTCCTAGGTTCAAGCGATTCTCCTGCCTCAGCCTCCTGAGTAGCTGGGACTACAGGCGTGTGTCACCACACCCAGCTAATTTATGTATTTTTAGTAGAGACGGGGTTTCACCATGTTGGCCAGGATGGTCTCGATCTCTTGACCTTAATCTGCCTGACTTGGCCTCCCAAAGTGCTGGGATTACAGGGGTGAGCCACCGTGCCCAGCCTGTAATTGGTTTTTAATTACTGATTTTGTACCCTGAAACTTTGATGAATTTGTTTACTAGTTACAAAAGTTTTTAGTGAAACCTCAGAATTTTCTATATATATGGTCATGTCATCTAAAATTACAAATAAGTTTACTTTTCCTTTCCAAACTAGATGTACTTCTTTTCCTGCCTAATTTCCCTGGCTAGCATCTCTAGTACACTATTGAAACAAAGTAGCAAGAACATATACTGTTGTCTTTTTCTGACTTAGAGGGAAATTATACAATATCTCACTGTTAAATATATTAGGTGTGAGTTTTTAGTAGATTTCCTTTATCAAGTTGAGGAAGTCCCTTTCTATTCCTATTTGGTAAGGGCTTTTATTATAAACTGTGCTTAAATTTTGTGAAAGGCTTTTTCTGCATCTATTGAGAGGACCATATTGTTTTTGTTTTTTATTCTATTGATCTAGTGTACTAGCTTAATATATTTTTGGATGTTAAACTAACCTTGCATTTCTGTAGTATTTCCCACTTACTCATAATATATAATTCTTTTTTACATATTATTTTATACATTTCTAGCATTTTGAGGGTTGTTATATTCATATTTGTAAAAGATATTGATATGTAGGTTTCCTTCTTTATGATGACTTGCCTGGTTTTGGTGTCAAAGTAATACTAGGGCTCATAGGATAAGTTTAGCAGTAGTCCTGTCTTTTATTGTTGGAGAAGCTGTGTGAAGAATTGGTATTTACTCTTCTGTATATGTCTGCTGGAATTTATATCTTTTGCTATAAAATCTAACTAAAGGTTTGCCAATTTTAAAAATCTTTTTAAAGAATAACCTTTGAGTTCCATTGATTCTATTATTTTTCTATTCTCTATCTTTTTAATTTCCACTCTAGTATCTATTATTTTATTTCTCCTGCTTTTTCTAGGTTACATTTACTTTTCCTTACCCTATGTTTTAAGGCCAAATATTAGGTTATTGATTAACAATCTTTTGCCTTTGTTAATATAGATATTTATGTGTATAAATTTTTCTCTAAGCACTGCTTCAGCTGTATCCTATAAATTTGGTATATTGTGTTTTTATGTTCATTTATCTCAGTCTTTCCTAATTTTCCTTTTGATTTGTTATTTTACTATTGATTATGTAAAATGTGTTGTTTAATTTATGTACATTTGAGCTTCCATTTTTGTCATTGATTTGTAAATTCATTCCGTTGTGATGAGGAAAAATACTTTATTTCTATTATTTAAAATGTGTTGAGGCTTCTTTTACTACCAAGTTTATATTCTGTCCTGGAGAATGTCCCACACACATTTGAGAAGAATATATATTCCACTTTTTGCGTGGAGTGTATAATAGATACCTGTTAGGTCTAGATGGTTTATAATATTGTTCAAGTTATTTATAATATTTCTTTGCTGTTCTTCTGCTTAATTATTCTGTTATTGAAAGTGGGGTATTAAAGTTTTCATTATTAGAAGACTTTAATAATTATTATATTGTCCATTTGTCACTTCATTTCTGTCCGTTTCTGCTTCATATATCTAGGGCCTCTGATAGATGGAGAGATAGATGATAGAGAGATAGATAGATAGATAGATAGATAGACTTGTTTTATATCTCTGATGGATTGGCCTGTTTATTATAATAATAACTGTAATAATTGTATCTTTCAACTGTAGAATATCTATTTATTTCTTTTTTATAATTTACATACCCTGTTGGAATCATCTATTTGATATGACACTATCTTCATACTTTCTTTTAATTATTTAATCATGGTATTGTTTAGTTCTCTGTATAATGTCTGTTTTAAAGTCTGTTAAATCCAACTTCTGGCACATTCACAAGCAGTTTATGTCACCTCCTTTTTTCCAATGTATAGGCAATAATTTCCTGTTTCTCTGCATATTTCATGTTTTTATTTGAAGCTGGATATTTTATATAGTATGTTGTAGTGACCTTCTCCCTCCTTCCCCCATTTTCTGGGCTTGTGGTTGTTATTTTCTTGATTAGTTGATTAATGACTGGCTGCTTTACTTTGGTGAAGACTATTTTCTCCTTACAGTGTCAAGCCTCTTAGATTGTTCCCCAGGGATTACAGTACTGGCTGGGTATGCTCACAGTCACCCCAAGGTGGCAGTGGTTTTCACCAGGATTCTCTTTGGTTCTTTTCCTGACCAACTCATCTGTCAAGATGCAATAATTGTTAACTGATTGCTATTAAAAATAAAAAAAAAACAATATCCTGGGGCTAAAATTACTTCATAGACTAGTAAGAATAATATATAAAATCAGATATGATCAGACAGCTTTAAGGCACTAAGGTTGACTTTAAGATGTCATGGCTTATAAAGCTTCCCTTGGAAAACTGGATTTGTACCTGGCTTTAAATGTTGTTTTAGAGGTAAGTAAAAAAGGCCACTTCTCGGAATGCCTAGGAACTTCAGGATATTTTGAGGACATCAAGAGAAGAGGAATTTGCCCAAATCTGTAGGTATTGCAACATCTGATGGCAAGTCCTTGCATTGGCTTCTTAGCCGCAGGAGGCTTTTAAAAGTCTAATCTGAGATTCTTTATGAAAAGTTCCATCAAAGCAAACTTAAAAAGGCTATGTGATCAACCACTATTCATGCTGCACTTATATAAGTAACCAGGACAAGTTTAATAAGACTGGTCTCATTTGGCAAACAAATTAGATTCACTTTATCTTTGAAAGAAATAGGGGTAATTGTAGAAAGAAAAATAATGTTTCAATGAAGATCTATGGCACACTTTTGTAGGCATTAAATGCTAGTCCTGCTCATTGTATTTAAGGTTTTGTTATGATCTTAAAACTAGAATTGACCCTAAATCACTCTAATTTCTTCAAACATCTGGCTACAGCTCTCCAAATTAACGTTTCCATTTTTATCCTACCCTTCTGGTTTGGAATTATTAAAAATTAAAACTGCTTTTTTTCCCAAAGACTAGCAGGTTGATGCTGGATTACGTCATATAAGCTTCAGATAAATTACAACTACAGATAATGTATAGATAATATTGTTGCCTGATGTTGCAAGGGCTACTCAGAAAATTCACTGCAAGATTCAATGTCATTGCTGGAGACACAGAGACATTTAAACTGCCCACAAGAAAATTTACAAATGGCCACTGGGCTACTGCCGTTCTCACTTTACCTTCTACAGATGCGTTGAACCCCACATCTAGAAATCTCAACTGGCAGCCCCGTGGATTCAGAAACTGTATTTCTAATGATTAATCTTTGTTTTTTGTTTTTTGCATTTTATAAAAATTCCCTTCATTAAACACATGACTGCTAGCACCGTCCATCAAATATCCTCTACTACTAAGTCCTAACATATGATTCAGCAAGTCCTTAAGAAACAAAAGGCAGCCAAACAAGAAAATTGGACTTCTATTACTTATAGGAATGAAGAGTGTCTCTTTTGTTCTCAAATAAGAAGGGGGAAATATAAAGATTTTTGGCTGACCAAACTTTAGTCAGGCTTCTGAACGTTTTCCTAGGCCCAACTATATACTTCTTAATTAAATTCAGTTTCATCATACAACACTGTTAAGTCAGTTGAGCAAGAACCCTTTCCCCCAACCTTGATTTCCTATCATCCTCTATTTTTGATCGGGTTCATCATCCTTTCCCCTTCCCAGGTGAAGTCTGTTCACCTCGCTTGTATTCATCAATAATCATGTCAGGTTGTTTCAACCAGAATCACCCTTACCCATGATGATTTTTCTTTGTAATTTTCCATCCACAGAGCCCTGCACTGATCCTCGGCTATAAACTCACACTTGCTCACGCTGTATTTGGAGTTGAACCCAATCTCACTCTCCCACTGCAAAATCTCTTTGCCATGGTCCACATACCCATTGTAATGGTACTGAACAGTCTTCCTTACCATGCTTTAGAAAGTTTTATTGAATAAATTTGTCTTTATCACTCTTATCGCCAAAACTGTGCTCAAAATGATGGCTTTTATAACCATATGCTTGTACACTTCTATAATGTTATCACTTAATGCCTTTAAACATTCTCATATTTCTCATTTCAGAACAGAATAATTAGCTGTCTCTGAATCTCTGTAATATGTTCCTGATTTCTTAACTTGATTTCAGTAAAGGTTCTACTCCATGATTATCGATGACTTTCAAGTGATAATCCAAAATACATATTTTTTTCTTTATTGTATTCATCGTAACTTCTCATAACCAGAGTCTCCAATTGTTCCTTTCTCTTTAAGAGTTCCTTCTTCATTAAAAAGTATTTTTTTAAAAAATTTTTTATTTAGCTTTTATTTTAGGTTCAGGGTTACATGTGCAGGTTATATAGGTAAACTCTTTTTTTTAAATTTATTATTATTATACTTTAAGTTTTAGGGTACATGTGCACAATGTGCAGGTTAGGTACATATGTATACATGTGCCATGCTGGTGTGCTGCACCCACTAAGTCGTCATCTAGCATTAGGTATATCTCCCAGTGCTATCCCTTCCCCCTCCCCCGACCCCACAACAGTCCCCAGAGTGTGATGTTCCCCTTCCTGTGTCCATGTGTTCTCATTGTTCAATTCCCACCTATGAGTGAGAATATGCGGTGTTTGGTTTTTTGTGCTTGCGATAGTTTACTGAGAATGATGATTTCCAATTTCATCCATGTCCCTACAAAGGACGTGAACTCATCCTTTTTTATGGCTGCATAGTATTCCATGGTGTATATGTGCCACATTTTCTTAATCCAGTCTATCATTGTTGGACATTTGGGTTGGTTCCAAGTCTTTGCTATTGTGAATAATGCCGCAATAAACATACGTGTGCATGTGTCTTTATAGCAGCATGATTTATAGTCCTTTGGGTATATACCCAGTAATGGCATGGCTGGGTCAAATGGTATTTCTAGTTCTAGATCCCTGAGGAATCGCCACACTGACTTCCACAATGGTTGAACTAGTTTACAGTCCCACCAACAGTGTAAAACTGTTCCTATTTCTCCACATCCTCTCCAGCACCTGTTGTTTCCTGACTTTTTAATGATTGCCATTCTAACTAGTGTGAGATGGTATCTCACTGTGGTTTTGATTTGCATTTCTCTGATGGCCAGTGATGGTGAGCATTTTTTCATGTGTTTTTTGGCTGCATAAATGTCTTCTTTTGAGGAGTGTCAGTTCATGTCCTTCGCCCACTTTTTGATGGGGTTGTTTGTTTTTTTCTTGTAAATTTGTTTGAGTTCATTGTAGATTCTGGATATTAGCCCTTTGTCAAATGAGTAGGTTGCAAAAATTTTCTCCGATTTTGTATGTTGCCTGTTCACTCTGATGGTAGTTTCTTTTGCTGTGCAGAAGCTCTTTAGTTTAATTAGATCCCATTTGTCAATTTTGGCTTTTGTTGCCATAGCTTTTGGTGTTTTAGACATGAAGTCCTTGCCCATGCCTATGTCCTGAATGGTAATGCCTAGGTTTTCTTCTAAGGGTTTTATGGTTTTAGGTCTAACGTTTAAGTCTTTAATCCATCTTGAATTGATTTTTGTATAAGGTGTGAGGAAGGGATCCGGTTTCAGCTTTCTACATATGGCTAGCCAGTTTTCCCAGCACCATTTATTAAATAGGGGATCCTTTCCCCATTGCTTGTTTTTCTCAGGTTTGTCAAAGATCAGATAGTTGTAGATATGCGGCATTATTTCTGAGGGCTCTGTTCTGTTCCATTGATCTATATCTCTGTTTTGGTACCAGTACCATGCTGTTTTGGTTACTGTAGCCTTGTAGAATAGTTTGAAGTCAGGTAGTGTGATGCCTCCAGCTTTATTCTTTTGGCTTAGGATTGACTTGGCGATGCGGGCTCTTTTTTGGTTCCATATGAACTTTAAAGTAGTTTTTTGCAATTCTGTGAAGAAAGTCATTGGTAGCTTGATGGGGATGGCATTGAATCTGTAAATTACCTTGGGCAGTATGGCCATTTTCATGATATTGATTCTTCCTACCCATGAGCATGGAATGTTCTTCCATTTGTTTGTATCTTCTTTTATTTCCTTGAGCAATGGTTTGTAGTTCTCCTTGAAGAGGTCCTTCACATCCCTTGTAAGTTGGATTCCTAGGTATTTTATTCTCTTTGAAGCAATTGTGAATGGGAGTTCACTCATGATTTGGCTCTCTGTTTGTCTGTTGTTGTTGTATAAGAATGCTTGTGATTTTTGTACATTGATTTTGTGTCCTGAGACTTTGCTGAAGTTGCTTATCAGCTTAAGGAGATTTTGGGCTGAGACAATGGGGTTTTCTAGATATACAATCATGTCGTCTGCAAACAGGGACAATTTGACTTCCTCTTTTCCTACTTGAATACCCTTTATTTCCTTCTCCTGCCTAATTGCCCTGGCCAGAACTTCCAACAATATGTTGAATCGGAGTGGTGAGAGAGGGCATCCCTGTCTTGTGTCAGTTTTCAAAGGGAATTCTTCCAGTTTTTGCCCATTCAGTATGATATTGGCTGTGGGTTTGTCATAGATAGCTCTTATTATTTTGAAATACGTCCCATCAATACCTAATTTATTGAGAGTTTTTAGCATGAAGGGTTGTTGAATATTGTCAAAGGCTTTTTCTGCATCTATTGAGATAATCATGTGGTTTTTGTCTTTGGTTCTGTTTATATGCTGGATTACATTTATTGATTTGCGTATATTGAACCAGCCTTGCATTCCAGGGATGAAGCCCACTTGATCATGGTGGATAAGCTTTTTAATGTGCTGCTGGATTCGGTTTGACAGTATTTTATTGAGGATTTTTGCATCAGTGTTCATCAAGGATATTGGTCTAAGATTCTCTTTTTTGGTTGTATCTCTGCCCGGCTTTGGTATCAGGATGATGCTGGTCTCATAAAATGAGTTAGGGAGGATTCCCTCTTTTTCTATTGATCGGAATAGTTTCAGAAGGAATAGTACCAGTTCCTCCTTGTACCTCTGGTAGAATTTGGCTGTGAATCCATCTAGTCCTGAACTCTTTTTGGTTGGTCAGCTATTGATTATTGCCACAATTTCAGCTCCTGTTATTGGTCTATTCAGAGATTCAACTTCTTCCTGGTTTAGTCTTGGGAGAGTGTATGTATCGAGGAATTTATCCATTTCTTCTAGATTTTCTAGTTTATTTGCTTAGAGGTGTTTGTAGTATTCACTGATGGTAGTTTATATTTCTGTGGGATCGGTGGTGATATCCCCTTTATCATTTTTTATTGTGTCTATTTGATTCGTCTCTCTTTTTTTCTTTGTTAGTCTTTCTAGTGGTCTATCAATTTTGTGGATCCTTTCAAAAAACCAGCTCCTGGATTCATTAATTTTTTGAAGGGTTTTTTGTGTCTCTATTTCCTTCAGTTCTGCTCTGATTTTAGTTATTTCTTGCCTTCTGCTCTGCTAGCTTTTGAATGTGTTTGCTCTTGCTTTTCTAGTTCTTTTAATTGTGATGTTAGGGTGTCAATTTTGGATCTTTCCTGCTTTCTCTTGTGGGCATTTAGTGCTATAAATTTCCCTCTACACACTGCTTTGAGTGCACCCTAGAGATTCTGGTATGTTGTGTCTTTGTTCTCATTGGTTTCAAAGAACATCTTTATTTCTGCCTTCATTTCGTTATGTACCCAGTAGTCATTCAGGAGCAGGTTGTTCAGTCTCCATGTAGTTGAGCGGTTTTGAGTGAGATTCTTAATCCTGAGTTCTAGTTTGATTGCACTGTGGTCTGAGAGATAGTTTGTTATAATGTCTGTTCTTTTACATTTGCTGAGGAGAGCTTTACTTCCCAGTATGTGGTCAATTTTGGAATAGGTGTGGTGTGATGCTGAAAAAAATGTATATTCTGTTGATTTGGGGTGGAGAGTTCTGTAGATGTCTATTAGGTCCGTTTGGTGCAGAGCTGAGTTCAATTCCTGGGTATCCTTGTTGACTTTCTGTCTTGTTGATCTGTCTAATGTTGACAGTGGGGTGTTAAAGTCTCCCATTATTAATGTGTGGGAGTCTAAGTCTCTTTGTAGGTCACTCAGGACTTGCTTTATGAATCTTGGTGCTGCTGTATTGGGTGCATATATATTTAGGATAGTTAGCTCTTCTTGTTGAATTGATCCCTTTACCATTATGTAATGGCCTTCTTTGTCTCTTTTGATCTTTGTTGGTTTAAAGTCTGTTTTATCAGAGACTAGGATTGCAACCCCTGCCTTTTTTTGTTTTCCATTGGCTTGGTAGATCTTCCTCCATCCTTTTATTTTGAGCCTATGTGTGTCTCTGCACGTGAGATGGGTTTCCTGAATACAGCACACTGATGGGTCTTGACTCTTTATCCAATTTGCCAGTCTGTGTCTTTTAATTGGAGCATTTAGTCCATTTACATTTAAAGTTAATATTGTTATGTGTGAATTTGATCCTGTCGTTATGATGTTAGCTGGTTATTTTGCTCGTTAGTTGATGCAGTTTCTTCCTAGTCTCGATGGTCTTTACATTTTGGCATGATTTTCCAGCGGCTGGTATCGGTTGTTCCTTTCCATGTTTAGTGCTTCCTTCAGGAGCTCTTTTAGGGCAGGCCTGGTGTTGACAAAATCTCTCAGCATTTGCTTGTCTGTAAAGTATTTTATTTCTCCTTCACTTATGAAGCTTAGTTTGGCTGGATATGAAATTCTGGGTTGAAAATTCTTGTCTTTAAGAATGTTGAATATTGGCCCCCACTCTCTTCTGGCTTGTAGAGTTTCTGCCGAGAGATCCGCTGTTAGTCTGATGGGCTTCTTTTTGAGGGTAACCCGACCTTTCTCTCTGGCTGCCCTTAACATTTTTTCCTTCATTTCAACTTTGGTGAATCTGACAATTATGTGTCTTGGAGTTACTCTTCTCGAGGAGTATCTTTGTGGTGTTCTCTGTATTTCCTGAATCTGAATGTTGGCCTGCCTTGCTAGATTGGGGAAGTTCTCCTGGATGATATCCTCCAGAGTGTTTTCCAACTTGTTTCCATTCTCCCCGTCACTTTCAGGTACACCAATCAGACATAGATTTGGTCTTTTCACATAGTCCCATATTTCTTGGAGGCTTTGCTCATTTCTTTTTATTCTTTTTTCTCTAAACTTCCCTTCTCGCTTCATTTCATTCGCTTCATCTTCCATCACTGATACCCTTTCTTCCAGTTGATTGCATCAGCTCCTGAGGCTTCTGCATTCTTCACGTAGTTCTCAAGCCTTGGTTTTCAGCTCCATCAGCTCCTTTAAGCACTTCTCTGTATTGGTTATTCTAGTTACACATTCTTCTAAACTTTTTTCAAAGTTTTCAACTTCTTTGCCTTTGGTTTGAATTTCCTCCCATAGCTCGGAGTAATTTGATCTTCTGAAGCCTTCTTCTCTCAGCTTGTCAAAGTCATTCTCCGTCCAGCTTTGTTCCATTGCTAGTGAGGAACTGTGTTCCTTTGGAGGAGGAGAGGCGCTCTGCTTTTTAGAGTTTCCAGTTTTTCTGTTCTGTTTTTTCCCCATCTTTGTGGTTTTATCTACTTTTGGTCTTTGATGATGGTGACGTACAGATGGGTTTTTGGTGTGGATGTTCTTTCTGTTTGTTAATTTTCCTTCTAACAGACAGGACCCTCAGCTGCAGGTCTGTTGGAGTACCCAGCTGTGTGAGGTGTCAGTCTGCCCCTGCTGGGGGGTGCCTCCTAGTTAGGCTGCTCGGGGGTCAGGGGTCAGGGACCCACTTGAGGAGGCAGTCTTCCTGTTCTCAGATCTCCAGGTGCATGCTGGGAGAACCACTGCTCTCTTCAAAGCTGTCAGACAGGGACATTTAAGTCTGCAGAGGTTACTACTGCTGTCTTTTTGTTTGTCTGTGCCCTGCCCCCAGAGGTGGAGCCTATAGAGGCAGGCAGGCCTCCTTGAGCTGTGATGGGCTCCACCCAGTTCTAGCTTCCTGGCTGCTTTATTTACCTAAGCAAGCCTGGGCAATGGCGGGCGCCCCTCCCCCAGCCTCGCTGCCACCTTGCAGTTTGATCTCAGACTTCTGTGCTAGCAATCAGCAAGACTCCGTGAGCATAGGACCCTCCGAGCCATGTGCGGGATATAATCTCCTGGTGCGCCGTTTTTTAAGCCCATCGGAAAAGCGCAGTATTCGGGTGGGAGTGACCCAATTTTCCAGGTGCTGTCTGTCACCCCTTTCTTTGACTAGGAAAGGGAACTCCCTGACCCCTTGTGCTTCCCGAGTGAGGCAAGGCCTCGCCCTGCTTCGGCTCATGCACGGTGCACGCACCCACTGACCTGCGCCCACTGTCTGGCACTCCCTAGTGAGATGAACCCGGTACCTCAGATGGAATTGCAGAAATCGCCCGTCTGCTACGTCGCTCACACTGGGAGCTGTAGACAGGAGCTATTCCTATTTGGCCATCTTGGTTCCTCCCCCCTAAAAAGTATTTTTAATTGACAAATAATAATTGTCTATATTTATGGGTTAAAATATGATGCTTTGATACAAATACACATTGTGGAATGATCATGTCAGGCTCATTTACATATCAGTTACCTCACATACTTATTTCATTGTGATTAGAACACTAAAATCCACTCTCTTAGCTGGAACTTACAAGAGTAGTGAGAGTGGGCATCCTTGTCTTGTTTCAGTTTTCTCCCTTCACTATGTTGTTAGCTGTCAATTTGTCATTTATGTACTTTATTGGTCTGAGGTACCTACTTTCTATACCTGATTTAATGAAAACTTTTATCATAAAGCCGCACTGAATTTTATCAAATACTTTTTTTGCATTTATCAAGATAATTATATTATTTTTTCCTTCATTTTATTGATGTGATATGTGATGGTTAGTGATTTATTTATGCTGGAACATCCTTCCATTTCTGGGAAATCCAATTTGATCATAGTGTAGTATCTTTTTGACATCTTGTTGGATTTGGTCTGCTATTGTTTTGTTGAGAATTTTCTCATCTGTGTGTATCAGAGATATTGGCCTCCTAGCCAGAAAAAAATAAGGAAAAGGAAGAATAAAAGATATCCAAACTGGAAAAGAGGAAGTCAAATTGTTCCTGCTTGCAGATTACATGATGTCATATAGAGAATAACCTAAAAGCTCTACCAAAAACTCTTATAGCTGATAAACAAATTCAAAAAATTGCAGGATACAACATAAATATAAAAAATCAGTAGCATTTCTATGCAGGAACAACAAACTAGCTGAATAAAAAAAAAATCAAGACTGCAATCCCCTTTTCAACAGATAAAAAATAAATAATAGAATGCTATTCAGCCTTAACAAAGAAAATGTTATGTCTAGAGGACATTATGCTATGTCAATAAGCCAGGCACAGAAAGAGAATTGCCATATTCTTCACTTATATGTAGAATCTAAAAATGTGGAGCTGATAGAAGTAGAGAGTAGAATGAAGGTTACCAGAGGCTGGTTGGGGTAAAATGGAGAAAGGGAAGATAACAGTCAAAGGGTACAAAGTTCTAAATAGACACTTCTTCATCACTTTTATAAATTTCATCTTCACAAATTTCTGTATACTTATATTCCATAGGCTGCTTCTCCGTATATTTTCTTATCCTTAAAAGGTAGTTTCACATCAAATCAACAAAACCACCCAGTAGTCTCAACTCAGAAGCAAGTGATACATCAAGGTGCCAGAAAATGTACCTCACAGGTATTTTATCATATTGATATATTCACTGCTTCTCTCAACCAAAAGCAAGCAGGATTGTTTTAGTACTTCCCTAGGTTAGTGGTCAAATATTTTTGATCTCCATTAATGAGTTAGAAGCTCAGGCTAAGGTATTGGCTTGATTCAGAAGCCTGGCTCCTTCCTACATTAAAAGTGGAAAAGTCAGACTGTGAGAGAAATGTCAATATTCTTACAATGGATAAAAATGGATAATCTGTGATATTCATAGATGGAAGATGGAAGATGTAAACTGCACAGACTTTTTTGGTTCTATTATTTAAACAGCTTTAAATAAATCAGCTTGTGCAAATAATAGCTTCAGCCTGCTGGTATTGAAAGCACAAATGTGTTTCCTGAAAATTGCTAACAGAGTAAATCGTAAGTGTTCTCACCACAAAAATATTAAGTATGTAAGGTCTTGCATCTGTTAATTAATCCAATTTAGCCATTCATATTTCAAAACATGTACATTCCTATTCCACTTGGCTGTGTTCCTTAGATCATTACAAGAGATGCTTTGATTTAAACTCTCTTCACTTTAAGCACTTGAAAAAAATTCATATAGGCCGGGCGCGGTGGCTCACACCTATAATCCCAGCACTTTGGGAGGCTGATGCGGGCGGATCACAAGGTCAGGAGATCGAGACCATCCTGGCTATCACAGTGAAACCCCGTCTGTACTAAAAAAAAAAAAAAATAGCCGGGCATGGTGGCGGGCACCTGTAGTCCCATCTACTCGGGAGGCTGAGGCAGGAGAATGGCGTGAACCCAGGAGGTGGAGCTTGCAGTGAGCCGAGATCGCGCCACTGCAGTCCAGCCTGGGCAACAGTGTGAGACTCTGTCTCAAAAAAAAAAAAAATTATATATTGCCTCACAGCAGCAGCATGATGAGCATCATCTTCCATGTCAGACGTCATAATCCTGAAAGTCAAGACAAAGTGGACAACAAAATTATGCATTTGGAGTTGCTACTAAGTAAATCCAAATTATTTTCAAATTCTTTCAGTGCAGATCTTTCTCTTCTGTAAGTGCAGAATCCCTTCTCTGTCAATTACCATTATACAAAGTAAACATCAGGTATATAGCATTGTTTTCATAGATGTCATTTGCAAAGCTAGATTTATATTCATATTATAAACAGTTATAATTGCCTTATAGGTTCTTCTTTCCTACTGCACAGATAAAACCAATTCACAGAGACAGCAGTATTTCAGTAGAGAAAGAGTTCAATAATCACAGGGCTTGCCTAGCGGAAGGACAAGAGTTATTACTCAAATCAGCCTCCCTGAAAACTCAGAGGCTAGAGTTTTTTAAGGATAGTTTGATGGGCAGGGTCTAGGGAATGGGGAATGCTGATTGGTTGGAATGGGGATGAGATCACAGGAGGCCAAAGTTGTCTTCTTCCACTGAGTCAGTCCCTTCATGGGGGAGTCACAAGATTTTATGAGCCAGTTTCTTAGTATGGGTTACTAATCTAAATGGTGCCAGCTAGTCCATCAAAAGTACCAATCTAAATGGTGCCAGCTAGTCCATCAAAAGTGTGGAGTCTGCAATATACCTCAAACACCAATCTTAGGTTTCATAATAGTGATATTATCTATAGAAGCAACTGGAAAGGTTACAAATCTTGCCACTTCTGGCTACATGGACTCCTAAATCATAATTATCACTTATCACTTTTGTCTTAAACTATAAACTAAATTCCTCCCATAGTTCACTTGGCCTATGTCCAGAAATGAACCAGGTCAGCTTGAAGGTTAGAAGCAACACAGAGTCGTCTATGTCAGATTTTTTGAATGCCGTAATTTTTCTACGTCAGATTTCTCTCACTGTCATAATTTTTGCAAAGATGATTTCAGAATGCTTTTCTTTAAAATAGACATACAAATTACACAAAATACGAAGGCCACAACTCGCTTTATTTTTACATCCCCAGAAAGAATTGTGACATTTGCAAGGTGTGTCTATCACAATCTCATAGTTTAAAAATAGATTTACAACATATATTTCCCATAAATATTTTCTCAAAGAGCAAGCATTTTCAATAATGTTAAAATTAACAGTTTGCTTTAAAAATAGCATCTGACACAGCCTCTCTAACTTTCATCAGAATCTATGAAGTCAGAGGAAAATGAAAAAACACATAACACAATCTTTGGCTTAGATCTTTGCATCCATCAGAGAAGAAATTTACCTAACCCAAGGACAGTGGAATTTCACTGAGAGAAGTGATTGACAGCTTCTTGTTCTTTGTGGTATGGCATAAAAGTAGATTAAGAAAACCAGTTTTTCATCTTCATTTTCTATAGCCCTATGGTAACAACCTTACAGATTTTTTTTGCAGCATGGGTGCTGCGTTTTTATGTAGCCACAGCAATGTGCACCCTCTTTGCTATTAGAACTTCTTTGAATGTAACAGGTTAGAGAATGGAACAGCTAGATAATACTTGTATAAAATTAATCTGAGGTTTAGAAGAGAAGTGGAGATGGCAACTAACAATAAATTATTTCACATTGGTGGTAAAATTACCACAACTAAAGAACAAGCATAAATTTGTGGAAAGAGTTTTGATAATAAAGAAACTAGGAATTGCAATTTCTAATATTTTTCAAACAGTAGACTATACCAATAGTGGTGGAAGACATGCCCATCTAAAGTTAAGTTAAATAAAGTTAAGTAAGAACAATTTATTATTTTTAATGGGAATGTTTTTATAAAACTGTAGCAGAATAGAATAAAAAAGGGAGAAGGTGAATTAAAAATAACAGGATAAAATTAAATGAGAGATAAATGTGAAAAGGAAATATTGAAAAGCAACGTAGGTAACAGAAACAAACATTAAATACATAATAAAGAAAATAAAGGAGAATTTTGTTTTGTAGAAAATCCAATCGGTGAAGTAGAGAACAAATGTAATTAGATGTTCTAAAATGTAGAGTAGAAGAACAGGAGTCACAATAGATGTGATTAATAATGGGAGATATAAAAGGCAGATTAGATATCTAGCCTGGCAATGTTAAATTTCTTTAGAGAAGCACATTTTAAAAATTGAGACATTAACTATGTTCAAACAATGACCAGAAATATTGTCTGAACTTAAAGTATGAGTATTTACATTTAAAGGTTTACTATAGTCTGAATGAAATACATTAAGGATATTTAGACAAAGTATTTAACATAGATGATGCTCAGGGGATTCATAATGGCTGTAATTTGAATAGCCATTTACCAGGATATAGTAAACAATAGCAAGCAATTTTTAATAAATTTTAATTATAAAGATAAAATATAATTTACACATACAGAATCAGAAATAGATTAAGCTACAATAAATATTTAGAAGATTATCCATTATCTGACTCCTTTAACAATAAATAACATAAGATCTAATAAAAATTGGCTACAATAGTTGTACTTGTTCAAGTTTCCTATTTGGTGAAAATAGAAGATATTTAAATATAGTATGCTTCAAGAGAATAGATGAACAACTTTTAAAAAAATATTTGAAGATGAACTGCGCCAATGAGAAATGAATCACACTTTACAATATAAAAGGCAAATTTGAAAAATGATAGCATTAACATCAATTAAACATCATTAAACTTGGACATAATTGGCTACAAAAGGAAATGGAAATGTCACAAATATTTATTAAAATAATAAGAAAGCCTAAAACAATTCAGTAACAATAAGCAATGGAAAGAAAACAAGCAGATTCTATTAAGGATATTTAAAATAGAGGAAGGGTTTTCCAGTGAGGAATAATAGTGTACACTTTTCCTTAAATATCCAAAAGATAACATCAAAATATAAAATTTAGTCTTCAATTCAATCTAACCGTTATTGTTTTAATTTTCTTTTATATGTAATAAATTGCACATCTCTAAAAAATGTAAAAATGTTAGAAGGAGCAGAAGCAAAATGTGAAATTTTTATCCTTGGCTCCATGTAATTGCTACTTCCAGACACTTCGTTAGAGTTAACCTTTGTTAATGATAATCCTGAATTGTATTCTTTACTACTCTCCAGTAGAAAAGACAGAATATCCAACTCTAATTGACCTAAAAAAGATAAAATTTTTTGGCTCATATAACTGAAAATTCCAGATTATATTCTGGAACTTCACTGAGGTTTCATTAGGTGCTTTAAAAAAAGTCACTACTACTTAATTTTTCTTTCTCTCTATGATCTTTCACAATATCAGCAAAATTGAAAGACTGCACAGGGTCCATGAGCAGATCTAGATTTTCTTCCTAATACTCTTAATGTAACCATTGAAATTGTAGACTCCACCTTTCAACAAAAAGCTTTCCTATATAAAAGAGTCTTTTAGATATTGGGAGAAGAAAATGGAAGCTTGTTTGTTAATGCATTATTTTAATGTAGTGAAACCAGCTGATATGATTTTGTTGTGTCCCCACCCAAATCTCGTCTTGAATTGTAGCTCCCATAATTCCCATGTGTCATGGGAGGGAGATGGTGGGATGTAATTGTATCATGAGAGTGTGTCTTTCCTGTGTTGTTCTCATGATAGCGATTCAGCCTCACAAGATCGGATGGTTTTATAAAGGGGAGTTCCCCTACACAAGCTGTCTTGCTTGCCACCATGTAAGACATGCATTTGCTCCTCCTTTGCCTTCTGCCATGACTGAGAGCCCTCCCCAGCCATGTGGAACTGTGAGTCCATTAAACCTCTTTCCTTTATAAATTACCCAACCTCAGATATATGTTTATTAGCAGTGTGAGAAGAGACTAATACAGTAAATTGATACTGGGTAGTGGGACACAGCTGTAAAGATACCTGAAAATGTGAAGGCAACTTTGGAACTGGGTAACAGGCAGAGGTTGGAACAGTTTGGAGGGCTCAGAAAAAGACAGGAAAATGTGGAAAAGTTTGGAACTTCCTAGAAATTTCTTTTTTTAAAAAAAAAAATTTTACTTTTAGTTCTGGGATACATATCCAGAACGTTCAGGTTTGTAACATAGGTATACATGTGCCTTGGTGGTTTGCTGCACCCATTAACCCATCATGTAGGTTTTAAGCCCTGCATGCATTAGGTATTTCTCCTAACGCTATCTCTCCCCTTGCCCCCAGCCCCCAACAGGCCCTGGTGTGTGATATTCCCCTCCCTCTGCCCATGTTTTCTCATTGTTGAACTCTCACTTATGAGGGAGAACATGAGGTGTTTGTTTTTCTGTTCCTGTGTTAGTTTGCTGAGGATGATGGCTTCCAGCTTCATCCATGTCCCTGCAAAGGACATGAACTTACTTTTTTATGGCTGCATAGTATTCCATGGCATATATGTACCACATTTTCTTTATCCAGTCTATCATTGATGGGCATTTGGGTTGATTCCAAGTCTTTGCTATTGTAAATAGTGCTGCAATAAACATATGTGTGCATGTGTCTTTACAGTAGAATGATTTATAATCCTTTAGGTATGTACCCAGCAATGGGATTGCTGGGTCAAATGGTATTTTTGGTTCTAGATCCTTGAGGAATCGCCACACTGTCTTCCACAATGGTTGAACTAATTTACACTCCCACCAACAGTGTAAAAGTTTTCCTATTTCTTCACATCCTCTCCACCATCTGTAGGGATATTTATAGCACTAAATGCCCACATCAGAAAGTGGGAAAGATCTAAAAATGACACCCTAACATCACAATTAAAAGAACTAGAGAAGCAAGAGCAAACAAATTTAAAAGCTAGCAGAAGACAAGAAATAACTAAGGTCAGAGCAGAACTGAAGGAGAGACATGAAGAAATTCTTCAAATAATCAATGAATCCAGGGGCTATTTTTTTGAAAAGATTAACAAAATAGATAGACGGCTAGCCAGAGTAATAAACAAGAAAAGAGAGAAGAATCAAACCGACACAATAAAAATGATAAAGGGGATATTGCCACTGATCCCACAGAAATGCAAACTACCATCAGAGAATACTATAAACAACTCTACGCAAATAAACTAGAAAATCTAGAAGAAATGGATAAATTCCTGAAAACATACACCCTCCCAAGACTAAACCAGGAGGAGCTGAATCCCTGAATAGGCCGATAACAAATTCTGAAATTAAAGCAGTAATTAATAGCCTGCCAACCCAAAAAAAAAAAAAAAAAAAAAAAGCCCAGGACCAGATGGAGTCACAGCCAAATTCTACCAGAGGTACAAACAGGAGCTGGTACCATCCTTTCTGAAACTATTCCAAACAATAGAAAAAGTGAGACTCCACCCTAATTCATTTTATGGAACCAGCATCATCCTGATACCAAAGGCTGGCAGAGACACAACAATCAATAAAAGAAAATTTCAGGCCAATATCCCTGATGAACATCGATGTGAAAATCCTCAATAAAATACTGGCCAAATGAATCCAGCAGCACATCAAAAACTTATCCACCACGATCAAGCCAGCTTCATCCCTGAGATGCAAGGCTGGTTCAACATACACAAATCAATAAACACAATCCATCACATAAACATAACCAATGACAAAAACCACATAATTATCTCGATAGATGCAGAAAAGGCCTTCAAAACAATTTAACACTCCTTCATGCTAAAAACACTGAATAAACTAGGTATTGATGAAACATATCTCAAAATAATAAGAGCTGTTTATGACAAATCTATAGTCAATATCATACTGAATGGACAAAAGCTAAAAGCATTCCCTTTGAAAACCAGCACAAGACAAGAATGCCTTCTCTCACCACTCCTATTCAACATAGTATTGGAAGTTCTGGCCAGGGCACTCAGGCAAGAGAAAAAAATAAAGGACATTTAATAGGAAGACAGGAAGTCAAATTATCTCTGTTTGCAGATGACATGACTGTATATTTAGAAAACCCATCATCTCAGCCCAAAAACTCCTTTAGCTGATAAGCAGCTTCAGCAAAATCTCAGGATAGAGATTAAATGGCTTTGACCAAAATGCTGATAGTGACATGGACAATAGAGTCTAGGCCAAGGTGGTCTCAGTTGAAGATGAGGAACTTGTTGGGAACTGGAGCAAAGATTACTCTTGCTATGCTAAGAAACTAGTGGCATTTTGCCTAGAGGTCTGTGTAACTTTTTGAGAGTGATGACTTAGGGTATCTGGTGGAATAAATTTCTAAGTAGAAAAGCATTCAAGGGGGAAGCAGAGCATAAACTTGAAAAATTTGCAGCCTGATGATGTGCAAAAAATAAAAAAAATAAAAAAACAAAAACAAAAAAACACCAGTTTTCTGAGGAGAAATTTAAGTTAGCTGCAGAAATTTGTATAAGTAATGGGGAGCAAAATGTTAATTGCCAAGACAATGGGGGTAAATGTCTCCAGGGCATGCCAGAAAATCTTCACAGCAGACCCTCCCATCACAGGCCTGAAGGCCTACGAGGGAAAAATGGTTTAGTGAGTCTGGCCCAGTGGTGCCTTACTGTTTGTGCAGCCTCAGGACTTGGTGCCCTGCAGCCCAGCCATGGCTAAAAGGGGCCAATGTACATCTCAGGCTCTTGTTTCAGAGGGTACAAGCCCCAAGACTTGGTGGCTTACACATGATGTTGGGCCTGTGGGTGCACAGAAATAAAGAATTGAGTTTTGAGAACCTCCACCTAGATTTCTGAGGATGTATGGAAACGCCTGGATGTCCAGGCAGTGGTGTGTTAGGGGTGGAACACTCATAAGGAACCTCTGCTAGGGCAGTGCAGAAGGGAAATGTAGGGTGGGAAGCCCCCACACAGAGTCCTCACTGTGGCACTGCCTAGCAGAGCTGTAAGAAGAGGGCCACCATCCTCCAGACCCCGGAATGGTAGATCCACTAACAGCTTGCATCATGCACCTGGAAAAGCCACAGACATTCAATGTTAGCCTTTGAAAGCAGCCAGGGTAGTGGGAACTGTACCCTGCAAGCCACAGGGGCAGAGCTACCCAAGACCATGGAAACCCACTTCTTGCATCAACATGACCTGGATGTGAGACATGAAGTCATTCTGGAGCTTTAAGATTTGACTGCCCCACTGGATTTTGGACTTGCATGGGGCCTATAGGCCCTTTGTTTTGGCTAATTTATCCCATTTGGAACAAGTGTATTTACCCAATGCCTGTATCCTTATTGTATCTAGAAAGTAAGTAACTTGCTTTTGATTTTACAGGCTTGGGGCAGAAGAGACTTGTCTTGTCTCAGATTAGACTTTGGACCGAGGGCTTTTGAGTTAATGCGGAAATGAGTTAAGACTTTTGTTGGACTGTTGGGAAGGCATGATTGGTTTTGAAATGTGAGGACATGAGATTTTGGAGGGGCTGGTGGCGGAATGATATTATTTGACTGTGTCTCCACCCAAATCTCATCTTGAGTTGTAGCTTCCATAATTTCCATGTATTGTGGGAGGAATCTGGAAGGAGGTAATTGAATCATGGCACTGGGTCTTTCCTGTGCTGTTCTTATGATAGTGAATAGGTTTCACAAGACCTGATGGTTTTATAGAGGGGAATTTCCCTGCACAGGCTATCTTGCCTGATGCCACGTAAGATGCGCCTTTTCTCCTCCTTTGCCTCTTCCCTGATTTTGAGGCCTCTCCAGCCATGTGGAATGTGAGTCAATTAAATCTCTATCCTTTATAAATTATCCAGTAATTTATAAAATTTGGTATGTCTTTCTTATATTCCCTTGGGTATGTCTTATATTTCCTTGGGTATGTCTTTATTAGCTGCAATGAGAACAGACTAATACTCCTGGCACCAAAATCTGTATTAGTCAGGGTTCTCTAAATGGATGGACTAATAGATGAATATATTTGAAGGGGTTTGACTCACATGATCACATGGTGGAGTCCCACAATATGCTGTCTGAAAGCTGAGGAGCCAGGAAGCCAGTCCCAGTCCCAAAACCTCAAAATTAAGGAAACCAACAGTACAGACTTCAGTCTGTGACCAAAGGCCTGAGAGCCCCTGGTAAATCAATGATATAAGTCCAAAACCTGAAGAGTCCAAAACCTGAAGAACTTGGAGTCTGATGCTCAAGGGCAGGAAGCATCCAGCACTGGAGAAAGAGGGAGGCCAGAAGACGCAGCAAGTGTCCTCTTTCCATGCCTGCTTTTATGCTTGCAGCTGATTAGATGGTGTCCACCCAGATTGAGGGTGAGTCTGTCTCTCCCAGTCCACTGACTCAAATGTTAATCTCCTTTGGCCACAAACTCACAGACACACCCAGGAACAATACTTTGCATCCTTCAGTGTAATCAAGCTGATGCCCAATATTAACCATCACATCAATCCAATGGTGCCATAGATAGTTTTTATGATTAAACATAGAAATTCACCCATCTGGTCATAAAGCTTGAAACTTACATTTGTTTTATCTGAGTTCCTTCCTCAGGAAATGACATTCGGGCCTCTCAAAAAAGTATCAGCTGGGTTCAACATCAATGATCATTAGAGAAATACCAATCAAAACCACAATGAGATATCATCTCATGCTAGTGAGAATGGCAAATATTAAAAAGTCAAGAAACAATAGATGCTGATGAGGCTGTGAAGAAATAGGAACGCTTTTACACTGTTAGCAGGAATGTAAATTATTTCAGTCATTATGGAAGACAGTATGGTGATTCCTCAAGGATTCATAACCAGGAATACCATTTGACCCAGCAATCTCATTATTGGGTATATATCCAAAAAATATAATTCATTCTACTATAAATACACATGCACACATATGTTTATTGCAGCACTATTTACAATAGCAAAGACATAGAAACAACCAAAATGCCCATCAATGATGGACTGGATAAAGAAAATGTGGCACATATATACACCATGGAATACTATGCAGCCATAAAAAGGAAAGAGATTATGTCTTTTGCAGGGATATGGATGAAAATGGAAGCCATTAGGCTGGGCGAGGTGGCTTATGCCTGTAATCCCAGCATGTGGGGAGGCCGAGGCTGGTGGATCACCTGAGGTCGGGTGTTTGAGACCAGCCTGATCAACATGGAGAAACCTTGTCTCTACTAAAAAGATAAAATTACCTGGGTGTGGTGGTGCATGCCTGTAATCCCAGCTACTTGGGAGGCTGAGGCAGGAGAATCGCTTGAACCCAGGAGGAGGAGGAGGTTGCAGTGAGCCGAGATCTTGCTTTTGCACTCCAGCCTGGGCAACAAGAGCGAAATTCCATCTCAAAAAAAAAAAAAAAAAGAAAAAAAAGAAAAGAAAATGGAAGCCATCATCTTCAGCAAACTAACACAGGAATAGAAATCCAAACACCACATGTTCACACTCATAAGTGGGAGGTGAGTGATGAGAACACATGGACACAGGGAGGGAAACAACACACACCAGGGCCTGTTTAGGGGAGTGTGGGGCGAGGGGAGGGAACTTGGAGGACAGGTTGATAGGGGCAGCAAACCACCATGGCATATATATACCTATGTAACAAACCTGCACATTCTGCACATGTGTCCCGGAACTTAAAGTAAAATAAAAGAAAATAGAAAATATCGACAAACTGAAACTCATCAGATCACATCCAATGAGATGCCTAGAACCCTTCATTCCTCATGATTGCTTCCTTGCCCTTCCCTAGTTCCTGTTTTCTTACACATTTTTACATTTCTTCCCGGCTACATAAATTCCTTATTTTAATTGGTCACAGAGATGGATTTGAGTTTGATCTCCCATCTCCTTGGGCTGCCGGACACAATTAGAGCCTTCTTCCTTGGTAATACTCATTGTCTCAGTGATTGGCTTTCTATGGAGTGAGTAGAAGGACCCAGAGAAAACCCCTGGTGTTTTGGTAGCAGTAGTAGTATCTGCAAAAGATGTTTCTTTTATTGACTATCTTCATATTAATTGCACATACCAAAAACAGTGGGGATGGAAGAGAATTCACTAACTGGAATGAATATAGAGACTATATATCAGGATTTTCAGGGACAGTGGGAGGTTTGCTAGGAGATATATGGTTTGTTCCTTTCAATATGCGTAATTATTAATTACACTCTCAAACATATCCAGATTTGGATCATAAATTACATGGGCACCTTTGCTTAAATCATAAAATACCTACCCTTGAAATGAAAAAACAAAAACAAAACATGTGACTGGGAAATTAGGATTAATGCTCTATAACACACCATACCGTATGTCTTTACATTCCTCTTTCCTATGAAATTAGAAACAGATAAACATATACGGCTTTTGAAAATTGATAGCACCATATTATCTATAGTATTGTCCTGTATTAAATGTAAAAATTTAACAACATATCTTCAATTTTTCCATGTCAATAAATTTGGTTTGATTTTACATTAAAAGCTGCATAGCACTGCATAAGTATAATCATATAAAATTTGCTTGATGCTTCCCCATTGATGGCTGCTTATTTCTTATTTTATTTTTAAAAGAGTGAAACAATATCCAACTGCTTCATGCATTTTTTTTTTGTGCCCACTTGGAGTATTTCTGCAAAACAGGTTCTGAGAAATAGAAATTATGAGTCAAATGGTATATAAATGGAGTGTTAATATTTAATAACATGCTGCTTTCCCAAAAGGTTTAACAAATTTATACTTCTACAAAATTGTGTATGTGCATTTTATTTCACATTCTCACCAATATATGATGTTATTAATCATTTTAGTAGTTCTTAATTGGTGGGTAAAATTCCATATTCATGTTTTCAGTTTATGTGATTAGCAGTAAGGTTAAGCATTTTTAAAATTTTATGAATTTTTAATTATATCATTTGTCTATTACTCTATTTCATAGTTTGTCTTCTTCTTACAGGTTTTAGTTCTTTTTTCTGGATACAAACCCTTAATTTATTTTTATTTTTTTGAGACAGTGTCTGTCTATCACCCAGGCAGGAGTTCAGTGGCACCATCATGGCTCACTGCAGCCTCGACCTGATGAGCTCAAATGATCTTCCCACCTCAGTCTTCCACGTAGCTGGGACTACAAGTGCATGCCCCCATTCCTCGCTAATTTTTTTTTTATTTATTTTTTTAGAGACAGGGTCCTACTGTGTCACTCACATTGGTCTTGAACTCCTGGGTTGAAGCCATTCTCCCACCTAGGCCTCCCAATATGCTTGGATTAAAGACATAAGCCACTGTTCTTGGCACTGGGTACATCATCTTTGCCTTAAACCTATGCTACATATATATTCCTGGGTCTAACATTTGCTTTATAAATACGTTTTTAGTTGATTTTGTAACATAGAATATTTTGGGGGAATAAAATACATCAGCCAATTTCTGTTTGCCTCGTGTGTATTTTATCCTGCCCACCTCGATTATGAAAATTAATTATTATTTTCTAAATATTATACAAAATATTTTCTATCTCAAATTCTTGCTTAATGTAAGGCAAAGTAGAAATACACTTTTTCATTGGGCAAATAACATAAATAGACACTTTTCAAACGAAGACATGTATGCAGCCAATAAGCATATAAAAAATGCTCAACATCACTAATCATTAGAGAAATGCAAATCAAAACCACAATGAATTACTATCTCACACCAATCAAAATGGCAGTTAGTAAAAAGTAAAAAAATAACAGATGCTGATGAGGTTGTGCCTCAAAGAGAACACTTATACACTGCTGGTGGGAGTGTAAATTAGTTAAGCCACTGTGGAAAGCTGTATGGCAATTCCTCAAAGAAATTAAAACAGGATTACCATTTCACCTAGCAATCCCATTATTGGGTATATACCCTCCAAAATATAAACTGTTCTACCATAGAGACACATTCATCCCTATGTTCACTGCAGCACTATCTACAATAGCAAAGACATAGAATCAACCTAAATACCCATAAATGGTAGACTGAATAAAGAAAATATGGTACATATACACCATGGCATACTATGAAGCCATGAAAAAGACTGAGATCATGTCCTTTGCAGCAACATGGATTGAGCTGGAGGCCATTATCCTAAGCAAACTAACACAGGACCAGAAAATCAAATGCTACATGTTGTCACTTATAAGTATGAGCTAAACAATTAGAACACCTGGATAGTAGGAGGGGAGCAGCAGACACTGGGGTCTACATGAGGGTGGAGGATGGGAGGAGGAAGAGAATCAGAAAAATAACTATCAGGTACTATGCTTATTACCCAGGTGACAAAATTATGTGTACACCAAATCCTTGTGACATGCAGTTTACCTACAAAACAAACCTGCACATGTACCACTGAAATTAAAATAAGTAAATAATAATAATTATTATAATTTAATTCGTATTAGAAAAAAGTGTTAACAAGTAAACATGTTTTCAAATATATAACAATTTTGCCACCATAGTTTATTGGAAAAAACTATAATTTCTCTTACATTGAATTTATAATTTCATTTTTCAAATTCTTTAAAGAGTTATTTGCATTTTGACTGCAACTGTGTAATATGTAGAGATTATATTGGTTAGAATTGACTTTTTACAATATTGATTTCACCATTCATAAACATGAAATTGTGCCTGCAAGTTTCTTATTTTTTATTTTTTATTTTTTTAGTTAATCTTTGTTGTCCTCTACTGAAGTATATCATTTTAGAGGCCCAATGCAGTCCTTCTCAGGTTTACACTTTGGTATTTTGCAGGACGTATAGTATTTACAAGGAAGTTGTTCCAATGTATTTGCTTTTTTTGCATTAAACATTTTATTTAATATTTTAACATAATATACAGCTCATTAATTGCAATATCTTTCCAGTATTTTCTCTTGGATACTCTGGGTAGAGTGTCATGTTAACTACTAACAATGTCTCTTTAATTTATTCCTTTTGAAAATACATTGTATATTATCAGTGAGAGATTCTAACCTTGCTTTTGATTTTAGAACAGATTTTCCTAATATTTCATGACTAAGTATGTTGTGTCTGGAAACTTATAAACTAACAGAGCAGAAAATATTTAGTAGATTATGACATAAATAATAATCACAATTTTCATTTATTTTTTGATGCTTGTATATGTCTCATAATATTAAATGAAAAATTTAGGTATGATACTACTTCTGTAAAATATATTATAAGAAATGATAAAGTATTTGTGTAGCAGTGTGCTCCTATATGTATATGGGTAAAACCTTGGAAAGAAAATTAGCAAAATATTACTAGAAAGTTGAATTAGTAATGATTAAATTAATAAAATGTTCTTCTTAGTGCCTTTATTTTACATCTCCTGAAATGTCTATGTATGATTTTATAACAAAAATAGAGAGAAGACATTGTTTTCTTTTTCTTCTAATACTCATGTTTAGAAGAGATATATATGTCTAAAATATTATAGATTAACATTAGTTATATATTATAGGTTATATATTTTATATACTTCTTATATCTTTAAGAGAAATGAAATCATATAAAGTATATATTTCGTTAAATGACTATCCAAAGTTATCCATATATATTCCACCTATAAATTTGGCATTTGAAAATAATATAATTATATCTAGTTTAAGAAATAAAGAGCATCTGGTTTAAAAAACGCATGGAATCTGGAGTGACATGGACTGAGGTTCAGGGTTGGTTCTTCCATTTTGGAGTTAGATTTTTTAATTTTGGACAGAAGAGTTAACATCTCAAAATCTCAGGATCCTCTGCTTTATTATGGGGATAAAAATGTCATGCTTCAAAGGAATAACATGAGCACTACATGGAGTTAAATAGTAGAGCCTGGCACTCATCAAAAGTTGGTTTATCTTTATTATATGCAATTGTAATATGTTTTCGTTGCTTTTGTTATTATTATAACTGCCATTATTATAATTACTATTGGCTTTCAGAAGAATGAGGATATCTGTTAATTCATTTTTCCCTGAGTATCCAACTTGATAAATTACATTAATGATAAAACCTACCAAATATAAGAACTCTCATTCTCCTAATCAAGAATAAAATTAAAGCAGTACATTCATTAAATGCATTGCAGTTGAACTGGAAGTTGCTGAATGCTATAGCAAGAGGAATTGGCAGTTATTCATAGCACCACATAAAAAGTAAGAGGCTTCATTGCAGTAAGTGATGGGCCATTTGCTGAATATTTTGGAGGGAAAGAAATTTAGCACTCTGACTCATGAAACTTCTACCCTTCAGATTTTTACAGCAAAATCAAAAAGATAATTACATATACCCCACTTAATGCTGCACAACACAGCACGGTAGCATACTAAGGGCCACTCTTCCCACATATTTTCCTAAAAATAACTACAGTATATTAGTATTCATATTTTGTTTACATTTTCTGTTATTGTATTCCTCAGAGATAATTACACTTAGCATGTCAGAATGTACAATGGCTGATATGGCAAGCTTGTGAGCATGACTGAAACATATGCAGATGCTCCCAGCCAGTGCTGTATTTCAAGTTGATTGTATATTGCTTAATACAGCTTGTCACCAGTATAACTTGTGCTCTAGTAGGACATAGTATGAACCGCAATGCCAAATAAGGCCAAATGCTATACCACTGGACCTTCCATACAGAAACAAGGGAAAGTATCATGCTGTTAAACTGGAAGTTTTCTAGTTGGTCAAGACACCTGTAGGGGAACAGGCTGAGCAATAAGAGGTTAAACACCAGTGGATGATAGGAGATTAATGGATGGAAATCACCTGGAAACACAAAGATCATAACAAACACCAAAGTAGCTTGTAATGATAAAAATGTGTATAATCAGTAGTCAGAAGAAACAATTGCTGAAAGTTCACTGTGCCTTTAGAAATATTGAAGAGATGAGGAAAATCCAAATCATCTCCATGGGGACTAGGTCATGGTGACCCTCAGAGTTAATGTGAGCTTCTTCTTCCAAAAACACATCCACTGCTGTAAATGATATATGTGCTGGTAAAAGCAAAGTTCCTGGTACAAGAAAGCAACAACCCAGTTCTGACCAAGACAGGGGGAAAAAAAATCTGAAGGAAAAATACAGAAAGGATCTGATAATTTGAAAATATAAAAAATAGAATTAGCCCTAAACAGTAGAGCAACTCTTCTCTTAGACCTTATCTATTTTAAAGTTTTCAATATTGTCCTAGTGAGAATAGAACTGTAAATATGTCAGAAATCCATTACTTATAAAACATGTCAGCGTGCACATTACGATTAAATTAACCATATAGGTAAATGCTTAGAGTTTTTATTTACTACTATAGCTTTAATCATTTTCAAGAAATTCCTTTGTCATCATTACATTTCAATTTAAATCATACATTAATGTCCTTTTCGTAAGTAAGTATCTGATGATGTAGACTGTGGTGTCTAGAGCAAAGGAACATGTTAAGCCCTAGTGACCTCCCTCCACAACTCAGAATGTTATTTTAACAGGATTTCTTTTTATTTGTTACCTGTTAAAGGTTTAACAATTTAATGGAGTTATAGAAAATCCCTCTTTATTTTCAGTTCTGAATATCTCAAAATTTCCCAAGTAAGGAAATTTTTATTTCATAGCTATTGCTGCGAAAATACAACAGAAATACTTTTTTGCTTAAAATTACAGCAGAAATACTTTTCTCTCAATAGATACAAAAAAAAGGATTTCAATTTAAAAGTCGACACCTATTTCTGTTAAAAACTCTTAATAGACTAGATATTAAATAAATATACCTCAAAATAATAAGAGCCATCTATGTCAAACCCATAGCCAACATTAAACTGAAATGGCAAAAGCTGGAGGCATCCCCCCTTGAAAACTGGTGCAAGACAAGAATGCTCTTTCTCACCAATTCTATGTAACAGTATTGGAAGTCCTAGACAGAGAAATTAGGCAAGAGAAAGAAATAAAGGGCATCCAAATAGGGAGAGAGAAAGTCAAACTATCTCTGTTTACAGATGACATGACTCTATATCTAGAAGACCCCATAGCCTTAAAGTAAAAGCTCTTACAGATGATAAACAACTTCAGCAAAGTCGCCTGATATAAAATTAATGTCCTCAAATCACTAGCATTTCTACACATCAACAGCAGCCAAACAGAGAGCCAAATCACAAAGGCAATCCCATTCATAACTGCCATAAAAAGAGTAAAATGCCTAAGAATACAGCAAACCAGGAAGGTGAAAAATCTCTACAAGGAAAATTACAAAACACTACTCAAAGAAATCAAAGACACAAACAAATGGAAAAAATATCCCATGCTCGCACATAGGAGAAACAATATCATTAAAATGACTACATTACCAAAAGCAATTTAAATATTCAATGCTATTTCTATCAAACTACCAATGGCATTCATTAAGAACAAGAAAAAACTATTTAAAAATCCGTATGAAACAAAAAAAGAGCTCAAATAGCCAAGGCAATCCTAAGCAAAAGGAATAAAGCTGGAAGCATCTCCTTATCCAACTTCAAACTATATGAAAAGGCTACAGTAACCAAAAAGCAGTATGGTATTGGTACAAAAACAGGAACTTAAACCAATGGAACAGAATAGATAGCCCAGAAATAAGGTCACACAACTATGACCATCTGATTTTTGATAAAGCTGACAAAAACAAGCAATGTGGAAAAGACTACCTATTCAATAAGTGGTACTTGATAATTGGCTAGCCATATGCAGAAGACTGAAGCTGGACCACTTCCTCATACCATATACAAAAATCAACTCAAGATTGATTAAAGATTTAAATGTAAAGCCCAAAATTATAAAAACCCTGAAGACACCTAGGCAATACCATCCTGGATGTAGAAACAGGCAAAGATTTCATGACAAACACCAAAAGAAATTGCAATAAAAGCAAAAATTGACAAGTGGGATCTGTTTAAACTTAAGAGCTTCTGCGAAGCAAAAACTATCAACGGAGTAAAGAGACAACCTAGAGAATGGGAGAAAATATTTGCAAACTATGCATCTGATAAAGGTCTAATATCCAGCATCTGTAAGGAACCTAAATACATTTACAAGAGAAAAACAACTCCTTTAAAAAGCGGGCAAAGGACCTGAAAAGACACTTCTCAAAAGAAGACATACATGATGTGGCCAAAAATCATGTGAAAAAAACCTCAATATCACTGATCATTAGAGAAATGCAAATCAAAACCATTGTGAGATACCATCTCACACCAGTCAGAATGGCTACTATAAAAAAAGTCAAAAAATAACAGATGCTGGTGAGCTTGCGGAGAAAAGAGAACACTTACACATTGTTGGTGGAAGTGTAAATTAGCTCAACCACTGTGGAAAACAGTATGGCGATTCCTCAAAGAACTAAGCAGAAATATCATTTGACCCGGCAATCTACTGAGTATATACCCAGAGGAATATAAATCATTCTGTCATCAAGGCACAGGCATGTGAATGTTCATTGCAGCACTCTTCACAATAGCAAAGCCATGGGATCAACATAAATGCTCATCAACGATAGATTGGTTAAAGGGAATGGGGTACACGGCAGGTCGCTGTGGCTCACGCCTGTAATCCCAGCACTTTGGGAGGCCGAGGCAGGCAGATCACGAGGTCAGGAGATCAAGACCATCCTGGCTAACACGGTGAATCCCCGTGTCTACTAAAAATACAAAAAAATTAGCCGGGCGTGGTGGTGGGTGCCTGTAGTCCCAGCTATTCGGGAGGCTGAGGCAGGAGAATGGCGTGAACCCGGGAGGCGGAGCTTGCGGTGAGCAGAGATCGCGCCACTGCACTCCAGCCTGGGTGACAGAGCTAGAGTCTGTCTCAAAAAAAAAGAAAAGAAAAAAAAAGAAAATGGGGTACACATACACCATGGAGTACTATGCAGCCAAAGCAAAGAACAAGATCATGTCTTTTGCAGGAACATGGATGGAGCAGGAGGCTATTTTCCTTAGAAAACTAATGCAGGAACAGAAAACCAAATACCACATTTTCTCACTTATAAGTGGGAGCTAAATGATAATACCTTATGAACTCAGAGAAGGAAACAGAAGACACTGAGGTCTACTTGAGTGGGGAGAGTGGGAGTAGGGAGAGAAGCAGAAAAGACAACTATCGGGTACTGGGCTTAATTTCTGGGTGATGAAATAATATGGACAACGAGGCCCTGTGAAATGTGTTTACCTGTGTAACAAAGGTACATGTGCCTCTAGACCTAGAATAAAAGCTAAAAGAAGAGTAGCTTCACGGGAAAAAAAAAAAAAAAGAAGAAGAAGAAGAAGAAGAAAGAAAAGATTAGTGGTTGTTAGGAGTTGGGGTTGGTGCCAAAGAAAGGAGGAAGGAATACACAGGTGGAGCACAGATTTCTAGAGCAGTGAAAGCATTTTGTACAATACTATAATGGCAGATAAATAGCTTTATCCAGTTGGCAAAACTTGTAGGACCTAACAACACAACAAGTGAAGCCGTATGTAAACTTTGGATTTTAGTTATGAATAGCTTATCAACATTGGTTCAACAGTCTTAACAAATGAACCACACCAGTGCATGGTGTTAAAATACAAAAAAACTGTAAGGAGAGTGGTAGTGGTGGTATTTAAGAACTTGCTGTACTTTCTGTTCATTTTTTTAATAAATCTAAATTGCTATAAGAAATAAACTCTAATAATTAAAAAAAAAAAAGAGAGGCAGGGATTTTCCACTGATAACAGGGCTACACATTCAGTCCATAAACCCTGACAGATGGTGATTCAAGCATGGCTTTGAAACTTGAAGTGAAAGAACTCACTCCCTCTAGGAACTGGCTAATTTACTTCTCCATATATCTGATCATTAGTACTCATTTTATCCCTCTACTCATTAGCATTGTGCATATACTTCAGTTTCTGAAAAAAATTCCCTTTGAACTACATAGTGCAGCAGTACATAACTCAATGTATGACCTTCTAATAGAGTCAAACTCCACTTAAACTATGTAAATGTGCTCTTTCTCAAATTTTCCCCAAGCAGAAATTATAAAAGTGTTTATGTTGCAAAATGAACTATGCATTCACAGTAAATAGATTTTATGTTAATTTTTAAAAAGTACCTAAGTAAATAGGTGCTAAAGGTTCATATGTTAGAAATCAAGTTTGGCATTTGATGAATATGGTAAAGTTCACAGCATGAGAATATAATACTTTTTGATAGAAGTATGCATTATACCGAATATTGCATGTTAAACCTTTAGTTCATCATCAATAATCTTGTTTTATCATTGACTGAAAAAAGTCAGGAATAAACCGTCACTTTGGAGCAGTCATGAGAATGAGCACTCCTATGATTGTAACACATTTGTAAAACTTACGTGTCTTATGGTGACATTTTTTTTAAATTTATTTATTTTTACCAAGTGACTAACTACAAATTCACTCAAAATCTACTCTCTAATTTCAACAGTAATTTAGTCACTTAGGAAGGAACATTAACTCTTTTAGGTTTCTAATAAACAATTTTCTTTGTTCTATCAAGGTATACTGAATTTTTATTTCTTTTTTAATTATACCTCAATCTCTCTTAGATTCACTTGAAAAATCTTTAAGATCAGAGTTTTTAAATTATTATAAGCTTAAATTGTCAGTTAAAACTTAAAGAACAGTAATCAACTAATTTAAAAGCTCTAATATGAAATACAAAAGGACATGCATTTGGAAGTATATGAAAGAAAGTATTGATATTATTTTATTAGTCTCTAATTGTGAGATCATAAAGCAAACTATAATATGCTATGTTTTAAAAATGATTGAAAACATATTTACACTTATATTTTTCTTTTGCAAATTTATGGGAAAATAATTGTAATGAAATTTATTTTCAAATACAGAAATTGTAATTGAGTTTCATGAAATAAACATAGAAATATAATATATATCACTGCAAATTTAATATTAGCTCAAACTATACTGGGCCTAATAATAGACAATTTTATTTTATAAAATTTGTAAGATTTTTTATTATTTTATAAAACAGAAAATTAAATTAATTTCCAAAGACATACTAGTTTGAAACTACTTTTGTGTGCTTTCTTCAATTTTCATTGTTTAACTTTCCAATTTATCATGTTTATCACTTTCACTTTCAAACTATTATGTATAGAAAAAATGCATTTATAAGTGATTAGCTAATATACTCTTAGTAACAAATCACAGTTAAATACATTTTTTTCCCTCATCTGTATGTGAAAACTTTTGATAGATTTTTAAAGCTAAATCAGATCCTAGACAGAGGTTGTGAGTAGCTCTCAGGGACATAAATTTGGATTCTGGGGCAAGACATAGCATGGAATAGGTTTCTAAGGTTGAGTATGTTATGAGTTAGAGAAAATAAAACCGGAATATTATCATTTCAAGGTTACATCTATGTTCTGTTCTACTACATACAATTTTTGTTCCACTAAAATTTGATGTAAGATATAAGATAGAAAGCTGCTACATATCCTTCTCATTTAACAACATTAATTATATATTAATATATTATATATACATATATAAACATATATTGACATAATAAATATATGTTATGATACATGAGGAAATAAAAATATCCTGATTAACAGATACGTATAAATTATTGAACATCAAAGATTAAAAATTATTTCTTAATGTGAACGATACTAAAGAAAGCAGGAAAAGTCAGGTTGACTCTGACTTCTTCAAGGCATCAGTCAAAAGTGGAAAGAAATGGAATAAATGAAAGAATATCTGTCCGATTTTGAAAGCATAATTTGATCCAGGAAATTATGCAAAATCAAACTGTCATTCAAGTAGAAGGCAACCACAAGACATTTTGAAATATCAGACATCATTGGATAAAGATATTTTAAAAGAAATTACTAAACCCTAAATTATAGCCAAGCAAGGGATGAATTAAAACAAAGAAACAAAACAAAACATAATAAACAGCTATAGTAATCCTATGTCACAATAAGTTATGGTTAAGAAACAATTCATCTAAATATTGAAATTTGAACAAACAACTTCTGTAGCTATACAGATATGGCTACAAAACCAAACAAAAATGTTTTGAAGTATGCTAAAATAAAAGTGATGTACCCGAGGAAAATTGCTAAATCAGGTGAAAGAGTTGTGAATATGTAAAATAAAGATGATACTTAAAGTTGAATAACTGGAGAACATCTACTTAATGCAAAAACAAAACAGTTCCAAAGAAACTACCCTAGCAAATTAAATGAATATTTTAAGACTAATATCTTTCTTGGTATGTTTCAGATATTTTACTTCAGGAAATCATTGTTTTACCTATATTTTTCTATTTAATAATTTGATAAAAATAAATCTAATAATTTTATTTAAAATTATATATCTAATATAATTGGATTATAGTTCTATAATAAAATTGATTGCCTCATTAACCAAATAACCAAAGAAAGTTTCTCATTATAATATTATTCCAAATAGTAAAATAAAAACAATAAAAAATTGAATAAATCCTCAATTTATAATCCTTTTGATCAATGCATCTAGGCAATTATTGTCAATGTCTTCTATCCTTTCAAAGATAGTTCCAAACACTGTATGGCTCTGGATAAACGTACACATCACCACTTATGAACTATTCTTGCAAGCAGTAAATATGATTTTGAAGATACTTTCCAAATATAGGTAATAAAAGGGAAAACAACTTTTTGAAAGAAAATGAAATCAATAAACTGATTCCAGATTATGTGACTTTCTATGGGAAAATGAGCTGATTTCTTCAACAAATAAATTTCAAAATTAAAAGAAAACCAAAAATATTTAAAAAGAAAATAGAAGAATTATAGACTAAAAGAGGCTCACGATACATATCATGTAATTTGGATCTTGATTCAAAGTTAGAAGGAAGCATGAGAGGTTTAAGGGCATCTATCACTTGATACTTGATAAATAATACAATTGATATTAATATTAAATATTACCTCTTATTAAAAGATTATAGTTGATTTTAAAAGCATAATATTGTCACTATGTTTATGAAAAGATTTTTATTTAGATATACATATTTGAACATTTATGCAGCAAATAACATAACATCTGGAATTTACTCCAAGAGAGTGAAGACATGTGGGGATGTCTTTGGTAGGATAGATTTGCCATAAGTTGATGGGCACTTACAGATAAATTATACTATTTTCTCTAATATAAAATAAGTTTAAAATTTTCCATAAGAAAAGCAAGAAAAAATAAAAAGATAGACATCTCTAAAGTTCTTGGTTTAGATGCTTACCCATGCTAAACACTCAGAAATAAACAAGTATTATCAGTTCATTTATAATTCTTAAACTATGATTAGAAAATAGGATTTATAAGAACTCTAACTTTTGATATTTATTATGATTTTCTTTGCAGCTTTGTGTTTTACATGTATTTTGTATAAACTCTTGGAACATTATAAAATAATTTCCCTCTTGTGTTTCATATGTATTATTTCTGTTTAGGTTTTAATTAAATCTAATATATTTGTTTGTTCATTTATTGATTAACTAGTTCTATAATTATTTTTAATGGACCTCTTTGGGCCTATCTGGCAGATATCCTGCTTTCTGGTAGTGATGCTTGCTTAATGAATATCTTATGAGTGACTTTATTAACACAAAGTGCTCTAGAAAAGTCATTAATTGGCAAAATTTTCGTAAAAGGAAAAGTTATTTTCCCACAAGGAAGATTGAGTTTTTATATATTTTTTATTTTTACCATGTCTTATGCACAAAGCTTATAAATTACAATAATTGCCTCCATTCAGAGAAATTAAGGTAACGTTAAGTCATTCAATAAATAATTCACCCAGATATTTGGGTTGATAATGAGGCTTGACGGTGTACAACGCCCTTTAAAATTGAGCTGTCATGTGGAATCTACAATAACAATGCATCAAGGAAAGAAAACACAAATATGATTTTTAAATGTAGAAATATAGTCATGCATCATTTAATGAGAGGGATACTTTCCAATAAATGCATTGTTGGGTGATTTTGTCATTATGCAAACATCATAGAGTGTACTTATATAAATGAAGATGGTAGAGCCTATTTCACACCTAGGCAATATGGCAAAGCCTATTTATCGTACTACTTAATTAAGATTTTATTGTTTTCTGTTACTTGCTACTCAGAGAATCTGAATTAAAACAAGTATGTTCTAAAAAAATCCATTAGTTAACTATGGCTGTGTCTTGAAGTAATGATGCTAGGTCCAGGATTAAATCAGAAGCAGGGACAATTTTCCTGGCCTGCTTGCTCTAAATTACTACTCTAGAAGCATAGGTCAAGTTATTTTTCATTCATCCGCTTAAAAGACAAAATATTTTCCAGATTGAAACATTCTGTACTCACTACATAATTCATTTACTTTTGCTTTCTTACCAAAGTAATTAAGTTTCAGAAATGAACTTGATATTTGTTTCACTTTTATCTCTCTCAAAGAGTGATCATATCAACATAAAATATAGTGGCAATATTTAGAATATGAGCTGAACCTTTAACAACTGGTAGCTTTGGAAATGTGGAGAAAAAAAAACAAGGGCAAAGATGGAGTTCAGAGTATGTTCTCTAACAGCCAGTATTTTGAATTGCCTCAAATATAGTATTCCTCTGGGAGATTAGTCAGTTAAAAATATAAAGAGGTGGGCTTCAAGATATACTTACTAGAAGCAGCCAGCACTCACCTCCTCCACAAAAAAAGACCAGAACAGCAGTAGATAATTACATATTAAATAGAGACTCTAAGAGAGAACACTGGAAACCATAAAAAAAAATGACAGGGAATCTTTAAAGCACAGAAGGAGAGGAAACAAAGCAACTGTCCTAGATACAGTTAGCTGGCATCCATGAGGAACTCCCTAGTGCAGATGGATAGTGGGGAGGTAAGTGAGGTATTCTCAACTGTCCAGATGCCAACCATGGACTCCTAAAATCCTAGCAATAGAAGAGCTCCATGGTCATCATGGACCATGAGTCTAGTATAGATAGCTGACTGGGGCCCATGTGATGGCATGGTTCCAGAGAGGAAGTTTGTGCTGTATCCTACGCATCTCCTGAAAACCAAGCAGTTGCGGAACAGTGCCATTAGGAAAGCCCAGCCCCCACAAGATTTCCATGGGGCCTAAGAGTCCCTGCATCTCCAGATCCAAGGATCCCAGCTGGGATCTTCCACATTCGCCCAAGATTGCTATAGTGTTGTAACACCAGCTGGACCCAATGGTGCAACCAGCTCCCCAGCACTCTAGTGCATGCAGTGTCCTATACCTTGGGGAATGGTCAGTGCAGTGCATGGGGAAGGCTGCCCCAGGACAAAGATGGCCAAAGTACATGCTCTCCAGACCTGAAAGCCACCTGCTTGAGGCCACTGTCACTGACAACAACCCCACCCCCAGCCCCTAGCAGCAGGAACACTGTGCACCTTCCTGTACTTCCAGAGAATCTGAGAAACAGCCTGCCCTTACTGTCACAGCTGGTGCTCATGAACACAGTCAGAAAAACTGAGGACAGGCTACTCCTCCTTGGGATATCCCTGCCAATGCCTACATGTGTTGTCTTGGTGCTTGAGAGTCAAAACACCCCCCACCACCTCTGCCACTGGCACCTGCAGACACTTTGTAGGGCCTAAAGACAGGACTGCCCATTTTGCTGCCATTCACAAACATTGACTGGTGAACTAGGGTTTGACCAGACCTATCTGCCACAGCTTGTGACAGCATACATAATGAGGGGCCTGGGGACCCCTTGAGGGGTGCTACCCTAGCCATTGCCCATATGTGTCATGGTGGAGCCTAGGGATTAACCTGCCCTGTCTGCAACCACTGGCATGCATGCACACCAGCCGGGAACCTAACAACAGGCCCAGCTTTCCTGAAGCTGGCATCTGGGGCCTGGGGATTGACCCACCTGGCAAGCCACAGCTGGTACTTGCCACACCAGTGGGTGGCCTGAGGACAAGACTGGCCAGCCTGACACCACCCTTGCCAATTCTCTTGTGCATTGTCCAGGGGCCTGGAGGTCAATTTGCTCCACCTGCTGCCACTGGTGCCCACAAACACATTCCAGGGGCCTGAGGACAGACCTGCCTAACCTGTCAGCCCCTGTACACATAGACTGAGTGTTTGGGGATAGACCAACCCTACCCTTCACAGACTTCACCTGCACAAAACATCAGGAGCCTGAGGACAGCCCTGCCAATTCCAGGGCACATTGTTCAGGGAGCTACAAGTCAGTCTTCACTGCTTGCAACCAATGACACATGTGAACATCATCAGGAGGCTGGGCAAGAAGCCCTGCCTGCCTTTTCAAGCCATCTGGGGACCTGGGGATAGATCTGCCCTACCCACCATAGTCTGTGCCCTTGTATACATTCAGGGATCCTGAGAATAGGCCTGTCCCATCAGGGGCCACCCTACTCCAGGGATCTAGAGATATGTTCATCCCAGTTGCTGCAACTTGTTTCTTTACATGCCTTTCAGGGATCTGAAGGATGGCCTGCCCAGTTTGCTGGTACCTGTGAACATAGACCAGAGGTCTGGGGATCGAAATGTTACTCAGCACAGCCCATGTCACATGTACAATTAGGGGCCTGAGGACAGGCTCACCACAACTGGTGCCACCCCTACCATTGCCTGCACACATCATCTGGAAAGGTCTGGGAATTCCCAATCCCACCTACTACCAATGGCACCCATTCACTTCCCCTGAGGGTCTGAGCTTCTACCCAGCCTGCTAACAAGACTGCCAGTGCCACCCACTTACCTGGAGGCTGACCCAGGACCCTTAGTGTCATCACTGACCCCACACATAATGCTTAGGGTCTTAGGACACACCTGCTTATCTAGTCCATCATTGCCACAGCCAGCACCTGAGCACAAGCTGCCTGGAAGCCCAAAAATCAGTCTTCCTAGACTTTCTAACACTGGTGCTACTGTATGCCACCAAGTGGCCAAAGGGAGGCCCCACCACCTCTATGACTAGGGCCTAAGAACAAACTCACTTTGTGTCCTCATACCTAGCAAAGCCTAACCACAGCCTCCACTAGCAAGAACATCTTTATCCTTAGACACTGAGGAACACAAAACACCACTGATGCTGATTATAGCTGAACAAATCATATAAAGAATACACCTACTGCAGTTACCCAGAATCAAAGCAAAAACATGCTATCCAATTTACACTATAGATGCCTTTATAGGAAAAGCACTTTCCCTACAAAAGCCAATCCATAAAAATTGAAAGAAGTATAAGGTGTAAGTAAGGGATCCAGTTTCAGCTTTCTACATATGGCTAGCCAGTTTTCCCAGCACCATTTATTAAATAGGGAATCCTTTCCCCATTGCTTGGTTTTCTCAGGTTTGTCAAACATCAGATAGTTGTAGATATGCAGCGTTATTTCCAAGGGCTCTGTTCTGTTCCATTGATCTATATCTCTGTTTTGGTACCAGTACCATACTGTTTTGGTTACTATAGCCTTGTAGTATAGTTTGAAGTCAGGTAGCGTGATGCCTGTAGCTTTGTTCTTTTGGCTTAGGATTGACTTGGTGATGCGGGCTCTTTTTTGGTTCCATATGAAGTTTAAAGTAGTTTTTTCCAATTCTGTGAAGAAAGTCATTGGTAGCTTGATGGGGATGGCATTGAATCTATAAATTACCTTGGGTAGTTTGGCCATTTTCATGATATTGATTCTTCCTACCCATGAGCATGGAATGTTCTTCCATTTGTTTGTATCCTCTTTTATTTCATTGAGCAGTGGTTTGTAGTGCTCCTTGAAGAGTTCCTTCACATCCCTTGTAAGTTGGATTCCTAAGTATTTTATTCTCTTTGAAGCAATTGTAAATGGGAGTTCACCTTATACAAAAATTAATTCAAGATGGATTAAAGACTTAAATGTTAGACCTAAAACCATAAAAACCCTAGAAGAAAACCTAGGCATTACCATTCAGGACATAGGCATGGGCAAGGAGTTCATGTCTAAAACACCAAAAGCAATGGCAACAAAAGCCAAAATTGACAAATGGGATCTAATTTAACTAAAGAGCTTCTGCACAGCAAAAGAAACTACCATCAGAGTGAACAGGCAACCTACAAAATGGGAGAAACTTTCGCAACCTACTCATCTGACAAAGGGCTAATATCCAGAATCTACAATGAACTCAAACAAATTTACAAGAAAAAAACAAACAACCCCATCAAAAAGTGGGCAAAGGATATGAACAGACATTTCTCAAAAGAAGACATTTATGCAGCCAAAAGACACATGAAAAAATGCTCATCATCACTGGCCATCAGAGAAATGCAAATCAAAACCACAAGGGGATACCATCTCACACCAGTTAGAATGGCAATCATTAAAAAGTCAGGAAACAACAGGTGCTGGAGAGGATGTGGAGAAATAGGAACACTTTTACACTGTTGGTGGGACTGTAAACTAGTTCAACCATTGTGGAAGTCAGTGTGGCGATTCCTCAGGGATCTAGAACTAGAAATACCATTTGACCCAGCCATCCCATTACTGGGTATATACCCAAAGGACTATAAATCATGCTGCTATAAAGACACATGCACACGTATGTTTACTGCAGCACTATTCACAATAGCTAAGACTTGGAACCAACCCAAATGTCCAACAATGATAGACTGGATTAAGAAAATGTGGCACAAATACACCATGGAATACTATGCAGCCATAAAAAATGATGAGTTCATGTCCTTTGTAGGGACATGGATGAAACTGGAAATCATCATTCTCAGTAAACTATCGCAAGGTCAAAAAACCAAACACCGCATGTTCTCACTCATTGATGGGAATTGAACAATGAGAATACATGGACACAGGAAGGGGAACATCACACTCTGGGGACTGTTGTGGGGTGGGGGGACGGGGGAGGGATAGCATTAGGAGATATACCTAATGCTAAATGACGAGTTAATGGGTGCAGCACACCAGCATGGCACATGTGTACATATGTAACTAACCTGCACATTGTGCACATGTACCCTAAAACTTGAAGTATAATAATAAAAAAAAAATTTGAAAGAAGTGACTTACACCAGATGCACAGAAATCAAGGTAAGGGCACAAAAAACATTATAAAAAAATAAAATAAAATATAAAAACAAGGAAACATGAGACTTCCAAAGGAACAAAATAATTCTTCATCAGTAAATTCCAATAAAAAATGTATAAACTGCCTAAAAGATAATTGAAAACAATGATATTGAATAAGCTCAGTGAGATACAAGAGAACATAGATAAACAGTATGAAGAAATCAGAAAAACAATTAATGATCTGAATGAGAAATTCAACAAAATGTTAAATATCATTAAAAAGAATCAAACAGAAATTCTGGATCTGAATAAGTCAATAAATGAAATAAAAAATAAAATAGAGAGCTTCAACAGTAGACTGGATCAAGCAGAAGAGACAATTTCTGAATTTAAAGATGGGCCTTTTGAAATAATCCAGTATACAAAGGAAGAAGAGAATAAAAAGATAAAATAAATAAAGTCCATGGGACATATCACCATAAAGTCAGCAAATATTTTAACTTTCTGTTTTGCAGAATGAGATGTAATGCACAAAGGCATAGAGAATCTATTAAATAAAATAATATCTGAAAATTTGCCAAATCTCTAAAAAAATAGAGACATCAAGATACAGGAATCTCAATTTCAAATATATTGAGCCCAAAAAACTTCTCCAAGGCACATAACAGTCAAACTGTCAAAAGTCAAAGACTAAGAGAGTGCTAATAACAGCAAGAGAAAAATCATTAAGTCACATATAAGGGAACACCCATATGGTTTGGCTGTGTCCTCACTGAAATATCATCTTGAATTGTACTCCCATAATTCCCATGTGTTATGGGAGGGACCTGATGGGAGGTAATTGAATCACTGGGGCAGAATTTTACCCCATACTATTCTCATGGTAGTGAATAAGTCTCACGAGCTCTGATGGTTTTATAAATGGGAGTTCTCCTGCCCAAGCTCTCTTGCCTGTCACCATGTAAGATGTGTCTTTGCCCCTCCTTCACCTTCTGTCACGATTGTGAGGCCTCCCTAGCCATGTGGAATGGGACTCCATTAATCTTCTTTTTCTTTATAAGTTACCCAGTCTCGGGTATGTCTTTATTAGCAGCATGAGAACAGACTAATACAGCTCATCAGACTAAAAGTGCATTTCTTGGGATTTCCTGGCAGAAACCTTACAGGCTAGGAGAGAATGAGATCATTATTCAAAACTCTGTTAGAAACAAACAAAAAAACCTACTAGTCAAGAATAATATATCCAGGAAAGCTACTCTTCAAAAACAAGGAAATAAAACCTTTTCCAGACAAGCAAAACCTGAGGGAATTCATCACCAGTAGGCCAGTCCTGTAAAACATGCTTAAAGCAGTCCTACATCTGGAAGCTAGATGATGACATTTACCATCATGAAATCACACAAAAGTATAAAATTCACTGGTGGAGCAGACAGACAAATCAGAAAGAGAAATAACTCAAATGTTACCACTATAAACAATAAGAAAGCAAAGAAGAAAGGATATACAAAGCAAACAGAAAACAATTAGCAAAATTACAGGAATATGTCCTCACCTATCAATATTAACCTTAAGTGTAAATGAGTTAAATCATGCTGTTAAAAGATAAAGTCTGATTTAATAGATTAAAAAATGATTCAACTATATGCTGTCTACATAAAATGCATTTAACTCTTAGGAAACATATAGATTAAAAATGAAGGATAGAATAAGATAGTCCACTCAAGTAGAAACCAAAAGTAAGGAGTAAGTATACTTACATCATCATATAAAATGTACTTTAAGTAAACAACAGTAAAGAGAGACAAAGAAGGTCATTATATAATGATAAAAAAATTAAGAAAGATAATATAATAATTATAAACAAATACATATCCAAAGCTGGAGTATCCAGATAAAGAAAGCAATTATTATTAGATATAAAAGGAGAAATAGACTACAATACAATAATAATAAACTTTAACACTCCATTCTCAGCATTGGAAAGATTAGGCAGAAAATCAACAAAGAAACATTAAATTCAAGCTGCATTTTAGAGCAAATGGACTTAATAGACATTTACAGAACATTTTATTTAACAGCCATAGAATATGCATTCTTTTCAATAGCACAAGGAACATTCTCGAGAATGGAATATATGTTAGGACACAAAGCAATTGCCAACAAATTTTTAAAAATGAAAATCTTACCAAATATTTTCTGAAACCATATGGAATAAAGCTAGAAATTAGTACCAAGAGGAACTTTAGGAACTGTACAAATACATGGAAATTAAACAACATGCTCTAGAATAACCACTGGATCAATGAAGAAGTTAAGAAGAAAATTAAAAAAATAATGAAACAAATGAAAATGGAAACATAACATACCAAAACATATGTGATACAGAAAGAACAGTGCTGAGAGGGAATTTTATATCAATAAATACCTTCATTAAAACATAGAAAGATTTTAAGTAAATGACATCAAGATGTATCCCAAGGAACTAGAAAGTAAAATCAAAACAAATTGAACATCAGTAGAAAAAAAGAAATAATATGTATCAGAGCAGAAGAAATGAAATAGAGACAAAAACAAAGAATCAACATAACAAAAAGGTTTTTTTTTTGAGAAAATGAGCAAAATCAATAAACTCATAGCTAGACTAACCAAGAATAAAAGAGGAGACGCAAATAAAAAAATCTGAAACAAGAAGTTACAACTGATACCACAGAAATAAAAAGGATAATCACAGACTATTATGAAGAACTATAGCTAACACATTATAAAACCTGGAGGAAACAGACAATTTTTTGAAAACCTACAACCTTTTAAGACTGAACCAAGAAGTAACAGAAAACCCAAAACGACCAATAATGAATAACAACATTGACTGAGTTTTAAAAAATTTCCAACAAACAAATGCCTAGGACTGAAAGGCTTTACTGCTGAATTCCACCAAACTTATTTAAAAAAGAAAAAATTAACAGCAATTCTCAAACTATTCTAAAAAATTGAAAAGGAGAGTATTTTTCCTGATTCATTATGTGAGGCCAGCATTACCCTAATACCAAACCCAGACAAGGACACAACAAAAAGAAAACTACAGGCCTATATCACAGATGCAAAAATCCTCAACAAAATACTAAAAGTCAGAATGTGGTGGCACATTAAAAAAATACACCATGATCAAGTGGGATTTATCCCAGGGATGCAGAGATGTTTCACCATAAACATATCAATAAATGTGATATATCACATCAAGATAATGAAGAACACAAACCAAATAATTATCTCAGTAGAGGCAGAAAGATCATTTGATAAAATTCAATGCCCTTTCATGATAAAATCTCTTAGTAAATTAGGCATAGAAGGAACATACCTCAACATAATAAAGGCCATATGTTGCAAACTCACAGCTAACATCATAATGAATAGGGAACATTTGAAAGCCTTTCCTCTAAGAACTGGAAGAAGACAAGAATACCTACTTTCACCACTCCTATTCAACATAGCACTGGAAGTCCTACCCAGAGCAATCAGGCAAGATAAAGAAATAAAAGACATCCAGGCTAGAAAAAGGGAAGCCAAATTGTCCTTCTTTGCAGACATGATCTTACTATCTAGAAAAACCTAAAAACTCTACCCAAAGAAACTATTACAACAGACAAATTAATTCAGTACAATTGCAGGATACAAAATCAACATAAACATTAGTAGTATTTGTCTACACTGATAGTGAACTAGTTGAAAATGAAATCAGAAAGGGAATCCCACTTACAATAGCTATGAAATAAATAAAATATCCAGGAATAAATTTAACCAGGGAGGTGAAAGATGTCTATGAGGAAAATTACAAAACATTGATGAAAAAAATTAAACAGGACAAATAGAAGGATATCCCATACTCATGTATAAGATGAATTCATATTGGTAGAATGAGTATAATATGCAAAGCAATTTATAAATTCAATGCAATCCCTATCAAAATGCCAATACTATTTTTCACAGAAATGTAATACAAATTCTAAAATTTGTATGAATTAAAAGATTCTGAAGCAATCCTGAGGAAAAAGAACACAGCTGGAGGCATCACACTACCTGACTTCAAAATATATTACAGTGCTATAGTAATCAAAACAGCATAGTATTAGTATAAAAATAGACACACAGACCAATGGAACAGAATAGAGAATCAAGAAGTAAATCCACTTATATACAGCCAACTGATCATACACAAAGGCTCCAATAGCACACAATGGGGAAAGACATTATCTTCAATTAACGGGGCTAGAAAAACTGGATATCCATATGCAAAAGAATAAAACTGCACCCCTATCTTTCACCAGTTATAAAAATGAATTACAGGCTTAAATTCAAGACCTGAAACTATAAAAAAAAAATAGAAGTAAACATTTGGGGAATGCTTCATGATATTTGTCAACGTAATTATTTTATAGCTAAGAGCTCAAAAGCACAGGCAACAGAAGCAAAAAAATACAATTGGAACTATATCAAATTAAAAAGCTTCGATACAGCAATAAAAAATCAACAGAACGGTGAGACAACCTGTTGAATGAGAAAAAATATATGAGAACTATTCATACCACAAGGAATGAATATTCTGAATATACAAGCAACTCAAACAACTCAGAGCATAAATAAATAAATAAATAAATAAATAAATTCCATGAAAAAGTGGGTAATGTTTTTCTATAGACATTCCTAAAAAGAAGACATACATACAAATGGCATACGGGTATATGAAAAAATGCTCAATATCACTAATGGTCAGAGAAATACATATCATAACCACAATGAGGTATCATCTTGCCCAGTTAGAATTACTATTATTAAAAAGACAAAAACTAAGAAATGCTAGTGAGAATGTGGAGCAAAGGGAACTTTTATACACTTGGTAGGAATGTAAATTAATACAGCCATTATTTTTAAAAGTATGAATTTTTTTCAAAAAACTCAAAGTAGAACTATCTTAAGACCCATCAATCCCAGTACTGCATATTTATGCAAAGGAAAGGAAATCAGTATATTAAAGAAATTGTGGCACTATTCACATTAGCCACGATATGAAATGATGAAATGCGAAGTGATCCTCAACAGATGAATGGATTAAGAAAAAATGTGGTGTATATATGCGCCATGGAATACTACTGAGCCATAAAAAAGAGATTAAAACCTGCCTTTTCCAGCAATATGGATTGAACTGAAGAACATAATATTCAGTGAAATAAGCCAGAAACAGAAAGTTAAACACAGCATTTTCAAACTCATATGTGGAAGCCAAAAAAGTTGATCTCGTGGAGGTAGAAAGTAGAATGATAGTTATTAGAGGCTGGGAAGGGTGTGTGTTGAGGGAGGTGGATAAAGAAAAGAGGTTTGTTAATAGGTATAAAGATACAGTTAGGTGGATTAAGTTCTAGGGTTCGATAATACATTAGGGTAACCATCATTAACAATAAGCTATTATGTTTTTCAAAATAGCTAGTAGAGAAGATCTGAAATGTTCATAACACAAAGAAATGATAAATGTTTTCAGGTGACAGATATTCCAAATACCCTGATATAATCATTACACATTGTTTGCATGTATTAAAATATCACATGCATTCTATAAACCTGTTCACATATTATGTATCAATAAAAAAATCTAAAAATCATAAGAAAAACTCTGCTGTTTTGAAACTCCTGAAAGCTACTCTAAGTAGTGTATAATTTATTCTTGATGCTCTTCTTTCAAACTTTTTTTAATGTCATTACTTTCTCTATATCTGATTATGGGCTGTTTCTATTTAGAATGCCCTCTCCTTTTTTCCACTGATCCACAAATTGTAGGGCATGTAGTTCTGTATTCATGTACCTTTCAACCCTTTCTAAATGTTTAGGGCTACTGTGAACTCACTGTGGTTAATAATCTCCACTTTCTTATTTGATATGTTATTTGCATATTCATTTTGTTGTCAATGTAACATTTTCTATATGAAGGTTAATTCTGTCAATTCCAAGTTGCAGAAGCAGAAAGATCACTTCATGTAAGTAGTCCCTATTGAATGAAAGCACCGTTTTTCTAGCATTGTCAGCATTCTTTTTCACAGTGGTCACCATTTAGTAGATGGGTAAAACACACATTCTGAGTGTTGATGGACTGTTCTCTACGACATATATTAGGAAACTACTTATAAATGCTAGCTGTCTTAATGTCCCAGGGCTGCCAAAAAAATTATTTTTTCCTAATTTTTGAGGCTAGAAGCCTAAGTTCAAGATATTGTCAGGATTGGTTTCCTTGAAGGCCTTTCTCATTGTCTTGTAGATGGCTAATATGGTTTGGCTGTGTGTCCCCATCCAAATCTCATCTTGAATTGTACTCCCATAATTCTCAAGTGCTGTGGGAAGTACTCAGTGGGAGATAATTGAATCGTGGGGGTGGTTTCCCCCATACCGTTCTTGTGATAGTGAATAAGTCTCAGGAGATCAGATGGATTTATAAGGGGTTTCTGCTTTCTGTTTCTCTCATTCTCTCTTGCCATGCCATGAAAGAAGTGCCTTTCACTTTCCCCAGCTACATGGAACTGTTGAGTCCATTAAAAGTGTTTTTCTTCCCAGTCTCGGGTGTGTCTTTATCAGCAGGGTGAAAACAGACTAATACAATGGCTGTCTTCCTTTAGTGTCTTCATGTCCCCCCCAGCCTGTGTGTGTCTGTGTTCTAACCTTCCGTTCTTAAAAGGACGCTAATCAGGTTAGAATAGAGTCCACCTGGCTGGGTGTGGTGGCTCACCTCTGTAATCCCAGCAGTTTGGGAGGCCGCGGCAAGTGAATCACTTGAGCTCATGAGTTCAAGACCAGCCGGGGCAACATGGCAAAACCCCGACTTTACTAAAAATACAAAAAATTAGCTGGGTGTGGTGGCACTCACTTGCACCTGTAGTCCCAGTTACTCAGGAGTCTCAGGCGGGAGGATCTCTTGAGTCCAGCAGGTCAAAGCTGCAGTGAGCCGAGATCCTGCCACTGCACTCCAGCTTGGGCAATAGCGCAAGATGCTGTCTCAAAAAAAAAAAAAAAAAGTATCCTAAGGGCTGCATTTTATCTTAATTACCTTTTAAAATGTTTTATCTCTAAGTACTGTCACATTCCATGGTACTACGGATTAGGATTTTAACATATACATTTGGGAGAGTCAGAACTCAGCTCGTAACACAGGCTGAATAAAAAAGGTTCTTCCACCTGTTATTTATCAGCAATGTTAATGGAGATAAAGAGATGTCAACAAAAATACTAAAATATTTCAAACTGTCTTGTCTTTTTGTTCTGGGATTCTTAGGATGGATAATTGTACCGGTAATTAGTTTCTTCTACATAAGGACATCACTCATGTAACTGAAGGGTGGTGAATATATAATGAGTGACCATACAGAACAAGGTCTGTATGTGTTTTAAGATATGAATAATTTTATTGAAACTACAGGCCATCCCAGAAATAAAAGATATACACACTAAATAGTCTATACTTTTTAAAAGGCATATACACCTTAAAATGAGTTGATGCAGCTTTAAAAAAAATGGAGTTTTTAAACTCCAACTCTCCAACTCCAACTCTCTGTGCCATTAAGCATGTAATAACATTTTTATTAGATAAAAAAAAATGGAAAGGGGAAAGCAACAAAAAATTAAAATTGTCTAATTTGTAAACTGGAGAGAGGATTTTTACAGTTTTCTGGTAGTCTGTTATCCACAGAATTGAAGAAGATATAAGCAATATCTCCTATACAACTGGTTAGAAAAAGTGCATCACCTTTTCTTAAATGAAAATACTTGAGCTGAAATAGTCTATTTTTATAATTATAAGAAATAAATTAGATTTTGACATAAGAATGAATAGCTAATTGTACTAATTATAAAGATAGTCATTTTTCTCAGCTGTAAAGAACATGTACAAGGTATACATGATGTTCAAGACATACCTTAAGAATTAACCCGTTTATATCTGAGGTTGCAATTTTTTGAATTTTTGCAATCAGACTTTGGTGATGACCTTGAGCAGTAGGATATAAATAACTCCCACATGGTTAGCATTCCAATAATGGAACACTAGGCATAAATGGGTTAAGGGGTGTAATGCAGACAGAGTATTTTGCACATTGTGTAGTACTTGGTACATTATATCTAAATAATACATGTGTTCGTCATTGAATTCTTGTTGTGGTTTTCAGTTGGATAGGATGAATACATTTAATATTTTATTTCTTAGATTAAAATTCTATCCTTAACAAAATTGGTGCATTATCTACAGCTCAAGAATAAGCCATATTCCATTAGTTTATTGGAAAGGTGATCCTTCTGGTTTTCTCAGTAATCTCCCACATCATTCTAAATAAAAAAGTTCATTCTAAAGTAGTTTTAAAGGATTTGCTTTAAAAATAATCTTCCAAAGATTTAGAGTCTGTGGAGTGACCACCTCCACACTTTACTGGTCACAAGTCATTTTTAAAGCAACTAAATCCATTGAAAGCCAATCTGATAGGAATGTCATGTCTGTGTAATCCTCAGGGGAGAAGGTGGAAGTTAGTCACATAGGCTAGCTAAAGAACTGCCTGCCAGACAAGTGCCATAGATAAATAGTCCCTGAAGGACTGTGAGGAAAAGGAAAGTCAGTCTACATCTCACAGAGAGAAGTACATTTTTCCTTGCCATGAGTAGTGATAGTTTAGATATTTTAGATATTTTAAAGTTTTCCATTTATTTAATTAGATATGTAATTTTCTTAACAATTTTCTTGGGTTATAAAAATCATGTTTTACTTCCTGAATATTCCTCCCATTTTTAAGGACTTCTAGTGACTCCTTAAAATAATAATTTAAAAAGTACCATGTCTCTCCTGCTTATGGAATCAATTTCAGCAAATGGCAGAGAAGCTGGAAAAATCAGTAATGAAACAGTGACTGACAGATGAATGGAGCAGAAAATAGAAAAATTCATGAAATACCTGGGATTTCTGGTCAATCATGTGTTCCAGAAAGAAGGTAGGTCTTACAGAATAAGTATAATACATGATTTTTGGCAGGTAGTGACAAAATTGCAAGGTTAGTTCAAGACATTGAAGAGCACTGTCAGTCACATTATCACTTTTCTTTTACCTTGATGACTCATCCACAACTCTAGGCATTTAAAAGGAAAAATAATATGTCTTCCACATTTCCCTTCTATAATACAGTGTGATATGGCATGACATTTCTTAAGTTCTTGAACTTTTCAAGACAAATAAAGACGTGGAATGCAAGAGGGGTCTGTGGGTGATAATATTTTTGCTGAAATATTTTTTAAAGAGCATTTTTGCACAAAATTTCTCCATTCATCTCATCAGCATGTCAGACAAATAAACTACTTGATATGAAAACATTTTATTGTAATCTTGCTTTTATAATTATTGAGTATTTTTGTAACATTTACCATTTTGTTTGACATCTTCCTATGATGTATTTCGCTAATCATCTTAATCAGACTGTGCAGAGCATCATTTTACTTTTCTCCTCTAACTCGAGGCCTTCATAAGACTATCAATTAGCACACTGCAGTAAGAGAGCAATGCCTTAAAGGACTATTAAGAGGTGGAGGCCTTCTTGCCCTGATCTACGTGGTGCCAGATGGCTGCCTAATTAGTTACTCTGCTGCATGTATACTCCACTTCATAGCTGCAATCTCCTTTGCAGAATTTCAGCTAACAGACACTATGTACTTTTTTTTTCACATTTATCTGACCTGGTGTCTTCTATAGCCTAAGATAAAATAAAATTACAAAATAGGTTACATTTTAAAACTTAATCAGTCTGATTAATGCAAAAGTTTATCTTCAGTATCACCCAAAGAGTAAAATGTTATGTAAGTATGACAGACATCCGTATGTGTCTTTGTATGTGCCTGCCCCCACAGCCTTATTAGTACACTTCAGAAATTACAGGTCAGTGATCTTAGAGTTTACTTTTGGAGTCCTGAGACATTAATGAATATTTGTTTTTGAATATATCTGGCATCTGATTTTGAATTTATAACACATAGGCCCCTCAAATCCACAAAAAAACCTATTCTATATATATAAGGCATGTATATACATTTAACTATATATATGTATTTTTTTCAATATGCTGTTCCTGAGATAGTTAAACTCAATGAATTATATTCATGCCAACGTTACCTCACGATGTTATCTCCACGAGCTTTAACAAGACAGACATATGTGCGGAGTATACAGATCCCAATGGAGTGCATTGCTAGCAACAATAACCTTGTAAAAACAGCCACTTTTAATAATTTTTCTTATGAAATTTAAAAATATGTATTAGTTATATTAATTGCAGTGACTTTGTGTACATGATATATGCTTTAAAAGATTGTATTATGAAAATCAAAACAAAACCACAAGAGGCTTATGTATTCCCAAATTAGTGCCAGTTGAGTTCAAATTACTAATTATTTAGAACAGAATACAATTAAAGATATATTAAAGTGCACCAGAAATCACTGTTACATACTGTGATTTGGGAAAATAAACAAGTCAGTTGGTCTTCCAGGAATCTGTATTTGGGTTAATAACATAGGACACTTCATGAGTTTTCTTCGAATTTGGAAATAAATAAATATATAGATTTACCACACCTAACAACTATTGAATTCATAGTTGACTTTAATTATTATATTAAATTATTTTACATAATTTAATTATATTAATTTAATTATTATATTAAATTTATTATAATTTTATAATATATAATATAATATATAATAATATAATGATTAATTTATTATTATATTAAATTTAATTATTATATTGACTTTAATTATTATACTTTTCAATTGACTAAAATTTTTGTTGCTGTTGACTTTTGTGTCACGTATAATTACCTAGCTACCTAGAAACAAACTAAATAATTATAATCTAAGAAGTGATATTTTGAAGTTATGGCTTTGGACAAAGACCAAATTATTAGACATATTAGTTTGTAATCATAAAATATCATATAGAAAATGTAAATTTTCCACCATGTTTGGATGAACTCAAAATGATTTAGTATATATACTTATATCTAGCCAGGGGGATCAGTAGGTACCATTTTCTACTATTCATCTTTCTGTTCATGTTGCACTATTTCATGTTGCACAGGGCTCATGATGGTCAATTTGGTGTGTCAACTTGGCTAGACGATACTTCTTAGTTTTTTAATCAAACACTAATTTAGGTGTTCCCGTGACGGTATTTTGAACATATGACTAAACATCTACAATCAATGGACTTTATGTTCTCAATGATTTAGGTGGGCATGCTTGATTTAAAGAACTGAAAGGCCTTCTTAATTAAGAAGACATCTTGCCTGTGGACTGAAACTTCTCCCGCCTGAAAATTTCCAGCTTTCCCTTCTTGACAGTCTACCTTATGGATATCATATTCACAGAACCAGTCCCCACCATTACTTATGCCAATACCTTATATAATTATGTGTGTGGATATATAATATACCATGTATATTATGTATTTACATATATGTATATTATGATTTTACATATATATATCTGGTTGAACCTTGATTGATACTCTCTGAGTGGTGTTAGGTTTTGTCTGTATTTTGTCAGTCTCAAGAAATATAAAATCAAGCACATTCGATTTTTATACTGAATGCCTGTCTGAAAGTGGATTACCTGACTCTGATCTTGTTCCAAAGAATGGCTCCATCATACCCCTCTACCCCCAAATAGTACTACAACCATATTATTTTTCCTTCCTCCCTTGGTGAGTGAAATAAGCCTTCATTGCATTCTATTTTATGTATCAACAATAATAATTTGCTCTCAAACTTTTGTCCATTATTTATTTAAACTTCAGCTTTATTGTTCAAATTATTATTTATTTAACTTTGAAATCACTTAGGTAACTTGAATTTCTGTATACAATAAACAACCCCTAAATTACAATGTTTTTGAATTTCTTTGTTATACATAGGCCTTTAGAAAAAATGAAGAATAAGCAAAAATTATAATCACTTTTGTTACTTTATTTCTGTAACTATCATTGCTTTAGGTTTATCTGTTTCTTGGAATGTTTTCTTCTTCTATTCCTAGTTTATTCCTAAAACATACACTCTTCAGCTTCATTTATTTTCTTCTAATCTGCAGTATGTTCTGGAACGAGCAAGTCTTTCTCTTAAAAAAGCAGAGCTTGCAGTGTTACCTTTATATATAATAAATGTAAAACATATTCATTGTGAAATATTATGTAATAATGTAAGGAGAAAATATAGCAACTATATATACACACAGATGCATACACACAAAACCCACAAATATGCATCTATCAATTTCAATCATATTGCATATAAGTATGCATAGTATTATGTCTTAGTTTTCTTCTTAACTGTGTTTTGCAACTTTCTTTCATGTCATTGTAACTTATTCCTATACAATTTATAATGGTTGAATATTTTATCACATTGTCACATTGTACTTGATTCAATCCATCTTATTATTAAATCAGTACTTGCTCATGAATCTTTCTTTCCATGTCTGATAGTGTCTTTGGTTGAATTCCTAGATAAAATTGTTAGTGAACCATAATAAATACTTTTAACGTTTTAAAATACTTCTAAGTTAATGTTTCTAAAAAGACTAAGCTTCAAATTTTTTAAAATAATATATCATTTTGCTTGTATAATTCTTACAGGCATGAAGTATTAGGAGCAGCTTTGTCAATTTTACAAGACAGATATGATATTTATTTGAATATAACATTAATGCTGATAACAATTTTTCATAGTTATTAGTATTTGCATTTCTTCTGCTATTAATAACCTATTCACCACTTTCTGCCTCTTTTGGGTATTATAACTTCTTTATTTCTGTTCCATTTATCTGTCATTTCTTGCACTACTAACATTTTAATGATTATAGATGTAAAGTATAATTGTCATCTTATAGTGTGTACTATACTATACAGTGTGTATACTACAGTGGATTTTTCATTTTATAATAATACTCTTAATTATCAAATTTCTCACAGAATATTAATATCACTTTAATTAAAATAATCCTACTGAAGTTTGTTTTAATATCATTAAATCTGCATCATTTTAAAATGTGTTCTATACGCCACACATCACTGGTTTCCTTGGAGTATGGAAAATAGCCTGCAAATGTTTTGAAATTTTCAGCAGAAGAAGACAGTGGAATACATTTTTCATTTATATGTTGAACATATTACATTTAATATTAATTATTATTTTTAGAGAAATCACTCTAAATAATGATTAGCATAGTCTTAAAAGTTGCAGATGAGGACTGTGGTGTTGCTTTCAGCTGACTAATTCATGAAGGAGGTTACAGTACTACTATAGGTTCTCCATTACAAAGGACTTACTAGAGATAAAATGGAATTTTCTTGAAAGTGAATCCAAAGGCCACTTTATCTAGAGAGAAGAGAAGGTGGTCAAATTTTTGAAATATACAGTGAAAATTGTGAATATGATTAAAGCATTAAGACTAATGGCAAATCCTCTTTGGTTCATGAGAAAAAAAATTCATGGGCACAGAACTTAAGAATCTGATTTACTGATATTGCTTGTCCTCTGCTAAGTGAGAATATACTCAAACAAAATTTTGAAAATAGAAATGGGTTTTAAAAATTAATTTATTTGTGATTCAAAGGAGGCTGAAGACTATTTCTGTAAAGTGTCTTGCTCAAGTGAATTTAGCACTTGAGATAGTGAACTGAAAATATTCAGTATCTTAAATATTTTTACCGTTTCACTTCATAGCTTTAAATTCATTTAATTTTAACATAAAATCACGGTATTTTAGAAAATGGCTCAAGTGGTTGACAATTTTTCAACATTTGAAAGTTCTCTTTATTTATTGCAGAGAAAAATTAATGGCATATTATTGGACAAATTTCAAAAAGAAAAATGCTAATATAACCAAAATTGAATTAGTGATTTTTTCACTAAAAGTATATAATTTTTAAGGTTTGTTTACTTAAACACAAACTTTATAATATTCATCTCTATTTTATCTGAATATCAATATTATTATATGTTTCCTTGCTACCATTTATAATGCCACATAAATGCTAGACTTTTCTAACTTAGTGTGAAAGAGAATAAGACAAAATATGAAAAAAGTTATATATTTTAAAAAGCACAAAAAGTTGATCAGAACACTCATCTAAAGCCATTTTTACTGAATGGATATTTAAATAGTTTTATTTTAACATTCACTAAACTTTATGTGACGTTCATGAAACTGCATGTTTTAATTTTGTGATAAATATATTGCCTAAATAATTTTGCTATTATTTTTATCAGATTTGATTCTGAAATCATGCACCCTAGAGAAGATTCTGAAACATAGGTTCATGTACATGAGGCTTATTGGGAAATGCTTGATAACAAAATCTGGAGAATAGGGTGGGAAACAAGGTGGGGCAGACAGAGAAATTGAACGCTGGTACAGTTGCAAAAAAGACTTGGCCAACCCCACAGAAAGTTCTGGAGCTGAGATAGTCTTTCAAAGTTCTCTCAAATTCAAGTAATTCGGCCAAGCATTCTTATCCTACTGTACCCTCCCCTGCTTCTATTCATTAATTGGATGTGGGCTGCCTCTGATGATCAAATTCTTCTGATGGCTACTCAATTATAACTGACTTAAAAAAGAAAGCAAAAGTATGACAGAATAAAATTTTTGTATTTCATCTTATCATTTAAAATAATGAATTAAAATACACTATAAAGCAAATTTAAATGATAATTGGTAGGTCTACTTTTGAACTAATTGTGGACTTCTAATTATTCTACTTTTTCTGAGCATCTACTAAAGAGAAAGAGATCCTTTTATAGGATTCAGAAAAGTTTTGTTAAGAGTTAGCATTTGTTTTAATTCTTAAAAAATGAAGAAAGTTTTGAGAGGCGGAGGTGAACCATCTACATCATTCCAGGCAGAGTGAAGTGCATTACAAAGAAATGGAATGCCAAAGTGCAAAGCTTTTTTTGGAAACGATGATTATCTCAACTTGATGAAACATCGAGCCTGTGAACACACATAGTGTTTGATTTTTAGAAAATTAGATTGTTCAGTATTTCAGATGTCAGCCTGTCTCTGTACTCACATCTTGGGGGCATAAAGAAGACGACGCTGTAATGATACTATTGCCAAACGTTACTGTTTCTTCTCTTGCTCTCAGGCTCTACAGCAAGCTCACCAATGGTCCTATCTATTCTAGCTCCAAAATATATTTCCAACCTTACCACTTCTCACCACTTCTACTACGACACACATAAACCTAGCCGTCATCTTGCATCATCTGCACTGTGGCCGTAACCTCCAAACAGGACTTATTAGTATAGCTTTTACCTCCACAGAATCTACTCTCCAGATAGCAGGCAAAACTATCTTTTAAAATATATATTAGATGATTTCACTCTTTATTTTGATGGCTTCCAGTGATTTTCCAGGACAGCAAGAGTAAACATCAAAATAATGACCATGAACTACAATGCCAGATGGGATATGTTTCCTGCCTACCTTTTAGATCTTGTATCTTAAACTCATTTCTCTTGCTCAGTAATCTTCCCAACAACTTAAAATTTCCAGATTTGTTATATTTGGGGCTTTTGTTGTTCTCTTATCTGAGCTCTGAGGGTTCATGGATGCTAACTTCTCATCATTTCTGTTTTGTCTGAAGTATCACTTCTTTAGAGAATCCTTTGCTAAGTGAGTATACAAAATAGTTTTATTTTCTGCCTTCTTCCAGTGGAATGCAAGCTTCATTTAAAACAAAAAGTTTATCTTGTTCTCCATTGTGTAAATGGCATCTAGAGCAGTAGATTTGCATATGAAGTCTACAGGTTATTAGAAAATGATAGTAGTTGTCATAAAATACCTATCAAATTTGTCTATTTCATAGAATTTAAAAAAATTAAAACATAATTTGTGTGATTCTCTTGATAAATTATCATCTCAGAATGAGAACCCCTACAGTACTCTAGAAATTATTTTTAGTAAATTCACAGATATTGAGTAGTCATAAGGATATTATGTGCAACTTTCAGGGAGTCTTTCCTAAAGCATTTAGGGATGACATAAATAGGATAAACTTTAGAGAGAAAAAAAAACACACAGACAGACACATACACAAAAACCATCATTATTTAAAGTAAGGTTATGCAAATAACCTAAAAGAAACAAAATAGCCAGTAAGCTTAAAAGGAATTAAATAGTAGTGGAGGAATTTGTCAACATATATAAGAATGCACATAGAGAAATATCACTCGGTAAAATAAGTATGAGAAAGCAAAATTGTAAAACAAATCTTAGCAGTGCCCATTCAAGCTCCAACAAGAGTGTATTCTGACTCAGTAGATCTGTAATCATGTGAGATCCAAAACTTTTTCTAAAGAATCTTTGAAATGGTGTATATATATTTTTTTCTTTCATAACAATTTCATTAATACTAAATAATTGTTGTTATCTTAAATCTATGCTAACCGAGCAAAATTTGGATTATCTCACTTCCATATTGGATTATTTTGAAGGAGTAAATGGACTGTTTATGTGGAATTAAATATTCCACTGCCTGCAACACTTATATATCTCATTGTAAATTAATATAGTGGCATCAGGCTTGTATGCTTATTTAATGTAAATCCACTCCTAAGAGATGAATTTTTTTCTCTTGTGCCGACAAAATCAAATTTCTAAAACAGAAGGCAAGATCCAGGGCCTGGCAAATCCACCAAGGTAATGAATACCACCTTCTGAGGCTTTATGGAGACAATATGAAGGTCTTTGCTTAGGGACATGCAGAACATTCATGTATGCTGAGCGTGCCACAGCATTTTATTATTATAACCTCTACAGTGTCTCCTCTTAAAAAAAAGAGACTGCCTTTTAAGAGTAGAAAAAGAAAAATATATTTTAAATAATCTCTTAAAAAGTTGAGTGCATTTCTGTCATAACAAAATGAGGAAGAGTTTTATTTTTATTGATTATTTTATTGATTGAGTTCTTCATTTATTGAACAAATATGCTCTTACTTTCTAATACAACATATACAGGATCTCTGCACTCACAGAGTTTATGCTTCAATTGTATAGCTCAATGTTGAACTAATTATGCAAATAAAATTATAATTAAATTTTTGATATGTGTTACACAAAGGAAGTACTGGATAAGATTAAGAATATTTTAAGCTCCAGGAATTGCTATTTCAAAACCTTTGAGGCAGGAAATATCATTTTTTGATCTTTAAGCGTATTTGAAGAACTGAAACAAACTTGGCTAAAATGCAGAAAGCTGCAGAGTGTATGTAAAGGGCTTTTATGCATGGAGGAATAAGACATACATTGAAAATTGTAGGATTATGTGAAGTTATAGGAGTGCACATTATTTGAATTTTCTGATTTTTCTCTCCTAATTTATGTAGCATTGGAAATCATGATAGACAAAATAATGGGCCCCAAATGTGTTCTTGTCTTAATCTTCAGATCCTATAAATATGTTTCCTTACATGACAAAAGGGGCTTGGGGATGTGATAAAGCTCAAGATCTTGATGCGGTGAAACTACCCTGGATTATCCAGATGGACTTAATGTTATCACAAATGTTCTTATAAGAGAAAGGCAAAAAGGGTCAACGCTAGAGAGCAAGGACATAGGTCGAAGGAAGCAGAGGCTGAAGTGATATTCTTTGAAACTGGAAGGCCAGACCATGAGTCAGCCAATGCAGCATCTTCTAGATTCTTAAAAAGTCAAAGAAATAGATCTGGAATCTCCATAAAGCACAAGCCCTACCAAGGGCTCTTTCTTCCTGGGTTTGTTTATTTATTTATTTATTTATTTTTATTTACATTGTGTGTTCAATGCAAATCAATTCCATAAGAAGTTACTATGAATCAAAGCATAAATACACAAACACAATATACAATCCAAAATAGATGTACAGCATTCTGGAATAAAGCAAAAGAGTGTTCATTCACACACACTAGCTTCAGATCTGTTCATTCTGTTTGTTCCCATGTCGTTTTCTAAAGATGGAAAAAAATGACTTTGGTCATCAAGACTACCTGCGATTACAGGCACCCGCCACCATGCCCGGCTAATTTTTGTAATTTTAGTAGAGACGGGGTTTCGGCTGGTCTTGAACTCCTGACCTCAGGTGATCCGCCGGCCTCGGCCTCCCAAAGTGCTGGGATTACAGGCTTGAGCCACTGCACCCGGCCGTCAAAATGGTTTTTATTTCCCCTGGGGTTTTAAGGCCTCAGGAAACTTAAAATCATGGCGGAAGGCGAGTGAGAGATTTTGGACTTCCAGGATACGTAACAGTAACAATAAATTTGTGTTATTTTAATTCACTACATTCATAATAGTTTGTTACAGCAACAGTAGAAAAGTAATAAAAATGTCATATGGTTGGATATCTGGTCTGTATTGTTAACGATGGAGTGTTTTATATTATTTGGAACAAATTAGACTCTTAGCTCCTTAGGGAGTGGAACATATCCACAATAGTTTCAAGCTACGTCTATAATATATAATTTACTTGTTAATCTATTAAATGTAATGAATATTTTTAAAACTCAAAATGCATTAATTCTACAGATCTGCCTTAAAATCAAATATTAGTTCTTATTTCTGTTACTCCTTTTGGCTTTTATCAGTTATAAAGGTTCTGCCTGTGGAACTTCAGGCTAAGACCAGAAAGCAGAGCTCTCTTTCCTTTTGTGTGGGGGAGTGGGGCGAATATCTTTGGGGGAATGTATTAGTCCATTCTCATGCTGCTATAAGAACTCCACGGGACAGGGTAATTTATAAAGGAAGGAGGTTTAATTGACTCACAGCGTGGTGGGGGGGGCCTCAGGAAACGTAAAATCATGGCGGAAGGAAGCAAGGTACCTTCTTCACAAGGTGGCAGGGGGAAGAGTAGCAGAGCGGAGTGGGAAGGTCCCTTATAAAACCATCAGATCTCATGAGACTCACTCACTATCACGAGAAGAGCATGGGTGAAACTGCCCCCATGAGTTAATTACCTTCCCTTGGTCTCTCCCTTGACACGTGGGGATTATGGCGATTACAATTCAAGTAGAGATTGTGGGTGGGGACCCAGCCAAACCATATCCGTGAAGTTTCCCCTGACTCTCAAGGCAATCAAAATTCGTACTTATCCTTTTCCTAAGAGACTTGTTTTTAGAATCTGACCTAATTTATTTGACTTAGATTTAACTTTTACAACATGTATGACTTGAAATAAGTTAATTGAACTCTCTTGGTTTCTTTATGAAAATAGGATACATTTTTGTTATAGGTTTGAAATGATTATGAAATGACATGATCCTGTTTTGTTTTGTTTTGTTTTGAGACGGAGTTTCACTCTTGTTGCCCAGGCTGGAGTGCAATGGCGCCATCTCGGCTCACTGCAACTTCCACCTCCCAGCTTCCACCGTTCTCCTGCCTCAGCCCCCCAAGTAGCTAGGATTACAGGCATGCGCCACCACGCCTGGCTAATTGTTTGTATTTTTAGTAGGGACAGGGTTTCACTATGTTGGTCAGGGCTCGTCTCGAATTCCTGACCTAAGGTGATCCACCCGCCTCTGCCTCCCAAAGTGCTGGGATTACAGGCATGAGCCACCACACCTGGCCCGAGATGATGCTTTTAAAGTAAGTTAACAAAGTGCCTGGCACACAGATGATACTGAAGGATCTCTGTTATTCTTCCATTATTCTCCCTCCTCCTTTCCTCTCATGAAATCTCTTCCATTGTATAACTCATCTAACAGGGGGGTTCCCTAGACAGGCTGCCATAGCCAAGTGAACCTAAGATTCTTTTAGGTATCAGAAAGCAGAAATAAAGCCAGAAAGCAAGTATAAATGAATGCTAATATTTCAATATCAAAATCAGGCCTGAAGAAGAATGACTTTATGGAATATATTTTGATGTGCTCTTGAGTATTACACTGTGGATGGACTGAAAATTCCTCAAGCACTACTAATACTGACTTTTTCGATTTCACAGTCAGTGTTGTCTGTGCATTGCAATGTCATGAGACAGGAACTGTAAATGTCAGCATCACCTCCTGTTTCTCTAACAAGTATCTAAAAGGAACCAACTTTGAGAGTGATAGGGGCTCAATCAGATTAATGTACCTGTTACTGAATTGGTGCTAGATAAATACTATACGAATTATAAAATAATGGGGCTGAGGGTATGAAGCATAGTGTGTTTGTAACATCATCCATGTCAAATGTTTCTTGGTTAGCCTCATTTTCATGAAAATGTAGTAGATATAAAAGAAGGATCTTTTTCTGCCTTACTGTGTGTGTGCATATGTGTTGTGTGTTTGTCATTTTATTTAGAGTAGAACAAAGTAGGATGTCTCTGCATTTTCCAGCCTCTCATCTATTTCAGTAAAGACAGGAAGAAAAATGCATTTGGAATGTTGAGAGGCCTTTGGTAACTATACATTCTGACAATGCTAAGCATTTCTAGGCCCAAGGGAGAAGGAGAGAGTTGCAACGGGATGTGGTATTTTCTCCAGAGCAAACATAACAGATAAATGCCTAATAAGCTATTCTAACTCAAATCTGACTTAAGATGGATTCAGACCATCTTTACTGAAACCCTCTTTGGGATACCTCACTGCTTGTGTAGAGAAAACATGATGTACTTCAGGGGCTTCTGGAGCCATGCCACACTCAGTAAAATGCGTGTTTTCTAATCATTTTCATAATAACTATAACTGAGTAATATTGTACCTTTTTAATGCAAACTATCTCTCTAAAAGCAGCTATAATTATAAATATAAGTTTTATATTTTGGAAACAATTGAGTTTTCCTTGCCACAAAATTTCCATGACAAAGTGTGCTGATTTAAAGGCAATAAAATTACAATTGTAAAGCACTGGCATACGCTTCAGTCTTCATCATTACCTAATCTTTATTTATGTCTTTGCAACTGGCAGCCATCAAGGGGTAAAACTGCATCATGCAGATATGACTGCAACTGTAATGCAACCCAGGATTGTAGATTTATTATGGGCAATCAACCTGATTTATTAAACAAACTCTATTAATGTTACATGGGGGATAAAGTTATTATGGGGCTCTTCACATTGTAAGAATTTATAATTATCATTTCTTCTTAAGAATAGAGTCACATCTTTATAAAATAGTCACTAGACTCTGACACGCTGGGCTGTGTAAAACTGATAATGAGTTGAAAATTAAGACTGTCAGCAGTGTGCTCTCTAAAATGGCATACAAGCCATTTGAATCTGAAACAATAATATAACAATCCTTTTCTTCTTTCAGAAGGTTGCCATTTAAATCTCTAGAAAATATTCCCAGAACTAGTTTGAACCACTGGAAGCATATTATTTTATTTTTCACTTGAGGTTTGGTAAGTACTTAAAATAAATGTCAATAATTTAAAGGTAAATATGCCAGGCATTATTTTAATACAGAAGAAAATAATAATATATTTTTAAAAATATGTTAAACCAAAATTTTTATTTATAGTTGATTACATTATTTTCTAATATAGAAATTAAATGAAAGAAATCATACACTAATATATGTATGATTGAAATTATATTATTATAAATATACATATATATGTGTGTGTATTATAAACTTTTTTACAGAATTGTTGGGAGAACATAACAAAGGAAATTGTTAACATTTTCTTTAATAATATTTATTATGTTATGATTTATTTTCACTTTTATTATAAGAACAAGGGTACATACACAGATTTGTTACACAGGTAAACTTGTGTCATAGGTGTTTATTGTACAGATTACTTCATCACTGAGGTATTAAGCTTAGGACCTATTCGTTATTTTTCCTGATCCTCTCCTTCCTCCCACCCTCTGCCCTCTGATAGGCCCCAGTGTGTGTTGTTCCCTCTATATATACATGTGTTTTCATCATTTAGTTCTCACTTATAAGTGAGAACATGTGTTTTTTGATTTTCTGTTCCTGTGTTAGTTTGCTAAAGACAATGGCCTCCAGCTTCATCCATGTCTTTACAAAGGACATGATCTTGTTCTGTTTTGGGCTTCATAGTGTTCTGTAGTGTATATGTACTATATTTCATTTATCCAGTCTGTCATTGATAGGCATTTAGGTTGTTTCCATGTCTTTGCTGTTGTGGATAGTGTTGTAATGAATATATGTGTGCATGTGTCTTTACAACAGAATAATTTGTATCCCTTTCAGTATATACCCAGTAATGGGATTGCTGGGTTGAACAGTGTTTCTGTCTTTAGGTCTTTGAGGAATGGTCTCGCTGTCTTATACAATTGTTGAACTGATTTACCCTCCAATCAACAGTGTATAATCATTCCTTTTTCTCCACAACCTGGCCAGCATTTGTTTTTTGATTTTTACTAACAGCCATTCTGACTGGCGTGAGATGATATCTCATTGTGGCTTTAATTTGCACTTCTCGAATAATCAGGGATGCTGAACGTGTTTTCATATGCTTGTTGGCCACACACAAGTCCTCTTTAGAAAAGCTTCTGTTCTTGTTCTTTGCCCAGTTTTGTACGGTTTTTTTCTTTTTCTAATTGTAAATTTGTTTAAGTTCCTTATAGATGCTGGATATTAGACCTTTTTGGACTTATAGTTTGCAAGTATTTTTGTACACTGTGTAGGTTGTCTGTTTACTCTGTTAATAGTTTCTTCTGCTGCACAGAAGCTCCTTAGTTTAATTGGATCCCATTTGTCAATTTTTGTTTTTGTTTCAATCACTTTTGGTATCTTCATCATGAAACCCAGGGTTTTTATAGTTTTAGGTTTTACATTGAAGTCTTTAATCCATCTTGAGTTAATTTTTGTACATGGTGTAAGGAGGGAGTCCAGTTTTAATCTCCTGCATATGGCTAGCAAGTTAACCCAGCACCATTTATTGAATAGGGAATCTTTTCCTCATGCCTGTTTTTGTCAGTTTTGCTGAAGATCAGATAGTTGTAGTCGTATGGTTTTATTTGTGGGTTCTCTATTCGGTTCCATGGGCTGTGTGTCTGTTTTTGTACCAGTACCATACTGTTTTGTTACTGTAGCCCTGTAGTGTATTTTGAACTCAGGTAGTGCAATGCCTCCAGCTTTGTTATTTTTACTTAGGATTGTCTTGGATATTTGAGCTCTTTTTTGTTTCCATAAGAATTTTAAAATAGGAAACTGTTAACGTTTTCATCAGTATATTTTTACATTTGAATTATGCTCATCTCATTTTCATATACTCAGAAGGTTACTAAGGAAGACCAAGCGTCTTTTCACTTTGTACTACAAGAAATGTTCCTTTCCCTAGGCAACATATTTTAATTTGGGGCTTTGTGACTGACCCTGCCCTTTGCTAAACATTGGGTTGAGTCTGTGGCCAAAGGATGTCCAAATAGATTTACCCAATCCTGCCAGTTATATTAATTATTTCAAAGTTGGATAAGAACTCTTCTATACAGGCCAGGCGCAGTGGCTGACACTCATAATTCCAGCACTTTGAGAGGCCGAGGTGATCCGAGGTGGATCACCTGAGGTCAGGAGTTTGAGACCAGCCTGGCCAACATGGCAAAACCCCATCTCCACTAAAAATACAAAAATTAGCCAGATGTGGTGGCACACACCTGTAATTCCAATCTCAGCTACTTGGGAGGCTCAGACATGAGAATCGCTTGAACCCGGGAAACGGAGGTTGCAGTGAGCTGAGATTAAGCCACTGTACTCCTGCCCAGGTTTAATAATTTCAAGGTCATGACTCTCCTCCCACTGCTTGGATAGATTAAATGTTTGGCCAAAAATCTTCCTTCCCCTCAAGGTATGTGTTATCTCTTCTCGAAGTGGGGCTCAGTTAGTTCTGATTCTAAGCCTTATGGTATCCTCTTTGTTCTTTTATGCTTCCACAATCTCCATTAATATAGCATGCATCCGTTAGCACAAAGATCCCAGGAGAAGGATGAGGGACACATGATGTAGAACCACTGAGCTGAGCCCTACCTGAGCATCAATGCCAAGTCACCACATGTTGGAGCAGAATCACACCAACTAAACAGCATATTTATAAGAATAGTCCAGGCGCAGTGGCTCACGCCTGTAATCCCAGCACTTTGGGAGGCCGAGGCGGGTGGATCATGAGGTCAGGAGATCGAGACCATCCTGGCTAACACGGTGAAGCTCTGTCTCTAATAAAAAACAATACAAAAAAAAATTAGCCAGGTGTGGTGGCGGGCACCTGTAGTCCCAGCTACTTGGGAGGCTGAAGCAGGAGAATGTCATGAACCCGGGAGGTGGAGCTTGCAGTGAGCTGAGGTTGTGCCACTGCACTCCGGCCCGGGTGATAGAGCAAAACTCCGTCTCAAAAAAAAAAAAAAAGAATAAATGTTTATTGTCATATGTTGCTGAGGTTTTGTGGCAGGTGGTTTACTAACAATAGCTAACCAATATAGTGGCAAAGATGAGTATCAAGACAATGGAAGTGAAAATCTGTGGTCAGATTCTGAATATATTATCAAAATTGAGCAGAAAAAAATGTATGTGAGGTGAGAGAGCCTTTTTAGTATATACTAACATATTGAATAATTATACTTAATAATTTAAGTATTAATGTTAAATGTTTAATAATAAATATACACCTAATTTTATATTTTATTATTATATATAAATTCCAGCCTCCAGAACTATGCAAATATAAATTTCTGTTATTTAATCCACCCAGTCTATGGCATTTTGTTGCAGCAGCTTTGGAAAACTAATATAGATACTTTCTCAGCAGAGGCCCTATTGACATTTGGAGTCAGAAAATTCTTTATTGGAGGCTATCATGTTTGTATAGAATGTTTAACAGCATACGTATCCTCTACTGATAGCAATTCATCAGTTGTGATAATAAAAAATATCTGTAGATATTACCAAATATCTCTGACATGTCAAATTGCCCCTGGTTGAGAACTACTGTTCTAACCTAAAAGATCACACAAGGCCGGGTGCGGTGGCTAACGCCTGTAATCCCAGCACTTTGGGAGGCCAAGATGGGCTGATCACGAGGTTGGGAGATTGAGACCATCCTGGCTAACACGGTGAAACCCTGTCTCTACTAAAAATACAAAAAAATTAGCTGGGGGTGGTGGTGGGCGCCTGTAGTCCCAGCTACTGAGGAGGCTGAGGCAGGAGAATGGTGTGAACACGGGAGGCAGAGCTTGCAGTGAGCCAAGATCAGTCCACTGCATTCCAGCCTGGGCGACAGAGCGAGACTCCATCTCAAAAAAAAAAAAAAAAAAAAAAAGATCACACAAGCTCTCAAGGACTTTTAAATAATTTTCCTCAACCAAGTTCTTAAGGAAAGACTAAAACCCAGGCTCATCTGATTACAATGCTGACATTCCTTTCAATGAAGCTTATTATTTTCAGTAGGATTATAAGTGGAGGAAGAAGTGAAGGTTAGAATATGGCCCAAGGGTGAATGAACAGAATTGAACTATACCTTGAGAACATCTGCCCTTAGTCAGAAGCTCTATTCATAAAGCACTGTTGAGGACATAAGTAAACAATACGGGCTGATGTTATTTTAGATTTTAGAAATCATGGGTTGATGGAGATCTCACTTGGAGCTCATTATTCCATGAAAATCTGTATGTTGATGTTCCTGTCTGATTTTTACTTCATTTTTTGAGCTAGAAGATGTCCATACTCATGAGGAAAGGTTTAAGAAGTCAAAATTATATTAAGCATTAGAGAGAGGAAAGATAAAAAGCAAGTATATTGCATGTTTTTAATTAGTTATTTGAGTATTGAATTGTACTCTTATCTATTTACTTCTCTGTCTGTCCCATTAGATTGTGAGCTTCTTGCCATATAGGATTATGCTTTTGTGGTTTTATATTCTTAGAATTTTGTACTACACCTCACATATAGTCTGAACTGAAAATATGCTGAATGATTAGGTAAGCCTAAGTACTACACGAGTAAAATGCCATACGATGAAATTAATCCGTGAAAGTAAAAGAAGTAGGATATTGCAAAGCAAAAAATTATATGTGCCATAAAGATACTGAGGACACAGGATACTGAGCTTATCCAGTAGTACAAGTGCATAAATTAGCTAGAAGAATAAAACAAAAAAAAATCAAATTTTTTGGTTCCATCTAATCTGTCTGTGATTCTCCACAGACTGTGATGAACTGTTGGGAGTTCTGAATTGAAAGGGTCTTGCTAAGGCAGAAATAAAGCTTACTAATGGTTTCTGTCTAGTGGTGTCAGCTTGGCTCATTTTTTTCTGGCATTTTAACACTGATTTGTTACAATAGAGTCTAGTATTCAGATGACTACAATACTTTTAATTATGTTTGACCTGCAGCATAGGACCACACAGTGAATGGGAGTAAGCACTTATCAAATTCCCCAGGGAGTATTTTCTGAAAACTGCATTGCAAGAAATACACGTGACTATCTGAAATGGAAGAACACTTCATACAAACACAAAAAATAAAATATTCAAAAGAACATGTTTTGGAGTAATTTAGAGCAATGCAAAAATAATTTGTTGTCAAATGTGGGAGGGAAAAGTGACATGGTCAATAGATAAGTGTACAAGATGACAAAAACGCAGATTTCTGGGGCTACAGTCATAGAACAATTTTGAAGGTTTGAACATTTGAAGTGGGCCAATATAAAAGCATTTTTGTTCTGCTAATCTTGAGCTATTTGGAAAGCAGGAAACTTGAGAATATCAGATTGTATCTAAAAATAAATTTGGGATAATTCATATCCTATGAGATTCACCAGAATCAGAAGTATGTACTCTCTTATCTCTAATAATATGCATTAAAAGAAAGTGCCTCATTTATTTATCTTGAACTGAAAGTACTTTAGCTAGCTCATAGACAAATAAAAAATGGTAATAATATTTCATTTTAGGTTTTCTATGACTTAAAAAACTGAAAATAAGAAATGTAGATAATCAGCTCTTGAATGCCAAATTTGGGTAAACTCTCTCAAAAATACATTAGAACAGAATATTTATAGACCTAATACTAAATTATTCCAGGTAAAAAATCAAAGAAGTAATAATGAAAATTAATAGATAAGCATAATTATTTGGTAATGTTCTCTATTTTTTGAGTCCCTTAGAATTTAGTTCCAGTTTGTGAGATATTTTTAAACAAGTCATAGAGTTGAAGAAAGACACAGAATAATCCTTTAAAATGTCTTAGACCAAATGTACATTGAATTTTGATTTATTGAAAATAAAACATTTTATAAATGTTTCATACAAAATTTTGTTTCTGATGCAATCACGTTGCACTCATTTACAAAGCAATTAAAGTCCTTTCTAGGCTTCACTTCAGTATAAAAGGGAATTATCTTCACTCATCTTTTGGTTATGTTTTTTACTCATATTTTAAGATAAGCCATTGTGATTTCTAAAATTTACAGGAAGGCTAATAATAAAAATCAGAGCACTATTTTTATTATTTTCCAGTTTCAGTGTGATCGATCAGAGAAAGCTTGATTTCGGTATTTCTTTTATTAATTTTTATTTCCTCTGAGGAGTGAGATCTCTCAGCTGAGAATGAAATATATTAAGTTTGAATGAATTAAGTTTCAAGATATTTTAAAATAACTGAATTATGGAAACAACTTTGATTATATCAAGAGTAAGTATATGTTACTGAAAACTTCACTTTTCAAGTAGTCATTTTCGAGGTTTGGGAATTTTCATTTTATTAGCCAGAAACTGAATTATGTTTTGCCACTAATTTCTCAACATAGTTTTAGCCATCAACATTATTATGAAAAAGTTAAAAGTATCTACATTATTAAACATGTTGTACAAATGTTTCATCTGTAAAAGAGTCTAATATATGTTGATTTACTTGTGTTACAGCAACCTTTAAAAACTTGAAGGTCTGGAAGTAAAGCACATTAGAGAGGTATCACCATACTAAAGGAGTTTATATTTTAAAGCATCCTTTTGAAAAACATCAGCAAATTTTCTTCCAACTTGATTTTCTTTTTATTTCTATTGAATTTATATTAAGTTCCAGGGTACATATGTAGGATGTGCAGGTTTGTTACAGAGGTAAACATGTGCCATGATAGTTTGCTGCACAGTTCAACCCATCACTTAAGTATTAAGCCTAGCATCCATTAGCTGTTTTTGTTCCTATACCATGCTGTTTTGGTTACTGTAGCCTTCTAGTATATTTTGAAGTCAGGTAGCATAACACCTCCAGGTTTGTTCTTTTTGCTTAGGATTGTCTTGGCTATATAAGCTCTTTTTTGGTTCCATATGGATTTTAAAATAGTTGTTTTCTTTTAATTTTGAAGAATGTCAATGGTAGTTTAATGGGAATAGCATTGAATCTATAAATTACCTTGGACAGAATGGCCATCTTCATGATATCAATTCTTCCTATCCATGAGCATGGAATGTTTCTATTTCTTTGTGTCCTCTCGGATTTCCTTGAGTGGTGGTTTATAGTTCTCCTTGAAAAGGTTTTTCACTTCCCTTGTTAGCTGTATTCCTAGGTATTTTATTCTCTTTGTAGCAATTATGAATGGGAGTTGTCATGATTTGGCTCTCTGCATGCCTGTTGTTGGGGTATAGGAATGCTAGTGATTCTTGCACATTGATTTTGTAGCTTGAGAATTTGCTGAAGTTGCTTATCAGCTTAAGAAGCTTTGGGGCTGAGACAATGGGGTTTTCTAGATACAGGATCATGTCATCTGCGAACAAAGATAATTTGACTTCCTTTCTTCCTATTTGAATACCCTTTATTTCTTTCTCTTGCCTGATTGCCCTGTCCAAAACTTCTGATACTATGTTGAAGAGGATTGGTGAGAGAAGTTATACTTGTCTTGTGCTGGTTTGCAAGGCGAATGCTTCCAAATTTTGCCCATTCAGTCTGATATTGGCTGTGTTTGTCATATATGGCTGTTATTATTTTAAGGTATGTTCCTTGATACTTAGTTCATTGAGAATTTTTAACATGAAGGGATGTTGGATTTTACTGAAGGCCATTTCTTTGTCTATTGAGATAATCATGTGGTTTTTGTCTTTACTTCTGTTTATGTGATGAATTACATTTATTGATTTGCATATGTTGAACCAACTTACATCCCAGAAATGAAACCGACTTGATCGTGGTGGTTAAGATTTTGATATGCTGCTGGATTCAGTTGGGCAGTATTTTATTGAGAATTTTTGCGTTGATGTTCATTGGCCTGAAGTTTGTGTTTTTGTTGTTGTATTTCTGCCAGGTTTTGGTATCAGCATGATGGTGGCCTAATGAAATGAGTTAGGGAGGAGTCCCTCCTTTTAAATTTTTTGCAACAATTTTAGTAGAATTCCACCTTGACTTTTCTATTTGTATCATAGAATAAAGTGATTTTAATCAAAAGCGTCTAAGGCTATAAAGTTATTCACAAACACAACTGGAAGCTGATGGTAGGGGTTGTAATTAAAATGCTCTTTAACCACTTTGTGAACACACTATTCTTGTTTTATTTTCTTTTATCTGCATTAAAACACTACATATTATTATTATTATTTGCATAGGTTATTGTATTATGATGGTAGCCCACAATAGACACCAGTGTAAACTGCCACATGATGAATGACTCTGTGCCCACCCCAACTCTTTTCTTTTTTTAAGCAGTAATTATAAGAGGAGACAGATGGCAAAAATTGGAAAGTGAATATTGTCACATGATGGAAAATATATAATGAAATCAGTTTCTCAATCTTATAAAACCTGAAGCTCATTTTGAGCTCCACCTCTAGTTTGAAGAGGTGCCGCATTTAGAAATGAACTACATTTCTCTTTCTTTTCTGCCTTTTGAAGGGAGAGGAGTCACTGTTCATCTATGACAACATAATTAATTTTATATTGCAATTACTTTTAAATGATGACAGCTATCGGTAGCCTGAAACAGCTTCAAAAGTGCTTTTTAGCTATATTTCTACTTAGCTTATCATTGTAAGGCTTCCAGTTGTATGATACCCCCTCCCAAAAATGAGATGCTTTAAAATTCAAGTGTCGAAAATAAAACAAGTAACATCAGTTTCACAAAGATAAGATGTAATTAACTTTATTGTGAGTCAGTCAAATCTGGGCATAACTGTAAACATTTTATAAACTCTGCTAACTACTTGCCATGTAAAGATAGCTTATGCTTTGAATAGTCTTCCTGATGGACTCATACCCTTATCAAATTAGCTTATAATTAAATCAAACTGTACTAAATGGTTATATAACCTTTTGGATACAATTAATACAAGAAGACTATTAAAAAACATATCCCTGGGGCTAGAGTTAGCCTTCAATATTTAGCCATGTTATTTAGAGCAAAGCTTTTAAATCCCAGTGTCAATTAGCCAACATTTCTGACATGTTTTAGACAGTAATTTCCTATTTATTTACTTCTAGAGATCACCACAATTTTGCTTAGATTATACTTTTATACTTCTGTTTTTTGGGTCTTGGGTTGTGATTCAAAAATGCCATAATTAGTCATAATAGCAAATTTTAAAACTGACATTTTTATTTCAAGTAAAACATAATTAATATCACTTCTAATATTGCTTATGATAGAGAAGCATAAAGTCTGTATTTTTCACAAAATTAATGAGAAGTGAAATAAATCTGTTATCAGCCATAAATCTGTAAATTTTTTTCACTTTATTTAAGCCTTGAATGCCAATTCAGCTACTTCTTATGCCATTAAATTTAATCATAAGAATGCTAACAAAGTTCAGCCCCATCAAAAGTTTAAACTTGATACTCTTTAGTCCTTTATTATTCAAATAAATTTCCTAACAAACTCATTCCTTCAAAAAGTGCCTCACAAAAGAATATGAAGTTTAAAAAAATACAGAAATATATTATATAGCAAATCTGTCTCCATTCACAGAATTCAGATTCATCCATATGGTGAATTATGGTGTATGCTCAAATATGCTTTTAATTGAAGAAAAAGCCTAAAGCTTTCACAAAGACTGCAGTATATCAATTTTATCACTGTAATACATCACAGAATAGGTTTGTTTTCATTCTTTATCCTTGGGTTATAGGAACCCTGTCTCTCTATTGACATATGGTGGCACATAATCTTCATAGACTTTCTTCTACTTTCCTTCTTTTGTAAGCCATTTTAAATGTTTCTTTCTACATCACTAGATGTAGTAAATATTCAGTCTATTATTTCTCCATAAAATTGTAAAGTATATATCAGTTTAATTATACTTGATTACATGCATTTATAATATATTCAATATATAAACTCTATACGTATGTATAATATATTGATCACATATCTGTGTGTGCATATGTTCATAAATTACCATATTGATTCAAAAAGGAGCCACCTAATATTATAACTGTAAAAACGATTCTATTTATATATAGGCAGTGGCTACAATTCTCCATACTTTTACATTTTTACATTATTCTAAAATGCAAGTTACTAAAAATGATAAATATTGGAATATTATCTTTTTTCTATTATTTGCTTTTAATATATTCATCTAGGAACTGTTCTACTATACTTCATTGAAGGGATTCCTCCATTTATAAGTCCTTCCTCCAATTTTTAAGACCTCCCCTAGATATTTTAAAAACTATTAGATCTACTAAATGTCCAATAATTTCATATATGGGTCTGAGGATCCCAGATCTTTTTACACTAAAAAAGAATATTATAGCACATTATAAACATTATAAACTAATAATTACTGGTTTAGTTTTTAATAACAAACTGTAAAAGGACTCTGTGAAAGAATTCTGTTTCTACATGTCTTAAATCTGGTAGGATGTCCACAAAACCTCAACATCTCTAATTAGTGACATTGGATTAATTTTTGTCTGCATGAGATACACTCAAGATAAGTACTAAAAATGTCCTAGACTTCCCTTATTTATAGATCATCACAATGTTTGTAAGCACATTAAAATATTTTATAAGTCATTGTATAGAGATACAGTCCCTGATAAAATACAGATGGAGGAACTTTATAATAATTTAAAAAATAGATAACAGATAAACATTGGGAAGACGCTGTATGTATTTATTCCCAGTGATTATATGTTTTGTAAACTGATTAAACACATGGGGCAGGGAAAACTGAGAGAGGAGAACTTGCTTATTCATTCCTTTGAACTCCTTTATATTCGAGACCATTAGGTCTAATGGATTTGAAATTCCATGCTTATTTTTTAAGTGAAGGCCTTGTGACACACAGTAGTTTGCAGAGATTGCAGAAGATTTACAAAAATAAATGTATAAATCTAATTCAACCACAGCATTCATTATGCATTCCTTTTGTAAAAGGCATGTGCTCAGAGATTTGGATAAAAATGAAGTGTATAAAAATGAAATATGATATGGTCAATGATATAAACCAACTAACATAGAGAATGCCATAAACATTCAAAGAGAATTTGCACACAGTGAACTTCAGATAAGACATTACAGTAAAGAGTAAGGCAAGTATGATCCAGTAAACAGGGTGCTTGCCTGACAGCCAGAGGTAGGGGATTACTGCACATTCTTAGCTGCTATAAACTCAAATAAATAATTGAAACTCTCTAAGCCAGATTTTCCAACATAAAATCAAGATAATATCAAACTTGTAGGGATTTTGTTGGCATTAACAAAATAATTTTACTGACAGTGATTATTAAACTGCAAAGCATATTATAAATGTAAGTAGTTTATTATGATGAAGTGAATTCACAGTGGTTCTTAAAATATGTAGAGCTAGTCAGTTATTTTACGTGTAACAAATTCACAATGTCATTTCATTTTAACAGTTTTATTGAGGTATAATGAATATACCTAAATGGCCCATTATTAAAGTGTACCATTTCATAACTTTCCATATATATATATAACCTTGAAACCATAATTATTATCAATATGATGAGCTTTTTTTTTTTCTTTTTGCTCCTCTACACTTGATCCCCTAAGTCCTCAGGAAACCACTGATTTTCTCTTTCACTAAATATTAGTTTGCATTTCTAGGATTTTATATAAGTGGAATCTCATGGGCATTATTTTTGTCTTACCTCTTCTACTCAACATAAATATCTTGACATCCGTCTCTCTTGTTGAGTGCAACAACAATTCCTTTTTTAAAATGCAGAGTACTGATTCATTTATGGACATATACAATTTTGATGCATTCATCTGTTCATGGATATTTGGTTGTTTTTTTTTAATGCTATTCCAAATAAAGCTGATATGAACATTTGTGTACACATCTTAGCAAGGACATATAATTTGCTTTGGGTAAATGCTTAGAAGCGAAATGACTAAATTATATTTTTGAGTTGTGTTCCAGTTTTTAAGAAAATGCCAAACTGATTTCTAAAGTGATTGTACCATTTTATATACCCACCTACATTTGATATAAAAAGGCTTTTTAGGATTGTAGCTATTCTCATAAGTGTGTAGTGTTGTCTCATTATGGTTCGAATTTGCGTTTACCTAAAGAATAAAAATGTTGAGCTTCATATGCTTATATCCTATATGCGTATCTTTTTTGTATATTGAAGTGCCTATTCAATTATTTTGTCAATTTTGGCAATGGTTTGTTTGCTTTCTTTCATTGAGTTTGAGAGTAATTTACATATGAAAATACATTCATCAGCTATATGATTTACAAATATTTTTCATGCATTATTTGACTTTTTAAAAATTTTTCTTGACTGCTTTTGAAGGAAAGAATTTGTTAATATTTATGAAGTTCAGTTTGTCAATATTTTGGTACTATTAGAATCATGCTTTAATGTTGTATTTGCAAGTTTTTGCCTAATTTAAGATGACAAATAATTTTTCATCTATAATTTTTTCAGATATTTTTACATTTTTTAGCTTTTAGGTGAAGCTCCATGAACCTTTTTGAGTTAATTTTTATATGTGGTGATAAATATAGATTCCCTGATTCACTTTTTGTGCATTAGAATATCCAATAATTCCAGCATGATTTTTTGAAAAGACAATTTTTAACCACTGAATTGCTTTTTCGTCTTTGTTAAAATTCAATGTCAGATGTAGACTCCTTTTTTATTATATTAACACATTTGTCTATCTTTATTCCAGTAGCACAATCTTTTTATTAGAGTAAATTAATAATAAGTTTAGAAGTCAGGTATTATAATTTCTCTATCTTTATCATTTTTCAAAATCAGTTTGTCTATTCTAACTCCTTTGAACTTCCCCATGAATTTTGCATTCATCTTGTCAATTTCTGAAAAAAAAATTGCTATTTGAATTTTGCATAGAATTACATTAAAGTTATATATTAACTTTAGGCAATTTTAATATCTTAACATTATTAAGCCATGACATAGATGGAGATGGAATATCTCTTCATTTATTTAGATCTACCTCAATATTTCTTACCAATGTTTTCTAGTTTACTGTCCACAGATATTTGCCCATCTTTTGTCACTTTCATCCCTCAGTACAAAATATTTTTGTTACCATAAATAGTATTATATTATTTTACATTTAAAACTTTATTTTAGAACCCATTTTTACATACAGAAAAACTGCAAAATTGTTCTCTCTCTCTCTCTCTCTCTCTCTCTCTCTCTCTCGGCTATTATCGATTTCTGTTCTATCCATCTAGTGCTTTAGACATTTTCATTGGTCACTTAATTGATTATTAGTCAAGTATTTTGATGAATGTCCTGTTTAGAAATTTCTCTGATGTTTTTCTTATCACTAATCTAGGTTTTGAGAGGAAAACCACACGAATCTGGGTTTCCTTATCACTAATCTGGGTTTTTGAGAGGAAGACCACAGAGGTAAAGTGCCATTTTTATCTCATCCTATCAAAGGTATATACTATCTACATGATTTATCCCTATAGATACTGACCTTGATCACTACAATATGCTTCTCCAGGTTCGTCTCATGTATATCCTCCCTGATTCCTAGAAATGTCCATTTCTCCTAGGGGCCCTTGTTCCTTTCATTGCAAAAAATTGATACTAGAACCCAAGATATGGATGCTAGGTTTGCTCATTGCTACTGGGAAGAAAATTGTTTCTGGGCCCTCCCAGCTGACAGGAAAAGGACATGTGCATATGTTTACTAACCTGTGGAGACACATACCTATAAATATTTATATATTTAACATCTATGTCTATGTTAAGCTAAACCTAAGTTCATGGTAATGTTTCCAATTATAATCTACTGCCACATGGATTATTCTAGCCTCCTTTGCTAGTTTATCTGTAAATTTCTACTCCAAAATACAAACTGGTTCCTAGCCCTCACCATTCATTTATATAGTTGTTCAATTTCAGAATATATGAATAACAATATGCAAACTGTTAACCCATAGTCCTGTAGTAAACAACTTTATCAACTAGAGTACAGTGTTTATGTGGAGTTCCTTTTGCCTTTAATCTTACAGATTCCACTCATTTCCAAAGTGACTTAAATCAATATATTTCCACAACTTCTTTTACTCTGTTATTTCATATATTTTTAATAAAGTTAGATTGTCTTAGCACAGTCTGCATTCATTTCTGGGATCCTCTGAACTTCTAAGTGATTACCAGCTGCCATTTCTTCTGTTCTATTTTCTTTTGTATGGTTTCATATTCCCTCCGGCATTACTTCTCTCCTGCCTGAACTATGTTCTTTCTTCAAATGCGAGTCAGCTGATAACTGTTTTCAGCTTTTGTAAAACTAGAAGTATATTAATCTTACCTTCACTTTCATAGGATGTTTTTACTGAATGCAGAATTTTAGTTTAACATTTATGTTTCCAATCAGAAGTTGAGAGAATTTGCATTCTTGTTCCCATTTGCTTAAAAAAAATTCTGCTGTCATAATTAGGTTTTTTCCTCTGTATAAAATCGATCTTTTTCCTCTTCCTGTTTTGAAGATTTTCTCTTTATCCCTACTTTTGAGGCTTAGTTTATCATATGCCTACATGTAATTTTTCTATATATTTTGCATATAGGAATCTTTGGACTTCTTTGGCCTGTGGGCTTGGAATGTTTATAAAATTACTCTCTCTCTCTCTCTTTCTCGGTAATTATCGATTTCTGTTCTATCCATCCAGTGCTTTGGACATTTTCATTGGTCATTTAATTGATTATTAGTCTACTATTTTGTTGAACGTCCTGTTTAGAAATTTCTCTGATCTTTTACTTATCACTAATCTGGGTTTTGAGAGGAAAACCACATGAATCTGGGTTTCCTTATCACTAATCTGAGTTTTTGAGAGGAATGTCTTAGCCATTACTTTTTCAATTTTAACTTTTATTTTTTCTAATCCATTACCTTTGGTGATCCAACTACACCTATGTAATACTATTTTAAACTATGACACAACTCCTTATTTATGTGGAGTTTTTTAGTCTTTTTCATTTGTTTGTTTGTTTTATTATAGATAATGTCTATTCATATGTCTTCAGGTTTACCAATCTTGTCTTCTGCAATGTCTAATCTGTTCTTGATTTCATTCGGTTATATTTCATGTAAGACATTGTAATTTTATCCCTAGCAGTTTGATTTGGACATTTTTTTCTATCATCCACATTGTTAATTATATATTAAATAGTTTTACTAGTTTCACAAACAAAGGAAATAGAATTATGACATCTCTTTCAATATCATTGCCTATTAATTGTATCATATATGTCATTTCTAGATTGGGTTTTATTGATTGCTTTATCTCATCACTTTGGATCTTTTTTATCTGATTGTTTATGCCATTAAATTTTGAATGCCAAACATTGTGAATTTTACTTAGTTTGAAATGGGATATTTTTCTCCTCCTATAAATATTTTTCTTTTCTTGTGAAACATGGTTAAATAAATTTGAAGCAGTTTGATCTTTGATAAACAGGACCAGAAATTGTTTAATTTTTGTTGAATTTTATGCTCCCCTCACCAAGGCAAAACACTTTTAGTACTGCACTCAAAGCCCTGTCAATGATGAGGTTTTGTGCATTGGTCTAAAATATAACACAGTTTCTATATCTTTGGGGATTATTCTCTCTAATTCTTTTTTGTAATTTTTTACCTGATATTAGGCAGTTTTTCCACATGCCTTCCCTGTTCCAGACACAGGAAAACCTTCTAGAAGTGTCCATAGTTGTCTCACTTGGGTACTTTGACTGCAAATGCTAATCATTTTTTCCCCCTTGGACATTAAATTCTATCCCCTTAATTCAAAGGTTCTTTTAGGCTCTGCCTATTTCATCATTCCTTATCCCATATCTTGAATACTGTCTCTGTGCAGTGAGTTTGGGCAATGGTAAAGCTCACTTCATTTTCTTACCATTTCTTAGGAATCATAGTTTTTCATTGTATGATGTTCATTAATGTAATATGTATTACAGATATATATTATATTATATATTATAGATATTATAGATATATAATAAAGTATATAATATATTTTTTTCCAAAAAATTTAGTTACTTTAGGCAGAAATACAAACCATATAACTATTCCCCATCTTGGCCAAAGGAGAAAAACATTTTATTTGATTTTCTTAGTATTACTATAAAAATTATCACAGCTATAAAGTAGGGCCTAAAGCCATAAATTAACATATTCTTTATTCCCGCATTTCCACCCCCATCATATCCACATTTTCTTCTTTAACATATTTTCTCTACATGTTTTAATCTTTTAAATTCCTATTTTTGAATTATTTAACAATTATTTTCCCAAACTTCCAAAAAGCACAATTATTTGATATTTTGAATATTTTTACATCAGTCTTTTATATATTGTCTTGCAATGATACACTCATTAACGTTTGATAGAGTAAGTTGAATTAATACAGTCTTTATGTTAAATTGAAAGGACTGCTTCCTCCTCATGTCTTTTCTTTACATGAGGTAGGGAAACACTATTGGCCTTTATTCTGCCATTTATTCCTGTCACTGAGCAAGCTACTAAATTAGATTGGCCAACAATAGACATTCATCTAATTTTCTCAATTGAGTGCAAATTGTCTTCTAAAGGAACTTATTGGAGGAAATTTACTACTTCTCCTACCTCTTCACCATGACTAATACGAGTCAATTACCTGAACAAGTGGATTTACTCTGCACTACTAAGTTTGACTCCAGTAGGGCATTCCAGATTTTTTGGACTATAGGCAGTAACCAAATACAGTTTGTTTCTCACATTAAAATACATCTTTCAACTTAAAATTTGTAAGTATTAAAGATGATATTTTTATTATTGCTAGCTGATACATTCTGTTCAAAACTCAAGATGTTTAATATTTATTCTATCAACTCAAAAACTTGGATAAGTCAAAAGTCCACAGATTTATCTCTTCCTGATTATTTCAGTGGAATTTTGATAATCCTGTCTAAAAATTACTGATATATCTGCAAATCATATTAGGATTTCATCTTAAATAATATTCAGTACATTCCATGTATTTTAGAAAAAATGCTGTTCCGCCAAACTGAACTGATATATCCAATGCTAATCATGTAAATCTGTAGAATAGCTACTACAATATTTTAAACCTCCTGACTCAGACAAATAATTTTTCAACTATGTCTTATTCTTTTGGGAAAATTACATGTTAATTTTAATTTGTAGAAATTTTCAATTATTTATTTATTTGGCTTATTTCTTAGCTTTCACATACAGATTGTAGTTTTGAGGAACAATTGGAAAGGGAGATACAATCATTATTTTATGGTACTCTCCTCTTTTTTTCCCAAGTAATACCTGGTTTATTGTACCCTATAGATATTGAAAACATTTTTTAGCCTAAGAATAATTTGATATAAATTAAGTGAAAAAGTTTTACTTTTTCATTTTCAAATTACATTTTAAACTATCTACATTCCATTCCACTTTCACTTGTATGATAATTTTTTATGCCATTGTAACTTGGGAAAGGGTAAAAGAAAAAAATGTTTCTACTCCAAATGTCAGATGAGATTGGTAATATTTATCACACCCTGTATTTTTAACTTCCAATTTTAGAACCAAATATTCTTGTCTAGAATTGCTTACGTGTGGTCTTGCTCAGCGGTGAGGGAGAGGGAACAGATGACCTCTCAGTGTCATTTATTCTTTGTGATTCCTTAGTGAAAAGAATGGTGGATTCTTAAGTGATTATATCACTATCATTGTAGAAGGCTGTATGAATCATCATAAAGAGTGGCCTTTTTGGTATCTAACATCATAAAAATAGAGTGTTTAGAGCTTATGTGTGATGAATATTGTATTTTAGCTACCTTACGCAATGGTGCCTGATCTGCAATCCATTCATTCATTATCTGCATTTCAGATAATATTTCCTCACTTGTAAACTATATTGCTGCCTCTGCCTCTCCATTGGACTCTTTTTGTTGTTGTTTTTGTTATTGTCCTTGGAAGTTGTCCTTACACATATATATATGTATAGGAATTCCTGAATGGTAATTTCCTTTCTCACATACTTTTTGAACATGGTGATGTATATCTATACGCTGGCTACCATTTGTTATTGCTCTCAACCTTGAAAAAATGTTTCTCTGTTACTGAGAATAAGTTTTTATATAATGAAAAATCAATGTACTTTAACTTTTTTTTACTATTGTGTACATAAGTAAATACTTTATTACTATTGTGTACTATGCATAAATGTATACTTTCCTTTGCAATCAGACTTCCTTGGAATTTTAAATTAATATCTTATTAACTACAAAAATATTATGTAATTGATTAAGAGTGGGCCTATAGACTATTTTTAAAGTTATATTTTAGAAAATCTGTAAAAGCTAGACTCTTCACCACAACGTCTTCATGATCATTAAATTAATTATTGCTCTGGAAAATTAGGATAGGATTTGACAGATTGACGAAGAACAATTTGTTGACAAATTGACAATGAACCATTTGTCAATTGTTCTTAATTTTCTGTTTTTCCTTATCATAAGCTCATCTTTTCTTAGAATTGGTTCAGGAAATTAGACATATAGATGTGGGTAAGCCTTTTCAAACTTAGAACACTAACATTTGTATATATCTGTTAAATGTTTTATTATATTTAGAAGGTAATTCCTTATAGTCAACTCCTTTTTAAATAAAACCTATAATTATTAAACAAAACAACTAAATAATAAATTAAGTGCCCACAAGTTTACTTAAAATTCAGTTAAATTATAATCAAAGTCTTAGTAAGTGTTAGTAAAGAAGAGATTCCTCTCTACTTTTGTCTTCAGGCCAGTTAGGCAGATCCTTGTAAATTCAGGGAGATAGGAGACTGGCTTTATGAATCAATACTTGGAGGAGTCATACATAAGATTTTGACAAAATGAGGATCTCTTGAGTTATAGCAAACTTTTAAATGGTGGTTGGTGAAGATGTTTCTTGATTGGTCTTAAGCAACGACTGTCTGAGAAAAGCTCTGAACCAACCCTAATTTAAAGGGATACATGATAGCCCGGAGGAAATATATGTATTGAAATTACTTGCATTATATGATACACAACCGTTTCCATTCAAAAGTGTTAAAAGCAAACCACGTTGATCCATGTATACAAATAATTGGCATATTACATTTATTTAATTTGTCATACAACTCTACATGGAAATAAAAGAGAGAAGAGAGAAAGCAAAATTTGCCTGTTGGAGATATTATGACAGGTTATGCTGCCAAATCTAAGCTTAGTTTTATGTCTCCTAAAATAATATTAAATTCAAATATATGAGAATTAATAGTGCCTCTCATCAGTATTTATAATTTCATAAGAATAATAAAGCTAGGTAAACAAATATACACACTAAGAAATGCAATGCAAAAAAGGTATCTAAAGCCAAAGACATGCCTGTTGTTAAAAGAGAGTTCCTTGTAGCTTGCCATATACACAAATTGTCTAAAGTCTCTTGCATAATAGGCTGATTACTGTATGTTCCACAATACTTTCCTTATAAACTGATTTTATCTCACAATAATCTCATATTTATATAACTTTAAGTTATGCAAAGTGTTTTCCTTTTTTTTCTCATTATAATATGCCCAGTATGGGTTAGAAAAAATATCATTATTGTCATTATACACATAAGGGCACAGATGAGCCAGATTGGGTATTTCCCCAAGGTTTTGCAACTAACTAATGATAAAGGCTAAATAATAATCAAGACTGTAAGACTTTTCGTAGAGTATTTGTTTTCTCTATCTTGTTTCCTCTCAAATTATTGTGCCAAATGCTTGTCTATCATTAACTCTGCTTCTATGCCTCTCAACTTGAAATTTTTGTTCACAGTTCATGCACACATAAATAGGCTTCCTTCTGCACTGTCACATGAATCCACAGCTTTGCAATGTCCTGCTATACATTGTGCCTTTCCTTTGTTTTGAATTTTTTTCTTCTTATTCTTAATATAGTTGCTTCACTTCATATCCCTCTTACAAGAAACTAGAAAAGACAAAATAATATGTAATGTTTGATTTACTTCTTTTAAGTTGAAAATAGTTATGCAAGGTAGCATATTTAAATTGATTTAATTTGAGACAACACAACACTGCCATTAGATGGCACTCTGGGTAAAGTTGACAATGTTATTTCCTATATTGGAGCACGACATCATTCAAAGACTTACATAAAGTAAATGGAAAAGAAGATTGGTGAAATTTAATGTCAAAGAATTATACTGAGTACAATGATAGGTGAATTTTTCACCTTTAAAAATTTAAGGTTTCCCTTTGAATCATTACACACCTTTACTCATCAAATAAAAAATTAAAATTATACAATGAACTGTTTCTCATTAGAATGTATAATATATAATTTTTTAAAAGAAAGTACTTATACTGCCTTGTGTAGCAAAAATTAATGTTATAAATCACTTTGGTTATACCCTTTCTAATATAATGTAACACTCAGGAATGAAATCAATTAGTTTTTATAAAACTTATATTCATTTTAAGGCAATCTCCACATATAAACATGGATTTCTGAAACATTAAAAATATTGTTTATATTTCTAATCTTTTTATTAAAATAAATACTCTGGAAATATACTTGGTGCATAAATACATAATCCTTTCATGTTAGATTCAATATATTTTATTAGAAGTTATTCTATTATTTGTTCAATCCTTCCCATCTAATCACTAACGTGTTGAGAACTTAGGAGGGAAAGTAAAGATGTATAAATGCTGGCAACTACTCTTGAGAAATATAAGAAAATGTGTGCTTTTTGATGTACTTATTAGATTCTAAATAGCTGAATGCAGGTATAACATAGTGCACCACTATATATTTCATTCATTTATTTCATTAGAAGCAGTTAGTACAAGACTCTATCATACAAAAAGAAATAAAGCATTTACTCTACTCGAGGGACTCTTCAAGATAGCAACTATAATAATGAATAAAATGAGAAAATCTTCATCTTCATGGAATAAATACATTTAAATTCTGTGAAACAGTACATATTATATGAATAAGCAATAAAGTTATTTCATTGTCTCACCTATGTTACTGTAATAGAAGAAGTTGTTTGAAAATGAAAGTGGCCCATGCTAAATTTAACATTTTATCTTAAATGTTTAGACCATATTAATGATTTATCTTAATATTTTAATGTATTATCTATAAAACAAGTGATGATGAATGCAAAAATGAATGTATGAAATAATAATAAGACAATAATCATTCATCTCAAAATACACAATATTTATATTTTACTTACTATCACCCAAGGAATCCCTCTCAAAACATACCCTGTTCCCTTCTTTCTTATACCTAATCTAGCCAGAGTTTATCATTAAACATTTTTCTAAAATTTTACCTAATATATGTATTCCTAAAATTAACACTTTTGTTTTCGTGAATTAATGACAGACATTTATATAAATTGAATAAAACTGTACATATTCCATGATGTACTTTTAGAAATCCTACCGAAGTTGTTTTTGAGATATATCATATATAATATGCCCATAATATCTGCTAATAAATATTTTATGCATTCTATTGTTGAGGTACATTCATGATTTACAAAAAAATGTTATTTAGATAATCTTAATATATGCCATGTGAAACATATAGGCAGGGGTTTTTCTAGAGAATATACAGAAGAATAAAATTACAGGGTTCTAGTTGACTTTAATAGGTAAATACAGCTGTTTTTCAAAGTGATTAATCTGATTTACAGTTCCACCAGCAATGGATAAGAAATGCCCCGGTGTGTGATGTTCCCCGCCCTGTGTCCAAGTGTTCTCCTTGTTCAGTTCCCACATGGAGGAAACCAACATGGCACATGTATACGTATGTAACAAACCTGCACTTTGTGCACATGTACCCTAGAACTTAAAGTATAATTAAAAAAAAAAAAAGAAATGCCTTTACTCCAAATCTTCAGCAACATATTGTCAGTGTTTGTTTGAATCCTGTCAACTAGTAGATCTGAAATGGCATTGCACTGTGATTTTAATGCTAATATTTATGAAATAGAACTAATATTGTTCAAAATGTGCATTGGTTGTTCATGTTTTCTTTTCTGTGAATCTTCCCACTTTTCTATTAAGTTGTTCTTTCAGTTATTTGATTCAGAGGATTTCTTATATATTTTCTGGAGAGTAGTCCTATGTTTCTGTTACATATTAAACTTGTCTTATCCAAGTTAATGGCTTAATTTTCCATTATGTTATGGTATTTTTGAAGTTTATAGTTTGGTGCATCCATTTTATATATCTTTTATCTTCTGTGCTTTGTACAGTATTTTAAAAAGCCATTGTTGCATGATTCACCTTATATGAGGTACCTATAGTCAAATTCAGACAGAGAGACATGTGAATGGTGGTTTCCAGGGCATAGGAGAGGGGAAAAAGGGAGTTGTTAATTAATGGGCCTAGAATTTCAGTGTTGCAAGATGAAAATGGTTCTTGAGATTTGGTTGCACAATAATGTTAATTTATGTGACACCTCTAAAATGTATACTTAAAAATGATTACCATAGTAAATTTTATGTTATGTATATTCTAATAGAATGAAAAAAACGGTCTGCTACCTTAAGGTCATATAATTGTCTCTTTGTATTTTCTTTTAAAATTGGCATATGTCCCTCTTCATATTAAAACTCTAGATTCATTGAAAACTGATATTTTTGTGTTTGTACGGGTGACGAATGAGATATTTCTCTCTCTTTTTTTTTTTTTTTTTTTTTTGTAGAAAATCCCAATTGTCTTAGCAGTCTGTATCTAGACTCTATCACTCTAAATTTCAGGAACAAGGCAAGGATACCAACTCTAAATGATTTTACTCAATATAGCCAGTGCAATAAGGCAAGACAGAAGAATAAAAGGCACAGTAACTTGAAAGGAATAAATAAAATTATCTCTGTTCATAGATGATGCATAATAACCATAGAAAATCCTAAATTATCTTTGAAAACTCATAGAATTGATTAGTGAATTGGGCAAGGTTGTAGAATACAAGATCAACACACAAAAATCAATTGAATTTCTGTGTACCACAAGGAACTTGTACAAACCAAAATTAAAAACCCAATATAATTTGCAGTTGTGCCAAAGTAAATTATGTAGCTAGATAAAATCTTCACAAAATATATAGAATCTATGTATTAAAAATACAAAATCTGAGGCAAGAAATCAAAGATATACTATGCTCAACATAGTAGAGATGTTCATTATCTCCAAATTAATCCAGAGGTTTAAGGCAATCCTTATCAAACTCCCAGTAAGGTTTTTTTGTAGAGAGACAAGTTCATTATAAAATTTAATATAGAAAGGCACAAGCCCTACATTAGTGACAGAGTCTTGCTCTGTCACCCAGGCTATAAAAATATTTTAAAAGAAGAAAAAATTGGGATGATTTACTCTGCTAAAAATTAAGGTATAGTATAGAGTCAGCAATCACACCAGTGTGGTATTGGTGGAGGAACAGAAAAAAAAATCAACAAAACAGAATAAAAACCTAGTAGTAGACCCACACAAATATGTCCAAGCTAAGTTTTGAAGGAGGCACAAAGGTAATTTGAGGGAGGAAGAATAGCCTTTTCAGCAAATGGTGATGGAGCATTAGTACAGGTATTGGGTAAAAACATAGAACTTTGACTTAAACGTTATATTTTAAATAAAAAATTAACTCAAAATAGATCACAAATTTAAATGTTAAAATATAATTTAATTTTATTAAAATATATAAAAATATTAGGGCTCCACAACTTTGTAAAGACTTTTTATATTTGACACCAAAACCACAACCCATAAAATAAAAAATAAAAATAAAAACAAAAAACTGGAGCACATCAAGGTTAATACTTCTACTTTGCAAAAAACCATGTTAAGAGGATGAAAATACAAGTTTATAGACAGGGATAAAGTATTTGCTAAACATATATCCAACAGTGGACCTGTGCCTAGAATATATATGCACACCTCACAAAACTGAACAGAAAAAACAATTAAATAAGAAAATGATTCAGTTAGAAAATGGGTAAAACACAAAGACACATTTCATTAAAGAGGCTGTACAGACGGAAAATAAGTACATGAACCTGTGGTAATCTTCATTAGCCATTGTGGAAATACAACTTAAAATCATACATTAATATTACATACTTATCAGAATGGCTAAAATGAGAAAACAATCACAGCATCAACTGTTGTCAAGGATGCACTGAAACTAGATGACTCACACTTTGCTCAAACTGTTCAGGTCATAATTTTAAGTAGTATAGCCATCATCAAAAAATTGGGGTAAGTTATTAAAACCTAAACATGCAGCTAGCGTAGACCCAATGATTTCACTTCTGGGCATTTATCAGAAAGAAATAAAAACTTACGTTCACACAAAAACTGTACATAAATACTCGTAGCACTCTTATTCATAATAAGCAAAAACTGGAAACAAGTCCGCTGCCCTTTAGTAAGTGAATGGTTAAACAAACATTGGTACAAGCATACCATGAAATGTGACTCAACAATAAAAAGAAAGAAACTGTAGATATACCAAACAACTTAGACAACATATCTGGGAACTTAAATTGTTACATGGCCACAGTAATCAAGACAGTGTGGCATAGCTGAAGAGATTAGTGGATTAGAATAGAGAGACCAGAAATAAATGCACACAAGCATGTCTAATTTTTGACAGAGCTGTAAAGATACTTCAAAGGAAGAAGAAAGCTTTTTTAAGAAAAAATGTCAATCCTCCAAATTCGCATACTCTGTGATGCCATTTGTATAACATCCTTGATTGACAAAATTATGGGGAAAGGAAGCTATTTTGGTTTACAGGTATTAAGGATGGGGAGTTATGGAGTAGGAGAGAAGTGGGGAAGTGGTGGTTAGAAAAGAACAAGAAGAAGGATCCTTGTGACGATGGAACTGTTCTATATTTTGACTCTGGTTATGGTCACATGAATCTACACATGTGATAAATTCTCCTACAAATCCACATCCAAACACACACAAAGGAGAGCATGTAATTAGAAAAATCTAAATATGGTTAAACAATTTTATCAATGTCAATTACCTGCTTACAATGTACTGTGGTTTATGCAGGATGTTGAGACTGAATGAAGAGTGCTGTTTCTTACGACTGTATGTGTATTTACAATGATCATAATATAAATATTAAAAATCCCCACAATGTATGTATTTGAATATCTTTTCAAACCAGTCTGTTTCCCAGGCTGGAGTGCAGTGGCACAATCATGGCTCACTGCAGTCTTCAATTCCCAGACTCAAGCGATTGTCCTACCTCAGCTTCCCTAGTAGCTAGGACCATAGGCTCACACCACCACGTCCATCTATTTTTTGTTTGTTTGTATCAAATTTTTGGTAGAGACAGGTATTCACAATATTGTCCAGGATGTTCTTGAACTCCTGGCCTCAAGCGATCCTCCAGCCTTGACTTCCCAAAATGCTGGAAGTATAGGCATAAACCACAGTTCCCGGCCTACCTTATAAGCTTAAAATATGTATTGAACATAAAATTATAGTCAACTTATATTCTTACCCTATTCCTGAATATAAAAATACATTTTAAATTATTTAACTCCAATGCAATCATTTAAAATTTTATGCTATTTTGCCCAAGATTTTAGAGCCATCTTAATCTTAATGACACATATCAGACCAAATTAGACTTTTATACCAGCCAAGCAAGCCATTATATAGAATTAATTTATGATAACTTTTTAGTCAAAATTTCTCTCTGCATTCCAAAAGTTTCTTCAGAAATACTTTTTCTACTATCCTCTTTCAAAGTACACATGCTAATGGTATTTTGATGCTATTTTTTTCATGTTTGGTCTGAAAAGTATTTATTTCATCATTATTCATAAAGAATAAAGTTTGGTATACAATTATAGATTCACTTTATTACTTTCTGACACATTTTCTCTCTGTTTTAACAGTCCCATACAGGCAAATAAGAAATCAGTCTAAGCTCTGCTCCTTTGTAGATAGTTGTGTTGTATATTTTTTGTTTGTTTAGTTTTGTTTCTTCTCTATGGATATGTTCAATGTTCACTTTAATGTAAATGTATACATTCAATATTCTATTTTCTGTCCAACATTTGCTAGTTTCGATTCTTCAGTCTTTATTAATCAGATACTGCCACTGCCTATTTCTGCACATTCTTATTTGTGGTGGCTTATTTTCTCATGTACATATCATGTTTTTATTAGCAGTTTTTTGTGGAAATGTTATTCTGTAGAAATTCTTTGAAGAGTGGATTTGACATAGATGTATTGATTCCTTAAGACAGAAATTGTGTTTATGACGTAGGAATAGCACTGGGTGGTCTCAGAAGGATGGAAAAACCCAGACAGCAGCTAAAACAGGAAGTAGGCAAAGAAACCACAGGATAATAGAAACACAAAATAAGGGAGAAAAAATGGCCAAAACCCTGGTCAGGGTAACATGTCCATGACACTTTCAGGCAAACTTAAACAAGGGAGAAAGAGATGGATACTGGGGTCTCCTGAAATCCTTTTCTTTTGTAGAATACCTAATGATTATTTCAACCCTAATTAAAGAAACACACATAAAATTAGAAACCTGAACTGTGTTGTCCACATCTTATTCTCATGAGCAAACCTGCACTTCTCTCTTAAGCTTGTACTTAGCTTAGCAATATAAAGGCTTGTTGCCTTTCACTTCCGTCTGACTAGTCCCGGAATTTTTTCTCATGACGGTGTCAAAAACCTGGAAACCTGCTGAAGCTGGGGTCTCAACAGCCTCTGAAGACCCTTCTGAGCCCTGTGGCAACATTATATGTGCCTTAAATGTGGAGATTATCAGGAATGACCACAATTATGTCTTCAGCACATTTTCAGGCCGCATTGTGGTGGCCTGAAATTCAAATGCAAGTACATTGGCATGACTGCTGTGGTTAGAAATTTTCTGGGGGAGACTTTCTACCTTTTTCCTCCTATTTCTTTTGATATAAGGCCAAAATAAGAATATATCCCAAGTGTTTGCTTCCCTAGAACAATATTTTCTCTTTTTCTGGTTCACATAGTGATGGTTTTATGGGTTTATAAAAGGTGCCGCCAATCTGATTTCCCATCTTGCACAGACCATTCCCCTTCCATCTACAGGCATGGTCAATTAAAAGAAGCTTTTCATTCCTCTAGGGATCAACACATACTTTCCATAGTAATCAGTGGGTACGTAACTCAGCCCTCCGGACAGATTATGGTCACCTAAAGAATTCCTCTTTTACCCAGTTCAAGTATGTTGCAAACAAATGAAGACTGGGCCTGGTGGCTCATGCTTGTAATCTCAGCACTTTGGGAGGCCAAGGTGGGAGGATGGCTTGAGCCCAGGAGTTTCAGACCATCCTGGGCAACATAAGGAGACCCAATCTCCACAAAAAAATTAAAAAATAAAAGAAATTAGCCAGGCATGATTGTCTGCATCTGTGGTCTCAGCTACTTGGGAGGCTGAGGTGAGAGAATCATTTGTGCCCAGGTGATTGAGACTGCAGTGAGTCGTGATTGTGCCACTGCATTCCAGCCGAGGTGACAGACTGAGACCTTATCTCAATCAAATAAATAAATAAATAAATATTTTACGTTGAATTTTCAGATAGGTCATGCCACAATAGTTTGCATTGGTTTATAAAAGCTAGAAAAGTAAACCACATAAATTTTCCCTAAGGAATTGTTATAGACTCAATAATAACAAAACTCATGTTTATTTATTATTTTACCTGTTACCAAAAGTTGGAGAAATATTCTTGATTATGGATTTTTTACATTGCAGAAAAGAATAATGATAATAATGCCTACTATTTATTGAACACTCATTATTTGACTGGAGTTGCATTGTTTTTACATTTGAACCTATAGTTAATTATCATGAATCCAATTAAATATATCCTACTTTAAAAATGTATTTATCAAAAAGGCTGCTGAATTTGTTTTTCAGTAGTTACAAATATACTTCTTTGGTTTCTTGCTCTCACTGCAAGAATTTTAATTTAATGCTAAAAAAGAGTAGATTTTGCAAAATGAATGGAACTTAGATATTCACAGCAAGCTGTGATTGAGGTATGGAAAAAACAAAACAGGAGTTAGACTAAACTTATGCAGCTAAACTTAATTTGGTGTCTTCTTATCTGTAACTCCTTCCTTCCTTCTGCTTTAAATTTCAACAGAGAATAATGATATGGAAGTGTTTTTTATATCTTAAGTTTTGGGATGAAATGACTGAGAATGTTGTTCAGTGTGTTAAAAAACAAACAAACAGAGCACGAAGCAGTTTCCTTTCTCCTAAGGGAACTGACTATGGTATTTCTTTCTTCTTGATCAAAATAAAAACAGTAAAGTTGAAATTACCTGAGAAGTAACAATATGGTTTACCTCTCGTTTGTAGAAGGCTCTAGGCCTTGTGAATGATTTTACCTAACAAAACATCTAAAACAGATTCATGTTTTCATATATATGTCTATATTTCAGTCTCATCAATTTAAGTTTTATTAAGTAAAATAAATCGCAAACCTTAAAGCCTTCTACAAATTTAAGAGGCAAACTATGTTCTTATTTCTTAGGTAATCTTGATGTTATTATTTTATTTTGATCGATATTATACAAACACATGAAAGCATGAAAGTTATATTATAGCCTGGAAAAATAGTATAATGGCATCTATATAATCATCAGTTAAGAAATAATAGGATGTTACCTTCATATTAAAAGCTCTCTGAGGAATCTCACCATATTTACAATTCACTCTATCTTTCACAACTGGATTTTGTATTATCAATTCCCAAATATTGTTTGATATTATCTATTTTATTAAATGGTTTAACCAGTTTCCATTATATGTATTCTTCTATCACTTGCTTCTGTGCTTCTGCATTATCTATTTGAAATCCACTCATGTCGATGCCCTCATGTTGATGAACCACTTCATTCATTATTACTTCTGAACATTCCTATGTATTCCTTTACATAAAGATGGCATAATTTATTTGTCCATCCCATTGTGGATATGCATTTGGGATGTTTACATATTTTTGCTACTATGAAAATACAGAGCTGAATATTCTTATATCTGACTCTTGGTACACAAGTTCAAAAAATTACCCATTGGCATATATCTTAGATTGAATTGCTTGGTGTAGAAAATGAACATTTAATCTTATGATATAAAATGTTAAATTGTTTTTAACATGGCTAATTCAATATATACTACTAAAAATAATATTACTGTGATCCTATCGTACTACATTCTCACCCATATTTCTTATTGTTAGGCTTTATAATTCACTATAATCTTTAGGAAGGAATATAAAATCATGCTTTGAATTAACATTTCCCTGATTACTAAAAAGGTTGGTCATGACTTCTCTTTATGACAAATTTTGAACATGTTTTGCCCATTTTCTACAGGATTGTTTTACTCTTTTATATGAATTCATAGGGAATATTTTATACATTCCAAATATTAATCCAGTGAATCTTCATTTGGTATTTGAATAAGTGTTTGCAGATTCCGTATTTGCTGATTCCATATTTGCAAATTTGCCTCCTTGCCAAAATTAACTGGTAATGCTACAATCAATATTTGTAGTGCTTTGTGCTCATTAGCAGATATGCACGGAACAGCAAAATATTTGAGTTGCGCTTTGAACATGCACAATCCCAGCTGAGGCAGACCAAGTCGACATTCTGTTTTCAGGTTTGTGCTCTCATACTATAAAGAAGCACTCTCTTCATGGTCTACATAGTGTCATATTTCTCATATTTGTGTGTGTGTGTGTGTGTGTGTGTTTTGCTGGTGATTTCAGCATTGAAAATGCCCCCTAAGCATAGTAATTAAGTGCTGTCTAGTGTTAGTAAGTGCAAGGAGGTAATGTTGTGCCTTATAGAGAAAATACATGTGTTAAAGAAGCTTTAATTAGGCATGAGTTGTGCAATTGGCCATAAGTTATTGTTAATTAATCAATAATATATATATATTAAGTAAGGTGTTATTAAACAAAATCATACATAAAAGAAGGTTATGCATTGGTCAGTTGATAAAAATGTTGTGACCACAGGCTCACAGGAACCTAATCCTGTATCTCCTCTAGGAGCAATATGTCAGTATTTGTAAAATTAGTGCTCAGGGAGATTTTATAACACTTATTACTGCAGAGAATGAAAATCAACCGTACTTCGTTGGGAATATCTTTGTGGCTTCTCTCCTCATTGCTTTTATAGGATTATGGGAAAGTTAAAATTACAAATTTCTGAATTTGAATTTGAATGAGTGTATCTATTTTCCTCTGTATAGTTTGTAGCTTTATTTCTATGTGGTTTAAGTAATATTTCCTTTCACATGGTCAATTAAAAAAAAAGCTCTCATTTTCTTTCTTAATAGCATTTGTGCATTTCTTAGTCTTACCTTTTAATTGAAGTCTTTAATCAGTGTAAAGTTCATTTTTGTTTGTGGTATAACATAAGGAGTTTTTAGAATTGCAAATATTTGCTGCAAAATGTATTGATTACCACCATTTTTTGAGCTGTCTGATTTTCAAGACCCATTCTGTTATAGATTAAGTACTACATATACAACAAATTGTTCTTATGTTGCGTATTTTCTGTATTTCTGCCCTTCTGCTTATATCATCCTGTCTTAAAGCTTTATATTCAATTTTGATTTTGACAGAAAAAAGTCATTTAAATTTTAAATTCTTTGCAAGTGTCTTGATTATTTGTGACCCTTGTTCTTCCATATTCATTTTAGAATGAGTGTGAGGCCAGGTGTGGTGGTTCATACCTGTAATCCCAGCACTTTGGGAGGCCGAGGCAAGTGGATCACCTGAGGTCAGGAGTTTGAGACCAGCTTGGACAACATGATGAAACCCCATCTCTACTAAAAATACAGAAATTAGCTGGGCGTGGTAGTGGGTGCCTGTAATCCCAACTCCTCAGGAAGCTGGGGCAGGAGAATCGCTTGAACCCAGGAGGCAGATTGCAGTGAGCAGAGATCATGCCACAGCACTCCAGCCTGGGTGACAGAGTGAGACTCTGTCTCACAGAAAAAAAAAAAAAAAGGGGGTGTGAGAAGTCTCTCTCTCTCTCTCTGTCCCTCTCTCTCATACACACACAAACACAGACAAAAACTGTACCTTTTGAAATATGATTTGAAATTGCATTTAATCTATAGATAGACTTGAGGAGAACTGGCATCTATATGATAGACTGCTAATCTATTCTATAATACATCTCACTTTTTTGTAAGTCCCTGTTACATTTTCAATACAATTTTGTACTTTTGTCTATGAAGGCATAATTTTTACCTTCATTTATTCTAAAAAAGTTTACATTTTATTTGCCATTTTTGTTTTTTTGGCTTATATTATTAACTAATAACTAGGGATTTTTACAAATTCTACTTATATAATGATTTTGTAATCAGAAAATATTCTTAATATATTTTCATTGTGTATTTTTGGATTATTTTTATGGTTTTCTCCTCAAGCAATCATGATACCTGCAAAAATTGCCTTTGTTTGTTTTTTCTAATTTGATTTCTTTTCCTGAAGAAGAATGGGTGTCAGGAGCATTCTTGTCTGTTTCCTCATCTTATAGTAACAACTTTCAAAATACACCCTTCAACAGTGTTTCTTTTTTCTAGTTTTATGTGTCTGTCCTTTATTAGCTCAAAATTATCCTTTATTATCTTTTTTATTTTTTTATTGATATCTTGATGCTTAAAAGTTGTGACTATATGTTGAATTTTATTTAGCACTTTTCGTGCACTTATGGAAATCACATGATTTTTCTATTTAATTTGTTAATATCAAAACCTCCGTAATTAAATTACTAATATTACACCAACCTTGCATTCTTGGGATAAACCTTATTTGTCCATAATGTATTATCATATATACACACTGCTGAATGCAGTTTACTAATATTTTATTTATAGTGTTTGCATTCACTTAATAAATGAGGTAGCAATGTCTTTGCCTGAATTTAGTAAAAATATTATCCTAAACTTTTCCCTGGAAGTATTTGTTTAATATTGGATTTTGTGTTTCTTAAAAAATTATTATAAAATCACAGAACATTTATCTGTATTTAGAGTGTTTCCTTTGGTGAAATATTTTTCCATTTATTACAACTTATATTTTAGCTGTGGAAACACTTAAGTTTTCCTTTTTTTTATAATTGAATTTGACATGAATTAGCTTGGATACAAATATTCATATATAAATGCTTACTTTAAAATAAAAGCGCAAAATGCATATAGGCACAACCCTTCTGGCTTAAAGAGTAAATGATGAAGACATAAAATTTCCGTAATTAGAAAGAATATATGCTGACATATTGCCTATAAAACTAAATAAAATTGAATTTTATCACTGAATGTAGCTAATTTGTTCTTATTAGTTGTGCGTGTATGTGTATGTGTGTGTGTGTGTTATTTCTTTTTATTAGAAGGAGATAGTAATGACTATGACTCTCTCATATCCTTCCTTTCTTTTCTTTTTTTTTGGTCCTTTGTTGCCTAGGTTGGAGGCTGGAGTGCAGTGGTACAATCATAGCTCCCTGCAACCTCAAACTCCTGGGCACAAGCAATCTTCCCACCTCAGCCTCCTGAATAGCAGAGACTACAGACAACCAACACGCCTAGCTAATTTTTAATTTTTTTCTAGAGACAGGGTCTTGCTTTTTGCCCAGGCAGTTCTGGAACTCTTGGGCTAAAGCAAACCCCCTACCTCGGCCTCCCAAAGTTCTGGGAGTAAGCCACTGTGACTCACTTATTTTATATTCTTATAGGTTAATACAAGCAACTAAATTTCTTTCCACCTCTAATAGTTCTTCAGGTTTGATTTATATTTGAGGTAGATTTTGCTTATCGTCCCTCTGGATATATAATAATATTGCACAAAATAACGGAGTATGTTTTGAGAATAGTGCAAATTGTGAAAGAACCTCATTCCTTTTTTTTTCTCATTGGTGGATAAATAAATAAGTTTAAATTAAATATGTCAGTATTTTTGTATCTTCCAAGCCATAGGTTTCATCTCATAGCAAAATCCAAGATTTCAGATCCTACTACATTTTTTGACATAGAATTGCATTTAATTTATCAAACGTCATATTTTAATTTCTTATCACAAACTTATTGATGCTTTACATTGTACTTTAATGCCAGAGCAATATCATGAAATCTAAATATATGTATCTAATATGATTTACTTTGCCAGGAAGGCATTCACTATTATTATTATTATTATTATTTTTAGATGGAGTCTTGCTCTGTTGCCCAGGCTGGAGTGCAGTGGCGCGATCTCAGCTCACTGCAACCTCCGCCTCCTGGGTTCAAGTGATTCTCCTGCCTCAGCCTCCTGAGGAGCTGGGATTGCAGGCGCGTGCCACCATGCCCGGCTAACTTTTTTGTATTTTTAGTAGAGGCGGGGTTTCACCATGTTGGTCAAGCTGGTCTAAAACTCCGGACCTCCGGTGATCTGCCCACCTCAGCCTCCCGAAGTGCTGGGATTACACGCATGAGCCACTGCACCCGGCTGGCATTCACTCATTTTATTCATTTATTCATTCACACATTAAAATCTTTGTCCACCTGGCAAATTACCTTTCCTATACCTTTCCCTTGGCCAACTATTATTATCCTTTCAAAAAAGGTTCCAGTGTAATCACTTTCTAAAAAGAGCGGAGCCACTACTTCCACCATAAACAGGCATTGTATTAGCCTGCTAGGATTGCCATAACAAAACACCACAGACTGGGTGGCTTACCCAACAAAAATTTATTTTCTCATTCTTTTTGAGGCAGGAAGTTGTGGGTGGTTTGGTTTCTTCTGAGGCCTCTCTTCATGGCTTACAGATGGCTGCCTTCTCTCTGTGTTTTCTTCAAGGCCTTTTCTCTGTGTGTGCATACTCTCGGCATTTCTCTCTGAATGCTCTCATCTTATTTGCATATCTGAACATTAGTCAGATTGGATTAGGGCTGATTCTAAGGGCCTCATTTTACTAAATTCCCCTATAAAGGTCCAGTCTCCAAATACAATCACATTTTAAGACAGTAGGGGTTAGGGCTTCAATTTATGAATATTGGGTATATACAATTCAGTTCATAATATACATTCTTAAGTACCTGTGATAAAATAAAGATTTCTTCAGTTCTCTGTTTGTATCTCAGCAAAATCTTAAATACCTCATAGGCAAGAGACTTTCTTTTCATTCATGTATTTCCATAGTAACTCAACATTTTTAATTTGGGTGTACTCCTAGAATCAGTACCATGCCAAACCATATTAGAATCTGGGTCAAAAGGTAAAATCAGAAATACTTGTCATGCCTTTATATAATGTTTTGATAGTTTGTTCATCATGGATATTTTAAATTAATTTAGATTTTTTAAAATATTGCATGAAAATGTTATCTGAACTACTGAGGTTTTTTGGTGCCTCTTGGCATTTTGCACCTGAAGTTATTGCTTACTCACTTCATCCTACTCCTGATCTTGTCTAAAACGATAAAATTCACACAGCAACATTTTAAGGATCTATGTGATAGTATCCCTAAAAACTTGCAATGTGACTATCTTTAGATAACTATCTTTATATTTGCTATATTGTGAATAACTTGTCTCTTGAAAACGATCATAGAATAGACACAAGGACACTACTTTGGAAATTAGTACCTGGCTTCTAGTTTCGTCTCCGTCAATTATTTTCTGAGTTCTAGAGTTTAGCTTTGCTGTAGTTAATGGCTAGACAGAAAGTCAGGCATGCCAAACTCAATATTAACATCGTATCAACATTCAACCTATAACCTCTTTGTATGTTCACAAGTCTAGGTTCTACTTTGGGAGACTTTTATTCAGCAGTTCCAGAGTGTGGTATAGGAATCTACACTATTAATATACACCTCTACCCCTAGTAATTCTAACATAGATGGCCGTTGAACCATTTGGCTTGTGGGTTACATTCAATGAAAAATATCGTAGTTCTGGTTATACAAATATAATCTGAGAATTGACTGGAGTCTCTGTACAAGATTGAATAATCAAGAAAGGGTTTGGCCCGCATCCAGAACAGTAGTTCTAAGTTTTTAAGAAAGGAAATAGGAACTTAGGTACTAATTGGTTTAGAGGTGCTTCAACAATACATAAAGATATTCACTAGAACTATAAATCTCTAATATTTTTACATGCGCTGATAATAATAGTCTCTGCTACTTCTTGGTCTCCTGTGTCATACACTGAGTTACATCATTTAAGGCAGAATCAGGAATAGGATGAAGAATATGATTTTATATAATTCTCAATAAATCCTGTAATGTAGCATTATTATTTTTGTTTTTCTGCTGAGAAATATGAGGTTTATCAAAGTTAAATTATTCTTATAGGTTAGCTGGTAATTAGGTGTCTTCATTTTTAGCACCAAGCTCAAAACCTACCAGAGTTTGTATTAATGATCTTTTGCTGAAAGAATAAGACCATCAGACTAGAGCAGCCTGGAATATATTCAGAATCAGAACCCAGTAAAAACTTTTTGACACAAGTTAAGAATGGCCTTAGAGGAACAGCTGAAGCCAAGCTTTGAGGCAAAGGGCAAGAGCTTTCACTTTGAAAACAGAGAGGATGCCATTGTGGGGTCACCTGAAGGGAGGAAATAGTGAAAGGAGAATACCTACACAAGAGCCATGACAACAGCCTAAGCTGTTGGAATAAATAGACATGCCGAGTGTTAAAAGGCTTAATCAGTTTGCTTGTTTAAACTCCAGATTTTAAAGAGATATGAGTTTGATGACAAAGTCCTTGCTAGAAGTTGAGAACTGAGAATAAATAAAACACAAATTATAGAAATAAATGAAAGTTTCTTTGAATAATTACACAACTGTTGGCTACCTCAGGATTTTTCATATTTGCACTAGCATTTCAAAACACTATTTTTTTCAGTTGCTATAATGAATCGTACATATTTAAATTCTATTTGAGAAGATCAAACTATCATCTCCTAAAAATAAAGATGTTACGTATCTTTAAATTTTTTTCTCACCATTTCTTATAGCATATCGTGCCCTTGTCCACTGAACTTATATGTTTCAATTTTTTCAATGATAAAAAGGCCATGATTTAATATGCGCTGATACCACCTTAGATAAATACATTTACTGTTACTTTTAAAACTACTTTTCTTGATACTTTTTAAAATTCTTGAGTATGCCCATCAATATTAATAAGCAAATTGTTCCTTCATTCCTCTACCTTTTCACACTTTTTTTCCCTTTAAAATTTTATTTCTTATTTCTTATTGTTAATATATTTCGAGATCCACTCTAGGAGGTCTGAAGATTTAGTGCTTGTGTGATCATTTGGCAAATTTTAAAAAAGGCCAATTTTTTCAGCCCCACCTCCCAGGAATTCTTAGTTTTTAGGTCTGTTGTGGGTTCTATCTCTCTTCTTATCTTCTTAGTTAGTTTTGAAGCAGGTTTTTAGAGAATGACTGCAGTACAGTTATGTGAGTGGCTTTGAGCCAATCTAGTTCTATTTCTTTTCTTACTTGCAGTTCCTAAGAATAACTAGAATGTGCTGGGAATGTAACAACTTGCGACAGGGAGAGACCCGTACAACAGCCTGCCGTACAACAGCCTGAGCTCTGTTTCAGTCCCCCACAGGAAGCAGGATATCCTTCACTACTTCTACGAGGGCAGTCATGTTACCCTGGGGTATAAAAACTGGGGTGGGCGGCTTTCCAGGATTCTTCATCTGTGTTGCAAGTGGTATATGCACAGATGACATTCTGTCCACTCCAGGCAGCTATCCTGAGGCTTGTGAAACCAGCTCCTAACCATCCTAGATTTCTGTTGTCCTTTGCTGCCTATGTATAAATAATAAACCACTTCATGTAACTTGTTGTGTTCATGAGTGTTCTGTTTCACTGGACTTAGACAAATTGGTAACAAGTGTACAGTGTACTTGCTTCACAATGATTTTTTTAAAAGACAGCCTACTACATTCCATTACATTTTCTGTTCTGTACAAATCCTTTCTTACGCTCTCAGAAAATGTAGCTTTCTAAGGTATGCGAGAGATGATTCTGTTTAGCTTTATTGACTTAAGTCTACATAGGTAGCTAAGTAGTAGAATGCTAAAACCAAGTCCGTTAGGTATATTTGTATTTAGAATATTAAAGTCCCTCAGGCTGTGTCTGATTATGCCTGTCATATTAACTCCAACAAATAAGACTATGCCTACCTCATAGTAGCTTCTCAATATATTCAACACTTCCTGAATGGCTGAACAATTATAAATTTTGACAATTACTAATTTCCCCTCATTTTATTTTTCCATGGTATTCGTCTCTGTCTGGTTTATAGAGTTCTGTGGTCTGAATGTTTATGTCCTCCAAAAATTCTTATGTTGAAACCTAATTACCAAAGCAATGTATTAGAAGGTCGGGCATTTGGGAGGTGATTAGTTCATCAGGGTGGAGGCCTCGTGAATGAGATTAGCTCTCTTTTTAAAGAGGTCCCAGAGGGCTGCCTGCTCCTTTCACAATGTTAGGCTACAGGAGGAAGGCTCTGCCTTTGAGGAAGCAGGCCCTTACCAGGCATTGAATCTGGTGTTGCCTTGATTTTTTTCATCCCAGGCCCCAAAACTGTGATAAATAAATGTTAGTTGTTTGTAAGCTACCCAGTTTATAGCATTTTGATATAGCATCTCAAATGGACTAAGACACAGGGGTCAAATAAGAATGAATTAGAACAATATATTTAGGTCACCTCCACTTCCACACCCACCATTTGTACAGCATCAATCACTTTCCTTTCCTACTGGTTATCAGCTATTCTTTCAAAATACCAGGAATAACACCTGCCTCTAAAAATTATGAAGAATAGACAGAATTGTGTAGAAACACTTGCAAATGGCAATTATTTGCTTGATTTTCACAGCAACATTTTTCTATGAAATAAAATATAATGTATGAGGCAAATATACACACATGTGGTACAACATATTATTTTGATAGAAAAACAATTATGGCAATTATTTGGAATATAAAACGTCAAGTTAAAATTTGGGCTGAAGGTTAGCTTTTTATAATTTGGGCTGAAGGTTAACTTTTTATAATTTGTAGAGATCATTAGATAAACAAGAGGTGCTGAAAACACTAAAACCATCCAATGTCTTTGCACACTAATTCTGCTCCCTCCATTTCACACTGTTATTTGACTAATGAATTTTGATTCTTCAGAGTCAGTAAAGTATGACATCTTAAGAGGGGCATTTCCTGTTGTCAGTGGCCATGCTATTTCATCCTCCTATACATTTTCACAACTCCCTGTACAAATTCCCTATCTAAGCACTGCTTCTTACCTCATTCCTCTTCCCATGTTATGATTAAAAGCCTATTTATAGTCATTTCCCTCTAAATAGTACAGTATAGAAAAGGTAAAAAAGGTCACTTATAATGGAAAAAGGTGACAGACACTACTTCAGCCAAATGATCAAGTTTAATATCAACAATAAGAAGGCATATTGGTAGTGCATTCCCTTCATAGGATGTAATAAAAATGACACTTTACCTCTGCAGTCCTGTTTCCAAAAACTCATAACCCTTGAATAATTATTTGAAGAAGAAAGACAAATCCCAGTAGAGGCGATCCTAGAAAATACCTGATGAAGTACCTTTAAAACTCTCAAGGTCATCAAAAACAAATTAATTCTGAGAAACTCTCACAGCCAAGAGCTTATTATTTACACATAGGCAAGAAAACGACAAGTATTATGAATGTAAAGTGGTATCATCGATGTGATCCTGGGCTAGAAATAGGACATTAGATAAAAGCTAAGAAATATGAATCAAGGGTGGGCATTAATTAATAATAATATATTAATATTGGTTCATTGGTGCACTTGTGACAAATGCATCAGACTAATAAAGGTGTTAATACTAGGGGAAACTGGCTATGGAGTATATGAGTACTCTTTGTACTGGTGCTTTCCTTTTTTCCTGTAAATATGAAACTATTCGAGAAAATGCTCATTTCTAAAAACTTGTTTAGGTTCCTGTCTCCTCCGTTAAACTGCATGGACTGTGAAAGTCAGGTTGTGTCTGTCTCCATTACCTCCATACATCAGTGCACCACACACAGGAGGAGCCTGACAATTGTTGAATGAGCTATTGAATGAATGAGTAAAATAACCATCTAATAACTGACTGTGAAAGAACCTTAATTCCCTGAAAAAACTCCTATTTTATATGTAAATAGTACTTCCTCAAACCACCAGTCAGGATGGAAATTAATGCCATCTGCCGCTTGTTCTTCCACAATCTTCTGCTCTTGGGCCTTGCCATCATTTTCTCTGACTGACTGTCCTAAATATCTGTTTACTTCCCAAAGAATCCTTATGCTCCTGAATAATCAACTTCTTTTTCTTCTTCTGCCAAGCACAGTATAAAAATCCATGAAAACCAGGAAGACCTTAGGGAAGCCCCCCTAGGTACAGAATTCAAAGGTACTGGGCTGCCTTCTGATGTTCTTGATGCCAATAAATTACTTCCACAAGGCCCCTTGGACATATTCACATCATTTATATTATACTCTCTGAAATATTAATACTTAGCAAATCAGTTGAATAGATAAGAGTTGTCTTTTCAAAGGAAAATACTCTTGGGAGATTTAAGGAACCAGAACTGAGATCAATATTGTTATTACTATAATTTAGCAATATCATTGACTATTTCAGTTTTCGAGAATGAACACTGGAAAATACAATATATTTATAACATTATTTTTATGGGAAAATAGTCTACTAAATTAATTTAGGAAACAAAGCACACCTACAAGTTCAAGATTGAATATATTTTTTTAAAAAATAAGCTGTAAATAAAACCTTTAAAAAAGTCATTTGCTAGCAAGAACACATGACAAAAAATGAAATTAAATAATTATTTAGTATAACAAATGAATGCATTAAAAGATCTATTAAGGCCATATGGTCTAATGATCAAAATATTTCTTCATGAATCTGGAGATCTACAAATATATTTTGAGTTTTATATGCTGCCTTCCTTTTTTATCAAGTAAATTAACCTGTTTATTATCAGTAACTCTGTTAATATATGTATATGTATATGATATACAATTATCATATACAGGAATGAAATTATGTGTGGATTCATCTGTATTTAAAATAAAATTTAAATGTCAGCTAGAGGTTAAAGATTCACTACAAATTTTTGTACATGTTTTATTTTAAATCTCTTAATATTAAAAAAATACAATAACACCATTAATAACTTGTGTTTATTAGATAAGATTCATCATATTAAGTGATGGATCTCCATCCTTTCATTTAAATCTCACAAAACCACAATGTGTCAATATTAATGAGGCTTTCGTTTTTCAGATGACGAATATTTAGCTTATAGAAGTCAAATGACAAAGCTAATATTTATACTTAATGCAGTTTGATTCTGAAGCTTAAGCTTTTATCCTGTTTCATCATTAATGATTACTACTTTTAAAGTACCATGGTTAGTATAAATGAAACTGAGCAGATCACCTGTAGCTTTACAGTAAAATGAATATCATACAATTTATTCATTTTCAATGTGTATTGAAACTTGATAATGGAGGTGTGTGTTTAAATCAAAATTTTTTCTTTAAAGAAAGTGATCAAATAGACCAATCATTCATTTATTCTTCCTTTATTTACCTACTCCAAAAACTGAATTATTAATCATCAATGAGTTAACTAAGGTAGACTTTTCCTTAATTATGTGATGTAAGTATATTCGATATCAGAAAAAATAACTAAAGTTTGTCTTTCTACTAAACGTCAAATGATATAAAGTGTGTTTCTTGTCAGCTCGGATGGTTCTGTTCCCATGGCTTCCCACCCTGCTAAGAATACACAGAAAACAAGTCTGTCATAAGCCAAATGCTCACCACAGGAAACTCATCCCTGCTGGCACCAAAATGGTCTCATATTAAAGGAGGTCAGTTTCCCTTCGGATCCATAAAATGCAGATAGGATAGTATGATAATTTCAACCCTTACTGGAATATTCTAACTTACGTTAAATAAGCATAATGTGGCAACCATGAAAGCAAATTATCTTCAGATGGGTTATTTAATATTAAAGGAATATTTCCTTTAAACATGGAAAAATGTTTCAGTAAAGTAAGCTAATTTGTACTTTTTTGTTTTGTCTTCTAGCTCATTCCAAAGTAGAATTACACAGTTCTGAATTACTTAGTTGCAAATCAATAGATCACAATTATTTTGTATATTTTTTTCCTTTTATCAACAGCATGCATATTTACAAATAGACGTATTTCGTTTTTACAGTTTTTTTCTGAAACAAATGTTAAATAATCCATGCAGATATTTAACAAATTAACATTAAATATTACTAATTTTAAGATCTTTCAAATTATAGCTAATATTTTACTCTATAAAATATCTTGGACCAGTGGATTAATGCCATGCATGTAAGTGACCTGAAAACTTGTGTTGTAGCACAATTAATGAGTATGATCTACTTGCAGAGTCTTCAAAGTATTTCTAAAGCCAATGCATAATAAAATTAGGAACAACTCCGTCTCTACTAAAAATACAAAAAATTAGCCGGGAGCGGTGGCGGGCGCCTGTAGTCCCAGCTACTCGGGAGGCTGAGGCAGGAGAATGGCGTGAACCCGGGAGGCGGAGCTTGCAGTGAGCTGAGATCACGCCACTGCACTCCCGCCTGGGCGAAAGAGCGAGACTCCCGTCTCAAAAAAAAAAAAAAAAATAAATAAAATAAAATAAAGTTAGGAACAACAAATGGATATAGTTGAATAAAATATAGAATGATAGATCTCAGAGCTAAAAAAAAAAGCTCTCAGCAAATATATTTGATTCAGTTATTGTCCTTACCTGAGATAAAATTGTTTTATACAAATTTTATAGCAACTCTTAAGACTTAGGAGACCCAGCCAAGGTTACAGGACTTTGCTCAATGTCAGTTAATGATAGGGGAAGTGCTTTGTGACAGACTATCTTAATTTCCTGATAGAAAGTAGGCCTGTTAGAGTTTTTCTGTGTTCATTATTTTAGCTTAATTTTTATTTTAAGAGCATTCCACTGGAATGAGGATGTTGTAGAAGGCAGAAATAATGCACTGAAAAAATAATCCCATAAACCATAAACCATGAACCGTTAGCTGTTTCTAGGAAACTGAGCATGAAAGGTCACATCTTTTCTTAGTCTGTTAGAGGATGTCAGGATCTTTAGCTAGGCAAGAGGTATTTCTACCAGAGAAAAGGGCTTTGTGAAGGAGGAAACATGTATGCGGCTAGAGATAAGGAAGACAAGATAAGGGAGACTTAAATTTTAGAAAGAAATAAAAGCTGCCAGTCATAAGAATTGTATAATTTCTAAGCAAACTAATTCCCCAAATGGAAAAAGGTAAATAATTGAAGCTTAATAAAAGGATAGAATCAGGGAGCCATAGCAACTGATTGTAGAATTGTAGCATGTAAACTGTGTACCCAGAAATTAGATTAGCAGTAATGGTAAGACTTCTAAGGGACTGTATTAAAGAGAATTATAATAAGAAAAGAAAATCCTGGTCAGTCACAGGTAGAAGATCATATTTTCTGGTTAACTAAGAGTTGCCTGAATTCAAACCTTGTTAAAAATAATTCTACTTGCACTTACAAAATCTCTTACCTCGCTAAACAAAATTTACTCAACAATTCAAACATTGATAATTTGGGGATTTACTATGCTTTAGAATTGATATTCTTAAGTTATTTATTATCATAGTTATTGAGGGTATGGATAAGAAAATTTAAGGTCACAAGCTGAACCCAAATTTAGGTTCCCAATTTGATAATCATGAACCTTGGGCAAATTATGTAATCTTGCTAAGTCTCAATTTATTGTATTTTTCACTTTACTAAATATCACCAAACTGTTCTTCATGATAGTTATTCTAACTGCCATTCCTACCGGTAGTTTCTGAGCATTTCCTTTGCTCTGAATTTGCACCAACATTTATGTTTTCAGGTTTTATAAGTTAGGTCATTCTGATGATTGAGGAATGATTCAGTATTATAGTACAATTATGTTTTTACACTTCATGGGTTCATTGGATTTTAAAATATTTTAGTCTATTTATACATTAGGTTATTTACATTTTCTTTTTTTTTTTTTTTTGCCTTATTTTGGTGTGTGTGGTGAGAACGCAATAGCCAATCTCTTAACAAAGTTCAAGTGGTTTGCAATACAGTATTATTAACTATAGTCACCGTGCTGTACCTAGATCTCTAAAATTTATTCATGCTACATAACTAAAACTTCGCATCTTTTTGATTAACATTTACCTGACAGGGCACGGTGACTCACGCCTGTAATCCCAGCACTTTGGGAGGCCGAGGCGGGCAGATTTCTTGAGGTCAGGAGTTTGAAAGCAGCCTGGCTAATATGGTGAAACCCGTCTCCACTAAAAATTAAAAAACAAACAAACAAACAAACAAACAAAAAACTAGCCAGGCATTGTGGGGCATGTCTGTAATCCCAGCTACTTGGGGAGGCTGAGGCATGAGACTTGAACGCTGGAGGTGAAGATTGCAGTGAGTCAAGATCGTGCCACTGTACTCCAGTCTGAGTGACAGAGCAAGACTCTGTCTCAAGCAAATAAATAAACAAAAACCATTTACCCATTTTGCCAACCTTTATCCTTGGTAACCACCATTCTACTCTGCTTTTATGAATTCTAAGTGAGAATCATGCAGTATTTTTTTCTAAATTCTAAAGTGAGATCATGCAGTATTTTTCTATCTGTGACTGGTTTACTTCACTTAGCATTATATCTTTCAAGTTCATATGTTGTTGCAAAGGGTAGGTTTTCCTATTTTAAGACTTAATAATATTCCTTTTAAAGGCTTAATAATAATAGTAACCCTTTAAGTGTAGTATGTGTAATATTGTATGTAATATTATGTCAAACATTATGTCTAATATTACGTGTAAATAATTCATGTATTTACCTTTAAAAAATACCTTTTAAGGTTTAATAATATTTGGAATATTATTAAGCCTTAAAATAGGAAAGCCTACCCTTTGCTACAACATGGATGGACTTGAAGGACATTTTATGTATATAAAATGATTGGTTATTAAGTGAAATAAATGGCCAGTCATTTTATATATGTAAAATTACTTACTTATGTATTAATCCATAGAGGGACACTTAGGTTTTTTCAGCATCTTGGCTATTGTGAATAAGTCTACAATGAACATGGGAGTGCAGAAATCTATTTGAGATATTGAATTTATTTCCTTTGGATATATAACAAGAAGAGAAATTTGTATTTTCTTATTACTTTTTAAGATTTTATATATACTAGAGAGTAATTAATTAGACATTAGATGCAATGAAAAGGTTTCTTCTAATCAATGATTTTTTAAAAATTTTGTCATGTTGATAAGTAAATTTTAATTGTAATGTACCAAATATGAAACATTTTGTTCTTAGTTTGCATGCTTGTATTTTGTTTAGGAAACCTTTCCTAACAAAGATTACTAAGATACTGTTTTATCTGATATTTTTGAAGTTTTACTATGTACGTTTAGGTCTTTAGTAATACATTTAGGTCTTTAGTAATGTAGACTTGATTTTTGTGCATGTAATTTAAGGTAAGGTACTTACCTTATGTTTTCTGTTATATATACTTCTCACCTCTCCTCATTATAATTTCTCTTTGAAAGTGGGGCTGATTCCTGTGAATCCTAGTGGCAACCTACTTATGGTTGGTTGGAAACAGAGGTAAAAAATTGTAAGGGAGAAAGCAATATTTTCCCTTCTTATACCTTGGAAGATGCCTCTAGCAGCAGCAGCATCTCTTTCATAGTGCCAATTCCTGTCAGACAGATGCGGAAGTTCTAACCTCTGCAAAGCAGTGCTAATCTCTCAGTTTAATCCAACCTCCTCCATTTATCTCTCCAGTCTAGGGGCAATCATGTCTTTCTGCCTGAATTTTTAGATTGCCTTAGTGTGTCCTAGTTAGCTTCTCAGCCTCTTCTATTATGTGTAAATAATTCATGTAATTACCTTTAAAAAATAATAAAAAGGATGGCATTTAATTCTTTTTCTGTATTTATGGAAATGAACAAATGTTTCTCCTTTGTCTTTTAATACTGCTTTTCATCAGTAAATTGTATAAATGTACAATCAGTTTTGTAGTGTGGTTTCACTTTATTTGGCAACAATTTTTTATGAACTCTCTTCATCTTCATATGCCTGAAAATATTTTTTATATTATTTTATAATGGTTTATTACATTTTTTAACCTACTGGATTCACAGTTATTTGCCACAGCAATTTTAACATATTCTATTATTTTCTTGTTTTCAAACTAGAATGTAATATGCTCCACAAAGGAAGGAATTTATGTCTGTTTTGTTCACAGCTCTCTCTGGAGTATGCATACTAATGTCAGGGAAAGAGTAAGCATTTAATAAATATTTGAATATTAGATAAATGAAAACTGTTGCTTTTCAGAAGCTGGGTGCAATCTAATTGCAATGTCTTTGTAAATAATATTTTCTCTCAAGCAGTGTTTAAAAGTTATTTCTTTTCTATGTTTTTGTTTTCTACAGAGTTTCTACAATGTGTGCAGGTATTAATTTATAATTATCGTGTCTGATATTCAGGGTGCACTTTAAACTTGAAATTAGTTTCTCTCTCTTTTCAAATATTTTGCTAAACTCTTGGTAATTATCTCTTTAAACATTGTAACTCTGACATTTGCTGCTTTCTCTGTTACTTTCATTTGAAGAATGCAGGCACAGACCAATCTCTCCTTTGTGCCTCTTACCTTTTCTTTAATATATTTTATATCTTGATTTATCTGTAATGCATTCTGAGTTAATACTAAATATTATATTTTAATTTAATATATCTTTACAGTTAACTAGAATAAAAATGACCCTTTCCAAAAAATATCAATTCCATTGTTTATATTATCCTATCTGTTCTTCTTTCATGACTACCTGTATTTGTTTCATTATTTATTTTTAATGATTTTCTTTACTATCACTTTAAGCTTCTAAAGTATGTGCATTTTAAAATTTTCACCAGATTGCTTCCTTAAAATTAAGTTCACTTCAAATGAATTCCTGTATTATTGTTGTTTTCTAGGATATATTTTTAGCATGTTATTCCTTTATGTGTTTTGTAATTTTGGTTGGCAGGTTCATTTTAAGTAGGAGCCATTTTGTTTTTCTTCCATTGTTATTATTATTTGTATTTTTTCTCTTTTTCTTCCTTCCAGATAGCCCTTTTGCATTTCCATCAATCTGGCAAGTCCCCAATCTAGAATGAAGTCTTATATGTTTGAAGTTATTGTAGATTGTCATGAAACTAGTAAGAGTTGGCTAAATTCATCTTTCAATGTTGTGTTTTTGCTCTTCCCTGCTCATTCTATATAATCCTGTATTGCCTGTTGTATATTTGGATATATAATCCGCAACTTCTGTTAAAATCAATGCTCTAGATTGGCAGTCATGTTATCATTCACTATCATTTATAAGTTCTCCTACATCCGTTTACTTAAAACAGTGAATCTGGCTTCAGTATGCCATATCTCATGTACATTTTAGTCCAAATAATTTCTTGGCCTTTATTGCAAGTCTCTGGCCATGAGTAAACCAGTGGTTTCAAACTCACTTACTTTCTCTAGTTTCTGTCTTACTTTTGACTCATAGAGATATCTATCTTGTGTTCACACAAATATCTTTTTATATTTTCTCTCTTTTTTATTTTATTTGACATTGTTTTTAGTTTTGAGAAGATCATGTGTTAAAGCAGGAAGTGACAGATCTACCTTAAGCACAAAATGTTATGGCTTAGTTTATAATACCTGAAATTTTTAAGTTAAAGACTCACTGAATATTCCTCACAATAACCACATTTTTATGAACATTTATTATATACCTGGCAATGTTCTAATCATTGCAAAGATAATAACTCAATACTGAAAACAATCTTATGAAGTATATATTATTACCATCCCCTTTCTTAATGGCAAACTCAAAGTTTCAATGATTTTAGAGAACTTTCTCAAGGTCACACAATTTTAAGTTTCAGAAGCAAGATTTAGAGCCACACACTGTGATTCCATGTACTTATCCATTTTGCTAAAACAAACATCACATGCCTTGGAAGACTCTAAAATCTATGTTGCATTAGGCAAGAAATAAACACCGATTGCTTTATTTTGAAAACATTTATTTGGTCTTCATACCGTGACAAAGTGGCATGCTTATTATATTCTTTATGAACTGTTTGCAACATAGTTTATGCCAAAAACTCTATGCTCCTTTAACAGTGGTTGAAAGAAGGAAAAAAGCAATTATGTTATATGCCTAGAGGAGAATAAGCTCTTTCTACTTAACTTCATCTCCCAATGCACATTACTTGCGGGATGGCTGACTATCAGAATGAACAAATTTCTCTTCCAGCTTTGTGAATCCATCGAAAGGATGCCTGAAGGTGAAGGTGAGTTATGCAGTATATTCTGAAAGCACAAAAATTTTGTATGACTGCATTTCTGACATGCATGGGTTCGACAGCCTGGGAGTTCATGTATTATACTTGGAGATTCAACCTCCACTCCCAGTAACTATTTGCTGGGTGAATGACAGCTATAAACACATTGTGTATCAGACTTTCATAAAGTTTATTATGACTGAATTTTCAGGTAGGTTTCTAAGCCCATATATCATATATAAGCATGCTAAATCCTGGGGATCAATTAATTTAAGAAATAGAACAATTAATGTACTACTTATGGTACTAAGACTTCACCATAATATCTAAAAAGACTCCACAGTTGTATCTAAAGAAAGAAAGGAATGGAGAATATATTCCAAACTTAACTTTGCCTAATATTTAACTATTTGACTCGAGGCATGTTACTGAACATATTTGAGGTCCATTTTTATTTGAAATGTTTGGTTTTTATTTGCTAATTATACTATTTTAGAATTCATTATGTCAACCCAAGTTGTCAAACCAAGATCCAAATATACAATATGCAATGCTATATTCTTTCGTATTTTGAATGCTTACTGAGTTTTTTCCATATAGTCTCTAAACAATTCTAAGCTTTTATATGCTTTAGGAAAAGTTGAGAACTTCTTTATGTACAGGTAATCCATTTAGAAGTTCACACAATAAAATCTGCTTGTACAGATATTTTATATAGATTGGCAGCCTACACGTATCACTAAAATTTACATAAGCTGAATAAAACCTATTATGTTTCTTCTCTACCAGATGGGTGTACACAAATATAAATCAACAATTCTTATTTATGAAAATATATATTTTCTAATCCACAATGGAAATATTAGTTCCTTTCCGTATATGCATGGATGGCTATTTTTGAAATTCATTTTACTCTTACAACAATAATCCAAAATATTTTTATTTGAGTTACTATTAATGGCATTTTCAAACTAAATATAATTTGTATGATAAAATGAAGGTTCTAATTATGAATTATAAAATATTTGGGAATTCATCACTGCAAAGTATTAGGAGGGGCTATTTGAGATTGATGAAAAGGTAAAAAGGTTTACCAGCATTTATAGAACATGAGGATACATATTTTCAGCAAAAACACTAAAAAGCAGTTAGGTAACTCTCAATAGGTAGTTTGTTGTCCAGGATGAGCTTTCAGTTTTTGGCAGACAGTAATGGAAATTAATATCAAATGCAAGGAGTAACTCAATAAACAGATTGGTCTTGATCAAAGTGCTGTGAAATTGATTCTTATATGTGATTTTTGCTTGTACGCAAACAAATTTGTGTATACAATTTATGTGTGTATATATGAACACGTATATGATGTATAATATTTGAAATATATGTGTATTAATCTGTTCTCACGCTGTTAATAAAGACATACCCAACACTGGGTAATTTAAACAGGAAAGAAGTTTAATTGACTCACAGTTTCACCTCGCTGTGTAGGCCTCACAATCATGGTGGAAAACAAATGAAGAGGCAAGTCAAGTCTTACATGGTGGCAGGCAAGAGAGCCTGTGAGGGGAACTGCCCTTTATAAAACCATTAGATTTTGTGAGACTTTATCATTATCCCGAGAACAGCATGGGAAAATTCCACCTCCATGATTCAATTACCTCCTACCATGTCCCTCCCATGACACATGGGAATTATGAGAGCTACAATTCAAGATGATATTTGGGTGGGGACATAGCCAAACCATATTGATATATCTTTGTTGTTTTTCATAAATAATGCATTTTGGTTTCAGTTGCTGCACACTCCAATGCTAAGAAAAATAAATATATATCTTTATAAATATAGCTATATATATTTACGTATCTTTCTTTTATTACAGTAGCTTTAAAAGTGATCTCCGTTTCTTTCTGCAGATTAACAAAGAGTCCAGGTGTGTGTGATCAATTATAAATCTGTTAAGGCAAATCTAGAGGGACTAAGTGCAAAAGACAAAACTTTGACCTGATGCATGATAAGGAATATGTAAATTCATGGATTCAGAGGGCAGCAAGATTTGGATCAGAATTGGGGCAAATTAAAAACTTTAGAAGAGGTTGTTTCAGGGCAAATGTTTCAAATTGTGGAGGTCACTCTCAGATACTTTGTTGGGGCTTGATAAGTGAATGTATTCATATATCTGGGTTAATGGACAAATTAAATAAATGAACTTTTACTTCTTCCAAAGGCTATATTTATCATTTTTACTTTGATTGTTTTCCATAATACTATTTACTTTATAGCAGTATTCAGTTGAAATGTGCCAACATGAATTTCACTGAAAAATTCTACAAAACAGATAGTACAAAATATTTTGTAGTTGAAATGTTATATATGACTAAAGACATATATAATTTAATCCAAATTTCAAAATACCTGCTTGAGGTATGTATTTTTATAATAGCTTTCAAATGACAAAATTAGAGCAAATTATACATATTACCCCTTATTAACTGTCATATACCTAGAGTTGAGAAAGACCTGATATGTGGCTGTTTTACTTATTTGATATCTTTTAATTTTTTTCCCCTGGTATTGGCTTTAGATATAGGGAAATTAAGACTTGGAGAATATGGGCCGGGCTCAGTGGCTCATGCCTGTAATCCCAGCACTTTGGGAGGCCGAGGCGGGTGGATCACGAGGTCAGGAGATCGAGACCATCCTGGCTAACACAGTGAAACCCCGTCTCTACTAAAAATACAAAAAATTAGCCAGGTGTGGTGGCGGGAGCCTGTAGCCCCAGCTACTCGGGAGGCTGAGGCAGGAGAATGGCATGAACTTGGGAGGCAGAGTTTGCAGTGAGCCGAGATCGTGCCACTGCACTCCAGCCTGGGCGACAGAGCGAGACTCCGTCTCAAAAAAAAAAAAAAAAAAAAAGACTTGGAGAAATATGACATCGTGGTTAAGTCTGTAAGGAACAAAAACACCATTAATTAATCTAAATTAACTATATAAGACATACAGAATGTTCTTCTTTGTAGTTTACTATTTGTAAATAAAATATCAAATTATTCGTAGTGTTTTCAAAATAAAAATCTAATTGTACAACTTGCACATGTGTTATAATTTCCTTTCTCTTTATTCTACAAAAGCAACATATTAATTTGCTCTTAGTTTCTTTTTAAAGTGAGTAGTATATGCAGAAAAACATCATTCATTTGAAGCATGCATAGTTGGAGTTCTGATTTTATGGTAGAAAACAGAGGCAACAGCTTTCTCTTGGACTGCTTAACATTTTGAAAAACACTAAGCTGCAAAGGAAAGAAGCTAGAGTGCTAAACTGACACAAAACAAAATCCACAGGAAGGGTTTATATAATACCAAAAACATACTTTCTTCAGAAATTTAAAACATTTACAAAATCTATAAACTTTAAAAGTTTATTAGATATCATCTATAGTTAAGATAAGCTTCCAAGCATTATTGAAATGAGTTAAAAGTGCCATAAGTAATGTACATATGTGTTACATAAAAATGTATCACTTAAAGATTCATAGGCTCAGTATTTAAGGGTGTTAATTCTTTGAAAATAATTACAAATTAAATGTATTACCAAGAAAAATCTCAAACGATTTGTTTTAATTTTTTTATTTGTATAAACTTAAGGGGTTTATGTACAGTTTTGTTATGTGGATATATTACATAGTGGTGGAGTCTGGGCTTTTAGTGTAACTATCACCTAAATAACGTGGATGGTACCCATTAAGTAATTTTTCAGCCCACCCCCAGGTACCACCCTCACACACTTTCAACTCTTCAGTGTCTGTTATTCTACATTCTATATCCAGGTGTAAACATTATTTAGCTTTCACTTATAAGTGAGGAAAGGTGGTATTTGACCTTTTTCTGAGTTGTTTTAGTTAAGACTATAGCCTCTAATATCACGTGTGTTGCTTCAAATGGCATGACTTAGTTTTTTTCATGGGTGAATAGAATTCCATTGTGTATATGCGTGTCTGTGTACACACACATATAATTTTTTTTTTACCCAGTCCTCCACTGATAGATACTTAGGTTAATTCCATGAGTTTGCTGTTGCTAATAGTGCTGCAATAAATATACAGGTGCAGGTGTCTTTTCATGTAATGATTTATCTTTTGGGGAGGTAGATAAACAATAATGGGATTACTGGATTGAATGGAAGTTCTACTTTTAGTTCTTAGAAATATTTCCATAGTGTTTTTCATAGAAATTATACTAATTTACATTCTCACCAACAGTTTATTTTTTTCACCGACAGTTTATAACCATTCCCTTTTCTTCACATTCTCACCAACATGTCATTTTTGACTTTTAATAGTAGGCATTCTGTTCAACATAAAGTGATATCTCATTGTAGTTTTACTTTTCACTTCTCTATTGATGAGTGATGTTAAGCATTTTTATACGTGCATTGGCACAAAGCCTTTATGAAGTATATAACTACAAAATAAACCCAAATTTGTAAATCACCAATATTCCTGAGGAAGAAGCAAGAGCAAAAAGTTTAGCAAATCTATTTACAAAACAATTGATGAAAATTCAGTAGTCTTGCAAGAGATTAAACATCCAGATACAAAAGGCTCAATGAATACCACTGTTATACATTGCAAGGCAGACTTCACCATGACATATAGAGTTTATATATCTAAAGTCAACCTAAAAAAAAATCCTAGAATCAGCAATGGAAAAGGTTCTAATCACCAAAAAGGCAACCCTATGAGACAAGCAACAGGCTTCTCAGCAGAAACTTTACAAGACAGAAGTGATTGGGATACTGTTTTTAGAGAACTTGAGGAAAAACAAAAACTTTCGGCCACAAATTTCAAATTTTTCCAGGATAAGCTTCAAAAATGAAGAAGAAATAACCTTTCTTAGAAAAGCTAACTCTTAGGGAATTTGTCACCACTTGTCCAGCCCCACAAGAAATGTACATAGGAGTTATAAACACATTCATGACAGATCAACTTTTGCCACTGTAAAAACACAAAAAAGTATAAAACCCACAGGTTTTAAACAACAGTCATGCAAAGGAGGAAGAGAAATAAATAAATGGCAACATGACAGAGCACCACCAAACCACAAAGACAAACACACAGAGAAAAAAAGGATCAAAGAATCCCTAAAACAAGTAGATAATCATAAACATTATGACAGAAACAAAACCTTACATATCAATATTAACCTTTAATATAAATGGATTAAATGTTACAGTTAAAAGATATAGATTCACAGAATGGATTTAAAAAACGTGAACCAACTATATGCTGCTTACAGAAATTCAACTTATCAGTAACACTTAGACTAAAGATAAAGGAAAAAAATATTTCATGAAAATAGGAACCAAAAGCAAGCAGAAGTAGCTATACTTATATCAGATAAAACAGACTTAAAAAAATTTATAAAAAGACAAGTGAAGTCACTGCATAATAATAAAGAGATCAACCCATGAGAGAATATAACAGTATGAAATACATATGCACCCAACACTGGAGCACCCAAGATTCATAAACCAAATATTACTAGACCTAAAGAAAGAGATAGACAGCAATGCAATGATAATGGGAGACTTCAATATCCCACTCATGAACTAGCAGATTATCAAGACATAAAACTGTCAAAGAAACACTAGGCTTGAATTGAACTTTAGACAAAATCAACCTAACAAACATTTACAGATCATTCTACCCAACAACTTCAGAAGATTTTTTAAACTAACAGACTGAATTTAAATTTTAGACTGTAATAAAAGCAATAAGAATAATTTAAACTCTCTTTTAAAAGAAGGTTGGATATTCGAGATATCATGCATTATTATACAGCGTCATTGATGAGAGTGATATGGTACCAGTGCCAAGACAAACCAGTGAAACAGTATAAAACAGAGGAACAGACCCACACATTTGGGTTTTTCCACCAGTGACTCTGCAGTACAGTGAAGAAAAGGTGGCCTCCTTAACATATAGGAATATCATTTTCTCTTTCTCTCTTTCGTAAAAGTGTGTCTGTTTTGCTAGCTTAGAGAAGGAGATAATGTAATTACAATAATAATTTATGTGAATGCACTTTGAAAAATGAAAAGCAGTATAGCATGCACAATATTATAATTGCTGCCATTGTTACTATTGGGACTTTTTAAAGAAGCATCAATTTGAAATTATGTATAGGGAAGCACTAGTAAGCAAAAAAAAATGTGTTATGCAAATTTAACCATGATTTAATAGATGCTAAGTTACTTTAATCTAATTTCCTGAGTGCTTTATTAACTATTCTTTTTTTTGCTTTGGTGTCTTTAAAATTTAATTAAAAAATTTCAACCTGTAAAATATGTTTATTACTTATAAATAAAAATACTACTACAAGGCTTATCATAACAATTTATTTTGTGTCCCATGCTCCAAATTTACCCATTTTGTAATTATTCTCTCTAATGACAATGAATTTAAATTTTTAGCTATTTCTCCCAATATTTATTTCTATGAATTGATAACATGCATCTTCATTTATCTCATTTTCTAATTGTATGTGCTAGTTGATTTTGTCTATAAATGGTAATGCTCAATTTATTTTGTTAAAACAAAAATTGTACTGGACAGAGTTAAGCAGGCAAGAATGACTTTATTCAGGGCTACTTCAATGAGGTAGAAGAACCAGAGCTTAGTCTGAATTCAACTCTGCTGAAAGAATGGGCTGGCATGTGCATTTAGAACTGGGATGGTGGATCCTAGGTCATGCATATTTCCTAATTGGCTTTATCCAAGAAAAAGTAAATATCTCCTATCTTCATGATGGGTTAATTTTGCAACTTGGAGCAAGGTGCTTGTGGAAATTAGGCTTCTATCCTCTCACAGAAACTGGGAGCTAAGGGCACTCTCTCAGTTGATAATTACAATTTAAAGAGATGGCTATCATGTCTTGGCCGAGTCATTTCTGGGCTGTGAAATAGGTAACAAATCAAATGGGCCAGAGAACAAAAATACAAGTTTTTTAAAGTAAATGATCTAAGGAAAGGAAGATAAAGGTATAGAATCAGTAAGAAGCCCATTTAATGATTAGCCAAGGTGAAGGGAACATCAACACCACTTTGGTCAACTTACATCACAACATTTATGTCAATCTACATAAACATGAATAATAATCAAGATGTCTATAATAGAATTTAAGTTGATAAAGTACAAAGATTATATCTATTTTTGCATTTTCCTCTTTAGATAAGTATTACTTGGAACATATTATAACGGTAGGAAGTACAACTGACATATATTGATTCAGGTCATATGCTATAGGTACATTTTTATTCATACTCATCAAAAATAAACTAAGGAATTATTATATAATTATATAAATGAGGAAACAAAGACTGAGAGTACTAAGCAATTTGAAATAGATCATAAAACTTACTACTCTCATATAATATGTCTTACTCTTCCCCATACCTACAATATTCTTATAACTTTTGCCTTTGAGCATGCTGTAATTTCTGGCTAATAACTTTTCACCTCCTTAAATGGAAATGCTTATGTTTATATTTGTAGTTTCAGATGTAGTGGATATATTTTTCCTAAGTATTCCACATTCAACTTATCTCTCCTCTTGCTTCCACAACACTGTACACATAAATCTTACAGAACACACATTGTTCTGGCAGTTGTGGATGACTGTTCTTTTCCAAGGTAGTGTCAGCTCTTTGAGCACATAGAATTTTTTGCTACAACCTAAGGCTTAAGAAAGTCCTGAACATATACTATAATATAAATTAATATTGGTGAAAAAGAGGTAGCTAATGTTTCGGAACAAGGTGCATGGTCAAATGGTCAATTCTGTTTTAGAAGATACAATACAAACACACCGATGACATCTAACTGAACTGAGAAAGCCTGTGTGCCCTTCATATTATTAAATAAACCAGGAGCTTGAAAGTAAATAAAACTTGGAAAAAATATTCTTAACTTGATCCGCAAATACATTTTAGTGATATAGTCCTTCCACTTAAGTGAATACTTTCTGATTTTTTTATCACTAGCCTGGAAAAATTCATTTTAAGAGTATTTTAATCTGACTCCTGCAGGGAAAAAAATTAAGTGTTCCATATCATTATTGTTTTAAAATTATATGGTATTTTATTAATCAAACATATAGATGAATTAATAGTAATGTGAATAATTTTCTAGCATTTGCTGAATCAAAAATATGTCTATGGTAATTTGATATAATGACATAACTTCAATCTAAATCAAATACCAAGACATGAAATTAAATTCATCAACATTGACAAAGTTACAATTTCAACACTGTCCCTTTTCATTTTTGTTTTCATTTTTATTTTTATTTTTATTTTTATTTATTTTCATTTACAGAGGGTTTATTTTGAATCTTATACATTTGAGCATTATGTTTATTAAGTAACAATCATTATTGCAATTAACTACATTCCCTTTTTATTGTTTCTGTTGCTTATTAAAGCTGTATAAATGAAGAACAATTTTATTTCTACCGTTAGATGAAGTTGTGCTTTACTTGGCAGAATATAGTTAGTAAACACAGCTTCTGCCATGTAGTAGCCAAGTAAGTGAGAAAGCTACTTAACTTACCTGCATTGTTTTTTTATTTGGCACTATACTGATGAAATATACTACTTCATAGTTTTACAGTAAAAAATGAATGAGCTAACAGATTTGGAGCACTGAAAAGTGGGTCTGGCACACAGTGAGTACTAGAGAAATGTTTCCTAGTGATTTTACTACAATAACAATTCATGTTGACAAAGGCATATAAGAAGTTCTTATATAAGTTCTAAAAAATTTTACATCAGATATGTATAAGATTAAAAATTTGCAGCTACATATTGCATTAAAAATACTTTCTACTTTTCTTGTTAGTCTATATTGCACAAAAGTACATACAAGTACATATACATATGTACAAGCACATATCACATGGACATATGACGTATGCCTACATTATCTATGTAAATAAATCTAGCAAGATGATAATAGATAATAATAGAGGACTGATATTCAAATGATATTTATATACCTCAGTGTAAATTGTTATGGGTTTCTTTTTTATTACTTAATTAAACAATGCGTTTTCCCTTTAGTTAATATATTTACATTTCTATACATGAAGGTTAAATATTTATATATTAGTTGCTAAGTGTTTTTAAGACAATTTTTTAGAGTAGTTTTATGTTTACAACAAAATTGAGAAGAATATAGAGAGATATCCCTTATACTCCCTGCTCCCACACATGCATATCCTCCCTCATTATCAACATCTCCTACCAGAGTGGTAGATTTGTTACAATTTATGATCCTGCAATACTTGTCATTATTCCCTACAGTCCATAGTTTACAACAGGGTTCACTTTTGCTTTTGTTTATTCTGTGAAAATGGACAAACGTAAAATCACATATATCCGCCATTATAATATATGACAGTCCCCATTGCCCCAAAAGTCCTCTGTTCTTTGCCTGTTCATTGTTTCCTTTCCCTGAGCACTGGCAGCTATTGATATTTTTACTATTTTCATAGTTTTGCCTTTTCCAGAATATCATATGTTTAGAATCATACAGTATGTAGCCTTTTCAGTTTGGCTCCTTTTACTTAGTAACATGCATTTAAGTTTTTTCCCTATCTTTTCACAACTTGATAGCTCATTCCTTTTTAGCATTGAATATTATTCCATTACCTAGATATACTGCAGATTATTCATTCACCTACTGAAGGAAATCTTGGACATCTTAGATGCCTTGAATTGTCAGCAATTATGAGTAAAGCTTCTAATAATATCAGTGTAGAGTTTTTTGTGTAGAGATAAGTTTTTAAAATCCTTTGAATACATACATACTTTAGTCTGAATGTGTCCCTACCATTCACAGGTTGAAACTTAATCACCAGTGTAATAGTAGCAAGAGGTGTAGTTTTAAAGAGATGATTATGATAATGAGGGTGGAACCTACTTGAATGAGATTAGCACCCTTGCAAAAGACATTGAAGGGAGCTTCCTTGCCCTTCTGCCATGTGAGGACATAGCAAGAGGTGCTATCTATGAGATATGAGCCCTTACCAGACATCAAGTCTGCTGGTAACTTGATCTTGGCCTTTCAAATTTCCAGAACTGTGAGCAATAAACTTCTGTTGTTTATAAGTTGCCCAGTCTATTTTATTACAGCACCCCAAAAGTTCTAAAGCAGAGCATGACTATAGGATTATGTGCTAAGAGTATGTTTAGTATTTCAAGAAACACTAAATCATCTTCCTAAGTGGCTGTACCATTTTGCATTCCTACAAGAAATTAATGAGAGTTTTGCTCTTGTTGCCCAGGCTGGAGTGCAATGGCACGATCTCAGTTCACCACAACCCCTGCCTCCTGGGTTCAAGCAATTCTCCTGCCTCAGCCTCCCTAGTAGCTGGGATTACAGGCATGCACGACCATGCCTGGCTAACTTTGTATTTTTAGTAGAGACGGGGTTTCTCCATGTTGGTCAGGCTGCTCTTCAACTCCCGACCTCAGTTGATCCACCTGCTTCGGCCTCCCAAAGTGCTGGGATTACAGGCATGATCCCCAATGCCTGGCCTGGTGCATTTTTTAGTTGTGCTATTTGTTTTCTTATTGTTGAGTTTTAAGAGTTTTCTGAATATTTTGGATATTTTTTTTTTTGTCGGATGTATCTTTTCAAATATTTTCTCCTGGTCTATGGCTTGTGTACTCATTGTCTTGGCATTGGCTTTTGCAATAATAATAATAATAATAATAATTTTAATGTAATCTACTTATCAATTACTTATTTCATGAATTATGTCTTTGGTGTTGCATCTAAAATGTCATCACCAAAGCAAAGTCACCTAGATTTTCTCCTATGTTATATTTGTAGTTTTATAGTTTTGAATTTAAAATTAAATCTGTGAACCATTTTGAGTAAATTATTATGAAAGGCTGGGATCCTTGACTAGATTAACTTTTTGTATGTGGATATCCAGTTTTGTCAACACCATTTGTTGAAAGACTATTTTTTCTCCATTGTATTGCCTTTTCTCCATTGTCAATCAGTTGACTATATTTATGTAGGTATATTTCTGGGCCCTCTACTCTGTTCCATTGATCACCATATTTTTTACTAATACCACAGTCTAGACTACTTTAGCTTTATAAGTTGCTAAACTTTTGAAAATATTATGTTTCTTTTCTATCCCAGCCATTATTTATATGTTAAATAACACACCAGATGGGTATTTGTATAGTATATTTTCAAGCCATTCATTTTCCTTAGATAAATTTTTCCTGCTCCATAACATATAGTGAATAAAATCTTGAGAGAGGAACCAAATCACCTACCTTATCTTTCTTGATATCTATTTATTTAATGAAAAAAAATCAAGTGACATTATATGTATACAAAGGTAATTTGTTATCTGAAATTCTTTGTTTCCATAATAATTCAATTGTTTAAATATTTTGACAATTTAGTTTTGCCTCCAAATGCCTTTGTACATAAGTTTAATAACTGTTGTTAATTTTAATACTTCCTAGTATTTGTAAATTGGAGCCTATAGCAATTAATCTGATTCAATTTCCAGTAGTTCTTATTACACAGAGGTGCTAATTGAAAACCTGATCACTGAACTAAGGAAATTAGATACAGAGGATTCACAATATTTAAAGTATCTAAATTACCAATTGTAAGTAGCTAGGATTTTGACACAGAGAGAATTATAAATAATTGAAATTCAAGAAATAAGTACTATCAATTTTCTTTCACTAAAGAGATCAGTAAAGAACTGCAACAACAGAAAAAATAAATCCTGAAGTAAATGTGAAATAAACAAAAATCATATGTGATGTTATTTGATAAAATTGCTCCTTAAAACATAGTATTGGATAATTATAATAAATAATATTGCCTTATAATGGACATGTGTGCTCATAATGTGAGGTACATATTGACTAAATATTTTATTATATTAAATTGTGTGCATCTGAAGAATTTAGTCTGAAATTTATTACTCAATTTATTACTTATTGTTTTCATGAGTTATTTTGCTTTGGAATTAATCAACAGGATCTTCTTTGTTTTATAGTTAAAAGAAATCCTGCTGCAGCAAACTCTTTAATATTATGTAACAATATAACCCAACTAGCACTAGATTTTAGGGCTTGCTAGTTGTAGGTATGTAAAATAAGCAAAAGTTAAAACATCCTAAAGAGTAAACAGACTTCAAATTCTTGACCAATTATTTATTCTCTGATAATTAAGGTACCATTTAGATTTTATGAATGCACTTGTGGCTGTGAGCATCCCTTGTGTTATGACAAGGTCATGCTCACATTCATTTTTTTTGGGGAATTCAAAGGATACAGCAAATGAAGGGAGAAATGACTGAAATAAGATATGCCTAGAATTTCCTACAATTCTTTGAAAATGGTTTTGGCGTTCAATTTTCATCATCATTAAAACACATGTACAGATACATTCTCATGGTTGTTTATTTTAGAACACTTTTTCTCTATAAATATGAGAGTCAGGTAACCATTTTTCATGCTTATATAAGAATATCTGTTCCAAGATGTGCGATATTCTCTGGTTTTTTTTTTTTTTTTTGTGGTGGGATCTCTGCTCACTGCAACCTCCACCTCCCTGGTTCCAGTGGTATTCTCATTTTGATAGAAAAATTACAGCTAAAGCCTAACATGATCTTAACAGTCAAGGCAGTCCCTTTGAGGGACATGGTTTGGGGCAGGTTATTGGAATCTTAGCTTTGAGACATTTCCTTCAACTCCTCTTCCTCTCTTCTTTTTTCTATTTATTTATTTATTATTTGAGACAAAATCTCACTCTATCACCCAGGCTGGAGTGCAGTGGTGCAATCTTGGTTCACTGCAACCTCTGCCTCCTGGGTTCAAGCAGCTCTCCTGCTTCAGCTTCTTGAGTAAATGGGACTACAGGCACACACCACCACACCAGGGTAATTTTGTATTTTTCGTAGAGATGGGGTTTTCCCATGTTGGCCAGGCTGATCTCTATCTGCTGACCTCAGGTGATCCACCTGCCTGGGCCTCCCAAAGTACTGGGATTACAGGCGTGAGCCACCATGCCAAGCCTCTTTTTTCTGTTCAATAACTGGTTCACTATTGTTATCAAGAGGCAAACCGCTTCAGAAAGATATGTCACATATATGGCATCATTCAAACAGCTTAGTTTCATAATTGAACTTACAAATGAATAATGAGAAAGAAGCGAGTTTAACTTTATGCCACGTACTTTGTACTGTCAAGTACCCTGCAGAAGAAATAATCTTAGATATGACTTGTTCAATGAATAAATCAGATGACTAATAGAATTAGGATGCCAAATGTTTATCTCCACATACAACATATTTTCATAGATCACTTTACAAGTCACTTTAATTTCCCAAAATATTCACCTCAAAAAGGAATGTAGAAATTTATTGCTAAATATATCTCCTCACTTGACAAAAGTTATTATAGTTTCAGTATTCATCATTTTCAATCACTTGAAATATGATAATTAAATAACCATAAAACATTGTAATCAGGAATAAAAAAAAGATTATGTATACAACAGCTCAAATATGTCTACTATATTTTATTTCTTTTTTTTCTCATGATGGCTTGACTTGCTTTTTTTTCAAAATATCAGAACTCCATCACTTTATGAGCAGACATCCATTGGTTTTTGCTTTTCCCAGTGAATTGTTGAGAACAAATAGAATGCCTTATACCCTGCAGAAGTGTTCAGTAGAAAGCCCTGATTATCAGCGAGAGCCAGTTGAGAGACAATTTTCTTACAGAGCTGCTGAATCATTTCAAGGAGATCTGGCATGAATGAGGCGTGATATTTATTTCAACTCTAAAGAATATATGGTGTGTGTATGGTCGTTCATTATCTTTGCAAATATCCTGAGGAATAATCAACTTCCAGTATAATAAAAATCTGTCGAAACAGAATCCTGATAATAAATATGAACATATACATCAAAGTCCACATTTTACAACATTTTATTTTATAATAATTTTATATAGAAAATATCTACAAATGGGTAGGATGGGAAAGTATGCCAAATAGATAAATTTTCACAGTAGTTTGGCAATTTTTAAATATTGAATCAAAGCTACTAACCCACAAAACACTTTCCTTTGGAAATATATATATGTTTATCTGCAAAGTTTCCTCTCTTTGTGAAAGGTAAAAATACTATTATAAACTATATTTGAAAACTGTATTTTGCCTTTGTGAATAAAATTGTATGAATATATTTTATTGTTTAGTACTGCTTTGTTACTAAGCTTATGTGAAGTCACTGCACAGGACACAGATGAGAAAGCTGAAGTTCAGGGAAGTGAATTAGTTCCATAATTGTCTTGCAAATATTTGAAAAGAATAAGCTCTTTGTTTTTTTTTTCTTTCTATTCCAAGGGATATCATTAAACATTTAACATTAACTATTCAAATGCATGTGGAAATTACATAACTTGAGTGTCTCTGTTTAACGCCCAAGTTGCAAAATAATTATACACATTAAAATGTGTATAGTAAAAATATGCTAGAAGATGTAATCAGAAGGTTGCTTTGATTGGTGAATTATAAGTGGCATAATACTATATAAAGAAGACTGATTTTAAATCAGAAGCTCAGACATACAGATGGACACTGCAACATTTTCTGGTTGTTAGCAATTCCTGATAACCTTAGAAAGACCTTGATTTGATTCCCGGAAATTAATGTGATCTCTTGGCAGGCTCTGTCATCCCTGTTGAGACTTTAGGGAAGATGCAATGACACATTTGCTGACATCAGAAATAAAAACACCTCATAAAAATTAGAGATAGGTAGGACTACAATAAAGAAGATTGTCAAAAATCTATTTTATGATTTTATGTAATGAGTAATTTACCTTTGATACATTTTACATTCATAAAAAGAAGAGCATCATTGTACCTTCAAAATCTTTTTCTTAGTTTTAAAAGAATTAGAATGTAAAATAAAATTTAAAATGGTGTAATAGTAATAAAAAACATAGACACTACAATTTAAAATAATAATCTAAAATCAATAGTTTTATGATTTGAAATATATACAACTTTGAAATCAAATCTGTTGTATCATTGACACAAAATAAACATTTTTAACTATATAGTTGGAGAAAATATTTATAACAATGTTCAAACTTTGCTGTACCCCAGTTTATAGAAGTAATTTACTAATAACAATCTTTCAGAAGAAATTAATATAAGTAAAAGTACCCTGTGATATGATTGATAATTGCACCTACGTGGAAAGAAGCCCGTTTAATAAAATACAGAGTTCTATAATGTGCTTCCCCTAGTGGGTTGATGTGAGAAAGTTACTTGAAATTTCTTTTCTATCACTATAGTAGTAGTAATAATATTAATAGTAATAATGATGCCAATAATATCATAAATGTATCTATTAATTTAAGAATGTAATAAAATGCCAGAAAAATAAGTCTAGAACTTAACTCTTTATGAATTATTTAAATTTAATTCTACCAATAACCCTATGAGGTAGGTAATACTATTAATCTCTTCTTGAAGAAAAGGAAGCTGAGGCAAAGAAATACTAGATACATAGCCCAAGTCACACAGCTAGAAAGTGAAGGTCAGTATTTTTTTTAAAGTAAATTCGTGTGTGCTAATCTGAATATACATTAATTTATCTGGAAGCATACCAAGAAATTGTAAGAAGGGTCATTTTTGAGAAGAGAATCTAAAGAACAAGGGTGGAAAAAATATTGTCCATTTTGATATTATTTAAATTATTACCAGGTTATTACAATTATTACCAAATTATTACAAATTGCCAAGTTATTACAAATACAATTATTTTCACACATGTTATATGTATGTATGTATTTTTAAGAAAGAATGGCCATATTGTTTAATGATAACATATAAATATCATATATAAAATAGATAATGCTGTATTAACATAATTGTGCATGTGTGAGGGAGAGGTAATTACATTACTAAGGTAGTTGAGGATTATGTGAGTTAATGGATATTAAGAACTTAAAACAGTTTTATAAACAGTAAACACTAAGTTAACATTATCTATTATTATTATTATGTGCATGGTACAAATCTACTAGTGTTGTCATTTTTAGATATACATAGGGGTGTATTCTGTTTGCACCGTATTTTAAAAACTAGCTTTGTCCCGAAGAATATGTATCTTAGCCTTTGTTACTCTTTTTGGCATAGAAATTTTCAAACTCCTAATGAGTAATGAGCTAATTCAATAAAAAATTCAAATATCCTTTATCATTTAAGAGTAAAATTGGTGTTTACTGGTAATGACCTACCTACCTAAAAGTGTGCAGCCCATGCAGATATGAAAAAATATTTTAAGAGACTAACCACAAGATGGCAGCGTTCTTAGACGACCATTTGATTCTAGATAGTAATGTTCAATACAAATTTCCACATGAAGCTCTCCTATTTAAAATGATCAAAACATTATACAGACAGAAATGTAGAGATGCATTTTACCATCTATATTTTTTTTCTCTGAAAAGCATTCAAATATATTGAGAAATAGTTTTGGATTGATTATAAAGAGAAAAAAACTATTTCATATTAAGAATGAATGAAAGCCATAATACTAAAAAAGTGGAATAATTTAAATAGCCTAAAAACAGAGAAAGCAAGATAACATATTTATTAATCACTCTCAATAGGCCAAATAATTGAAAGACAAGTAAGAGAAACTGAAGAGGTGAAGATTGTGGGCCCAGAAGAGAAGGCAATCTTTAAGTCATATTTTTCTCAACTTCCACAAAAGGACATAATTCTCATGAATTCAGAGCTCATGCATGTGGGACTTTAAATTAAAATATTAGAACTGTTTAGGAATGTGTAAAAAAAGAGTGAAATATTAGTTTTTTGTTTTTACGGTTTATAACCACAGTAATCCTTCCCATGTGATAATATTTTCAAACAAAACAAAATTTATATTAACAGAAAAACAAAAAGCAGAAAGAGATACAGATAACACAATTCTGTAAGAGGGATTCTAAATTTAAAAATATTATTTTTTACTTTACAGACAAGCAAATGCTGAGAGATTTTGTCACCACCAGGCCTGCCCTAAAAGAGCTCCTGAAGGAAGCGCTAAACACGGAAAGGAACAACTGGTACCAGCCGCTGCAAAATCATGCCAAAATGTAAAGACCATCGAGACTGGGAAGAAACTGCATCAACTAACGAGCAAAATCACCAGCTAACATCATAATGACAGGATCAAATTCACACATAACAATATTAACTTTAAATGTAAATGGACTAAATGCTCCAATTAAAAGACACAGACTGGCAAATTGGATAAAAAGTCAAGACCCATCAGTGTGCTGTATTCAGGAAACCCATCTCACGTGCAGAGACACACATAGGCTCAAAATAAAAGGATGGAGGAAGATCTACCAAGCCAATGGAAAACAAAAAAAGGCAGGGGTTGCAATCCTAGTCTCTGATAAAACAGACTTTAAACCAACAAAGATCAAAAGAGACAAAGAAGGCCATTACATAATGGTAAAGGGATCAATTCAACAAGAAGAGCTAACTATCCTAAATATATATGCACCCAATACAGGAGCACCCAGATTCATAAAGCAAGTCCTGAGTGACCTACAAAGAGACTTAGACTCCCACACATTAATAATGGGAGACTTTAACACCCTACTGTCAACATTAGACAGATCAACGAGACAGAAAGTCAACAAGGATACCCAGGAATTGAACTCAACTCTGCACCAAGTGGACCTAATAGACATCTACAGAACTCTCCACCCCAAATCAACAGAATATACATTTTTTTCAGCACCACACCACACCTATTCCAAAATTGACCACATACTTGGAAGTACAGCTCTCCTCAGCAAATGTAAAAGAACAGACATTATAACAAACTATCTCTCAGACCACAGTGCAATCAAACTAGAACTCAGGATTAAGAATCTCACTCAAAACCGCTGAACTACATGGAAACTGAACAACCTGCTCCTGAGTGACTACTGGGTACATAACGAAATGAAGGCAGAAATAAAGATGTTCTTTGAAACCAATGAGAACAAAGACACAACATAGCAGAATCTCTGGGACCCATTCAAAGCAGTGTGTAGAGGGAAATTTATAGCACTAAATGCCCACAAGAGAAAGCAGGAAAGATCCAAAATTGACACCCTAACATCACAATTAAAAGAACTAGAAAAGCAAGAGTAAACACATTCAAAAGCTAGCAGAAGGCAAGAAATAACTAAAATCAGAGCAGAACTGAAGGAAATAGAGACACAAAAAACCCTTCAAAAAATTAATGAATCCAGGAGCTGGTTTTTTGAAAGGATCAACAAAACTGATAGACCGCTAGCAAGACTAATAAAGAAAAAAAGAGAGAAGAATCAAATAGACGCAATAAAAAATGATAAAGGGGATATCACCACCAATCCCACAGAAATACAAACTACCATCAGAGAATACTACAAACACCTCTATGCAAATAAACTAGAAAATCTAGAAGAAATGGATAAATTCCTCAACACATGCACCCTCCGAAGACTAAACCAGGAAGAAGTTGAATCTCTGAATAGACCAATAACAGGAGCTGAAATTGTGGCAATAATCAATAGTTTACCAACCAAAAAGAGTCCAGGACCAGATGGATTCACAGCCGAATTCTACCAGAGGTACAAGGAGGAACTGGTACCATTCCTTCTGAAACTATTCCAATCAATCGAAAAAGAGGGAATCCTCCTTAACTCATTTTATGAGACCAGCATCATTCTGATACCAAAGCCAGGCAGAGACACAACAAAAAAAGAGAATTTTAGTCCAATATCCTTGATGAACATTGATGCAAAAATCCTCAATAAAATACTGGCAAAACGAATCCAGCAGCACATCAAAAAGCTTATCCACCATGATCAAGTGGGCTTCATCCCTGGGATGCAAGGCTGGTTCAATATACGCAAATCAATAAATGTAATCCAGCATATAAACAGAGCCAAAGACAAAAACCACATGATTATCTCAATAGATGCAGAAAAAGCCTTTGACAAAATTCAACAACCCTTCATGCTAAAAACTCTCAATAAATTAGGTATTGATGGGACGTATTTCAAAATAATAAGAGCTATCTATGACAAACCCACAGCCAATATCATACTGAATGGGCAAAAACTGGAAGTATTTCCTTTGAAAACTGGCACAAGACAGGGATGCCCTCTCTCACCACTCCTATTCAACATAGTGTTGGAAGTTCTGGCCAGGGCAATTAGGCAGGAGAAGGAAATAAAGGGTATTCAATTAGGAAAAGAGGAAGTCAAATTGTCCCTGTTTGCAGACGACATGATTGTATATCTAGAAAACCCCATTGTCTCAGCCCAAAATCTCCTTAAGCTGATAAGCAACTTCAGCAAAGTCTCAGGATACAAAATCAATGTACAAAAATCACAAGCATTCTTATACACAAACAACAGACAAACAGAGAGCCAAATCATGAGTGAACTCCCATTCACAATTGCTTCAAGGAGAATAAAATACCTAGGAATCCAACTTACAAGGGATGTGAAGGACCTCTTCAAGGAGAACTACAAACCACTGCTCAATGAAATAAAAGAGGATACAAACAAATGGAAGAACATTCCATGCTCATGGGTAGGAAGAATCAATATCGTGAAAATGGCTATACTGCCCAAGGTAATTTACAGATTCAATGCCATCCCCATCAAGCTACCAATGCCTTTCTTCACAGAATTGGAAAAAACTACTTTAAAGTTCATATGGAAGCAAAAAGGAGCCCACATCGCCAAGGCAATCCTAAGCCAAAAGAACAAAGCTGGAGGCATCACACTACCTGACTTCAAACTATACTACAAGGCTACAGTAACCAAAACAGCATGGTACTAGTACCAAAACAGAGATATAGATCAATGGATCAGAACAGAGCCCTCAGAAATAATGCCGCATATCTACAACTATCTGATCTTTGACAAACCTGAGAAAAACAAGCAATGAGGAAAGGATTCCCTATTTAATAAATGGTGCTGGGAAAACTGGCTAGCCATATGTAGAAAGCTGAAACTGGATCCCTTCCTTACAACTTATACAAAATTCAATTCAAGATGGATTAAAGACTTCAACGTTAGACCTAAAACCATACAAACCCTAGAAGAAAACCTAGGCATTACCATTCAGGACATAGGCATGAGCAAGGACTTCATGTCTAAAACACCAAAAGCAATGGCAACAAAAGCCAAAATTGACAAATGGGATCTAATTAGACTAAAGAGCTTCTTCACAGCAACAGAAACTACCATCAGAGTGAACAGGCAACCTACAACACGGGAGAAAATTTTCGCAACCTACTCATCTGACAAAGGGCTAATATCCAGAATCTACAATGAACTCAAACAAATTTACAAGAAAAAAACAAACAACCCCATCAAAAAGTGGGCGAAGGACATGAACAGACACATCTCAAAAGAAGACATTTATGCAGCCAAAAAACACGTGAAACAATGCTCATCATCACTGGCCATCAGAGAAATGCAAATCAAAACCACAATGAGATACCATCTCACACCAGTTAGAATGGCAATCATTAAAAAGTCAGGAAACAACAGGTGCTGGAGAGGATGTGGAGAAATAGGAACAATTTTACACTGTTGGTGGGACTGTAAACTAGTTCAACCATTGTGGAAGTCAGTGTGGCAATTCCTCAGGCATCTAGAACTGGAAGTACCATTTGACCCAGACATCCCATTACTGGGTACATACCCAAAGGACTATAAATCATGCTGCTATAAAGACACATGCACATGTATGTTTATTGCAGCATTATTCACAATAGCAAAGACTTGGAACCAACCCAAATGTCCAACAATGATAGACTGGATTAAGAAAATGTGGCACATATACACCATGGAATACTATGCAGCCATAAAAAATGATGAGTTCACGTCCTTTGTAGGGACATGGGTGAAATTGGAAATCATCATTCTCAGTAAACTATTGCAAGAACAAAAAACCAGACACCGCATATTCTCACTCATAGGTGGGAATTGAACAATGAGATCACATGGACACAGGAAGGGGAATATCACACTCTGGGGACTGTGGTGGGGTGGGGGGAGGGGGGAGGGATAGCATTGGGAGATATACCTAATGCTAGATGACGAGTTAGTGGGTGCAGCACACCAGCATGGCACATGTATACATATGTAACTAACCTGCACAATGTGCACATGTACCCTAAAACTTAAAGTATAATAATAATAATAAAATATATTATTTTTGCCATTTTATTTTTAAATATTATTCTATCACCCTTTGGTAAAAAATATTAATTTATATGCATCATTTCTTTCTGTCCAAAATTAAAAATAAACAAAAAATGGAATTCACAAAGATAATTCTCTTGTTTCTTCTCTAGTAATCATAATATATGAATATTGTGTTTATTTCTAGCATTTATCTCTAAAATTCCTCTCATTTATTGTTTTGCTCTTTATTTCATATTCTACCAATTTTACCCTTATTTCATCCTATTTTCATTTACATCACGTTTTATCTCTTACTGCAACCAAAATTGTACAAAACTATAAAATCATTTTGAAATTCAGAATAATTAAAATACATCTTAAACTTTATTTTTCTTTTAAAAAATATTTTATAAAAGCAGAAGAACTGAACTATTCAACTGTTTAAGCTCCCATCATCATTCATTCTAAGCATTGTAATAGGAATCCAATCCAATCAGATTCAATGTCTGGAAAAATAGTAATGTCAATTATTATATTTTTAATTGATGCATGATAATGGTAAAGATTTATTGAGTACATGTGATACTTTGATAACACATATTGGTTATAACACATTGTTACAACCAACTCAAGTTATTCAGGATATCCATTCTATCAAATATTTATTGTTTCTTTGTTTTGGGATCATTTCACAACTTTCCTAGCTATTATAAAATATCTAATATATTGTTGATAATTATAGTCACCCTACTGTGTCATCAAACATGAGAATTTACCCAATCTATTTTGCTTTATGTTTGCACCCATTAACCAACCTGTCTTCCTTTCTTCCCCCAAACATCCTTTCCAGCCTCTAGTAATGATCATTTTACTCACTACCTCCATGACATAAACTTTTTTAGTTCCCACATATGATTAAGAACAAGTGGTATTTGTCTTTCTGTGCCTGACTTATTTCACTTAACATTACCTCCAAGTCCATCCATGTTGCCACAAATGACAATATTTCCTTATTTTTATGGTTGAATAGCATTCTATTGTGTGTGTGTATATATACATATATATCACATTTTCTTTATTCATTTATCGATGGACACTTATGTTGATTCCACTTGTGGGCTATTGTGAATAATGCTGCAATAAACATGGAGGTGTAAGTATCTCTTTGACATACTGATTTCCTTTCTTTTGGATAAATACACAATAGCTGAATTGCTGGATTGTGTGGTAGTTCTAGTTTTAGTTTTCTGAGAAACTTCCATATGGTTTTATATAATGGCTGTATTATTTAACATTCCCACCAATAGAGTATGAGTTTCCTTTTCTCCATATCCTTGCCAGCATTTGCTTTTTTTTTCTTCTTTTTGATAGTAGCCATACTTACCAGGGTAAGATGACATCTCATTGTCGTTTGGATTTGCATTTCTCTAGTGATTCGTGATGTTGAGCATTTTGTTTTCATCCAACAAGGCCAATTGTATCTCTTATTTTGAGAAATGCCTACTCAGATAGATGCCTTGCCAACTTTTTCATTAGATTGTTTCTTCTCTTTTTCTTTTGTTTCCTGTTGATTTGAGTTCCTTGAATATTCTGGATGTTAGTTTCTTGTTAGATAAATAGTTAGAAAATATTTCTCTCATTCTACAGATTGTGTCTTCATTCTGTTGATAGTTTCCTTTTCTGTGAGGAAGCTTTTTTGATTCAATATAGTCTCATTTGTCTATTTTTGTTTCTGTAGCTGGTGCTTTGAGATATTAGTGATAAAATCTTTACCTAGGCCAAAGTCTGGAAGCATTTTCCCTGTTTTCTTCTGGTGGTGTTACAGTTTTGGGTCTTACATTTAAGTCTTCAATCCATTTTGACATGATTTTTGTATATGGTAAGATACAGGGGTCTAGTCGCAATCTTATGCATAGAGATATCAAGTTTTTCCAGTAAGATTTATTCAGGAGAATGTTCTTTTTTCAGCATATGTTCTTAGCTCCTTTTCAAAAATTGATTGGTTGTAAATACGTGAATTTATTTTGGGGTTCTCCATTTGGTTCAGTTGGTATATGTGTCTATGCTTATCCCATTGCCATGCTGTTTTATTATTATAGCTTTGTAGTATATATTAAAGTCATTTGAAGTGTGATGCTTGCAGCTTTGTTCTTTTTGCTCAGTACTGCTTTGGCTCCTCAGAGTCTTTTGTGGTTCTATATAAATTTTAGAATTATTTTTCTATTTCTATGAAGAGCATAATTGGTATTTTGATATGGATTGTAGTAAATGTGTAGATTGTATTGGGCAGTATGGTCATTTTAAAAATAATAATTCTTTCAATCCATTTCTCATTTTGCATCTTTCTCCCTTTTTCTTGGTTAGTCTAGCTAGCAGTATATCAATTTTGTTTATTTTTTCAAAAACCCAGATTTTTGTTCATTGATCCATTGCATTTTTTATGCCTCTATTTTGTTTAGTTCTGCTTTAATCTTAATTACACCTTGTATTCTACCAATTTTTGGTTTGCTTTTTTTTTGCTTTTCTAGTTTCTTGAGGTGCATTGTTGTTAATTTGAAAATTTCATACTTTTTAATGTATGTATATTTAGTATAAATTGCCCTAGAGGCACGGCTTTCATGGTATTCCATGGGTTTTGGTATGTTTTGTTTCCATTTTCATGTTCTTTAAGAATTTTTAAATTTTCTTCTTAATTTCTTTATTGATCTAAGATAATTCAGTGTCACAATGTCTAATTTTCATGTATTTGTACAGTTTCCAGTTTCTCTCGTTATTGATTTCTAGTATTACACTTTGGTGTTAGAGAATACTCAATATAATTTCAATTTAAATAAAAATTTGAGACATGTTTTGTGACTTAGCATATAGTCTCTCCTGGAAAATCTTTCATGCACTGATCAGAAGAACGTTTATTATGCAGCTGTTGGATAAAGTGATCTGTACATTTCTGTCAGGTCAATTTGGCCTAAAGTGCAATCTAAATCCAATGTTTCTGTGTTCAAATTTGTCTGGATGATCTGTCCAATGCTGAGAGTGATGGGTTGAAGTCCACAACTATTATTTTATTGGAGTCTCTCTCTCCCTCTATAGCTAATAATATTTGCTTTATATATCTGGGTGTTCCAATTTTGAGTGCCCATATATTTAGAATTTTTATAACCTCCTGCTGTTTTGACTTCTTTATCATTATATAATGACTATATTTACCTCTATTTACTGTTTTTGCTTTGTTTTTGCTTAAAATCTGTTTTATCTGATATAAATATAGCTATTTCTGATCACTTCTGGTTTCTGTTTTCATGAAATATCCTTTTCTACCCCTTCACTTTCAGTCTGTATGCCTCTACAGGTGAAGGTAGTTTCTTGGTGGCATCAAATAGTTGATTTATGTTTTGATTTACTATTTTTTATTTATCCATCCAGTCTATATTGTTTAAGTGGGAGAATTTAATCTTTTACATACAAGGTTATTACTAGTAGGTGATAAATTCCTTTATTTTTGCTAGTTGTTTTCTGGTTATTTTATGTATCATTTTTTTTCTTTCTCTCAGTGTTTATTAGTGCTGTTTGATGTGTGTTAGTTATACCAGTGAGTATTATGCTTTTGTGTGTTTTCATGATGGTAGATATTGTCTTTTTGCTTCTAGATGCAGAAATCTCTTGAGCATTTTTTTGTTTGGCTGGTCTATTGGTGATGAACTCTCTCAGTTTTGCTTGTCTGAGAAAGATTTTATTTCTCCTTAATTTTGATAGGCTATCACTGCTGGGTATAGTATTCTTGACTCACAGTTCTTTGTTTTCAACATTTTGTAAAACTATCCACTTTTTTCTAGAATGTAAGGCTTCTGCTGAGAAATTAGCTCTTAGCCTGATGATGGTTTGTTTATATGTAACTTGAAGTGTTTCTCTCTTTTTTATTTTCTTAATAATTCTCACTTTGTTTTTCAGTTTGGCAGTTTCACTATAATGTGTTTGGAGAAGATCTATTTGAGTGGAATCTACTTGGAGATCACTGAGTACCCTGGATCTAGAGAGCTATATTACTTGGAAGACTTGAAAAAAGTTTTCAGCTATTATTTAGTTTAATAGGTTGGGTATTCCTTTGCCTATCTTTTCTCCTTCTGGAACACACAAAAAAATGGAATATTAGTTTGCTTTATGGTTTCTTGTGTGTCATAGGGTACTCTCTATTCTTTTTTATTATTTTTCTTTCTTTTTTTCCCCCTTTGGTCTGACTGAGTTATTTAAAAAGACTTGTCTTCAAGATAAGAAATTCTTTCTTTTGTTTAATACAGTGTATTTTTAAGGCTCTTAATTATACTTTTTATTTTATTCACTGACTTCAGTTTTAGAAATAATTTTGTTTCTTTGTAATAATATCATTTTTTGGTGAATTCCTTATTCAGATTGTGAATTAATGATTTTTTTATTGTTTATTTGCTTTTCCATAACTCACAGAGCTCATTTAATGTCATTATTCTGAATTCTCTTTTACAGATGTCATGCATACAATTTTCACTGAAATCTGCTGCTGGAGAATTATCTTATTTTGTTGTTTTGGGGGTGTCATATTTTTAATTTTTTTAAAAAATGTTTATTTCAATTTCAATAGCTTTTGGGGTACAATTTTTTTGTAATATGGATGATTTATATAGTAGTGAATTCTGAGATTTTAGTGCACTCATCACCAAGCAGTGTACCTTGTACCTAATGTGTAGTTTTTTTATCCCTATACCCCCTTGCCTTTCTCTCACTTCTGAGTCTCTAAAATCCATTATATCACTCTTTATTCCTTTGCTTACTCGTAGCTTAGGTCCCACTCACATGTGAGAAAATATGGTTTCTGGTTTTCCACTCCTGTGTTACTTACCTTAGAACAATGGCCTCCAGCTTCACCCAAGTTGCTGCAAAAAAACATTATTTCACTCCTTATAATGGCTGAGTAGTATTTCATGGTGTATATACACCACATTTACTTTATCCACTCATTAGTTGATGAACACTTAAGTTGGTTCCATGTCTTTACAATTGTGAATTGTGCTGCTATAAAACGTACATGTGCAAGTGTCTTTTTTATATGATGACTTCTTTTCCTTTGGGAAGATATTCAGTAGTGGGATTGCTGGATTGAGATGTAGATCTACTTTTAGTTCTTTAAGGAATCTCCATACTTTTTCCACAGCGGTTGCACTAATTATTTACACTCCTACCAACAGTGGAGAAGTTTTCCTTTTTCACCACATCCATGGCAACATCTGTTGTTTTTTGACTTATTAATAAAGGCAAATCTTTTTTTTTTTTTTTTTTTTTTGGAGACAGAGTCTCACTCAGTTGCCCAGGCTGGAGTACCATGGCGCTATCTCAGCTCACTGCAAGCTCCGCCTCCTGGGTTCACGAATAAAGGCAATTCTTACCGGAGTAAGGTGGTCTCTCACTATGGTTTTAGTTTTTCTTTCCCTGTTGATTAGAGCTTTTTTTGTTTGTTTATGGGCCATTTGTATATCTTCTTTTGAGAAATATCTATTCATTTCCTTTGCCCACTTCCTGTTGGGATTATTTTTTTTCTTTCTGACTTGTTTGAATTACTTGTAGATTCTGGATACTATTCCTTTGGAATAGTATTCCTTTGGATACATAGTTTGCAAATATTTTCTCCTACTCTGTAGCTTATCTGTTTACCTTGATCATCATCTTTTGCTGTGCAGAAGCTTTTCAGTTTAATTAGGTCCCATTTATTTATATTTGATTGTTGCATTAGTTTTGGGGTTCTTAGTCATGAATTATTTGCCTAGGCTTATGTCCAGAAGAGGTTTTCCAATGTTGTCTTCTAGAATTTTGTGTAGTTTAAGGTCTCATACTTCAGTTGTTAATCCATCTTGCGTGCAGTTTTGCATATGGTGACAGATAGGAATCCAATTTCATTCTTCTACGTGTGGCTTACAAGTTTTCTCAGCACCACTTATTAAAGAGTGTCAATTCCCTAATTTATGTTTTTGTATGCTTTGTCAAAGATCAGTTGGGTGTACTTATTTGGCTTTATTTCTGAGTTTGTTATCCTGTTCTGTTGGTCTGTGTGTCCACTTTTATACAGTACCATGATGTTTTGGTAACTATAGCCTTGCAGTATAATTTGAAGTCCAGTAATGTAATGCCTCCAAATTTGTTCTTTTGCATTGGCTATGCAGACTCTTTTTTGGTTCCATATGAATGTTAGGATTTTTTTTCTAATTCTGTGAAAAATGATATTGGCATTTCGATGGAAATAACATTGAATCTGTAGATTGCTTTGGATAGTATGGTCATTTTCATGATATTGATTCTTCCAATCCATGAGTATAGGATGTGTTTTCATTTGTTTGTGTCCTTTATTATATCATTCAGCAGTGTTTTATAATTCTTCTTGTAATACAATCTTTCATCTCCTTGGTTAGTATATTCCTGGGTATTTTATTTATTTTGCAGTTGTAAAAGAGATTGAGTTCTTGATTTGATTCTCAGCTTGCCCTTTCATATCAGCATATATGGTATAACAGTCAGTTCTTCCAATTTTGGTGATTGGCTTTCCTAGGAAAAAGAAAAACATTTTTTTTTCTGTAGATGTGTCTATTGTGTTGCTTGGGTACAGTGCTTTGACTTTAATTCTGAATAGGCGTGGTAGTTATAATTTATAATTTATAATTTCTTCTGTATAGACACTGTTGTTGGTGTCTGTGAGTTATTCAGTGGCCTAGGCTGTCGTTGTTATTTGAGGCTGTGGTGAAGCTTTGCTGGGCATGAGGACACAAACAAGGTCAGTTCTCAAGCTTCAGTGGTTGCAGCATAGTATGCTTATCTTTGGTCCCCAAGGTGGTTTATGAAGACACAGGTGGTAGTAAACCCAGGTGGACTGATCTTTGAGCCTCCTGGAAGCCTGCTCATGTGCTGACCACGACAAGAGGGAGCTGGGCAGGTAGGTGGGTTTTGGACCCCTGGGTGGTATGAGTGATGTTGGTGATGGCAGTAGGCATACTGGATGAACACTCAGGCCTGCAGGCAACAGTTCTTGGTGCCCGAAGTGGTGGTAACAGATTGTGCCTGCCAGTCTCCAGGTGATGCATGTAGGCCTATCCTCAGACCCCAAAGAGGAGTGCATAAATACTATCAGTGTTGGATGGGAAGATTGATCCCCTGACTCCCAGACGACATGTGCAGACCCATCCCCCCATGTAATACTTAAAAAAATTATATTATTCGGTGACATTTTACCTTACATATTATTGTGCCATAGTATGTCTGATATTGGACATAGTTTAAGAAAATGGAATATATCCTAGAAACATTTTATTTTATTACTGTAGTTGAAAGTAGAAGAAAACATGAATAATACAAGAAAAACAATAATCTTTGTAACACACATACAATTAAAACACCTTTTGAAATTTTTATGGCAAATATGGAAGTCAACTAGATTATAGAGCTTAATGTTTACATTAAACAAAAGAAAGATAAAGGAAAACATGAACGAGCAACCTGATAGTCTTATATTTGTTGATAGCGTTTTTGAATATATTGAACTAATCAGTGAAACATTGTTATCAAATGAGTAAATCTGAGGAGAGAATATTGCAAGTATGCTTTTATCTGTTTCACACACATCATTAAAATCTACACAAAAACATCTAATTTAAAACAAAAAGTCTACTTATGTATTGATAAGAAGTCTGAAACATTCTATATACTGTTTTCTCAATTTTACTTTCTCCTTCTGTCTTAATGCATCTTTGCTGCTATAAAGGAGTTCTTGATGAAGAGTAATTGAACAAAAAAGTTTTTTGCTCATGATTCTGATGTCTTGGAAAATGTAAGATTGGACATCTACTTCTGATGAGGCCCTGAGGCTTCTTCAACTTACCAGAGAAAGCAGAAGGAAGTCAACACATGCAAAGAGATAATATAGTGGGAGAGGAAACACAGCGAGGGATGTTCCAGGTTCTTTGTAACAACCAGCTCTCATGGTAATTAATTAATAAAGTATGAGCTCACTCAATCCTGAGAGACGGAATTATCTGCCCATGAGAAATCCACCCTCATGAACCAAACACCTCCCACCAGGCTCACCTCCCAACATTGCCACCTTGTGAATCAAATTTCAACATGGATTTTGGAGAGCACAAATATCCAAACGATAGAACCTTCCTTTTTTGTTGGATAATTGCCTTATTAATAAATTTCTAAATTGGATTTCTTGGATAATTCCTACATTTTCTCTATTGATTTTCTTCAGGTTTCATTTTCTTTCATTATTCCATCTATAACACAGTTAGCCTTTACTCCTTGGTTCCTTCTACCCATCTACAGGCAAGCTCAAACTAGCATAACAGAGTTTAAATACTAGTTGACCCTTTGATTTGGTTTTGTTAGAAATCCAACTCAGTGTCCATTTTCACTAAAGCACAGAGCCAATAACTTGCTAAATATGATTGGTTTTACATCTAGAAATGTTCTTAAGTTCCTTCTCTCTTTCTTTCCTCTGCTATTTCTTTATATCAGATATAATTTCTAGTCACTTAGGCAATTACAATTTCCTAAAACTAGCCTTATTACATCCACTTTATACTTCTTCAGTCTTTCTATTAAGTTTACTGTTCATATTTTCTCAAATATAAAAACAACACATATTTAGGTACTATTTTTATGTGCTTGATATTTGCTGATCACACATTAGTGTTTAGAATTAATGTTACGTGATCTCCACCCTCATGGACATTAATCAAAACAGATTAGATACTATCACATTCTTCTCCAAATATTCCAACCTGCTTTTGTATTTTAGTAAACAATGGTCTCTTTCATTAAAATGTTAGGCCCTAAAAGGTAGCAACCCAGCTTGTGACCGTTTATCTTTGTATAAACCAGAGATGCTAACTCACTTTCTTGCACATAGCAAGTGTGCAGTTTACCTTATTAAGAATATAAAAATGTTTTGCTATCCTTAAAATAATAATGGCAAATTGGAGCATATGATTTTTGAAGAAGATCATAGCACTGTTTATGTCTCATCACTTATAAAGCAGATAATAATTTTCACTTATTACCACTGTACTCAAGTAAAAATTATTTCATATTTGTCAAGTATTACTCAAAATACACACAAAATAATGCATTTTTGTATAGGATCCATACTGATTACAGAAATATACTCATGGAGGTTAAAGAAAAAATAAAAAGTTAGAAAAGGCATCCACACGTTTTAGATAACTAATGTAATATTTAATTAATCATCTTGTCTTCCCTTTCAGTTTATGATATAACCATTATTTTCCAAACTTTATTTTAACAGATTTTTTCTCTCTCTCCAACAAAATTGCATTTATATCTCTATGATTTAAATAGCTAAATGAAGATGATTTATTGAAGAAAAAGAGTCCCCAGAACTTTGTTCAATGACCCACCCCCAAGAAGCACTTATGGTACTTCTGCATAGCTCTAGACAATGAAAGACCATTTTTAAAAGTAATTCTCTAAGGAAAATCTGGCATGGCAGATTTGTGATTAAGCCTTATTTGGGGGGAATGGGGATGGGTGTATGCATAGGTATGTTCAGCTGTAAAGGAACCATCCATAGTGTACATTTTTACTGCATAGGAATAACCATTTAGGCAAACATGAATACCCCTGCACAATTTTAGTGATTCAAAAGATAGCACAGAAGTTGCAGTCAATGGCATATCAGGTTGCTCATGAGAATATTTTTGAATGCCCTGTATGGTTGCATATACTTACATAAGTTGTTTTATATAAATAACTGTAATTAAGTTGCTTAAGTAGAGACAAGTGGCTAACAATCAGTGCTTTCAAAAGGAAAAAGAGAAAGAAAACGAGACAAAACAAAATCTGATTTCTTACAAACAGTGATGCCAACCTAAGAATGACTCAGGGACAGATTAAAAGCAAATAAGAGACCTGCATCATTATCAAAAAATTAGATGAACACTGAGGGGCATGTAAGTTTAGTTCAAGGGTCTTAGACCTAGAAGTAAAATGGATGCCCTCAAAGTCAAGATTAGTGTTTGTTTGTTTTGGTTTGCTTTTTTGGTGGATGGGTGGAATAATATTAGTATTGTGATAGACAATTTGTCTCTTTGGTTTATGTTCCTAACTTTAAATAGGGGACACCTATGATTATATCAGAAATAGATGGCTGGGATGAGAATAATGTATGAAAAAATGTGTAAAGCTCTGTTAAGAAATAGTTGGGATGCAAGGCTGGTTCAACATACGTAAATCAATAAACATAATCCAGCATATAAACAGAACCAATGACAAAAAGCATATGATTATCTCAATAGATGCAGAAAAGGCCTTTGACAAAATTCAACAACACTTCATGCTAAAAGCTCTCAATAAATTAGGTATTGATGGGACGTATCTCAAAATAATAAGAGCTATCTATGACAAACCCACAGCCAATATCATACTGAATGGGCAAAAACTGGAAGCATTCCCTTTGAAAACTGGCACAAGACAGGGATGCCCTCTCTCACCACTCCTATTCAACATAGTGTTGGAAGTTCTGGCCAGGGCAATCAGGCATGAGAAGGAAATAAAGGGTATTCAAGTAGGAAAAGAGGAAGTCATATTGTCCCTGTTTGCAGATGACATGATTGTATATCTAGAAAACCCCATCGTCTCAACCCAAAATCTCCTTAAGCTGATAGGCAACTTTAGCAAAGTCTCAGGACACAAAATCAATGTGCAAAAGTCACAAGCATTCTTATACACAAATAACAGACAAACAGAGAGCCAAATCATGAGTGAACTCCCATTCACAATTGCTTCAAAGAGAATAAAATACCTAGGAATCCAACTTACGAAGGATGTGAAGGACCGCAATAAACATACGTGTGCATGTGTCTTTATAGCAGCATGATTTACAATACTCTGGGTATATACCCAGTAATGGGATGGCTGGGTCAAATGGTATTTCTAGTTCTAGATCCCTGAGGAATCACCACACTGACTTCTACAATGGTTGAACTAGTTTACAGTCCCACCAACAGTGTAAAATTGTTCCTATTTCTCCACATCCTCTCCAGCACCTGTTGTTTCCTGACTTTTTAATGATTGCCATTCTAACTGGTGTGAGATGGTATCTCATTGTGGTTTCAATTTGCATTTCTCTGATGGCCAGCGATGGTGAGCATTTTTTCACGTGTTTTTTGGCTGCATAAATGTCTTCTTTTGAGAAATGTCTGTTCATGTCCTTCACCCACTTTTTGATGGGGTTGTTTGTTTTTTTCTTGTAAATTTGTTTGAGTTCATTGTAGATTCTGGATATTAGCCCTTTGTCAGATGAGTAGGTTGTGAAAATTTTCTCCCATTTTGTAGGTTGCCTGTTCACTCTGATGGTAGTTTCTTTTGCTGTGCAGAAGCTCTTTAGTTTAATTAGATCCCATTTGTCAATTTTGTCTTTTGTTGCCATTGCTTTTGGTGTTTTAGACATGAAGTCCTTGCCCATGCCTATGCCCTGAATGGTATTGCCTAGGTTTTCTTGCAGGGTTTGTATGGTTTTAGGTCTAATATTTAAGTCTTTAATCCATCTTGAATTAATTTTTGTATAAGGTGTAAGGAAGGGATTCAGTTTCAGCTTTCTACATATGGCTAGCCAGTTTTCCCAGCACCAGCCAACCCAAATGTCCAACAATGATAGACTGGATTAAGAAAATGTGGCACATATACACCATGGAATACTATGCAGCCATAAAAAAGGATGAGTTCATGTCCTTTGTAGGGACATGGATGAAGCTGGAAACCATCATTCTCAGCAAACTCTCGCAAGGACAAAAAACCAAATACCACATGTTCTCACTCACAGGTGGGAATTGAACAATGAGAACGCATGGACACAGGAAGAAGAACATCACACACCAGGGTCTGTTGTGGGGTGGAGGGAGGGGGGAAGGATAGCGTTAGGAGATATACCTAATGTAAATGACGAGTTAATGGGTGCAGCACACCAACATGGCACATGTATGCATATGTAACAAACCTGCACATTGTGCACATGTACCCTAGAACTTAAAGTATAATAAAATATACTGTTTACAACAGATTTGTGAACTCAGCCAAGCACAGTGGTGGCAGGGCCTAGCTGCTACAAAGAAGACATGTTTTAGACAAATACTCCTGTGTATGGGCAAAAAACTCGAGGACTGTATTTGTGACTAGTTGTATAACAGGTTATTTTAGTTTCTGTTCTGTGGAAAGTGTAAAGCATTCCAACAAAGGGTTTTAATGTAGATTTTTTTTTTTGCACCCATGCTGTTGATTGCTAAATGTAATAGTCTGATCATGACGCTGAATAAATGTCTTTTTTTTTTAATGCTGTGTAAAGTTAGTCTACCCTGAAGCCATCTTGGTAAATTTCCCCAACAGTGTGAAGTTAGAATTCCTTCAGGGTGATGCCAGGTTCTATTTGGAATTTATATACAACCTGCTTGGGTGGAGAAGCCATTGTCTTCGGAAACCTTGGTGTAGTTGAACTGATAGTTACTGTTGTGACCTGAAGTTCACCATTAAAAGGGATTACCCAAGCAAAATCATGGAATGGTTATAAAAGTGATTGTTGGCACATCCTATGCAATATATCTAAATTGAATAATGGTACCAGATAAAATTATAGATGGGAATGAAGCTTGTGTATCATCCATTATCATGTGTAATCAATAAACGATTTAATTCTCTTGAAAAAAAAAAAAGATTGCCCTAGCCGCTTATGAAAAGTCTTGGATTAAATCCATCACCCTGTAGGCATGAGAGATTTTAAAATGTTGGTTAGAGAAAGCAGGATGAATTGATACCAAAATTACATCAAATACAAGTATCAAAATTTTACCACTGGTGGATATGAAAAATATAAAGCAGGATAATACCTCTTACAATCTGACCCAGAGATCTTTGGTATCAATGCTAATTGATCAATATCTAATGATATTAACTGGGAAAAAAAGTAGTTCCTAGAATTTAGAGACTGTCTCATTTCTACCGTAGGAGAATATTCCACTCATTCAGGAAGAAAACATTACAACTGACCTATCTACTTTCTTTATTGACAGTCTTAATCCTGGAAAGGTAGATTTATTTAGAAAACAGAAGATTCGAGGCAGAGTATCCTTCTATCTGAGTTACAAGAGCTTGCTGAACACTTCAGAGCTATTTTGATTTAGAATGAAACAAAAATAAGCTCTTATGAATAGCTCTTCTGATTAAGCATTTGGGTAAATGTATGCACAAGTACACATCTGAAACTGTATAGATAAATACCTGTAGCTATCATAAAGAAAAGGATCACTGAAAAAACAATTACCCTGCTTTCATTTGAAAAACAGAATCAAAACAGACAAAGAACACATTTTATCTGACAGAAGGAAATTTTTGCCTTTCTGGTCAGCCCACAATTTCCCTTAATAAAAAAGGGGAATCTTTATATGCAATTGCAAATACAAAATGTTGTATTTCTATTTTATACTTGTCTAACCTCTCAACCATAAACTTTGTTACTTTTCTGTCATTTGCCCTTGCAGCAGCAAACAGAATTTAGACGTAGGGATCTCAAATGACCTTCAGATTCTGCATTTGTCTTAGTACTTCCTGCATCTCTGGGCTTTCTCACTAGTTGACATGTTTTATTGTCTGGTGAATCTTTTGGAATAGACCTATTTTGTAAACGGTGTACTACAATTAAATATAAAGTAGAAGGCCTTTTCTTGGAATATTCAGAAAAATATTCCTGTACTATCATTTACTGATGTCATAGACTGATCATTTACTATCTGATATCTTTCCCTACCGGTATCTCAGACCTCACATCTGTTCACAGTATGATCTGGTTCAAAGAAAGAAAGTGTGGAGCATAGCAGTCAACTCTGAAAGGTCTCAACTGATTTGACTATTCCTTTGCTGAAACTGCCCAGTACTCATTTAAATAGGAGACCATTGAAGGGTGACAGCCTATTGTCTCTGTCTCTGCCTCCTTCTTTCACAAGTATTGAAGTGTTTTTTGTTTTTTTTTGTTGTTGTTGTTCATTTAATTTTTTGTTTTTTTTTCTCAATGACTAGAAAGTTATTCTTAACATGTCCTGGCTAATTGCCAAAAGCAAACGACAACAAAAACAAACCAAAAAATAACCTTAGGGAATTGCTCCATCACATAGGATACTGTCGACAATGGATCCTTAGTTCTTAGAAACTGGCTAGCCATATACATATTCTGACAAAAACTATCACATCTAAATTTTTGCCCTGGATAGAATTATTAAAGATGGTATTCTGTAACATCAGAGTCCCTTTATAATTGCCTTAATCTTGAACTTCTGATTATTATGAATCTCTCTATTTGTACGTGAAAGATCATGCTAACATTTAGGGTTCTATCTCAATAGGACAGTACAAATCAGAGATCCATTGTTCATGGACCTTTTACGAATAGCCTACCCTTTGATTTGTGCACAATTGCAGCAGCCTCCAAATGAACTGAGGCTTCTTCACACTTAAATCTTAAGATATCCCAGATCTTCTTAAGTCCCTCATTTGATTCAAACATATTCCTGCTCCTAGACTGACCTCCTCCGAAATCCTGCTCCTCCCTCCTACACACATTTATCTCCTTTGCTCCGAGATCCTAAACGTCACCAACCATTTTCCCCTCACAGTGGATGGTAGACCTTGGGACAGTCATGCACTTGTCATAAATTTTCCCGGATTCTAACTTCAGTGAAATTCCTTTAGAAAACTCTGGTTTATAATTTATTTTTGATGATTTCTATATGAACATAGAACAAGGAGGTTTTATAAGCTGGGTTTGTAATTATAACCCACTTAGAGTTGCTTGAATTCAAACTTCTTTCAGAAGCCAAATCCACAGTAGTTTTTCAGATCATAGCTTTTACTATAGCCGTCTAGAGAGCAGAAAGCAAATGTCTGCACAGACACCAGATATTCCTTTTAAGTGGGTAATGATCTTCTTATGCTCTATAAGCAACACAGCTTCTTAATTGCGGCTAGTGCCCCCATTAAATATGACAACTACACAGAAGCCCTACTAGATTCTTCCTCCAAAAGAATTGATTGCCAGTGTGAGACACATACTGTAAAGCAGACTCGGAAGCAAATGGTATTGTTTTAGATAATTACTATACAAAGCAAGTTTTTTTTAAAACACATTCAAGCTATCCACAAAGTTCAAGAATCAAAGCCAAAACAAACTCTTCATTATTGGCATTAAGTCTTGAGTCCACTCTATTCTAAGCACCTTGTCCTCCAATGTCATAACGGAAAAGATCTTATTGTTTGCTCCACTCACATGGTTTCTGGTAGCAGGAAGATGATTTCTTGATCTGTCATTAGATCCTAAATTGAGTCTCAAAAATGTTTTCTTTCCATCATTGAACGCAAATTTTAAAGACTATAATAAATAAGCATTGGTAGAAAATTTTAAATAAGATTGCAAAATATGCCCTTGGTGTGGGTTCCCACAATCCTAAGAAACAAATTGGACATGAAATAGAGATAAAACCTATAGGCCTTTAGAGAATCTAAAATGGGTTTATATAAACACCACCTCTTTCCTGTTTCTACAATTTAAATCTGCTTTCTGGTTGGTGAAATTTCTTTCCTTGCCATAGAGCAATTCTTCCGGCAAAAGAAAGTCAACATGTAAACTTAGTATTTCCCACTTGTAAAATATTTGCCCATATGTTCAGTGAGGGAGGAACCTAATTATTTTAGAAAGATACTGAAGAAAATTATCTAAGGCTCTGTCCTTCAGCCAGAAGTGCCCCGTCCCTCAAGTTCTCAAGTTCTCATGGGAATTTCTCAGAGAAAGTTCCTCAAGTTCTCAGAGAAAATAGAAAAAAAAAATATGACATTTTTAGAAGAAAATTTGCAAAACTATTTAAACAACTTGCCTTGTGAAAAGCTTTCATATCTATTATTGACTTCAATAGAAAAATCTTAGATTACTTCCAGGTGAATTGATTATGCAACCAGAGATCTCACCTCCATCTTTGACTCTGCTCTTACAGACAAACATGTTAAAATTTGTAGGGATTTAATGCAGTATTACCAATAATATCATCAACGTGTCCTGGTAGCTTTTACCTAGAAAAAACTGCATAAATCTTTGCCTGATCTTTAGCTTAAAAACCTTATTTACTGGAAATACTACCAATGCACGACTAATATTGAACCTCATTGGAAGGCACTTTAACAGTTACTGTTAACCACAAAGAGTGCAGTGAAATTCCAGGAAATCAACTTTTGGTTTAATGTTTTCCACTTGCAAAGATGTCATACACCCACCTGCTAGACTTCCATGTCAAAGGGAGATCTAAGACTATATCATGGCACTCCAGAAGTAGTCAACATCATGAAGGAACCAGCTTTCCAAGAACCTCAGATCAAACAGAAGCCTATTGATAATTGTAACTCTACCCAACACATTTGGATCAATATTTCTCAAGTGACAGAAATCACCAGTTCTGTACTCTTTGTTGTATGTGTGTGTTTTCCCGCCTTTTGAAGCTATTATTTCCACTGTATTGCTTTAAGAAATTTTATTGCTAAAATGAGATTTTCAATGTTTTATCCTCTAACCTTTATTCTATGCATTAATAAAAAGTATAAACAAAGTTTTTGCAAATCTGTAGATTTGAACTTCCCTTCTCTACTGATTCAAGGTGGGGACAGTAACTATTCCCCTACCTAACACCAACAGGAGCAGAATCTTGAGTACAAGCTATTGGCCAAGGCCTTCTGATGATACTTACTAATATTTGTTATTTCCATTACCTGAGGCTGAGTTTTCTTAAGAATGTTAAGGTTTCTTTCCAGCCACTCATTGATACATTATTGAAACACAATTACAAAGACAAAAGTCCTAAGAAGCCACAATGGCAGTTATCAACAGTGAATTCTTGACTGTAATCATCAGCAGACTTGAAGTTCTGTACAAACCAAGGTGTAGCTGAGTAAGGACACTCAGTCTCGCTGTTAACGAAGGGAGATGCCCACTGTGGCCCTCCCATTGCCTTGACATCTGCAGCTTCTTCTCACCATTTTTGCACCTGATCCCAACTCTATCAACTACTCTCCCCAGACCTCTCGCTAAAATCGAGTTGCACAAATACTGGTTGCTAAACCACAAGAACAGCTCTTCCTCATCCAAAAATCATTCTTGACCAACTATTCCTGATACTAACTGAACATTTGCTAAAGGTTTATAAAATTCCCTCCTTCTTCCCTAAGTTATAATACTCCCTCAGAGTTCTAATACTTCAGCACTCTGAATGAATGTTTATGTTTGGCAGTGCTATTGAATTCCTCCCTACATTAGTAGTGCAAGAATTTATTCAAATTGTTACATTTTTATATAGTTGCATTTCCATTCATTCCATTTTTTTATTATTACCAATCAGTTAAATGAGACCTTCCTTACCTATTTTTAATAAACCTCATTTTGCCCAAAATAACTTTATGTATTTGTTATATTTTATTCTTTATCCTTTCCAGTGTCTGTGATGATTTTCACTATATATATATATATAGTGTATATATATACACTATATATTTTGAAGTATATATATATATACATACTTCAAAAGTCACTTTATTTATACCCACAGACACAAATGTATGTATGTGTATGGGCATATATATATGTGTGTATGTGCATGTGTGTGTGTGTTTGTCTGTGTGGAGGGGGCAGGAGAGAGGGAGGAGAGAGATTTTCTTTATATATTTTCCCAAGTATTGCTGGGGTTCCTCATAAAGCAAAGAATGTAGCCTATACTATCAGTCATGGTGTATCCACTAAATTGGCAATCTCTACATGAGGAATTTCCAATAACCAGAAAACATGGATTTGAGAAACAATGGGTCATGTGGGAAAGGGCTTTCCCCATTCTATTATTTGTAGATGAGAGTTAATATTGCAAGCATCTCATTTTTTATTTATGATTATGAATAGAGCATACGTATGAGTTACTTAAATGTGGGAAAAAAGGCATGGATAGGATCATGGCAGAATTAAAGAAGTAGAATAATGCCACAACCATTTTTGAGAACTTATTAAAAACAATAAACTCTCTTCAAAAATATGCATGTGAATACTATGTACACCTAAAATTTACATACAGCTTTAGAGAATTTCTCAGACTTTTAAAAGTCAGTTCACAAATATCTAGGTATCCATAAGAATGTACTACTTTTATTTTACCTAGAAGAGCCACCAGATATTTACGTTTGTACTGTGCTTTTGTTTTAAATGCAGTTGCCTTGCAAGCTCATTTTTTTCCCCTGGGCTGACAACAACTGAGTAGTTTAAACAAGTGACACCAAGAAAATGGCCTATGTGTCTTCACTTCAAATGATTCAAATAATATTGCAATGAATATTTACGGATACTCCCCAGAAATAATGGCACTATCACATAAAGCTATTTGTTTTAGTGTTCTCTTGTGTACATTTGGGCAGAGATTGATGAAAGACTATAGTTGATCTAAACAGAGAGATCGTTTATATAAAACCATCCTGTAAAAATATCAGGGTGCATATTTAGAAGTCCACATTTACTAATTAAGTCTCATGGAAGGTTTTCAATGATCTGGTGTGTAATATTTCCAGTTCTGCTTTAGAAGTAAGGAAAATTGCTGGGCATGGTGGCTCATGACTGTAATCCCAGCACTTTGGGAGGCCAAGGCGGGACGATCACGAGGTCAGGAGATCGAGACCATGGTGAAACCCTATCTCTACTAAAAATACAAAAAAAATTAGCTGGGCATGATGGCGGACGCCTGCAGTCCCAGCTACTCGGGAGGCTGAGGCAGGAGAATGACTTGAACCCGTGAGGCGGAGCTTGCAGTGAACCGAGATTGCGCCACTGCACTCCAGCCTGGGCGACAGAGTGAGACTCCATCTCAAAAAAAAAAAAAAAAAAAAAAAAAAAGAAAAGAAAAAGAAAAAAAGAGAAAGAAATAAGGAAAATTGTGAATAATAAAAGAAATCCAAACTGAGCCCCTCTCACCTATCTTTATCACTTAATTATCCTGATGTTTTATTTTGACCATGTCAGTTATAAGCACAGGTACTAGCATACCTCATTTTATTGTGCTTTGTATTATTGAATTTTTCAGGTTTTGTGGATTTTTTCTTTTTGACAAATTGAAGGTTGTGATAAGCCTGGGTCAAGCAAGAGCATGGGCGCCATTTTTTCAGCAGCATGTGCTCATTTGTGTCTCTGTGTCACAATTTTGATAATTTTTACAATATGTCAAACTTTATTATTGTTACTATCATATCTGTTATGGTGATCTGTGATCAGTGATATGTGACATTATTACTGTAATTATTTTGGTGTGGCACAAACAACACTCATGTAAGATAGAGAACTTAATAAACATTTCATGAGTTCTGACTGCTCCACCAGCCAGCTATTGCCCCATTTCTCTCCCTCTCCTCAGTCCTCCCTATACCTCGAGAAACAACAGTATTGAAATTAGGCCAATTAATATCCCTAAAATGACCTCTAAGCATTCAAATAAAAGAATAAATCGCATGTCTCTCATTTTAAATTAAAACTATAATGATTAAGCTTAGAGAGAGAAAGGCATGTCAAAAGCCAAGATGGGCTGAAAGCTTCACCTGGAACTTAACCCTAAACAACTCAGAGATATGCCTATATAAGAAAATGAATCTAGACAAAGGCCTAATAAAGAATGGCACATTGATAGCTCTCATTCTGTTGATATAAAAGGCATGTTGATTCTCAGTTTAAACCCAAACTCTTTGCTGCTGTAATTTCCACATATTCCATTCAATGGAGAGAAGGCAAGCATCTAAATGAATATGGTCCCGGATAGACATTTAGGAGAAAATCATCATATAGGTAGAGAAAATCTGGCATACTTATATGCCAGATTAGTTATTAATTCAGCATGAATTCTGCATCAGTAATGATCAGTGCCAAAGGAGGAAGGAAAGTCAGACAGCATTTGGGGCATCGAGAGACAGGAAATTCTATCTTGGACACTAGTAACCATTATGTTATGCATTATGGCATGCAGTGTCAGCAGTCACTGGAGTAAAATGGGTTTTATTTAGCAGAAGTGATATCAGTGGAAACAAGATAAAAGAAATTTAAATTATGAGAGGAAGAGAGGCTAGATACTATATGCCAGAAGAAAGAGTTTATATTTTGTTCATACTTGGTATATATGGCACCAAATCTCCCAGGTTTAAGTGCACCAAATATTCCAGTTTATTTTTTGGTGAAGAGTGGGTAGAATTTCATCAGTTTTGAGTAGATTAGAGTTTATTGCATAAGTGTATATAGCATCAACAAATAAGGTGCACAATATACACAATCTAATGTTATATGATCAATTAATAAATACATATTAAGTATGCAAAACTCATTCATTTACTATAAAATCATAAGTCATAAGTATGTGTAATGCACACTTATAAATGTTAAGGTATTATGGTATATAGGTATAATTGAGTGATCATTGCCATTTTAAAAATTATAATCTGTCTGAAAAAATAATTACATATTAATCTAATGAATATGTTTTCATACGTGCTATATATGATTCCTGAGAAATGATGAACACATGAAAAAAATAACAATTGCAAATCATTTACGCAGTATATTTGATAACCTCAGATAACATTATCGTAATAAGAGTTGAAGTTCTACGGTGTGGTGAAATAGAAATAAATGAGCTCATATGAAAGTTTTGAGACATTAGTTGTAAATATTTTAACAAATTATTAAAATTTTCATAATCTCATTTTTTATGGATATAGTCTTTCTATGTAGTTTTTTGTGGAATTAAAATTATAAATGTTAGAAAATAAAATTTATTTCTTTTGGTTTGTAGGGAGGGTGAAACTTGGTACATAACATACATGTAGAAGACCTAGATGCATTACTTATTCCCTTTAAAATACATACCAGTGATGACTAAATAAAAGTGTATAAATGCGTCTTTCTTTGAATATATGTATATTAGCACCTAAGTCATTCATTCAGCATTTATTTACTTTGTATCTATTACTCATTAGGCAGTGTGTTAGGTGCAGAGTAAGCAGTGTTTTTCATTGATTTGTCTTTGTTTTTGAAGATAGGTAGAACTCCGGTCTCAAAGAGATTGCAACATAGGGATTGAGGCAGATTCTAGGTACAAAAATACATAACTGATTGGAAACTGTGGTCACAATGCTGTGCCCGGCTATGATGTAATCATGAGTACTACAATTTTCCTTCTGTTATAAACAACTAGAAGACTGTATTCACATATTGGAAAGGCACTAGAGGATTTACGTCTGTGAGAGGAAGGAAATAAAGTAAGTTATTCATATCTCTGTCCCACTTTACTTCTTGGAGGCAGTTTCTGGAATACGTCCTAGAGAGATGAAAGCCAAACAGAACCTTTATTCTTGTTAAGATTCTTGCTGAGGTTAAGAGTCAGAGATCAAACTTTAGGTGATAAATGTCTGGTGAAGATTTGGTCTCTAATGAATGATTAAATTAATATCTCACTATGGATTTTGCTATTTAGTGAGAAAAAAACTGAACATTCTGCCATGCTTTGTAAATAAAGCAGAACCCACAGAGATAGAAGTTTCAAGTGTTGGCAACCTTCAATCTCTTTACATAAATCTTTTTTTGGAGTTGTTTTAATTTTCCAATTATTTTTTTCTCTGAAAATGTCCCAGCTTTAAATATTTCTTTTGAAATGAAGTATTTTGTGCTGGGTGTGCTGGTTTATGCCTATAATTCCAGCACTTTGGAAGGCTGAGGCGGAAGATCTCTTCAGGCCAGGGGTTCAAGACCAACTTGGGCAAGATAGTGAGGCATCATCTCTACACACACACACACACACACACACACACACACACTAGCCTGGTGTGGTGGCATACACCTGTAGTCCCAGTTACTAAGGAGGCAGAGGTGGGAGGATTGCTTGAGCCAAGAAGTTTGAGGCTGAAGTGAACTATAATTATGCCATTGCGCTCCAGCCTGGGCAAGAGAGGGAGAACCTGTCTATAAATAAATGAATAAATAAACAAACAAATAAATAAGGAACTTGGTAATTTGGCATAAAATTTTGATTTAGCTTCTTTATTAGGATATGACACAATAGTTTTATCACAGTTTCTAGCTATATCCTTTTCTGATTTTAAAGATTAAATAAACTCAGATTCAGTTGCAGAATCTACTACTTTAGACACTGGTTGCATATAACATACAGATTGCAGCCAGCAGTCAGAACCCATTACCAACATCCCAGCAGCTTCTCTCCTGCCATTTTTCAATAACTACTTTAAAAAAGTCTCACCTGTTCTTTACATAGAGAGATTTATTTAGAATGTTCTTGATATGGTTTGGCTGTGTCCCCATTTAAATCTCATCTTGAATTGTAGCTATCATAATTCCCACATGTCATGGGAGGGACCTGGTGGGAGGTAATTGAATCATGAGGGTGGGTCTTTCCTGTGCTGTTCTTGTGATAGTGAATAAATCTCATGAGATATGATGGTTTTATGAACAGGAATTCCCCTGCACACGTTCTCTTGCCTGACACCATGTAAGACATTCACTGCTTCTCCTTTGCCTTCCATCATGATTGTGAGACCTCCCCAGACATGTGGAACTGTGAGTCCGTTAAACCTCTTTTCTTTATAAATTATCCAGCCTTGGGTATGTCTTTATTATCAGTGTAAGAACAGAGTAATACAGTACTCTTATGTTCTGATTGTTTATGGTCAACATTTTGTTTAGATATTTCATTTATGATGTATGTATATATAGATCCTTCATAATAATTAGTATATAATATTCCACTCTGAATATGCCAACATTGATTTACTCAGTCAACTGTAGATAAACAATTTGGGTTATTTCCAGGTTTTAGCTATAATAAATAGTCAATGAATAATAAGTAGACAATGAATATGATGGTTATTGTCATTTTGTGATAGAGGTCAATTTTAAATAAATTGCTCATGAAGCCTTTTCTGAGGAGGTGGTGTTATTTGAGATGAAATTTGTATCACGTATCAGTTACTGTTGCTGCTCAACAAATTATCCCAGATTGTAATAGCTTAAAACAACCAATTTTTATGCACAAGAATTCTGTGGTTGGAAAATTCAGAAAAGGCAAAATGGGATGATTTGACTCTGTTCCATATCTAAGACTTCAACTTAAAAATGTTGAAGGTTGGAGACAGCTGACAGCTATGATAGTTCAAAGGCTCAATTACTCCCATGTACCTGGTACCTGAGCTGGAATAACTCAAAGACTTTTACTGCTGATTATAATATCTAAATGTATTCTCTCTGTAAGACTAGGCTTCCTTAAGAACAGTAGCCTTACAATTGTTGGCATTCTCACATGACGGCTCAAGAAGCAAGCATGAAGTTTCCAGAAAAATATATGGAAATTACATCATATTTCATGGTAGTTGCATCATATTTCATGAAGCAACCCTGGATGTCACACAACATCATTTATGTGACACTTTAGCGGTTAAAACAGTCCCTTGACTCAAAGGGTTAAGACATACATCTATCTATAGGAGAAATGCCAAAAATATTGAGTCCACCACATTTTAGAACTTTTAAAAGTCAGCCATGAGGAATTTATTAATTAGCGCAAAGAAAAAAATAAATTCAAAATTCCTAATTAGGAAACAAGTTTTCACTTTTTGATAATGTGAAAGGAAAAATCAGATTTTTTAATTATAGTAAAGAAGGGGGGCTATCAGTCAGAGGCTATAAGTTTTAGGATATTTTAGGCCACTATGTAGCGCATAAAGCATTTGGATCTTATTTTAAGTTCCAGGAAGCTATTGAAAAACATATAGGAGAGTGGTCTTATTTAATTTTAACAATATCATTTTTTGGCAGCCATAGAAACAACGTTTTGTAGAAAGGAAAAAGTCCAAAAGGCTTTTTAATTAATATAAGAACAAGATGATGTGGGTTAGGATGGTTGCCATAAACATGGAAATGTAAAAAAAAATGGATAGATGGGTCTGATTTTTATTTGGTTAACTCTTATATCTCACTCAACATTCAACTCTGTGTTATTATTTATTATGAAACCCATTCTGATCTTTTCTCTATCGACTCATCCCATCCCAGTATAATTTAAGAATCTATGTGCTGGTTTAGAGATATATATATATATATAATTTATTTACAGTGTTATATTAAAATTAGCCATGTGCATATTTCAAAAACAAAGTGCATGATCATTAAATTTGGTTCTGCCTGAATTTGTATCTATCCTGGGGTCAAGAAAAGTACTTGAAACCAACAAAAAATTTATTAAGCAAGAACAATTGATATTCTTCTAAAATGCTTAAGTATATTAGTTAATATCATAATAGCTGCAAATAATATTAATACATTAATTAGTGATATATGTCACTAATCATTTCTTTGGGGTAAAGTTTATTCTTTAGTATATGTATGTACTTTTTTATGCACTATTATATGTACATCTTGTACTGTTATTCATGAAAGAATCAACCAAATGAGAAAGCAACATTTTTATGTACATATTTCTAAAACTATTGCCAAAATATTTTAGCAAAATTAACTGGTTCTTATGGAATTGAATATATGTCATATAGCAATTTCAGAGGAAACAGTTGCTTAAAGTAATCCATGCCAATTAGAAGTACATTTTACAATAAACAAACATTTTGAAATGCTGGTTTTATGCTGTTTTCAAGAGAAATGCAGATTGAATCAGATATCGATATAAATTGAAATAATGTCTCTACAAGATGGGGTATTTGATATTACTTGCAAATTAGCCATGAGAAAAAAAATCCAAAGTTAGATAGAAAAATGACATTCATTTTATAGTAACGTGATTTGGGCTAACAAACATATGTAATTAATTGATAACACAGAAAATGACTTTAAAACAAATCAAAAAGGAAATAAAATATGCTTTTTGGGGGGTAAATCAACTAAGTTATTACACAAAATTTAAAATATTCTATATTTTCCTTTAGTCTATTTAGTTTTAGAGCTGCCTTTAAGCAAAATAATGAATTAGAGAAACTTTCAAAGCTACCCCAATTGTATAGTTCACCAGAAACTAGTGCAACAGTTTCCTAAGGCACTGCAGTCAGCATGGAAGTATAAAATTCAGTAACACACAAAATACTGGATTAGATGGGGTGGATGTTGTATAAGAGAACCGAGATGACTAGTTAAAGGTAAAAAGTCAGATATTTTTATTGTATTATTAATTAATTTATTTATTTATTATTTCAGACAATACTTATTGAGAATCATGCACGTGCTTTGTTCTAGGTTACAAAAATTAATAAGAAGACAGGGGGCCGGGCGCGGTGGCTCACGCCTGTAATCCCAGCACTTTGGGAGGCCGAGGCAGGTGGATCACGAGGTCAAGAGATTGAGACCATCCTGGCTAACAGGGTGAAACCCCGTCTCTACTAAAAATACAAAAAATTAGCCGGGCGTGGTGGCGGGCGCCTGTAGTCCCAGCTACTCGGGAGGCTGAGGCAGGAGAATGGCGTGAACCCAGGAGGCGGAGCTTGCAGTGAGCCGAGATCGCGCCACTGCACTCCAGCCTGGGTGACAGAGCGAGACTCCGTCTCAAAAAAAAAAAAAAAAAAAAGAAGACAGGGACCCATGTAGGTTAATACCATGTACTGCACAATAATAGCTAAAGAAAGAATTCCAGAATATATCTGGCATTTTTTGACATTTTTCTCTGCTGGCCATTACTCGGGAGTTTTGTCTCGCTGAATTTCTCTACACAAACCTAGGACAAATGCTAGCACCAGACAGCCAAGATTCTCTTGTAAGCCACTAAATCAAGACAAGCTTGCATTTGATCACACTATTTTTGTTCTTCTCCCAGAGTCTGTGCTCTTAACTTTAGTCTAGAATCCCTGGTTCCAGATCCCTAATCACCATGTCTGAAACAATGATATCCACTGTTTTATTCCCTGTTTTTAACTCATCTATTAAAAATACATATGACTGTATGCATCATGCACACTCATGAATTTCCCTCTACATTGCCCCTGTTGGTTTTTAGTTTGTAGTTTTTCTATCTCTCCATGTCTCCTTTCACCTGTATTTCAGGCTATATCTACTTTCTAGTGCAATTCCTGCCCTATGTAATGAGCATTAGGTGTTTGAAATACGTTTATTTAACACAAATGTGGCTTCCCAGGACTTTTACACAAATAGAACAAATTTGAAAATGAAACAAAAAACAAATCTAATCTAGAGATATTTAGAATAATATAAAGGAATGAACCTTCCAGACAGCAGTCAGTATACCACGGAATAGCAAAGGATGTCGAAATAAGTGACCATCTCCAATATGCCAGGGAATCTTATTTAAGGGTTTTTCCCAGTTGCAGTGTAATACATTTATATATTATTTGTCATGTGGGATTTGATCAATCATTTTCTCACTATATTGCTCAAACAAACACTTTCTGAGGTTCAACAGGCAAAGGCGCAAAGATTATTAAGTCATGAGAGCTGCACTTCAGGATCATATGAAAGAGACAGACACAAAATAAGTAAGCATAACGCAAATCGATGCAGACTATATTTAAGACATATGCAATGTATTTGGAATCACAAAGGAAAAAAGATGAAGAAGCTTGGAGTGTCATTGTAGAAAGAGAGACAATTGAGCTGAAGAGTAATATACTGGATAGACAGAAGGATGAAAGGGCATAACAGGAACATTAATCAGAAAGTGCAAAATCATAAATACATGAACAGTTATGAAAAGGTTATACTTTAGAGCTGTTAGAGGTGGTAAGTGTTTTATAGAGAAAATAGAAAGGGGTTGAACATAAAACTCTAGAGAGCACTCCTAATTTAATATTGAGGAAGGCATCAGACGTGAAAAGGGTATTGAGAATGAGGTGAGATATAAGACAGTGATACAAAATTGTAAGAAGATAATAAGAATATATTTAGCAAAATAAGGCATTCTTAAGCTTTTTTTTTCACTGTCTTCTGCAGGAAGGAAAGGAAAAACAAGCAAAAAAAAAAAAAAAACCCGCAAAAAACAATGATAGTTCAGAAGACAAACAATAATTGCAAACACATATTTATAAAAATAAACCCTCTTACCTGGATAGCAAGGCAATGAACTAGGCCAGTGCTTCCAGTTCCTCCATGGAGCATTTCCAGTTTCCACTTTGTAAAGCTGATACTCATGTTTTAACTGCCACTTTTGTAGATATTTTGAGAATTTCATCATCCATGTAAAACATTCAGTCTAATCTGTTACAAGTACATGCTGGGTAGTAATTAACACTTGTTCTACATGGTCTAGTAAAGGGAAAAATAATTTCATTGCTATTTATTATTTTTTTATTTGAGTTCTCTAGTTCCATAAAAGATTATCAACTCCTTCAGATATGCTAAGTTCCCCTTTCAGAAATCGCCAAATACATTGGAGTCTATTAACTTAGAGCAATGGTTGGTTCTCAAAGCGTGGTCCCCCACAATACCAGCAGCATCATTATCTAGGAACTTTTTAAAATAAAAGTTCAAAAATCCCAATACAGACATGTTAAATAAGAACCTCTGGCAGTGGAGTCTAATAGTCTATATTTTAACCTTGATTATATTTTAACCTTGATTATATTTTAAACATAATCTTTATGGATCCTAAAATTTGAGATTAATGGAATAAAGTCATCTACCCTTCCAAAAAGTCTAAGTACACCCTTTAATCAATCAGGATATCTGAAGGAGTACATTAATTTAGACTAGGACAGTAGATCTATGCTGAGACTGGATGGAAAGATTATGGATTTAGGAGTCAGACAGAAGTGGATTCACATCTCAACTTGGCCAATATTAGGTCTGTTTCCTTTGACATTTTCTACACTATTTTCTTGGGGTGTCCCATAAATCTCTAAATGATATTGAAATAATTCAGGTAATAAGTCCAGAAGGACTGTCACCTAATGATGATTCAACAAATGTTATTTTCTTCCTCATCAGAATCGCCTTAATTTAGTTGTATAATCTTATAGGTTCTGCTTTCATTAAGGGTTGTGCGAGAAATGCCCCTTCAAGACTGTTTCATTATCTATTTTACAGTTGTTGCTGAGGACATTGTCCAATATATTATTCAAGATTCTCTATATAAAATTATATATGAGAAATGTCTTTAAACCTTTAGTTCTGAAAAAAAAAACCAACAAAAATTTCTGTCTAGAATGTGGACTAGAATGTTTCTTCAAAATAGAATTTATAGGTATATAAAATACTGTAGATGGCGTATAAAGAAATCAATTACATCAGGCCAGGCGCTGTGGCTCATGCCTGTAACCTCAGCAGTTTGGGAGGCCGAGCGGGGCAGATCACCTGAAGCTGGGAGTTCAAGACCAGCCTGGTCAACATGGTGAAAGCTTTCTTTATTAAAAATAAAAAATTAGCCAAGTGTGGTGGCATGTGCCTGTAATCCCAGCTACTTGGGAGGCTGAGGCATGAGAATAGTTTAAACCTAGGAGGTGGAGGTTTCAGTGAGCTGAGATCACACCACTACACTCCAGCCTGGGTGACAGAGTGAGACTGTCTCAAAAAAAAAAAAAAAAAAAAAAAAAAGAAATCGATTAGATCAAATTCAATAAAAAAACAAAATTAAAATGATGAAATTAAAAATAAAAATAAAAATTCCCAATAAAAAATACTATTTGCCACTGGGCATGGTGGCTCATTCCTGCAATCCTAGCACTTTGGGAGGCTGAGGTGGGTGTAACACCTCAGGTCAGGAGTTCAAACCCATCCTGGCCAACATGGTGAAACCCTGTCTCTACCAAAAATACAAAAATTAGTTGGGCATGGTGATGCACACCTGTAATCCCAGCTACTACAGAGACTGAGGCATGAGAATTGCTTGAACCTGAGAGACAGAGTTTGTGGTGAGCTGAGATGATGCTACTGAACTCTAACCTGAGCGACAGAGCAAGATTCTGTCTCAAAATAATAATAATAATAATTGCATATAGATATTCTTAACTACATAAATCAGTAATAAATCAGTTGTTAAATTATTATTTATTATTAAATCTACAAATTTTCCTTCACCAGGTGAGTAAACGTCAAATACCATCATTTTTTCAAAGTCTTTGAAAAGCAGAGCAAACATAAAAATTGCATGAATATATTAAGCATAATTTCCTAAGAATTATGACAGAGCTAAAAAGTGTGGTAGTCCCTCCTTATCTGTGGTTTCAGTTACTCAAGGTCAACTACCATCTGAAAATACTAAATGAAAAAAGTCCAGAAGTAAACAATTCATGTCTTAAATTTTGTGCTGTTCTGAGTATCATGATTAAATCTCACACCATCCCACTTTATCCTGCCCAGGACATGAGATATACTTTTGTCTAGCATATACACAATTTTGCTACACTAGTCATTAGTAGTCCTCTTGGTTATCAAACTAAAAAACATAGTATATATAGGATTTGGTATTATCTGTGGTTTCAAGCTTCCACTGGGAGTCTTGGAACATATTCTCCATGGAAAAGTGGGAACTACTGAACAATAAAAATAATATAATACAGTGTTTTTATTTTAAAATGAAGAATCTTAGACCTGAATGGCTTATTTCCTTGATTGAGGTTCAATTATTTAGCATTAAAACCCAGCTTGGAATTTAAACTTTCTGTTATTGTTTTGATCTCACTGATGTTTTCTTCTTTGTTAACATAAAATTTAAAAGAGCAACTTGACCATCGTATCCATTGATCTACGATAATTCAAAATTTCAAAAAGGTAATCTAACAATTTCTTAAATTCCTTGGTTTTAGTTCAGTAAATCATGAGTAGTGTAGAGCACACAGAAACCCTGAGTATTCCCTTTGCTTTCATGACAGTTGAGTGCTGTTTTGGGGAAATAATGAGCCTCTGTCTCCTGCTGGTCAGGACCTTGCATTAATCTCAGACCATGATATTATTTCCACTTCCTCCCAATCCTTTCCTTTTTCTTGTCTTTTCTTGTCTTTTCTTCCCTCCCTCCCTCCCTTCCTTCCTTCCTTCCTTCTCTCTCTCTCTCTTTCTTTCTTCCTTTCTCTTTTTTTGACAGAGTCTTGCTCTGTCACCCAGGCTGGAGTGCATGATCTTGGCTCACTGCAATCTCTGCCTCCTGGGTTCAAGCAATTCTCCTGCCTCAGCCTCCCGAGTAGCTGGGATTACAGGCACCTGCCACCATGCCCGGCTAATTTTTGTATTTTTTAGTAGAAATGGGGTTTCACCATGTTGTTCAGGCTGGTCTCGAACTTCTGACCTCAGGTGATCTACTGGCCTCGGCCTCCCAAAGTGCTGGGATTACAGCATGAGCCACTGTGCCTGGCCCCTTTTTCATTTACTCACATGTTCCTGAGAATGACTCTTCCTTTAAACATGTTGATTTTCATAATGCACAATGTCTGTATATTAACTTTCCCTCTCTTTATACTTGTAACAAATATATCTCTTTGGAAGAAGTCATATACTTCCATGCCCTATTTTAGTTACATCCCCCACACACGCTCTCTATGACAGAGGTCCCCCAACCCCCGGGGCCAGAGACTGGTACCAGGCTGCCTAGCAGGAAGTGAGTGGCGGGCGGTCAAGTGAAGCTTCATTTGTACTGACAGTGCTCCCGACTCTGGCATCCACTTCCTGTCAGATCAGCAGCAGCACTGGATTCTCACAGGCGCTCGAACCCTAATTCGATTTGTGCATGGGAGACATCTAGGTTGTATGCTCTTTATAAGAATTCAGTGCCTGATGATCTGTCACTCTTTCCTACCACTCCCAAATGGGACTGGCTAGTTGCAGGAAAACAGGCTCAGGGGTCCCACTGATTCTACATTATGATGAGTTGTATAATTATTTCATTATGAATTACAATGTAATAATAATAGAAATAAACTGCACAACAAATGTAATGCACTTGAATCATCCCGAAACCGTCCGCCTCCCCAGCCCTTGGAAGTTTTCTTCCATGAAACTGGTCCCTGGTGCCAAAAAGATTGGAGGCCACTGCTCTATGATATTTCTTTAAACCACATTTTCTGTTTCATTTTGTTTGTGATCCTAATCCTGTACTTTTTCAACATAGAATTTCAGGCCAAGATAGAAAGTTCTGATCTATACTAATTTATAATATATTTTAATCAGAAATAATAAAATACAGATTTTCTTATGTTAATATTCTTTTCCCTCTGTCATGCTAAATCTAATAAATCTAAATAAAACTAGTTCATTATATATTCTATGCATGTGAAACATACATGTACCTCATACATAGGTAAAATATTGTGCATCAATAAAAGAAGAAAAATATTTTAAAAAATCTAAGTAGCCTTTCAGTTGCATTTAGCATGCACATATTTTAATGATTCTACACTTACCATTTAATCTTTTATATCACTGTTTTTTAAAGCTGAGTAGTCATTAAACAATGCTGTCTGAATCATCTACTTTATAAATAGTTGAAAAACAAAACTAAGCAATATATACACCTATCTTATACACACAAGTGAGCTAAATTTGAAAAAATAAGGAAATGCTAAAGGCAATATTTAGAATAGTGTCAACTTTGAGGGAGAGGCAAGGAGATGGTAAAAGTGAGCATATAGGTGTATCTAAATTATTGACTATGTTTTGGTTTGTGGTACATAGGTGTTCACTTTATTATTAAAGAATAAAGTAAAATAAAGCATGATAAAATCTAAAAAACACAATTTATACAAAATAAAGTTATCTTTCAGGAAGAAAGTGTTTTAATTAAGCTAATTCTCTGCACCTGAAATCCTTAAAAAGAAAATTTTTAGAAGGTATCATGCAAATTTTGTAAATCAGGTTGTTAGTAATTTTCTTTCAGCAATTTGTTGTAACAATATGACTTGATTGCACAATATACTGAATACCTGTGATAATAATTAGAGGAAAATGATTTGATTACTTCATTTAAAATAGTCCCCTAAATTTGAAAAAAAAAAAAGAAAAAATAACTGAAACGAAAACTTAGTTCTGTTTCAAGTCACTTTTGGCAATATAGTGTATTAGAAAGGTGAACTACTCACTGCCTTATATTATCTTTATATCAGAGTTGGATATTACCTTCCTTAAAAGAGTAAACTGATAAAATTGCTTTAAAATCTAATTATCATTTACTAAATGTGAGTCATAAAATCCAAGATTGTATTTAGAGCAATATTGGATCAAGTGGAAACATAGACTCCAATACAATTTAAAAAACCAGCCACAAGGGTGGAATTTTTACTAAACCTTGACTCATTTACATAAATATTTACACAGCTGTCGTCCTGGCCCAGCTTTTAAGACAAGTTCCTTAGTAGAGTTTTTATACTGTCCTGATATGGAGTTGCATAGCTGACATTTATGATATCCCACCCTGTATCTCTTTTATATAATGAGCTTATAAAACAGCCCTAGAGAAAAGCATGCATAAAAGTGAGGCCAGAAAAATGTTGTCCCCTCTTTATTTAACCCTGGAGTCAGGTCAGAACAGTGTAAATTATTCTGGTTGTAAAATTTGGCTAATAGCTTATTTGGAGACAGAGTATATTAAATGAGAATGAGAAATGACCTAATAGAGCAGAGTCCTTAAGACTTTGGAGTCAGACAGACCTCGGTTAAAATTCAGGCATTCTCTGTTACTGGCTGCATGCCTTTAAGAGTATTACTTAATCATTCTAAGTCTCACTCTATGCATCTGTCAAATAGGACATTAATTATTCCTACCTCTTGTGATTACTGAAAGATTAACATATCTTTCAACAATGTGTGATAAAGCATTTACATTACAAGATATGTTAATCTCTCAACAATGCATTTAATATATCTTTCAACAATATATGATAAACCATTTACATTAATTACTAAAATTACTAACAATTACTTACAATTATTATTTTATGAAATCAAAGGACAATATTGCTCATTATCAGAGTCTGTGTGGGGGAAACATTGTACTACTTGATTGTATATAACATAGTGATAGTTTCTTGAATGAAACAGACTTACTAGGTTTTAAGCAAAATGTAACATTAGTCTTTCACATCATCACAGCTGCTAGTTCTATCTAAGCAAGATTTTCCAATAACTTCAAGGTATTAACAAGTTGTCTTTCAGGTTCTAAAGGTCTAGTACAATCTAATATATATTTCTCATATTTTAAAATATTTTTCTCCCTTTAAGTTCAGGCCTAACTTAGGCTCCATAAACTACAGGGGATGGGCAGGAAAGAAGGGGTGCATTATTTTCTTTTTTTTTTTTTTTTTTTTGAGACGGAGTCTCGCTTTGTAGCCCAGGCTGGAGTGCAGCGGCGTGATCTCGGCTCACCGCAAGCTCCGCCTCCCGGGTTCATGCCATTCTCCTACCTCAGCCTCTGGAGTAGCTGGGACTACAGGCGCCCGCCACCACGCCTGGCTAATTTTTTTTTGTATTTTTAGTAGAGACGGGGTTTCACCCTGTTAGCCAGGATGGTCTCGATCGCCTGACCTCGTAATCCACCCGCCTTGGCCTCCCAAAGTGCTGGGATTACAGGCGTGAGCCACCGAGCCCCGCCGGGTGCATTCTTTTCTATTATTCATTTTGGCTTTGCAATTTTCCCTCCATTCCCCGCGTTGTTTCTAGTTCCTCCAAACTGTCACAGAATGGGGAGGTATAAAAGAGGGGGAAAGGAAGAACAAACAAATAAAAAGTCTCATGTTGCAACATCTCAGTATTTAACTCTTGAAAACATCGTCATATATGATAGCTCTCCAAACACAGTATTTTTCCCCACTCAAAAAGCTTTTGCGAGGCCAGGCTTGGTGGCTCATGCCTGTAATCCCAGCAGTTAGGGAAGTCAATTCTGGAGGATATCTTGAGTCCAGGGGTTTGAAACCAGCCTGGCTAACATAGTGAAACTGTCTCTACAAATATTTATAAAATTAGCTGGGTATGGCACCGTCGGTAGTCCCAGGAGAGGCAGGAGGATCGCTTGAGCCCAAAAGGTTGAGGCTGCAGTGAGTCAGCCGTGTTTGCTCCACTGACTTCCAGCCTGGGCAATAGGAGTAAAATCCTGTCTTAAAAGAAAAACAAAAAAGCTTTTGTGGATCATTAAGTGAACTAATCTTTGAGATAACTTGCATCTTCTATTTCTAGATGATGCAACTGATTATTTTCACAGCATACTCCTGTCCCCTCACTTTCTAGCAGTAGCATATGACTAATTAACCCATACAGAATTTTTTTAGCGTCTTACCCCCTCTCCCCAAAATACCACCACGATTCTTTTGAATAAAGCCCTTTTCAAAATCAAGTCAGTATTCATTCTTGGGGTCCATAGCTGGCCAAAAGGAAGCACACATCTTTGCCATGATATTGGTGGTAGCTGCATTCCCATTCTTGCCTTCTCCTTTTCCTCTGAAATCAGGGGTAGCTCTATTCAGCTCTTAATCTTTAGACATTTCCAGGTATGAGTAAAAACCAATTTATATGGTCCCATTTATATTCAAGAAATCTAACATCAGTCTGTCTTATAATTCCCTGAAGCTCACCTTAGTTACTTTGGGGTGTGGGAAAAGATGCTCTCATCTTTCCCCAGAGAGGTATGGATTGAATATGGACTTCACATTGTTTGTTTTTTCTAAGGAATCTCCACTACTGTCATCTCTTGGTCAATTTCCTTGACTTTGATTGTAACTGGAGAAGTGAGTGATGAACTAAGTCCCAGTCAGTTCCCTAATTTTTGAGCTTACCTTGTGCAAATGGTCTTGATTCTATCATGTGTGATCAAAAGTCCAGAAAAAGAAAAGCAACATTTAGCATCTCATTGGAACCTTGTTCAAGAAAGATGAAATTATGTGATAAAGCCATACTATTAGTAAGTAGCAGATTCAAAACCTGACTACATTTCTTTCAACAAAATAAGTTTTACATGCTGTGTGTGTGTATATATATATATATGCATGTATGCCTTCCTATAAAATGATGTCCTATGCAGAAATATTGCACAATGTCAAGTCTGTATAATGCCTCTGTGCTTCTCTTTGCTACATTTTTTATAATTGAATTTATGATTCTGTGATATAAGAACAAATTTCGCTTGAAATATATATTTATGGCTTACTATTCCAAATATATTGAGCCATACATATAACTTCATCTCTACTTCTATATTTGCCAATGAATAAATAAAAGAAGAAGGATTTTAATGAAGTTGCTCTCTATTCCAAAGAAGAAACACAAACAAAAGCAAGACTGAGCTGGCTTTTTTTCAAATCACTATGGCACAAAGCATGGGTACTCAAAAAGAAGTAGGAAAATCACAGAAATTCCTAATATGGATAATAATCTGATTTATTTTTAGGTGATGCATTTCTTCTTCCCTAAGGGAATGATCTCACATGCTTTACCTCTAAATTTTAACCTCTTAAATTACCGGAATACTCTTATAACCAGCTGTGCACACCCACAAAAAGTGCAGTAGGCCCACGCCCTTATCTCCATTTTTACTTTCTCTGGATTCAGTTATATGTTGTCAAATATGATCCAAAAATATTAAATAGGAAATTTTAGAAATGAACATTCATAAGATTTAAATTGCATGCCATTCTGAATAATGTGATCAAATCTCGTGGCATCCAGCCCTGTCCACCTTGGGGCCATGCTTCCTGCCCAATAGTCACTGACCAGACATTTCGGTTCTCAGATGGCTGTGCTCTTGCAGGCCTATGTTCAAGTAACCGTTATTTTGCTTAATAATGGCCACAAATCACATGAGTAGTGTGGATATGGCAATTTTGATATGTCAAAGAGAAGTCATAAAGTGCGTACTTTAAGAAGAAAGGTAGGATGGCCGAATAGGAACAGCTCCGGTCTACAGCTCCCAGCGTGAGCGACGCAGAAGACGGGTGATTTCTGCATTTCCATCTGAGGTACCGGGTTCATCTCACTAGGGAGGGCCAGACAGTGGGCGCAGGTCAGTGGGTGCGCTCACCGTGCGCGAGCCGAAGCAGGGCGAGGCACTGCCTCACTCAGGAAGCGCAAGGGGTCAGGGAGTTCCCTTTCCCAGTCAAAGAAAGGGGTGACGGACATACCTGGAAAATCGGGTCACTCCCACCCGAATATTGGGCTTTTCGGACCGGCTTAAAAAACGGCGCACCACCAGATTATATCCGGCACCTGGCTCGGAGGGTCCTATGCCCATGGAGTCTCGCTGATTGCTAGCACAGCAGTCTGAGATCAAACTGCAAGGCGGCCGCGAGGCTGGAGGAGGGCCGCCCGCCATTGCCCAGGCTTGATTAGGTAAACAAAGCAGCTGGGAAGCTCCAACTGGGTGGAGCCCACCACAGCTCAAGGAGGCCTGCCTGCCTGTGTAGGCTCCACCTCTGGGGGCAGGGCACAGACAAACAAAGACAGCAGTAGTAACCTCTGCAGACTTAAATGTCCCTGTCTGACAGCTTTGAAGAGAGCAGTGGTTCTCCCAGCATGCAGCTGGAGATCTGAGAACGGGCAGACTGCCTCCTCAAGTGGGTCCCTGACCCCTGACCCCTGAGCAGCCTAACTGGGAGGAGGCACCCCCCAGCAGGGGCACACTGACACCTCACGTGGCAGGGTATTCCAACAGACCTGCAGCTGAGGGTCCTGTCTGTTAGAAGGAAAACTAACAAACAGAAAGGACATCCACACCAAAAACCCATCTGTACATCATCATCATCAAAGACCAAAAGTAGATAAAACCACAAAGATGGGGAAAAAACAGAACAGAAAAACTGGAAACCCTAAAACGCAGAGCACCTCTCCTCCTCCAAAGGAACGCAGTTCCTCACCAGCAACGGAACAAAGCTGGATGGAGAATGACTTTGACGAGCTGAGAGAAGAAGGCTTCAGACGATCAAATTACTCTGAGCTACGGGAGGACATTCAAACCAAAGGCAAAGAAGTTGAAAACTTTGAAAAAAATTTAGAAGAATGTATAACTAGAATAACCAATACAGAGAAGTGCTTAAAGGAGCTGATGGAGCTGAAAACCAAGGCTTGAGAACTACGTGAAGAATGCAGAAGCCTCAGGAGCCGATGCGATCAACTGGAAGAAAGGGTATCAGCAATGGAAGATGAAATGAATGAAATGAAGCGAGAAGGGAAGTTTAGAGAAAAAAGAATAACAAGAAATGAGCAAAGCCTCCAAGAAATAGGGGACTATGTGAAAAGACCAAATCTACGTCTGATTGGTGTACCTGAAAGTGATGGGGAGAATGGAACCAAGTTGAAAAACACTCTGCAGGATATTATCCAGGAGAACTTCCCCAATCTATCAAGGCAGGCCAAAGTTCAGATTCAGGAAATACAGAGAATGCCACAAAGAAACTCCTCAAGAAGAGCAACTCCAAGACACATAATTGTCAGGTTCACCAAAGTTGAAATGAAGGAAAAAATGTTAAGGGCAGCCAGAGAGAAAGGTCGGGTTACCCTCAAAGGGAAGCCCATCAGACTAACAGTGGATCTCTTGGCAGAAACCCTGCAAGCCAGAAGAGAGTGGGGGCCAATATTCAACATTCTTAAAGAAAAGAATTTTCAACCCAGAATTTCATATCCAGTCAAACTAAGCTTCATAAGTGAAGGAGAAATAAAATACTTTACAGACAAGCAAATACTGAGAGATTTTGTCAACACCAGGCCTGCCCTAAAAGAGCTCCTGAAGGAAGCGCTAAACACGGAAAGGAACAACCAGTACCAGCCGCTGCAAAATCATGCCAAAATGTAAAGACCATCGAGACTAGGAAGAAACTGCATCAACTAACGAGCAAAATAACCAGCTAACATCGTAATGACAGGATCAAATTCACACATAACAATATTAACTTTAAATGTAAATGGACTAAATGCTCCAATTAAAAGACACAGACTGGCAAATTGGATAAAGAGTCAAGACCCATCAGTGTGCTGTATTCAGGAAACCCATCTCACGTGCAGAGACACACATAGGCTCAAAATAAAAGGATGGAGGAAGATCTACCAAGCCAATGGAAAACAAAAAAAGGCAGGGGTTGCCATCCTAGTCTCTGATAAAACAGACTTTAAACCAACAAAGATCAGAAGAGACAAAGAAGGCCATTACATAATGGTAAAGGGATCAATTCAACAAGAAGAGCTAACTATCCTAAATATACATGCACCCAATACAGGAGCACCCAGATTCATAAAGCAAGTTCTTAGAGACATACAAAGAGACTTAGACTCCCACACAATAATAATGGGAGACTTTAACACCCCACTGTCAACATTAGACAGATCAACGAGACAGAAAGTCAACAAGGATACCCAGGAATTGAACTCAGCTCTGCATCAAGCGGACCTAATAGACATCTACAGAACTCTCCACCCCAAATCAACAGAATATACATTTTTTTCAGCACCACACCACACCTATTCCAAAATTGACCACATACTGCGAAGTAAAGCTCTCCTCAGCAAATGTAAAAGAACAGAGATTATATCAAACTATCTCTCAGACCACAGTGCAATCAAACTAGAACTCAGGATTAAGAATCTCACTCAAAACCGCTCAACTACATGGAAACTGAACAACCTGCTCCTGAATGACTACTGGGTACATAACGAAATGAAGGCAGAAATAAAGATGTTCTTTGAAACCAACGAGAACAAAGACACAACATACCAGAATCTCTGGGATGCATTCAAAGCAGTGTGTAGAGGGAAATTTATAGCACTAAATGCCCACAAGAGAAAGCAGGAAAGATCCAAAATTGACACCCTAACATCACAATTAAAAGAACTAGAAAAGCAAGAGCAAACACATTCAAAAGCTAGCAGAAGGCAAGAAATAACTAAAATCAGAGCAGAACTGAAGGAAATAGAGACACAAAAAACCCTTCAAAAAATTAATGAATCCAGGAGCTGGTTCTTGGAAAGGATCCACAAAATTGATAGACTGCTAGCAAGACTAATAAAGAAAAAAAGAGAGAAGAATCAAATAGATGCAATAAAAATGATAAAGGGGATATCACCACCGATCCCACAGAAATACAAACTACCATCAGAGAATACTACAAACACCTCTACGCAAATAAACTAGAAAATCTAGAAGAAATGGATAAATTCCTCAACACATGCACCCTCCGAAGACTAAACCAGGAAGAAGTTGAATCTCTGAATAGACCAATAACAGGAGCTGAAATTGTGGCAATAATCAATAGCTTACCAACCAAAAAGAGTCCAGGACCAGATGGATTCACAGCTGAATTCTACCAGAGGTACAAGGAGGAACTGTACCATTCCTTCTGAAACTATTCCAATCAATCGAAAAAGAGGGAATCCTCCCTAACTCATTTTATGAGGCCAGCATCATTCTTATACCAAAGCCGGGCAGAGACACAACCCAAAAAGAAAATTTTAGACCAATATCCTTGATGAACATTGATGCAAAAATCCTCAATAAAATACTGTCAAACCAAATCCAGCAGCACATCAAAAAGCTTATCCACCATGATCAAGTGGGCTTCATCCCTGGGATGCAAGGCTGGTTCAATATACGCAAATCAATCAATGTAATCCAGCATATAAACAGAACCAAAGACAAAAACCACATGATTATCTCAATAGATGCAGAAAAAGCCTTTGACAAAATTCAACAACCCTTCATGCTAAAAACTCTCAATAAATTAGGCATTGATGGGACGTATTTCAAAATAATAAGAGCTATCTATGACAAACCCACAGCCAATATCATACTGAATGGGCAAAAACTGGAAGCATTCCCTTTGAAAACTGGCACAAGACAGGGATGCCCTCTCTCACCACTCCTATTCAACATAGTGTTGGAAGTTCTGGCCAGGGCAATTAGGCAGGAGAAGGAAATAAAGGGTATTCAACTAGGAAAAGAGGAAGTCAAATTGTCCCTGTTTGCAGACGACATGATTGTATATCTAGAAAACCCCATTGTCTCAGCCCCAAATCTCCTTAAGCTGAGAAGCAACTTCAGCAAAGTCTCAGGATACAAAATCAATGTACAAAAATCACAAGCATTCTTATACACAAACAACAGACAAACAGAGAGCCAAATCATGAGTGAACTCCCATTCACAATTGCTTCAAAGAGAATAAAATACCTAGGAATCCAACTTACAAGGGATGTGAAGGACCTCTTCAAGGAGAACTACAAACCACTGCTCAAGGAAATAAAAGAGGATACAAACAAATGGAAGAACATTCCATGCTCATGGGTAGGAAGAATCAATATCGTGAAAATGGCTATACTGCCCAAGGTAATTTACAGATTCAATGGCATCCCCATCAAGCTACCAATGACTTTCTTCACAGAATTGGAAAAAACTACTTTAAAGGTCATATGGAACCAAAAAAGAGCCCGCATCGCCAAGGCAATCCTAAGCCAAAAGAACAAAGCTGGAGGCATCACACTACCTGACTTCAAACTATGCTACAAGGCTACAGTAACCAAAACAGCATGGTACTGGTACCAAAACAGAGATATAGATCAATGGAACAGAACAGAGCCCTCAGAAATAACGCCGCATATCTACAACTATCTGATCTTTGACAAACCTGAGAAAAACAAGCAATGGGGAAAGGATTCCCTATTTAATAAATGGTGCTGGGAAAACTGGCTAGCCATATGTAGAAAGCTGAAACTGGATCCCTTCCTTACACCTTATACAAAAATCAATTCAAGATGGATTAAAGACTTAAACATTAGACCTAAAACCATACAAACCCTAGAAGAAAACCTAGGCATTACCATTCAGGACATAGGCATGGGCAAGGACTTCATGTCTAAAACACCAAAAGCAATGGCAACAAAAGACAAAATTGACAAATGGGATCTAATTAAACTAAAGAGCTTCTGCACAGCAAAAGAAACTACCCTCAGAGTGAACAGGCAACCTACAGAATGGGAGAGAATTTTCGCAACCTACTCATCTGACAAAGGGCTAATATCCAGAATCTACAATGAACTCAAACAAATTTACAAGAAAAAAACAAACAACCCCATCAAAAAGTGGGCGAAGGACATGAACAGAGACTTCTCAAAAGAAGACATTTATGCAGCCAAAAAACACATGAAAAAATGCTCATCATCACTGGCCATCAGAGAAATGCAAATCAAAACCACAATGAGATACCATCTCACACCAGTTAGAATGGCAATCATTAAAAAGTCAGGAAACAACAGGTGCTGGAGAGGATGTGGAGAAAGAGGAACACTTTTACACTGTTGGTGGGACTGTAAACTAGTTCAACCATTGTGGAAGTCAGTGTGGCGATTACTCAGGGATCTAGAACTAGAAATACCATTTGACCCAGCCATGCCATTACTGGGTATATACCCAAAGGACTATAAATCATGCTGCTATAAAGACACATGCACACGTATGTTTATTGTGGCATTATTCACAATAGCAAAGACTTGGAACCAACCCAAATGTCCAACAATGATAGACTGGATTAAGAAAATGTGGCACATATACACCACGGAATACTATGCAGCCATAAAAAATGAGGAGTTCACGTCCTTTGTTGGGCCATGGATGAAATTGGAAATCATCATTCTCAGTAAACTATCACAAGAACAAAAAACCAAACACCGCATATTCTCACTCATAGGTGGGAATTGAACAATGAGATCACATGGACACAGGAAGGGGAATATCACACTCTGGGGACTGTGGTGGGGTCGGGGGAGGTGGGAGGGATAGCACTGGGAGATATACCTAATGCTAGATGACGAGTTAGTGGGTGGGTGCAGCGCAGCAGCATGGCACATGTATACATATGTAACTAACCTGCACAATTTGCACATGTACCCTAAAACTTAAAAAGTATAATAAAAAAAAAAGAAGAAAGGTAACTATTCTTGACTTAATAAAACAAACAAAAAACATAGTGCATAAAGGATTTGATGCTATTCGTAGTTTCAGGCACCCACTGGGGGTCTTGGGGTGTATTCCATATGGAGTGGATAACAGGGGACCTCTGTAAAGGCATTAGTAAACATGGACTCTCTATGTTGATCTCTTTGACTTAGCAAATACATTTTGGTTGGTTACTCCAGTTACCCAGATTAACTGAAAACAGGACAGGACCAATTCAAGTCACTCCATATTTATTTAGCCACCTCGCATGCATGTAACCTTACTTTATCTGTGTGTGTGCCACCATATATATACCGCTTACTCATTCTACAACAGAAATAATTCACTGCATTTTATTGTTTTATTTTGCTTGTATTAGTATTTTGCTCACATTAGTGTATTTAATTGACTAACTTGAATTTATCTCTGTAGTTTGATTTCCTAATTTTAATGTTATACTTTAATTCTTACATAACTTATAGCCACTGGATAGGTAAAATTATACTGTTAGGTGAGCTGTCCTTCTAAATTGTTAGGGAACCAAGATGAAAGTATGCACAAATCCATTCCTAAATCCTAAAGTCGTAAGCATTCTTTTATCATTATATATCAGTCATGAAGCTTTACTTCACATAACAAAACTCTTAGGGGGTGGTTATTGGTTAAAAACAGAATTGAAAAGTCCAGAAATTAATTTTGTTTGTTTCATCAGCAAAATATGTCATCAAGGGCCCAGTTTCTTTTTACTACCTCCCTGTCCTCTTCAATATTAGCGTGTCTTAAGCTTGCCTCTTTCATATTGGCAAAATAGTTTTCTTTAGGTTCCACATCGACACACATAAAATGCAAACAAAGAAATACTATGCAAGTAAGAGTCTGGAAATCATACTGATTGAAACAGTTAAGGTTATGCCAATTGTCTTAAATTAATCAAAGCTTGCCCGTGGAGCTGGAGTCAAAGGTCATTACTGGAGAGAATGGAATCTCAGTGAAAATATATGGATACTCTTACGTGTATGTGAAAATAGAAAATGGGTGCTAGTTGGTAGTCAGCAACAATTCAGGACACATAGGACATAAAAGATAATCTGAGAAGATGCATTTTTTTCAGAGTAGCCTGTTACATATTCTGGATAATTGTTCCTAAATATTCTTTCCCCCAGATTATTCCTTATTTTTAAGTTTCAAAAACTGTGAAGTGTAGTTCCAAAGTAGTTTAATCAATGGATCACAATTAAGTGCAAGTTTACTATATTTGAGCAGTTAACAAGAAAACTTAATTCTTATGGAATTGTCATTTCTCTGATATTTTATTTAACTTTTACTGGACAATCATCTACTGGAGCTGAATATTTATTCAGTGTAAACAAGGAAAAATAACCTGAAACAAATTTATGTTGCTATATAAAATTCTGTTTCTTTCAGTTTATAGCTTAATAAACTACTTGAAAAATATTCTCCGTTCTTTGTATACAATTACTTTTTGTAGAGTTATACACTAAAAAAGTAATGATTTTATTAAATTAGAAACAAAAACATTCTTATTTATAAACAATCCATTTTACAGTTTAAGCCTACTTTTGTCAATCAATAGACTGTGTTCTTATCATAACTGAATAGCAAAATGGCATGTTGTTTAGATTTATTAATGCATGCATTTATGTATAAATTACTTTATTCCTTAAAATGATTATCGGGGTGCTTTTATTTATTGACATTACCTCATTAATAAAAGAAACAGAGCCACAGAAAAAAAAAAAGTTGGCATTACTTTCCAGAGTTGAGGGAGGCATAGTAAAATATAGGGATAATGATTGCTAAGAATTCCAGATAGTTCAGCATTGCTTATATTTTAGCAAATTTTCACAGATGTATTCTCTACAATCTTTAAACATATTAGGGCATGTATTTTTAAGTGAAGAGAGGTGCCTGGCCTTAAACTTTAAATATAGAAATAGATAGACATAAACATAATTCTATAGAGAGATATATATATATAGATATAGAGTAGCTATTGCTTTAGACATTTGTGTCTTGAAGAAGAGAATAGATTTTTGAAAGGAAAATCTATAATAAAGTGGCATGTCTATCTTTTTAGCATTATTTGTGAGGCATGTTGCAATAAGTCCTATTTTACCTCAACCATAATAAATTATGTTTAGTTCTCCAAATTGACTATGTTCTCTGGATCATCTTGTCTTTTCTTCTAGAAACTCTCAATCTGGGATGTACTAATTCCTCACATTTGCTTCAAGAGCTTCTCCACTTATGTGCTGTGGATATCCCTGGGCAAGTCACGTACATCTTCTATGCTCCTGTTTGCTCATTTTAAGGATAGAAATAATAACAGTACCATATAAGGTTGCTGCATCATTAAATGAAATTTTTTTATAAACACATGTGTTTAAAAAACTGCCTCACATGTAAGATTAATTACAAACTGCATATTAAATGTGCATAGACTACTTCCGTATTTAGTTTGAGCACTCAAGTAATTAGAAGACTAGTGTACATGAAGAACAGACAGAATAGTAGAGTGTAGTACACAGATTGTAATACTCTTTATCCTGAAGTAAAAGGAAGCTATTGAAGAATTTTAATCAAGGGTAAGTAGGATGGGCTTGTGATAAAGCAATTTCTGTGGAGTAGAGTTTTTGGAATATAATGGGAATAGTCTTTTTAGCACCATATTATGACAGAAGGCTTCTCTCTAAACTGTCTTCAGCAAAACATTAATAAACAGATGTTTTTAGATGCAACAGACATGCCAGATACAGTGCTAGGTTCTACAGATGTGGCAGAAATCATCTCAATGTCCTTTAGATAACTTAGTCTACTAGGGCAGGGTTTCTCCAACCTCAGCACTGTTGACACTGTGGGGTAGGTAATTCCTTGTTGTGAGGAGCTGTCCTGTGCATCGTAAGATAGTAAGCAGCATCCCTGGCCTCCCCATTTTATACTAGTAGCAACCAGCTCCCCCTCCCACTCTACAGTAGTGATGTGAAAAATAGTCCACAGGCGTCAATAAAACAAAATTTCCAGTTGAGAAACACTGTATCAAAGAAAGACAAATAATTACATCCCAGAGGTGTGTGATTGAAAAGGTGGTATAAAGTTATCTGTTATTGTGTAACTGGTTGTGGGCAACTAATGCTGCACTCATGCGTGGGAGCCTAAATAAGATGTCATCAAGTTTGCCACATGAGTGATTGACATATTAGAAGTGTACTTGGGTGGTTAAAGCTGACCAAATTGGACATAAAATATTCTATCTGTTACCATCACTTGCTCTGTATTTATAATAATGTCCCCTCATAATTATTGAAAGCATACCGAGCCGTGTATAAGGAGAAAAGAAAACATGCAAAAACAAAACAACAACAAAAACCCAAAAACTATTTTAGATTAAACCTGTTGCTTCATTTCAGTTTGAGCTAAAATGGTCATCTGTACTTTCCATGAAGCATCAGGCTGGGGCAGTGGGGAGTTCTGCATGTAGAATAAAAGCTATACAATAAACCAAGGGGCTACAGTACTTATTATCATTAACAAATGTATAAACCATGTTTTTGTGGATATCCCTTATGTGCTGTGGATAAGGGATATCCTTATCCACAGTTTTCCATATGGCTGACACATTTCAATATTTTGGAAATACCAGGGTTAATTTTGAGTTGACAGAGGTAATCTAACCTACTATATCAGATATGTTACTTATGTTTGTTACTAGAAGATATACTTTTCAATAAAGTTATTAAAATGCAAAAAAATAAAACAAGCAAAAAGTTTCTTAATTCTCTTATACAAAGGAAGGAAGACACATGGCACAGATCAGTTTATTTTTCATCTATTGCTTTTAATTTGTTACTTCTACTTTGTTTTACTTAGCTAAAAAGTTACTATAGTTTTTTTATCATTTTGGTGAGACCATAATTATTTTTCAAATAACATGAATCACTAGACAATGGAAAACACTGTGATGATAACTGCAAATGCTTACTCACAAAATATCATTCAATACATGTTTATACAAAATATACCTGGAAAAATTTCATTTTTCAAAATATTTCAAGCAGTATCTTATTGAAGTTAAATCACCTTTCTATCACTTGGCAATGCTGAGTAATCCATAAATATTAACTATGTGTCTATTGTGAGACAATAAACTTATTTTAGTTAATAAGTAAATTTCCTACAATAAAGGAAAAACTAGACAAGAATTTAAGTTTCCATTTATGTTATTATAAAACCCTTAAATATAGTTTGATTATAAGAAGTTTGGATACAATTAAAACACTCTGAAAAACTGCTTCTTTTTTATTCATCTCAAAAATAATATGTTTTTTCTGCTTGCCTGGTCAAGTAAAATATTAAGACAAATATTGGGGAAAATTTAAAATCAGCAAATAAATTTTAATAAAGCCTACTTCATTATTCACTAATGAAACTTTTTAAAAAAATCTTAAAGCAGGCAATTATTAAGACATGTGTACTGAACTTTTAAGAACATTCGTATGGTTTGATCTGTTACTCTGAGAAATAAAAATTGGTTTAGGAGTACTCAAATTTTATTTGCCTAAAGAAACAGTATGTACTCTTTCTCTACAAAGCACTCTAGACTACATTAAATATTTTGTTACAATTTTATTTTAATTACTAATATATTTGGAAATGTTTAAATATTTAAAATTCTGACAGATATGTGCATTAATATAAAAGGTTATAGAGAGCATCTGCTTGATCCTCCCATATAAATAAGGCATATGGCCATATTTTCCTTGACATGAGAATATAGAGAGCGTTTTACAAAGAAGTTTTTATAAGCTCTCTTTAAAACTGATTGGAATGGGCTGCAACAACTTTCACAGTAAGGAATGTCTTCCTTCTAGCTACCCATATTTTCATGATTTACTTAGTATTTGTTTTCATTTCTTCTATCCTCAGTAGAAATGGAAAACAGCTGGTCATCTCCATCAACACGAATTTTAACTACATCAATTCAAATTGCTAAAAAGTGAAAACTCAATGAAATAACTATTATTATTTGCCTTGTGATACTTAATTACCAGTTTGGCTTTTTCACAACTTAAATGAACAGAAATTATGTGACTAAATTCAATGATGTGATTGCTTTTATATAGTTATTTAACCATTCACAACCACCCTTGGCCTTGTTTATTCTAGGTTCAATAATTAAAATTCCTTTAACTTTTTTTTCTTAGAAATCTTGTTTTTCAGATCTCTGAATCATCCCTGTGAATGATCTCTATTTTTTTAAAAAAAGAATCCTTCTTGCTACTTGCAATTTTATTCATTCATCCAAAAAATGCTTATTCAATGACTACCATGAGCTAAGTATCCTGAATTTGTAGAATACATTTCCACGCCAAAATTAGATATATTCTCTGGTCTTGAGATGTTTGCTTTCTATTGAGACTGTAATAATATAAGTAATAGTTAAACTTATTAAGCATTTACTATATGCTATTGTTCTAAGCATGTAGCATATATTGATACATTTGTTTTTCAAAATAATCATATACAGTTGATATTATTACCCCCCTCATTTTCAAATGGGTTGAATAAACAAATATGATAATTGCAGATAGGGTAAGCTATGAAGACAACAAAATAGGGGTTGGAGTTAGGATTCTTCTAGATTGGCTGACCTAGGGATGTTTCACTTTTGAGGTGACTGTTGCAATAAGACGATGAGACATGAATAAATAAAAAGGCAGTCTCTTCCAAGTTGTGTGGGAAGAGCATCTTAACAACTACAAACTCTCTACATTAGGAAAAACTTTCCCATATGTGAGAAAGAGAATGAAGCCCTGTGTGATTGCACTTGGAAAGAAAGAGGAGCAATGACCTCAAAGAAATCCCACCTTCTTCCACCTGCTTTGTTCTAGCCACAATGACAGCTGATTGGATGGTACCCACCCATACTGAGTATGGGTCTTTCCTAGTGTACTGACTTAAATGTCAGTCTCCTCTGGCAACATCCTCATACACATACCCAGAAACAATACTTTACCAGCTAGCTATCAAGGCATTCTTCAATCCACTCAAAATGGCAACTGATACTAATCATCACAGTAATAAGATAGTCTGAGAGAACACTGAGTAGATAAGAGTTGAAGAAGACAAATTTGAGGGATATTAACATTAGAGTTGAAAAGAGAAAGAAGATTCAGAAGAAATAAAAAAGAGGGCACGGTGACATCGAAAGGAAAGCCAAGAAATTGTGTCACATATGCTAAGCGAAGCGACTATTCAGAGGGAGTAGTTTAAGCACGTTGAATGCAGGTGAGGAGTTAAGTAAGATGAGGACAAGAAAAAATCTTTGGATTTTACAAACTAGCAGTCATTGTCATTGCTTACCTTATTAAGAGACAATTTTGTGGCGTACTGGGGATTGAAGATCAACTGGAGTTAGTTGAAGAAAAAACAAGATATGAGGGGGTTGGAAGAGTGACTGTGATTTAGAAAAAATGACAGAAAATAGGGCTAAGCCAGAATGTCTTTGGAATTTAGGAGAATGTGTATTTAAAAAAATATTTTAATATGTATGATCCTATAGTATACTTACTTGATAGTGATGAGCCAGCAAAGAGATTTAATAAAATGGGAGAATGTTTTCTACAGGAACAAAATTTTGTAGAGCTGCATTGTCTAATAGGGCAGCCATTAGCCACCTGCGGTTATTTAAATACAAATGAAAAGTAAATAAAGTTGAAAATCCAGCTTCCAGTTGCACAAGAACAATTTGAATTGCTCAAAAGTTACAAGTGTCTTGTACTTGCCTGTTGGAAATCACAAATAAAAATTTCCATTATTACAGAAAGTTCTTTGGACAATGCAGCTTTCAACCATGAGAGAAGCGACTGCATTCATATAAAGTGAATATGAGTCTATTTTTTCTCAATTTTAATTTTTGTCCAAAATGGCTTTTACACTTAAAAATAAATCCAAATTGTACCTGAAATTCAACTATTAGCATATTCTGAATAGTAAAATATGAAAGAAAAAAAAACAACCAACAGAAACAGCTCTCTGGTTTGTTTTAGCAAGAATAGTTTAGCTAGATTACAGAAGTACACATTATGCTTGAGTAAGTCTTTAAATTACCTTTAGAATGGCAAGGGATATAAGTATGTACATATATACACATACACATATACATAGTTATATAAATATATATGCATATATGAGGCATACAGACATACAGGTGGATATACACCTATATATGTTTTTGTAACTTTACTACTAAAGAAGGTGCATTACTTCTTTTCCTTATGGGACACTACCCTGAGGAAAGCAATTAGCTTAACACATTTCACTGTTGGCATAGTGTCTCCTTTCTGAGGTATAGGGTTTTTTACGTTTACATTCCCAACATCTAGCACAGTAGACAATAAAAGTTTAATGAAATATGATAAATGAAGGTATTAGCATATTGGAGTGATTACTAATTAACTGACCTACAAAATTTAAAAATTAACTTTGTTTTCTCCCTTCACGTTGACCATCAGCTTCAAAATTTCAAAAAGCTGTTCATCTTACATTCTTTGTAGCGTAATACTTGATGTATATCCAAGTTTAATCTTTATTTTTGTTGGTATTTTATTTTGAATGAAAGAACATGAGAAATTTCGTATTTAAATTGAATGCCACATTCTATATCAATCTATGTTAGTTTTGCTATCTACTCTTCATTTAGAGGTATAAAGAAGATAGATGAAATAGTTATTTTATATTTCAGAATTTTTTGAGAAGTCCATATTAGCCTAAAAACAGTACATTTACATGAGGCAGTGTGGTATAATCAAAAGAGTCCCTTCTAAACATGACCTGTTGACATCATTACTCTTGTATATACTAGCAGCCTAAACTTGTGAGTTAACTGGAGATAAAGAAGAAAAGCAAAGCAAAACAAAAAATTGGAAATTAGTCTATTTTCTTCATTCTTTTTCTGAACTCTAAAAAGTGTTCTTGTTTTAAATGATCATCATTTGCATAAACACTTTTCTGTGTTTTCCTTTTCCTCCCCTAATTGAGTTAAACAGAATCTATATAACTTGCCTTTGCGCCTGAACTCAGGTAAATAAAAGTAACAATGAAAAAGAGTAAGAATGTATTTTTTCCCTGCTAGTTATGCAAAATTTATTATATGGAATTTTTTTTTGGTATTTTCTTTGTACAGAAGAAAGGAAGGTGACCTATTTTAGATATTAGAAGACAAGATTAGCTTAATTAGGATTTTAGGATTCAGCAGCCAGCTGAGTGGCCTGCTAAGGTGTTTTCTTTTCAGTTCTTTTATCTGCTGTGGGTGGTTAAGAGGCTGTTTTCAAATAGGAATACAGCTGCTTGGAGACAACTTGCTTAATTATTATAAATTGAGAGATTGTACAAATTGTATAAAATTATCTACATCAGTCGTGGCCTGGCATAGTTTACTCCTATATCATAAACTTGAACATCATGCAGTTAATAATCTGCCAGCTGAAATGTTTCTTCGTGTTGTATTCTCTCTTTCCTGCATCCAATTGTTTCAACCAAGATTGCAGAGGAGGATATGTTCTAGTTCGCAGAGTTGTTTTGTTGTAAGTTTAGAGATAATAGATAACATACTGTCACCAAGCCTGTGTATCCTAGACCCTCAACAAATATTAGATAGTATTATCATCATTCTCTTTACTCCGAGAATCTTACTGACCTGTTGCAGGCAGATGTATAAAAACTTAAACACTAGTTTTCTCTTATCAATGGGGAATATATTTCAGGACTCCCAGAGTTGCCCAAAACTGCAGATAGTACCAAACCTGATTTCTGTCAATGGGAACACATTTTTGTTCATGTCTTCCACCCACAAATGTAATGCCTTTGCCATCTTTAAACGCAACACACACTATGGCCATCAGTTTTCCTGTTTGACGTGCAACAGTAAACTAGCACAAATCTATTTTTCCTTCTGCACAATTTTATAGATAGAGGATTTGTTCTTACCACAGATCTTAGCAATCTCTGCATATACTTTCTCTTCTTTTCTTATTAAGTCAAGAACTTTCACATTTTCACTTGCAGGAAGCACTTGACACCTTCTCTTGGCATATCATAATTGACAGCATCAATTCTCTTGCATTTTTGTGCCATTGTTAAGCGAAATAGGGGTTACTTGAACACAAGTACTGTGACAATCAATCTGATAACCAAGAGGACTAAGTGAGTAGTGGGTTGGGGCATATACAGTATGGAGATGCTGGACAAAGGAAGGATTCATATCCTAGGCAAGATAAAAAGGATGGCTGAAGATTTCATCATGCTCCTCAGAAAGGTGCACAATTTAACATGTATGAAGTGTTCATTTCTGTAATTTTCCATTGGGTGCTTTCAGATGGTGGCTTACCTCAAGGAACTGAAACTTAGGAAAACCATGGATAAGCGGGACCCACTGCAAATATGCTTCCATTATACAATGTTCTAAGAAGCCCTTGAAATAGTGCCAGGTTTACACCTGACTTTTAAAATACCTATGACTGTGAAAGAAATTAAAAATTAATACATTTCAAAAAATAAAAAAAAACAGACATTTGTATTAAGTTAGAACCCTCAAGATAAACATTGGGTATTTACTTGTAATGTGGATTCTAAACAGAGAATTTTCTTAAAGTTTGCAATATACTTTAGGGAAAGGAAAAGTTTCTTTATAAATCTTCCTAGTATTTTGTGAATGGTTTAATTTTATTATTCATGGAATAAGACTTCCTGCTTCTCATTCTTGGAAAGTAATTTATGAACAATGGTCCTTGAAATTTGGAAAATTTTGCATACAATATTACATTAATATGAGAATCATAAGCTGAACAGAACTGAATCTTTGTGACAATAGATACCAAACTATAAACAAGACCTAAGGCTATGCCAGCAAGGGTTAAATTATGCACTTCTGCACTTAAAGAATAAACTATAGTTTAACTGCCACAATTTTTTTTCTTTTTCTCTAGTAACTAAACAAGAACTGGTTGGGAGATAGGCAATATTGAAACAATTAGAGCTGACTGACTGCCAGAAGTGGACTAACTCACCCACCTGTTCCACAAGCCATATCTGCAGCTTTGATTGGACAAGTGATTCACGTCAGTAGCTTTCCTCTGATCAGACTGTGGGCCAGAGACCGATTCTAGCTAGTTTTATAGAGGCGGTGCACTAAGTTTCTTCATGTCCTCTGCTTCACCTTTCACATATGGGGCTTAATAGTAATGCATTTAAATATTAAATCTCTACCCCAAAGTGAACATGGGACACATGTAGCATGCTTGTTTGCTCACTACCCATGTGGGTATTCTCCCTTTGTGATTATTCATAGATCCTCTTATAACTTGTTAAGTATGTATATTTAGCCAACTCATTCTGCATACACTTCTGTCTCACCTTCCCTCCCTTGAAGTGCCTGCTTTTGGTCTGTGCTGGAGCCTATGTATCCCACCCTGCAGGACTGCCAGTCTGCAAGCTGCAGCCATTCATAAGAAATACAGCTCTTCTCAGCAAATTAGTATGCTTTGTGATTCATTAGTTGGCAATTATTTTCTTACTTAGTTTTATCTCATGTCATAACTCTCTAACACAATCATATTTCCATAATTAATGGTATTACTATACTAATTTTTGCACATAAACATATTTCTCTATTATTCTTAATGGTAAACATTTTAAATTTTTATATTTTATTTTGCTTTTCCATATCCTGTTAGTAGTTTCATTATTCATTTTTCACATGTTTTCCTGGTATAGAATTTTGTTACTGTTATCCTTTAGGCTTGTTTTGGAACCTACAGATGAAAAAGGATTTAACAATTATTTGTTAATTAATTCTCCTGACATAATAATTTAATAAAAAATAGTAGAGGCTGTTTTTATAATTGGAAACTAAAATACAACAAGATTAAATGACTTATTCAGAGTTAAAAAAAAAACTTACAAAACTGCATCAAAGACATAAACATTTACCATCAAATATTAGTATCTACTGAACTCAGAAGATAAACTTTTCAAATATCACTTTTCCTGCATTTAAAGTATCATGTTTAGTGATACAAAATTTATACATGAAGAATGACAATTAAGCAGTGTTTCATTAGATTTTTTTTCTGGTGGAAACTGGCTCAGTGGCAGGCCAAATATAGAGAAATTTCATAGGTTCTATCGTGGTGAGGATGTACTAAAGCTGTGGTCCTCACGATTTTTATTCTGGGGCATTCTTCATGCTGTTGAAATTTTTTGAGAACCACACAGAACTTTTGTATCAGAAGATTCAATCTATCAATATTTATTGTATTAGAAACAAAATACTTATTTTAAAATATTGATTTATAACTTACTATATATATGAATAAATCCATTGTAAGGTAAAATAAATAATCATTTTTATGAAAAGTAACTATTTTCTAAATTAAAATAAAGTAGTGGTCAGAAAAGCATTGTTTAACATTTTTGCAATTTTTAGAAACATATGGCTTAATGGAAGGTAGTTGGTTTCTCATATCTGTGTCTGCATGGCAATATGTGGTAATGTGTTTTTTGGTTGAAATATATGAGGATAAGCTGGCTTCACATAGATATGTAGTTGGAAAAGGAGACATATTTTAATATCTTTTAAAGATAATTATCAAATATCCTCTTTGACACTAACCAAAACTTAACTAGTAGAAATTTCTTAAAGGTTTTTTGCAATTTAGAATCTCAGACTATATTATGGAATATTTTATATTCTGTTACATTCTCATTACATTCTAGTATGTATGAATGAATGAACAGATCATTTTTTAAATATCATTTTTAAAATATATTTTATTGCCTATATTTTTAATCTTATTTTTAAAATATGTTTTTATTGTGCATATTTAAGGTTTACAACATGGTGTTATGGGATTACATATAAATAGCAGAAAGGTTACTATAGTCAAGTGAACTCACATATTCATCATCTCACATAGCTATCCATTCTCTCTTTGTTTTGGTGAAAGAGCAGCTAAAATCTACTCATTTAGCATGAATCCCAAATACAATGCAATTTACCAAAGTCTTCATATTGTGCGTAAGATCTATAGATTATTCATATCTACTACTTTGTATCATCTGAACTATGTCTCCCCATCCCACCCCCCAACTGCTCCTGATAAACACTGTTTTGTTCTCTTTGTATGTTTGAATATTTTTGCACATTCCACATATAAGTGAAATCATGCAATATTTTTCTGTGTCTAGTTATTTCACTCAGCATAATATAGTATGCTCATGTGCAATTTTATAATATTTTGCCTTGCCATTTGATTCTCTTAACTTCATGCAATGCAATATCATGATTTGCTCATAGGAAAAATATTGGTTCATTAAGTTATTCAGATCTGCCATAGTTTCACAAAATTCATTATACAAGATAGGAAAATCGCAATCATTAATATCACCTCCGATCTCATCAATAGACTCTTCCTAGACTCTATCTAGGAAACTATCAATCTCATGGTGAAATAAGTTTCCCCCAAATTTATTTTCTCTTGAAAGCTTGAACCTTATTATTGGCCATACATATTGCAATTTTTCTCTAGCGTCAGTCTCATTTCATTTTTTTTCAGCTGTTTGTCAAATGCCCAAATGTGAATAATCAAAGTTTGTTCTTCCAAACTTTCTCAAATGAAAATGGTCTTCCACTAAAATATGGCAAATTCAGCTCACAACTCTAACAAGTGTTTTTTTTGTTTTTTTTTTTTTCTGAAGAGTCATTATTTTTACATATGCATCAACAGTACTTCAGGTATACATGTCTTTTTGTAACACAGAATATTGAAAACACATTTATTCAAGGATTGAGGTTAATTATTAGGTTTTTTTTCCATGAGAACAATCCTAAGTTAAATTGGCTTGTTCTTTCTCCTACTTATCCTTCTTCATTTTTTAAAATTTCAACTTTTATTTTAGATATAGGGTGTATATGGGGCTTTGTTACATGGAAATATTACATAATGCTGAGATTTGAATAATGAACTCTACCACCCAGATAGTGAACATAGTACCCAACAGGTAGTTTTCCAAACCCCTACCTTCCCCTCTCTAGTAGTCCACAGTGTCCATTGTTCCCATATTTATGTCCATGTGTGTTCAATCTTTCACTCCCACTTATAAGTGAGAACATGGGGTATTTGGTTTTCTGTTCCTGCATAAATTCACTTTAGTGTATGACCTCCAGCTCCAACTATATTGCTGTAAAGAACATTATTTCTCTTTTTTTTTTTTTGGCTTCATAGTATTCCATGGTGTAGATGTATCTATTTTCTTCATCCGATCTACCATTGATGGGCACCCAGGTTGATTCCATGTCTTTGCTATTGTGAATAGTGCAGTAATGAACATGCAATTGCATATGTCCTTTTGGTAGAAATATTTGTTTTCTTTTGGATATATACCCAGTAATGAGAATGCTGGGTCAAATAGTAATTCTGTTTCTAAGTTCTTTGAGAAATCTCCAAACTGCTTTTTGCAGTGGCTGAACTACTTTACATTCCATCCCACAGTCATAGTGTATAAGCATTCTTTTTTCTCGACAGTCTCACCAGCATCTGTTGTTTGTCGACTTTTTAGTAATAGTCATTCTGACTGGTGTGAGATGGTATCTCATTGTGGTTTTGATTTGCATTTCTCTGATGATGAGTGACATGGAGCACATTTTTTTTGTTTACTGTTTGTATGTCTTCTTTTGAGAAGTGTCTGTTCATGTCTTTTGCCCATTTTTAATTAGGTTATTTGTTTTTTGCTTGCAGATTAGTTTAAGTTCCTTGAATATTCTGGATATTAGTCTTTTGGTGGATGGATAGTTTGTGAATATATTTTCTCATTCTCTAGTTTGTCTGTTTAATCTGTTAATAGTTTCTTATGCTATGCGGAAGTTCTTTAGTTTAATTAGGTCCCACTTGTCTATTTTTGGTTTTTGTCATATTTGCTCTTGGGGAGTTAGCCAAAAATTGTTTGCCAAGGCCAATGTTGAGAAGAGTATTTCCTAAGTTGTCTTCCAGGATTTTTATAAATGTTATAAAAATTTACAAATTTGTATAAATTGAGGACTTACATTTAAATATTTGATACATTTTGAGTTAATTTTTATTTGTGGTGAAAGGTAGGGATCCAGCTTCAATCTTCTACATATGGCTAGCCAGTTATCCCAGCACTATTTATTAAATAGGGAATCCTTTTTCCATTGCTTGTTTTTTATTGTCTGGTCAAAGATCAGATGGTGGTAAGCATGCAGCTTTATTTTTGAGTTTTCTATTCTGTTCCATTGGTCTATGTGTCTGATTTTGTACCTTTAAAATCTGTTTTGGCTACTGTGGGTTTAGAGTATTGTTTGAAATCAGGTTAGGTGATGCTTTGTTTTTTGTTTAGGGTTGCTTTGGCATTCAGGCTACTTTTTGCTGTTATATGAATTACAAAATAGGTTTTTTTTTTCTAATTCTTTGAAGAATGACATTGATAGTGTGACAGGAATAGTGTTGAATCTGTAAATTGCTCTGGGCAGTATGGCCATTTTTATGATACTGATTCTTCCAATCCATGAGCATGGAATATTTTTCCATTCATTTGTGTCATCTCTGATTTCTTTCAGCAGCAGTTTTTACTTCTCATTGTAGAGACCTTTTACCTCCTTAGTTAGCTGTATTCCTAGGTATTTCATTTTCTTTGTGGCCATTGTAAATCTGGTTGTGTTCTTGATTTCATTTTCAGCCTGGATATTTTTGATGTATAGAAATACTACTCATTTTTGTATATTTATTTTTTACCTTAACACTTTATTAGTCATTTATCAGTTCTAGGAGGCTTTTTATACAGAGATTTTAGGATGTTCTAGGTATAGAATCATATTGTCAGAGAAGAGAGATAGTTTGACTTCCTATTCGGATGCTTTTTTTTTTTTTTTTCTCTCTTGCCTGACTGCTGTAGATAGTATTTTCAGTTCTATGTTTAACAGGAGTGGTGAGAGAGAGCAGTCATCTTTTTCTTGTTCCAGTTCTCAAGGGGAATGTTTTGAGCTTTTTCCCATTCAGTATGATGTTGGCTTTGGGTTTATCATAGATGGCTTTTTATTTTATTTTGAGGTATGTTCCTTCCATTTCTAATCTGTTAAAGACTTTTTTCATTAAGGGATGTTAGATTTTATCAAAAGCATTTTCTGTGTCTATTGAAATGGTCTTGTGGTTTTTGCTTTAAATTCTGTTTACATGGTGAATCACATATACTGATTTGCATATATTTAACCAGATTTACCTCCCAGGAATAAAGCCTACTTTATTGCGGTATATTAACTTTATAATGTGCTGATGGATTCGGTTTGCTAATATTTTGTTGAGGATTTTGTGTCTATGTTCATCAGGGATATTGGCCTGGGGTGTTTTATATTTTTTTGTTTGCTTTTCTTTGTATCTCTGCCACATTTTGATATCAGGCTGATGCTGGCTTCACAGAATGAGTTAGGGAGGAGCCCCTCCTGCTCCTCCTGCTCAATATTTTCAGTAGGATTGGTATTAGTTCTTCTTTCTAGATTTGGTAGCATTTGGCTGTGAATCCATCTGGTCCAGGGCTTTTTTTTTTTTTTTTTTTTTGGTTGGTAGGCTCTTTATTACTGATTCAATTTCAGAAGTTGTTATCTTTCTGTTTTCTGGTTTAATCTCTTCCTGGTTCAACCTTGGGAGATTGTGTGCTTCCAGAAATTTATCCACTTCCTCTAGATTTTCTAATTTTTGTGCATAGAGTTTTACACAGTCCTCTCTGAGGAGCTTTTGCATTTCTGCAAGATCAGTTGTAATATCCCTTTGTCATCTCTGATTGTGCTTATTTGGATCTTTTTATTTTTCTTTGTTAAGCTAGCAAGTGGTCTATCAATCTTATTTTTAAAAACTCTTGTTTTCATTGATCTTTCGTATGGATGTTTGCATCTCAATTTCATTAGGTTCTTCTCTAATTTTAGTTATTATTTTCTTCTGCAAGCTTTTTTTTCTAGTTCCGCTAGGTGCAAAGTTAGATATTTAAATTGAGATCTTTCTAACTTCTTGATGAAGGTGTTTATTTCTATAAACTTTCTTCTTGACGCTGCTTTAGCTGCATCCAGAAATTTTGATAAGTTGTGTCCTAATTTGTATTAATTTCAAAGATTTTTTAAAAAAATTTTGCCTTAATTTCAATGTTCACACAAGAGTTTTTCAGGTGTAAGTTGTTTAGTTTTCATGTATTTGTGTAGTTTTGAGTGACTTTTTTTGATATTGATTTCTATTTTTTTTGCACTGTGGTCCAAGTGTATCCTTTATGTGATCTCAATTTAAAAAATTCATTGATATTTGCTTTGTTACTGAGCATGTGGTCAATCTTAGAATATGTCCTGTGTGCAGATTAGAAGAATGCATATCCTGTGGTTGTTAGGTGGAATATTCTGTAGATGTCTATTAGGTCTAGCTGATCAAGTGTCAAATTTAACTCTAGAGATTCTTTTTTAGTTTTCTTCCTCAAAGAGCTATCACTTTCAGTGTGGTGTTAAAGTCTCCCACTATTATTGTGTGGTTGTCTAAGTCTTTTCATAGGCTAAGAAGAATTTGTTTTATGAATCTGAGTGCTGCAATGTTGACTGCATATATATTTAGGAGAGTTAAGGCTTCTTGTTGGATTATATCCTTTAATATTATGCAATGATCTTCAGTATCCTTCTTAATTTTTATTGGCTTAAAGTCTGTTTTATTTGATATAATATTAGTGACTCTTATTTTGTTTTGTTTGTTTTCTATTTGCATGGTAGATCTTACTCCACTCTTTAAATTTGAGCCTGTGGATGTCATTACATGAGAGATGGATCTATTGAAGATAACAGTAACTTATCTTTTTATTCAGCCTGCTACTTTGTGTCTTTAAGTGGGACATTTAGCCTATTTACATTCAAGGTTAGTATTGGTATATGTGATTTTGATCCTGTCATCATGTTGTGTTATCTGGTCATTATGTAGACTTGATTATGTAGTTGCTTTATAGTGCTTGTGGGCTATGTGCTTAAGGGTGTTTTTGTTGTAGCAGGTGTCATCCTTTTGATTCTATGTTTAGCACTCCCTTAAGGACTTATAAGGCTGGTCTAGTTGAAATCTATTCCTTTAGCATTTGCTTGTCTGAAAAGGATGTTATTTCTCATTTATTTGTGAAGCATAGTTTGGCAGGATAAAATTTTTTGTTGTAATTTCTTTTCTTTAGGGATTCTGAAAATAGGTTCTCAATCTCTTCTATGTCTTCTGGCTTGTAATATTTCCGCTAAGAGGTCTGTTATTAGCCTGATGGGGTTCCCAGTGCAAGTGACCTGCTCCTTCTCTGTAGCTACCTTTAAGATTTTTTCTTCTGCATTGACTTTGATCACTATTTGATCTAGTGAATATGATATCTATGTGCCTTTGGTATGGTTATCTTGTATAGTATCTGGTCAGAGTTCTCTGCATTTCTTGAATTTGTACGCTAACCACTCTAGCAAGATTAGAGAAATTTTCACAGACTATATCCTCAAAATATATTTTTGAAATTGCTTATTTTCTTAGGAAAATAACATTTTTATTTTATTTTGTTCTTATTTTATTTCTCTCAGGAATGCCAGTGAGTTGTAGATTTGATCTCTATATATATAATCCCATATTGATATATGAGTTAAGAAGAAATTACTTAGGTAGACAGTGAGGGTACAGGAGTCCTCAGAAAGGTTCGCATTTTAATGAAAAGCAGCCCCCAAATCATTTTCTTTTCTAACAAAGAGAAGCCTGTAAAAACAAGCTGCAGACATAGACAAGCAAGCTGGAAGCTTGCACAGATGAATGCTGGCAGTTGTGCCAATAGGAAAGGCTACCTGGGATGTTCAAAGGCATGTTTGAAATGACAGCTCCATGTTTCCTTCTCATTGCCAACCATGTGTACAGTAAAGAGCAGATAATATGGCACCAGCCAAGTGGAAAGCCCATTTGCATAATAAGATTAGTGTGGGGTGACCAGCCTACCCCATGAGCTATATAAACAACACACCTGATGGAACCAATCTGTTGTGCCCTACTTAAATCAGACACCACCTCCTGAAGCCTGCCTATAAATTCTAATGCAGTCTGCCATGGGCTGGGTTTTCCTTTTGGAAGCCCCTCTCTCTCACAAGGGAGACAGCTGAATTCTCCTTTCTCTTTCTTTTGCCTATTAAACCTCCTCTCCTAAACCCACTCCTCATGCGTGTTCGTGTCTTTAATCTTCTTGGTGCGAGACAACAAGCCCCAGGTATTTACCCCAGACAATGACACCACATTAATATCTCTTGTAGGTTTCGTTCGTTTCTCTAATTAAAAAAATATTGAGTTGATTTAAAGAACTGGTCTTTGAGCTCTGAATTTCTTTCTTCATCTTAGTCTGTTTGGCTGTTGATACTTCCAATTGTATTACAACATTCTTTTTATTTTTATTTTTAATTATTTCTTTTAGACAGAGTCTCCCTCTGTCGCCCAGGCTGGAGTTCAGTGGCTCGATCTCGGCTCACAGCAACATCTGCCCCCTGGGTTCAAGCAATTCTCCTGCCTCAGCCTCCCAAATAGCTGAGATTACAAGTGCCCACCACCATGCCCGGCTAACTTTTGTATTTTTAGTAGAGATGGGGTTTCACCATGTTGGCCAGGATGGTCTCGAACTCCTGACCTCAGGTGATCCACCCTCCTCAGCCTCCCAAAATGCTGGGATTACAGGCATGAGCCACCATGCCTGGCTGTATTACAACATTCTTATAGTAAATTTTTCAGCTCAAAAAGTTCAGTTTGAGCCTTTCTTAAAATGGCTTTTTCCTTTTTCAGCTCTTGACTCACTTTACTGGACTGCTTGGCTTCCTTGGATTGACTTTCTATTTTCTCCTGGATCTTGATGAGGATTCTTGTTATCCAGATTCTGAATTCCATGTCTGCCATTTAAGACATTTCAGACTGGTTATAGATCATTGCTGGGGAGCTAGTGCGCTTTTTTGGAGGTAAGGGGACACTGGCTTTTTGAATTTCCAGAGTTCTTGCCCTGATTCTTTCTCATCTGGGAGGTTTGGTATTCCTTTAACTGTGGTGTAAATTGAGTTTAGTCAGGTGGCTTTGTTTTGGAAATTTTTAGAGGGCTAAGGCTATGTACAGGGTCTTTGTTATTGAATTCTTACCCTTGCCTACACAGGGGTGAGAATGAGTGCTTTTTGGTGTTGTAGTTTAGGCTGCTATCCCGCAGATGGCACTTGAAAGCAATGGGCAGTAAATAAGCTCTTGCTCAGCCATGGCTTTTTGTGTATTCTCACTTTTGTAGCTATATACTGCCCTGTGACCGGGAGAGACGTGATCCCCTCAATACTCCCACTCCTGGGTTTTGGGGGAGCCATCTTTAAACACTGGCATTGTGCCCCCAAAGTTGTTGTTGTTGTTAGGTCTTTCTGACCAGAGGGCTGTCCTGGGGAGAGGTCCAGTAAGAAGATGAGTCACACACTTACTGGACAAACCCTGTGGAGGGAGGTACGCCCAGGTCCCATACCAACCCATGGACCTGTGCCACTTAACCCTCTCATTTTGTAAGAGTGTCTGCTCTTCCCCGCATCGAGAGCCAGGCACAGATCCTGTCATGGCACTCCTGAACCACAGGCTACAGCCCTCAAGCTCCAAGATCTGCTCATGGCTATTTCCTCCAGGCCCTCAGGGTGGGGTTCCAGGTGCACTGGGTGACCCCAAACACTTCTAGGCTAATGGAATGCACTCTGTAGAAACGAAGCGCCCACGTTAGCAGTAGAGGCTGCACTGTGTACATTCTCCTGCGGGTGGCCAGGCAGAAGCCCGGAATGGGACTGATGGATAGGGGGGCCTGCAGGACAGGCATTCCCCAGTCCTGCAAGGAGGCAAGCACAGTGACTAGTTGGGGCCAGAACCTCTCAGAGGGAGATGGGCAGCCCTGAAGAGGCGGGGGTGGGCACTTATAGCTAGGCTCCGCCAGAGCTATCCCATACTAAAAGTTTCCTGGCTCCATGCTTCCTACAGCTCCATTTCCATTTAATTTCTGGGAAAATCCCCCTGCCAGCTCAAACGCCCATGGGGATGTGGGGTCGCCTGCAGCTAGAATATCAAAGGTCCATGGCAAGAGTAAGTAGTCCCCCAGCCCTTTCATTCACCCTTTCTTCAAGGACTATTAAGGGCTAGGAACCAGCCCTGAGATTCAGGCACTCCGTGAGACATTCCCAGGTGCCTCCCATTTAAGCCTCATTTATATCTTTTCTCCATCCACATTCAGCATTTTCTCTCCCAACAGCTGTTCAAATTTTGTTGATTTAGTCGAAATCCCAGTCTTTCTGTGTGGGAGTGACCGTTTCCACGTGCATCTAGTTGGCCATCTTACCCCTGACTCTTCTTCCTCATTTTAACCACAATTGCCTGCCAGTGAAGAACATTATGGTAATGAGTGCGGTTTCAGGCACTCACTTAATTTTATTAAGCTGCCAGCATTTTTATACACCATTGTTTTTTCTCTGTCGGTGCAAATGTCAGCACAGTGGAAAAGGCAAATAATCATTAGTATTATTATAGAAATAGGGTTGAGATTCTAGATATCTTGAAAAGGTTTCTAGGACCATCAATTGTAGGGAGACCACAGTTTAAGACCCACTTCGGTGAAGAAATATGCTGTAACAGGGACTTAGTTTGGGCAGTAACAGTCATAAAGACCTGGTGTTATCATGCTTTTTACCACAGGGCAATTTGTAAGAAGATAAGAGAAGGAAAAATTTAGGTCTTTGACATCCTTAACAAATATTTCTCACACACACATACAAACTTTATAACAATCTAGAGTCCACTCTCATGACCTCTCATTCCCAAGACAGACTTTGACATGGTATTTATCAGTTTGATTACTTGTGTTAGTAGTGTACAATGTAGGAGACAGGAATAAATTGACAGAGATTCTCTATTCATTATTCTACTTATGTTCTTTCATTTCAAATACTAAATTACCCAATAAGCCATAAATATTTCAGCATACTTCATGACAGGGAGCACAGAAAAGAATAGAGAGTTCTCAAAGCTTAGAAAAGATGTTACATTCTGAAAGTAAACAGAAGGAAGTAGGTGAGCTGATGTTCAACTTTATCTCTTTCATCACAAATTTGCCTTAGGCTGACTCTGTTCATCTTTAATTCTAAAATCAGACAAGTGTAACTATGCACATAGATCTGTTTGTTTTGCACTTGTATGGCTTAGTGGAAACATTAATGCTCAGCAAAGCATAAGATTTACCTAAAATAAAATGTGACTATTTCCAGTGTAACTTCAAAAATAAACAAGTAGAAATAGATCCTTTATCCCTGTTTAAATATAAATCAATTGAAATTGTTAGTCATAAATATGTATTATATCATTTATGAACATCCTTAAACATGGACTTAGGAAACAACAAGGCTTACAAGATAGTACAAGAGAAAAATTATTTCCAAATACTTTTAAATGGACCAAGGAAACATCTTAGGTAACGAGTTTTAGTTAATAATATATTTCATTATGGAACATAGTCCTGGACATTTTTTTTCTTGGTCCCAATTCAGACCTTCATTCCAGACTGCCAATTCAATATTTTGCCTCAATGATGCTGATATCTTTCCACTATGATTCATGCCTTTGAAATGGAAGATGCTCCTGAGAGGATAAGGACACTCAGTATGCCAAATACTAAGATTTAGTGAATAAATGATCATGAGATAGAAATAATAAAATGAACACATACACACATAATGATATTTAATAGTTTCAAATCACCAATTAGTTTATAATAGAATTATTATTTCTATATACAAATCTTAATTCCACTATATCTGTTATTTCATTAAGCATTATCCTCCTATGACCTATATACATGTTTTCTTGTTATCCCATGAAATTAAATAGGCATACTTGTAAAAACAGCTAAGTTTGTAAAAGAAGCAGTTTCAAAATAGAACAGTTTCTTCATGTAATATATAATCACATTACTAGATCCTTTATATTACTCAGAAACATATATATAAATATATATATATATTGAGCTTTCATGCCAAGCTATCAGTCAAATACATTATACCACCATATCTAACTATAGATAATATTTAATATATAGATATATAGATAAAATTATTTTGAACATACAGTTTCAAATAGATTTTATTCAATAACTATATTCAGTAGGCATTTTGAGAATCTATGTTATGTCACTCACTGTGTTTCAGATAGGAAATATGGAGGGTTTTCTCCATTTAAGGCATATATATGTATACACACACACTATATGTATATATGCTACGTATATATACATTTCTCCTTTTAAGCCATCTATCTATCTGTCTGTCTCTCTATCTATCTATCAACCTATCTATCTGGTGGCATAATGTATTTGACTGATATATTGCCATGAAAGCTCAATACATCTTATGCCAGTTATCATAAGGCATCTTGTGATACTTTGTCAAAAATTTCATGTATTCTTTTCTTCATTCTATAATGACTGATTAACTCACAAAGGCAGTGAAAGAGAGCATTGTTAATTTTCCAGTTATTCTCTGGGTCAATGTAGTTTCTGATTCTAATATGAATTGAAAAAACATAAAATTAAAGAGGCTCAAATTACTCAAAGAGGCAGTCAAATGTACTGCTATCCTGTTAATTATTTAAATAAGTAAAATGGGTAATTGTTTTCTAACAAAGAGAAGGGAAATAAATAAAATGTAAATTTCCATAAACTAATATTTGCTTAAATTGCCACTATTTTAACATAAAGAATTTTTTCAAATTTGAAAACCCGTATTTATCATTTTGCCAAACAAATGTATTTAATTTCTAGGGCATAATTATCAATTAATGTTGACCAGGATTTTTCAATGTAGAATCTCACAATCCTTAACTATTCCTCTGAATGCCCCACCCACTCAACTCTCACATACACATACAAAAAAATTCTGTAAAGACTTTGGAAATGAAACATGAATGATGTAGTAGTCATACATGTTGCAAAACAAAACTAAGGGAAGAACTGAATGTATTATATCATTTCATCTGGCAGTAACCTTTATTGTATGAAATTGGAACACTACCTAATTAAAATATTTGTAGAGAATTTTTTTTTGCATTCTTGTTCCTTCTGACTAACTCATTAAATCCCAATAGAAATGCCTAGATCCCTGTACAATTCATCTTATAAACAATCACCAGATGGTGGTTGATTGCAGTGCTTTCTAATTTACCATGAGAATTTTAAGAGATATTTCCTATCAAATTTTATGCTTTGGTCTATGCAACTTGTTTATATCAGTGTTTAAAACAAAAATCCTGCTTCTAATTTCATACTACAGAATCTTTCCAAACCATACTATTTTCTTTTAGAATTATGATAGCTTACTTAGTTTATATTCTCTTATTGCAATGTTGAAAATATTTCACAATATTGGATTAAAATTATATTGACATACAGTTTCAAACAGATTTTATTCAATAAATATATTCAGTTGACATTTTGAGAATCTATGTTATGCCAGATGCTATGGTTCAGGTGAGAAATATGGAGGGTTTTCTCCATTTAAGTCAAAAGATATGCTATCCTGAAAAAAAAAACACAAACTTGTCTAATTATTGTAATTGTCTCTTCAGGAGGATTCTACTTGTGGCGTAGGTTTGTTATGGAAAAAGCCCTTTACCATATGGGCTATTAGTGTTAGAATTATTAGTGGTGTGTTGAAAATGTGCCCTCTGTTTGTTGTTAAGGTACACTCCTCTTTTGGTTGAAGGAAGAATATGCTGTCAGCTTTAAAGGCCTCCTATTGAATTTCATCTGCATTAATCTAAAAGAAATATCTTACTGTTTCGGGCACAGAGGTAGCAACATTTTGTGTCTGAAATCTATTACTGAGGTGTTTCTTTGTTTTATAGTTGTTGGCTATTTTATTTTTAAAAATGGAAATGAAGGATTACTCCATGCTTACATAGATAGACAAAATTTTTATTAGAACATATTCTTAAGAACAAACACATTTGTTAGATCCAGACAAAGTCATTTCAAAGATAAGCAAATTAATGGAGGCAGGGACTATATTCTAGAGCCTATATTCTATCCTAGTCTCCAGAGAAGCCTGGTACAATGAACAGGTTGAAAATTTCTTGAGGTATCTCTTGGAAATCATGCCTCCATAGTTGGATGCAGTAATGTAATTTGAAGATATTTAAAGATTTTTGAGGATATCAGACAAGATACCCCTCCAAGTTGTTATTTTGCAGTAATATAAATAACCCATTTCATACAATTATTATTATTGTTTTCATACAGTAAAGGGTCAGGTGATGTGCCCTTTGACAGTTATTGTTGATCTCTTGCACCAAACATATCTATTATTACCTCCCTACCATCCTTACAACTATAAAGATTGTGTACAACAGTCATTATTTTCATGGAGATCATATTTTTTTTCTTACTGGAACCAAGCCAATGGAAATACTTGAGAAACAGGCTGTCCAATTTAGCTCCTTCAACATAACATGTCTAAGTCTTAAGAATATATATATATATATATGTTGATTTGCAACAATAGTTTCTTAAATAAGAAAGATAAGAGGTAAACAGGAGAGTTTTGCTCCTTGCTTTACAAGTCTCAATGACAGACGATTCAAATAAACTGTTGCTTCTTTGTAATCAACCCCCAAGAGTTATTGACTTGAAATATTCTGCAGCTATCACTTGCTGAATTATCTGTTGTGAGGTTAGAATAAAACTTGTGAAAATGGATATGAAATGGTTAAAGTTATTTTTGAAAGTATGAGGGGCACTATACAAACGTAAGAGGAATAAAATATGTAAATGGAACTTGTCATAATCTAATTCAAAACTTGACGTTTAAGCCTTGGTATTTGTAAAATCCCAGAAAATATTTTGAAAATATACCAAGAACATATTTCACTTGAAATTTATTATTATGTTTTTAAAATATTGATGATTCCTGACATTAATTTCATTGTGCTTTTCTGTCTTATTTAATTTTTATTAATTTAGAATGATGTAATACTGAAAATATTTTGAAAAACTGTAATTGTAAAAATATTTGTTGCCAGTGTTTAAAGATAAAATAATAAATACATATAAATGAAAAGAATATAGGTAAACATAAAATATTTGTATGGGTATTCTTTGCTGTTGCTATTTTCTATTAATTATATATCCTTTCTAGTCTATATCATTTTTTATTGAGAATTTAATTTTCTAGTTAGTTAATTCATGCTGATATGATGCTTATGAGGGTTATCATTAAGCTTTGCATAATTTGGAATAATCCCAAGATTATTAAACCACGGATGAAAAAAGTAAAATAATATAAAGACTTTGGCTTGCTTGATATACTCCATTTTCTTAATTGAGTAATTCAAAATGCAATTATATTAATAGTGATGTTTGTCATGTACCTGATTTGTAAAAGTTATTTTAAAAATAAACATAAGAAAATTCTGAACCTATTAAATGAATCCTGCTCTGAACCTGCGGAATAGAAATTATAGCAATCATTCTAAAATTTATTCTCAAATAAGCTTATAATGGCCTAAATTCTGGGACTACTATTGAAATAGTGACCTTGGAAATGAAGCAGTCTCCCAGAATGCACTAAGGCATGCTCTGAGGTCATTACCACTTATGTGAACCTGGTGGGAAACAGGCATCTAGACAGAATTTTTGGAACCATAATGAAGGGTTGGGGTGAATATCCTATGGGAATAGAAAAAATAATTTCTCATCAAACCTAATGAAATTGAAATATCCATCCCAGTTACGTAGTATCATTATCTTCTGGGTGGGTGTTATGGGAACTAGAGTCAAGGAAGATTCCCTTTCACTGACAATACTGTCATGACTCCTGTCTGTAGTCTTCTAGTTGCTGAATTCTTACATAGATTGCCTCCGGCATTAACATATTTTGATCATGCCTGAGGGCATCCAACTTTTAAGCAATGAGAATGCACCATTGTATGATAGCGATTTCCATATCAAGCTTCAAGGCTCCCACATACACATATCCTAGCATCAATACTCACTGATAATCAACTCATCCAAATGATAGTTTCCTGTGCAAATTGTTGCAAAAGAAAATTTGTTTTTAAGAGATTTTCTTTCTTCAACATTACACATGTCCCAGTACATGCATTGCATATTTTCCTAGTACATTGTAAGAATGGGCTTCTCCAATGTTTTATACTAATTCCAAGTTTAATTTGCTTGAAATGAAATGATGCATTGCAGCAGGAAAATTTCAGCGAAAAGAGGATGCAATAAGAGTGGGCACGATACATGGTTTATCTCATTAACTTGGATAAGTGAGGAGAAAGAGTGAGAAATACTCCCGCAGTGGTAAATTGGAGCCAAATAGCCAACAACTGACTTTGAATACCATGTGAAATTGGTATGGCTTAACTCGAAAGTCAAAAATGAATAACAGACATTTGTGAGTGTGTAAATACTGTGATCAGAACTGTGCTTTAGAGAAGTTTCCCTAGTAATGTAAGTGGAATCAAGAGAATAGAGAAATCTAGGCAGCACACATCAAGAGAGATAATACAGTGTCGAATTAGAGATAATAGTTGGATTAGAAAGTTGGGTACTGGGAAGATAGCTTGATTTCATGAATGTAGTACTAGGATGAAGTAAGAGAAAAATTTTTGAATTACAGGGAACATATTTTATGTGTCTCTTATTCATTCCTTATCTGTCTTTTTCACCTCTAGGAAGTTTTTATATGTTCTGTTGATCCACATAGCATGCTGAATTAGCCACTTCTCTATTTAAACAGGAGTTTCTCTATATTCAGGCAAAATTCTAATAACAAAGTATTGAATCCATAAATATTATTTGACAAAGACATGTCTCCAAATAATAATATGAATACATTGACTGAAAATAAAATTTTATTTTAAAGGAATGCAAGTATTAGGTCAAAATTTAGTGATAGCCTGACTTTTCTCAAAAGCTCTAAATTTCTCTAGACATGATTCATAAGATGATGGCCCTACTCTTATTTTAAATTAGGAGTATCCTTAACATTACAGAAATACTTATACCACACTTAATATTTACTTTGAAATATGAATTTTTGTTTAAAATGTAGGATGCTAATAAAAGAGCATTTAAATAGTTTCTGAGTTTATCTTGCCAATTAACAACTTCATCCTAAGTAGTTTAAAATTTTTGTCTTGTACAAGGAAGATATTTTTGAAAAATTCAATCTTGTGCCCTAAATCTTGGTGAACATTTTGTTAAACCTTGTGGATGACATTTTCACATCTCTGTAATCTTAGTTCATGAAAGAAAAAGCCAGAACAGAATGCTTTATCAGCTAATCCTCACATTTTACTTTCACACCCATGGGAGACATTCTCATTTTAGCGGACAGCCGTAAATTTTTATAATCACTGTGTTATATCTAGTACTTGCAGTTTGCTGGCCACTTTGTCAGCTGTATTGACATCTGATAGCCAGGCTATACCTAAAAGGACTTTTCAGGGAGATTGGTACTTTTTTCCTGTTGACTTGGAGCAATCCTGCGGTAGGACACTCATATTCTGCAAAGCAAGGAGACTGAGCCCCATCAAGAATAGTTTCATGACAATCAATCGCACTTGTCAACAAGGACATTAGACTATGACCCATTCATGGTAAACAATGCACATCGTTTTCACAGAAACATTGTGTTAAAAAGACCCACAGAAAATCAGTGCGCTTAAAATGTTCTGCATTATCTTTCATGAATTATGTAATACCAAATTGAACTTTTCTCTTTGCATTCCACAATAACTTGCCCTCCTTGACACTGAAGTAGAAAGAGAATATTTCTGTGAGTCAACTTGCAAGTTTTCTCTCAACAGGTATACTCAAGTTTACTGTGTGCTATGTATACTTAGGTACTTTTTGTAGACAGACGGTGAGGAAAAGACCTAAACATAATTCCTGCCCTTAAAAATCTTAGAATTATTTGCAACATTTTTCTCCCAGTCTCTTATTTCTCCATTCATTCTCCTAACAAGAATTTTCACAGAGAAAATTTTATAGTAGGTTAGATTTATAAATTTATAGTTGCATGAACCATGTTTTTAATGTCAAATCAGAACTTTGTCTACTCCTAAGTTCTGAAATTTTTCTTCCATGCTTTTATTTTCTAAAAGTTATGTAGGTTTACATATATATTTCAGTTTATGAAACACTTTGAGTTAATTTTTGTAAAATGTGAAGTTTAGGTCAAGGTACTCCAGCATAATTTGTAGAAAAATCTAACCCTCTTTCATTAAATTTCTTTTGCACCTTTTTCAAGGAGACACATTTGTGTGAGTCTATATCTGTTTCATTGATCTATGTATCTATCACTCTGCAAGTACCACACTGTCTTGCTTTGTATCTAGAGTGTTTAAAGAATAAGAGGCAATCATAATACTGAAAGATGGCCGGGTGCAGTGGCTCATGCCTGTAATCCCAACACTTTCGGAGGCCGGGGAGGGCAGATCACTTGAGGTCAGGAGTTCAAGACCAGCCTGGCCAACATGGTGAAACCTCATCTCTAGTAAAAATACAAAAGTTAGCAGGGCATGATGGCATGTGGCTGTAATTCCAGCTACTTGGGAGGCTGAGGCAGGAGAATCGCTTGAACCCGGGAGGTGGAGGTTGCAGTGAGTCAAGATTGCACCACTGCACTCCAGCCTGGGTGATAGAGTGAGACTTGGTCTCAAAAAGAAAAAATAAATTCCTGAAAGATACATCCAGAATGCCATAGTCCTGAGCGTTAAAATCCTGAAAAAACAGAATTCTTAAAATCTAAAATCCTGAAAATCACAATCATAAAAGATGAAAATCCTAAAAATACAAACTGGGAAAAATAATTACAAGTTCTTTAAAATATATTTATTTACATTTTTAAAAGATAATTTATTTGCAAAACATAAAACAACAGAGTGCTTCTTAGGCCACTTTACATGATAAAATAGGCAATTATACATATTTTTGGCAATCATAAGCACTCAGGTATACTAATGAAAGTCATATGGGTATGATAGCTCAGTTACAAGCAAACTAAACATATTCATAAAGAAATAGGTCAAAAGGAGAATGGTATAAATGGACCTCACTATGGTTGTTAATTGTGTGTACCCAGCTTTAAAACTGTGGCTATCTCAAATACTGTGATGAAAGCCTAAGCCTTTTGATGAGATCAATAAAAAACTGCAGTGGGTCACCACCACATAGGCAGTCACCCCAAAAGCCAAGATCTCGAGAGATTTCATCTTTCACTAGTCCAGATAAACAAAATAGACATCACTTTATATATTGAAGAAGTTTGAGTCTTTTTACGTACATGTGCAGTATTTACACAAAAAGTCAATGTTGTGATAATGCAATTTCCTGGAGCTAAGTTTGCAAAAATGCATAAAACAAATTAGAACTTTCTAAAAGTCTCTCCACAGTTTGTACTTCTCATATTAGAAATAATGTGAAGATAAAAATACCTAGAATCGTATATTGTAAAATATAATCCTGACAATTTATAATAGTAAAAAAATTAATCAATTACAAATCAAAATATAAAAAAGTGTACTGCAGGGATTGATTACAGGCCATTGTGCAAAGATAGAACATAAAAGCTGACGTATTTTCACAATCATTTACTGTATGTTGAAGCTTTGTGTCATGCTAAATAGCTCTAAGAACATTTAGGACATGGCTCTCTTTATAGTTTATGTCCACGTTTATTTTCTACATGGCACTGCTCTTTTTGATATTCTTCTATAATTTGACATCGACCAACACGAGCATTCCTTTTTAAATTTTCTCATCTTCTGTGCCATGCTCCTATGTTGTTTTGTGTACCTAGAAATCCATTCCATGTGCATTCATATTCAGGCCACATATTTGGTGGAACCAATACTGGTGATTGAACAGCAGTATCATGGCATGTTTTCGTATCCTACCATAAACATAATTACTTTCAAACTAGTCAGTCATTTTGCTGGATTCTTCAGGCAAATGAGGCTTTAATTCATTAAAAGATCCTGAATGTCATCAGCTGGAAGTAATGCCAATGTCCGCAAATGATGTATTTTTTAAAGTGAAGTTTTTGTCATTGCCATATCACATGGCCAACTCACTCATCTAAGTTTTCTGCCAAATGCAAATAAAGGCAACAGCAAGGTAATAGTTCCACCAAAAATGATGCAATTAACATGATGTAACCATCCCGCATACAACTGAAAATGCAGTAATTCCTTTCCCAAAATTCGGCTTTTTGGACTTCAACATTTGGGATTTTAATATTTCAGGATTGTGATTTATGGTGTTTTAGAGATTCGGAATTTTGATCTTTAGGGATATTGATTTGTCAGAAATTTAACACTTAGAATGATGGCATTTGAGACTGTGTCTTTTACGGTTATGATCCAAACCCCTAAATAACTCTTAAATCTCAAATTAAATGACGACAACAATAATACAATAAGAAAATGAGAAAAAGACATAAAAATACAATCCACTGAAGACACTACAGAGATGACAAATAAGAATATGAAAAGATACTCAACATTTTCAGTCATTATAGAAATTCCAGCTAAAACCACAATCAAATGCAAATTAAAAGCACACATATCAGAATGGTTAAAATACAACAAAAACTTAAATGATGGCAAGAATGTAGAGAAACTTGATAACTCATACATAACTGACAGGAATGTATTATAGCCACACTGGAAAAGAGCTTGGCTGTTTACAAAAAATCTAAAACTGAACTTACTACATGACCCAAAGTTGAACTCTTGGGCATTTATCCCAGTGAAATGAAACCTTATGTTCACAAAGATATTTGTACATGGATGCTGCTATTTGTATATGGCATATAGGAATAGTATTGTTTAAATCCTAATTTCAACAATTTATTTAAAGTTACATGATTGCATGAAGAATAAAGATGATGTTTTATTCATCCACATGTACTTTTATTTAAAAGGTAATTTTAATGTCAAAGAGCAAAATATAGCTGCATTAAGACATTTATGGGAATAATTTCAAAGTCACATTGCAAGGGAGTGTGAACATAGGAAGGAAAATAATTGTAGCTAATTTTTTAAGCAATCTACACCATATGGGCATGAAAGGTTGAGCTTAATGTTGAAGTGAAAAAAATAAAACTAGCTGAAACATAAAACAAAAGATTATTCCTGTAATATTTAGAATAAATATTAATCTCTATAACAAGGACACACAAAGATACAATGGTTCAAAGAACATTGATGTTTACTTCTCTCTTCTATAAGGTTGTCAATGGAACCCATTTATTTAGCTGGACAATTCTCTCATGCTCACTGAACCTAAGGTAGGTATTCATTTTACCACTTCACAAACAGAAGGACACAAAAGAGAAGGCAAAAATAAGCAAATGTGTCTTTAAACAAAAATAATAGTCTCTAGCTGAGCAATGATGCTCCTCAACAAAACACACAATTTCTTTTCTTTTTAAAATGGCAAAAATGGATATTGTGGGGAATTAGTAGTGTCCATGGAAATAACATTCATCATTAAAGCCCTAATGATCCCAAAGTTGGGTTTACTATAAAGCAGCAGCAAAATGTTATCTTGTGTAATGGTTCCCTAGGAAATTAATTGCTAATAAGGGGGTAAAATACCCTAGGGTAAGATATTTAAAAAATACTAGTGTAAAACTGTACATTTTTTACATGATTACTTTAAAGATTTAATTTACCATTGTGCATTATAACCTTTCTTATAGAGTGGTATTTTGAGCAGCATTTTCTTGAGAAATTTTTTTGGAGGAGGATTTAACAAAAATAGTGTTCTGAAAAAAATACACTGGAAAATATTGCCATAAAACTTATATTATGTTAATGATGATCTTATGTCAATGACTTATTCATATCATTTGAAACATTATAGATATACTTTCCTTCCAACTATTCAACATCACATTTTGGCTACAGTATATACCCATGGAATTTGAGTGAATTAATTAATCTTTATGAAAGTATGAAAATATTTGTTCACAAAAACACATAATAAGCTCAAAATAGCAGAGAGAGATGAAGAAGAATACAATTTAAAATGTTGAAAACATTTTCTCATACATGAAACAAAAGAAACCTAGAGTGAGAGAGTAAAGAATTGGTTGAGAAGTTCATATATTCCAATTAAGAATATACTATGCAATATTTTGTAAAGGGTTTGTTTAATTTTTTGTTCTTCTGTCTTTTTATTTAGACCTCCACAAGGACAGAAATGTGTTTATTATCATTGCTTTTGTTTTTATTATTATTACTTTTGTAGTATCATCGAAACCTTGAATAGTGACCAGAACTTAGGAAGCACCCAATAAACATTTGTGGAGTAAATTAATTCCACTGAGATTTATTCCTGAAAGACATACCATAAGCTGTACTAATGGGGGTTAATTAATAATTCCTTAATTAATTGAAAATGCTGTTTCAATATGTCAGAACACATGGGTATTCACACATGGTTTGTTGAATTGCATCTCCAAGTTGTTAAATTAATAGCTCAGATATCTTGAGCTCTGGGAATTTTATTCACATTCTGAATTCTCCTCAAACTATTTACTTAAGGGTTTAAACAACAATATAAAACTCCTTTGAGGGAATGATGAAAAAATTAAAGGGCTTGTTTTGAACAAGAGACTATTAATATGAATAGGTCATACCCAGGTTATAAAAACATTTCTGAATTTAATCCTCTTGCTAACTACAGTATATACCCACGGCCATCAGGCACTTCACTTAAAGATATGTGTGTTTTCTAAATTCAAAAAAATGTGATTTCAGGTGTTTATAAAGCTCATATTAATATATTTTAATAAATTAACTCATTCGGTAGACTTGAAAAAGAATAGTCTTATTTTGGTTTGACCTTAATCTACATATTATGTTTTAGATTCACCCTAACTTAACATGGAAATATCATAATTTGGTCTTTATCTAACTTATATAAGATTGGTTGTTGGCTAAATATTTTTGACTCATATCATTGTAAATATAGAACATTTTTCTTTCACACTGTACTTTCTGAGATTTTTTCTCTTAATCCTTAATTAAAGGAAGTATCTTTATTGCCAGAAAATCTTCTTGTCCCTAGTTTTCTTTATTCCAAAAAAAGTCAAAAGAGGGTTTATGATTTAAAGGCATTTGGTAGAAAAGAGATGAAAGGGGAAGAAGTAAATATCCTGTGTTTATCGCATATTTTTAAGGTAACAAAACAACAATATATTTTGTGTATTAATGCATATGTGTAATAGTATTATAAATTTTAAAAAAGACAAAAAAAAAAAATAACCCAAACACATCCAGTGATAATGATATTAGTTCCAAAGCTGCCTCTAAGGACTGAGGAGAAATGGTATGAAAGAATAGAGAAAAGGAACAATGAGCTTATCTGTAGTATTTTTTCTTGTGTTAAAAAAAAAGTATAAAATTTAAAAGCCAAATGAATATTTGTTCATTCTAGATGGTGAGCTGTTAATTAGTTTCTATACATTTCTGTGCTATAACCTTCGTTTTCAAAACTTATATAATTACAAAAGCAAAATCTATTTCTGTACAGTTGTTAAACTTGCACCATGCATTTAAACTTACAAAATTCTGAGAAAAATCATCTAAAGAAATCTATTAACACTTAGAATTTAATCATTTTAACTGTTAACATATTATTCATCTTATTGTATACAAGTAATGTGACACTTTTTCTATAAAGCCACTGCTAAATTCCTAGCCCCATACAATAAAAGCATCTCCAGAATGTATTCCATCTCTTTCACTTCTTCATTTCTTTAATTCCTCAAATATACATTCCCCCTTCTGAAACAGAAGCATACTCCTTGGACCTTGTTCATTTTCTGAAACTTTCCTTTTGTCACCACTCAGAGAAATTTGTGTTTTATTTTTTGTTTGCTTGTTTTGTTTTGCTTCATCACAACACACACTTGAAAGTTCTAAGCCCTTACTCACGGCATTATCTCTGCCTGGAGGGCAAGTCCTCCATTGTCTGCTCAGTAGAAGCCCTCTCAACCTTCACTCCCATTTTTCAGTCAGCTTGCTACAGATTTATCTGATAACTCATCACTTTCACTGCTGCTCATGCTCCCTTGTACAAATCCCTATTGCTGCAAAGACATGGCCGCTTTCAAGAGACTGATCTGACTTTCAAACTATAAACGATAATCATGGAAGCCAGAAGCCTCTGGTCTGAAGACCACTTCATGTACCTTACTATAATGGATGAAAGCAGATACTTGAAATAAAAAATATTAGTTTCTAGTCTTGTCTCTGCTACTTAAAAGGGGAGTACTTTGGAAGAGTTTCACAAACCTTATTAACTCTGTTATGTTCATACACAAAATGGAGGTAAGAAAATACACTTTAGGATTGCTGTGAGGGTTAAGTTTGCCTATCATATTTCTGCCTTCTAGAAGTGCTCAATATATATTAGTTATCTGTCTTCATGATGAGTAATGTGTTTGCCTCTATGCCCACTAGAAAGAGATCTCCTTTGTTAGAAAAACCCCCGATTGTTGCCCAAGGAACCACCACCAAAATCTTGTGCAAAAATATATGCTTTTATTACTCAAAATGTGAAGACTTATTAGAAAAGGGAGCAGCCCCCTCTATAAAGTCCCCTTACTATTCTCAGAAGACTTCTTAAAAATGTGTATTAGTCTAGGCATTGATGCAGGAATACAAAAGAAATAAAATAGGCTGTGCTTTCAGGGCACTTCTCTAATTAGACAAGCAGATACAGTATTTACACAGATAATACCAGGGCACGAAAGGAGAAGAAATAAGATTTTGAGATAGGTTTGTCCAAAGAGCTTTACAGTAATGCAAAATTTCACGTTAATGACCTTGCTTTTAAATATCTGAGCAATTGCAAGATCAGTGACAGTTGTTTTCAGTCTGATAAAAGAACAGAACCACAAAAGGATTTTTTTTCGGAAATCACACCATAACGGCAGGTCATTTTTTTTTTTTTTAATAAACAGAAATATATTTCTCACAGCTTTGGGTCTGGAAGTCCAAGATCTAAGTGTGAATATAGTCAGGGTGTGGTAGGGGCTTCCTTCCTGGTTTGTAGACTGCCTACTTCTTGTTGTGTTCTCTTATGGTGGCAGGAGAACAAAAGAATACTTCAGAGTCCCTTTTATAAGAGTGCTAGTCCCTTTCATGAGGAATCCACCCTCATGACTTAATTACCTCCCCAAGTCCTCACCTTCTAATACCATCACCTTGCGGGGTTAAGATTTCACCACAGAAATTTTTAGGGAATGCAAATCCTCAGCCAATTGCATTCTCTCTGGGGAGCTTCTGGTTTGGATTTAACATCTCTCCTTTGTGCTCTGATAAGACTTTTGTTTGCATTATATGCTTATTTCACTGTACTGTCAGATATTTGCTCTCCTTACTAGACAGTAGTTTATTTACTTAGCTCATTTTAATAGACAAGTACTAATTGCGTATATTTATGGGGTACAATGTGATGTTTTGATCTATGTGTTACGTTGTAAAAAGATCCAGTCAAGCTAATTAACATATCCACCATCTCACCAACTTATTTTTGTGGTGAGAACATTAAAAATCTATTATTTTAGCGATTTTGAAATATAATGCCAAGTTAAATAAGCTAGGCACCAATGAGAAATACTGTATGACCTCACTTTTATGTATAACGTACAAAAGTCAATCTCATAAAAACAGAATTGAAAGGTGGTTACCAGAGGCTGGGTAGGAGAAGGAGGGATGGAGAAAGGGAAGATGTTGATCAAAGGGTACAAAGTCCCAGTTAGACTGCAAGAATAAGTTTAGTGATTTCTTGGACAGCATCATGACCAGTTAGTAATAATGCATTTTATGGCTTAAAATTGGCAAATCATTTTTTGAATATTCAATGTTCAGGGTCTGCACTAGGACAGGCAATTCATGTTAGTACCATGGACTTTTTAAATTTTTTTTGGATGTAGCAAAGTACTTAGACTGAGAATTTCTAATTCCAGATGATGAGTTTTGTTTATTTGGATAGGAGACCTTAAGCCAGTTTTCTCACAAGTAAAATACGGATTACGATGCCTATGTCAATAGTGGCACTATGCTGATTAAACAAAAATAGATTTAAAAATGTACTATTACCTCTAAGGTTACTTTATTAGACATGGCTATTATTATTATTAGGGTGTTCTCTTAGGTTGGGGCTAAAATATATGTTTCTAATTCTGGTAGGAGACCCTTATGCAATTCTTTTTAGCTTAAAGCTTCCTCTCACTCTGTATTTAATGCCACCTCGCTTCTAGATAAAAATAGAAATAAAAATTATAACTTTTGATGATAATTTTTACAAAATCACATCAAGATTCTAGTGTATCTACTTTAAGAAAAAATAAACTGCACATTTTGTAAGAAACAGAACACTTACACTGCCTAAGCTTTTGTGAAAGACCTCTGTTCTCACAAAAACAGGAAAGACCATGCCTATCAAACATACATCATGAGAAACGGAATTTGTGATGGGACCTTATTTCTAAACATTGCTGTCTTAGCAGAACTTCAAGGAAGTCTAGAACATCACCCAATTCTCGAATAGGTTTCAAGAGTCCTAAAGGACTCTTTAGGTCTCCCATCCCAGAATGTGAATAGTCTTGACCTGCTCAGATATCCTGGGAAGAAAAAAATCTCCTAAGAATAATTTTGGAAATGTAAATTTCTGACAAAAATTTATGCTTCAATGGGCCTTCTATGCATCACTTGTTCTGAAAATGTCCCATTTCTTATCTTAAAAAAAAGCTAAATTATGAACATCACTCCTTACACTAAGTCACTAATAAACACTATTTTAGATTAGACTACAGAATTACATGTTTCACATTAAAAATAATTTATGGCAATTACATTATAATGGTAATGCAGTTTATTTATTTTATAAATACAATAAGTGCTTACTGACTGGTACAAATGTGTCATCATCACATAATTTTAAACAAAAATTCTCTGAATTTCAAATACTTCTATAATCCACTAAAATGTTGAGGAGACTGATAGAGGTAAAATTCCATTATGATGAAATGCAGTACTTCGACTCTGTTGTGTTGTTATAGGCTTATCTTATAATGAATATTTTATTTGATATCAAATTTCCAGTCAGCAGAATTTGAGAAAAATTTGAATTGATGCCCAGTTTTTCTAATTCATTAGTGAGAAAAAAAAATACTTTGAACTCAGCAGAGGAAAAAGGGAAATGTTTACTGTCATCTTTATATCCCTATGCAATAAACTGGAAAAATAATTTAATGCTTTTCTTGTCACACTTTCCGTCTCACTCTTCTTCCATCTTCTCTTATTTTTCCCTTCTTTCACTGCCAAGTTTCTCTCTCTCTCTCTCTCTCTTTCTCTCTGTCGGCAAAATCCTGAACATTTAGTTTCAATGAGTGGTTTAAAGTTGTAAGAGGCCTTAGGGGAAGGGGATGACAATATTTGAGATTTAGAATATATATAAATTGAAAATGGGTAATAGAGAAATTAGAAAAATAATATCTCTGTTTCAATTTCTTTGGTCTCAAACTTTTTGGGCTTGGACTCACTTGACTCACTCTGGTAATGCAAATTACACTTATATTTTGTTTTGATAATGGCTGTTTCTGGGATTGAGACCACAGGAATTATCCACACTGTAATTTGATTCATTGTAGAGGATTCGATGCAATCACATTATTGTAGTTCACTCAATATTGGCCATCTGCCTATGGTAGAAATAACTTGGTTAAGAAGAACATTTCTTTGTAATGATGTTTGCTACAAATGGGTTTAAGAAAGAAAAGTGCACTCTCTGTTATTTGTGTGTGTATTCAATATTTGGTTGCTCTTTATGTCCTTTATGACAGGGATCATACATCTAAAATTATGCTAAACTAAATGAAGTGCTTAAATAGTTCGATATTTGTTTATAGTTTTGTTGAAGATGATTATAATGGATACAATGATAATGATAACAGTGCAAATTTGATGATGAAGATGATAATGCATAAAAATAAATGACAAGCTCAAACACAGGAGAGATAATGGACTCTTCTTCAATGACAAGTGTTTATGTAATTGAAAATATAACACTGTACAGTTCTGTCTATATTAGAAAATTCAAATTCTGACATACATATTGCGTACTAATTAGAGTTTTTGTCGTGTTATCAAATTGCTAGTTTAATGACTATTTTTCCAAAATGCCAATTCTATTTTTTTCTTTTAGTGTGTATATTAGTTTCCCAGGACTTCTTGAACAAAGTGCTTCAAACTATGTGGCTTAAAATACCAGAAATTTTTGTGCACCAAAATTACCACTAATTATACCAGAAATTACCAGAAATACCAGAAATTACCAGTAAATACCAGAAATTACCACTACAGAACTTATCCGTGTAACCAAAAACCACCTGTTCCCCAAAAACTATTGAAATAAAACATTAAAAAATTAAAATAGGCCGTGCGTGGTGGCTCACGCCTGTAATTCCAGCACTTTAGGGGGCCGAGGCGGGTGGATGACGAGATCAGGATATCCAGATCATCCTGGCTAACACGGTGAAAACCCGTCTCTACTATAAAAATACAAAAGAAAATTAGCCGGGCATGGTGGCAGGTGCCTGTAGTCCCAGCTACTCGGGAGTCTGAGGCAGGAGAATGGCGTGAACCCGGGAGGCGGAGCTTGCAGTGCGCCAAGATTGCACCACTGCACTCCAGCCTGCGCGACAGAGCGAGACTCCGTCTCAAAAAAAAAAAAAAAAAAAAAAAAAAAAAAAAATTTAAGTAGAGACTGCAAAAAAGGAAAATGGACTAATTTTATGAAGAAAAGTGAAATTATCACCTAATCAAAACAAAACAAACCACAAATTTATTCTGTCAGAGTTCAGGGGGCTGGAAGTCCCTGAGTAGGGTGCCAACATGGTTACTTCCTGGTGAGTGCCCTCTTTTGAGTCACAGACTGCAGCCTTCTTATTTTATCCTCACACAAGAGAAAGAGCAATAGAGCTTTCTAAGTTTCCTTCTATAAAGGCACTAATTCCCTTCATAACGGCTCCATCCTCATGACCTGGTTAACGCCCAAATGCCCCACCTCCTAATACTATAAGCATGGGTGGTTAGGAATTCAACAAATGACTTTTGGAGAAACACAAAATGTCCATAGCAGAGGCCAAATTTGGAAATGAACATGTTGGCAGGTTGGTTCTTTCTGGAGGCTCTGAAGGGAAATCCGTTTCTTGTTTCTCTCCTAGCTTCTGGTGGTTGCCAGCAATCCTTGATATTCCTTGGATTGTACATTGATCACTGCAGTCTTTGCCTTCATTTTCATAGCATCCCCTCCATGTATCTCCATGTGTCTTTACATTACCTTCTTCTAAGGATACCAGTTATTGCACTTAGTGCCCACTCTAATTCAGCATAATCTCATCTTAACTATTTATACCTGTCAAGACACTATTTACAAATAAGATCATATTCTGAGGTTCCCAGTGGACTTTAATTTTGGAGAGACACTATTTAACCTACAAAAGTTGTCTCTAGATCCTTAGATCCTTTGGATCTCCCCACTCGGGAAACAACCTCGTTATTGGGGAAATAACCTAGTTTATTGGGTTATTATAACCAACAACCTAGGTAATTGGCAAAATAACCTAATTATTTATGATTACTTTAAAAATAACGGTACTTTATTACAACTCTTGATAGTCTAATCTATGATATAAATGCCATATTAGTTTTATAATAATATAGGAAATAAAATATTTATTTTGATTGCTTTATCTTTAGCATTATCATTGTTACATTGCTTCATTTTATTTTTATTATTTTTATTAATGTCTTTTATTACAGTCATTTTTATATTATTTTTATTTTGAATTTTATTTACAAACTATTTTCCTTTTTTGAGAAAACTACATTCTATTAATTTAGCAGACATTAACAAGCCTATGATGTTACCCTCACATTTCTAGATACTTTGAAACTTTAATATAAATTAGATATAGTTTGTTGCTCTTAAAGTTACTGTAGTAAGAATGATGTATTTGTGTCCACCTCTGTAAATACTATTTATCTTAAACATCACAGTTTTGGCAAACTGTTTGGTAAAGTGAAACTTTTATCAACTTCATGGCTATTAATAAGTGATGCCAGGACTAGTGTTTAAGCTTGCGACTTTCATAAAATGCTAGAATATTCTAAGATATGAATTTCAAGTTATTGGTGAGACAAAATCAACACACATTCAAACACACACAATTTATAAGAAACAATTGATTTGGATTTTGTGAGTAGAAGTGTATTTTTTCATGTGTATGCATTGTGTGTGGGAGTAACTGCATACAAAGGCTTTCAGGATTCAGGAGCATTATAAGAAGCCTCAGAGGTCCTCTAATCCAATTTACCACCAAGGCATGGTTCTTCTGCACAGTATTATAGAGATGGTCATTTGGCCTGGTGTACTGCAGGAAGGAGGCTACTCACTACCAATTCCATTTCAGAGAAACCCCCACCATAAGTATCTTTGTGGCAGCCTCATTTTTGGTAACATTTACTACTCCCTCAGCTCAGTCCTTTGGCATAAAAAAGGCAGCTTCAGTCTAACCAGGAAGGGATACACATATGGTAATATTTAGACTGTTGAGAGATATGGCAGGTTAGCAGGTCAATTTCAGAAGCCTTAGAGGTTTTCGAACATGATCCTGATGTTAATGGGTATGCGGTGGCTAAAAATAGGTTCTACTGCAGAAAACTGCTTAGAAGATTGAGCTATGGATGGCCTTCTGCACCTCAATGTCTTCTTTGCTTCTGGGGTTGCAGGTCAAAAGTAAACCACAGAAAAGAGGGGGAGATATTCATGGGCTTTTGAATAATCTTGTAGCATGGTAGCAGAGCTCAGGGTCACAGATCCTGACACCTGGGGAAGGGAGGTAGGGCTGGGATTAGAGAGGTCTGAAGAATTCTAACCTTTATTCAGAGTTTCTGCTCTGGGGCCTCGAAAGATATATATTCTCAATAGCAGATATCTCCAAAGCATCTGAATCTTGAGGGTGAGTGAAGAGGATATGACATTTAGCTGCAGCTTCTTAGAGACATATCAGATCACTGAGAAGCAAAGTGGGCAACTGTTAAGAACTGTAAAAAGTATGAGATATTGACTCAGAGTACAACTTGCCAAGGTAACTAGCCACAGTTTCATAGATACTAGCAGACGACATGAGTATCCTGGGTCAGAGACAAAGGACTTCAGTCCTCAGTAAAAGCAATAGCCAGTGTATCAGGATTGTTTTGCTCTAGTTTCCTAAGGCCCTGATTATGCAAGGCAATGCAAGAAGAACCAGGTACAATCTGGACCTAGAGTGTGTTGCATTATCTGAGGGGAATTCAGATCTGAGGAGCTTGAAGCTATTAAAACGTGCAATAAAGCATGCCTGATCTTTGCTCAGGAGAGACACACTGTAGCAGAATTTCAAGATTTTTTGCTATATAATCATATTAAAAAAGATAAACCAAAAGAATGGCAGTCCATTCAAAAGATGTGCCAAAATGTAAGAGATCTATGGAGAATTGTCTCCCCATAATAAAAGTATTATAAATTTGAAATAAAAAATAAAGTTTTAAAACATCAATCACAGTGATTTATGTGAACATACTTTTTATCTTTGGCATAATTCACACAGATTATCTTTCCCTATTCTCTGAAGCAAATATTATAATACAGAATAGTACTGGTATAGAAACAGCCGATTTTTGTGTGTTTCTAGAACAATTATTTTTAGCTTTTGGTGGACACATACAATAGTCAAGATAAAGTTTGTTTCTCCAGGGGAATCAAAAGATAAAAAAAAAATTATGCCTTTCTTACCTTACTCTTTTTATCATTTCACTGAATCTCATGAATTAAAACTCAATTAACACACTGAAGTTCCACATTTTATTCTTCTTGCTTGAATCTCTCTTCATTTTCAAATGCTTATAAAACTTCTCCCTTTAGATGTCTGGTAATCATCTCAAACTCAGCATGACCAGGGCAAAAGCCTCTTATTCTCAACTCCTAAACCTTCTGAGGTTTTCTTAAATTCAATGGGAACTTTAACTTGTGGATTGCTTAGGTTGATTATTTTCTTTATCTAACATCACACACAGATTCATCAGCAAAACCAAACCTTGTATTTTCATAATCTATCCAGATGATAGACTTTCCACTGCTTCTGTTGCTACCACCTTCTTTGAATGTGTGATCCTCACTTCTGTTATTGTCCTTGCCTTTGAACTAGTTTCTCTGCTTTTGATCTTGCCCTCTTACAGTGTATTTCAGTACAGCAGCAAGAGTATTCTTTTAAAAATAGTTAATGTCACTTCTCCGTTTTAAATTTTCCAATGGCTCCCAGTTTCACTTGGAGTATATCCTAAATCTTTTCAATGGCCTACATGGATCTACATGATCTCCCAGTCCTTATTGTCTTTTTGACCTAGTATTTTACAACTGTCCTTCTCCCTGGCAGCTTTCCAGCTCCAGTTGCCTTAGTGTCCCATGTGCACTGCGGTAGGCTCTTTATAACTGCTATTACTCCGCCTGGATTCTTTTTCCCCCGATATATCCATGAAGATCTCTTGCATTGCTTTCAGAATTTTCCTCAAATGTCACCTCTCCTAACCATCCAACAAATATTATAAAAATCAAGTGTCCACTACCTTTGTTATATATTCATTCCTATTCTGCTCCTTTGTTTTGTTTTCCCTTTATCTTAGTATCACTTACCAGCCTGAATCAGAAACTCCATACATGGTAGATGGTATTCCTCCCCTCTTATTTGGTGCCACTCACTGGGGAACAGAGCTAGTGGAGAAATGCTCTAGCATTCTGTCTTTCTTAGTAGACAATCCCCAATAAATATTCTTGATGCTACTCGGGAAGTGCCAGTAAAGACAATACAAACCCCCCTTACCCAAAGCAGCACAGTGGACTCTGTAGGGTGCTCTCATAATAGTTCTTTCCTCCTTCTCTGTCTCACTCGCCACACAGCCTGATTCTAATTTTCTGGAGTAACATATTATAAAAACTACCTAAATCCAACTCCATATCTCATGCTCCTTTTTGTGGGAAACAAATCTAAGATATCGTGATTCTTAACTTAATACATGTTTTTAACATTTTATAGTTTTTACACTTACTGGTGGGGGGTTTACACATTCACCCTCTACTTAGGGCAATGTGGTTGCATTGGTTAATGAAATCTGAGTGAAACCTTTAAGAGTCAGCCTATGTTTTGCTGCACTCTGATTTTCCTAACCCAAGAAAAGCAGAAATGTTGCAGAGGGAGACTTCTCTGGCAACCTCGGAGCTGGAGTGAAGGCGATGTGAAGCATGGTTACAGCTAATCGTCATGATGGACATGAAACATAGGAACAGGGAAAAAGTAAACAAGCAAGCAAACAACAACAAAATGTATGTTTGCTGTTCTTAGTCATAGAAATTTTGGGGGTTGTTTGATCCTGTAGCAACAAAATCTGGTTTATACTGACCAGTAAGTCATAATTTACTCAGCTTTGTGTTTACTGTCTTCACCTTACTTTAACGTAATTCCCACCATGCAGGGAAATTTTTGTATTTTCTATTCCCTACTCTTTGCCCTCTACCAAGAACAATCCTAGGCAGGTACATACGAGATACACACTTGTTTAAAAAGTTATGCTGAAACCTTGTCAATTCATTGTTCCTCAAACACAACTAGCGAATTCCCACTGTGAAATCCGGTCTTGCTTTTCCTCTAACTCAGTGGTTTCCAGCCACTGGTGACTTAATCTTCCAGTTAGAACTGACAGATAAATTACAGCCAGGCAAGTTAACTTTGATTTTCAGACAATGGTTAATATGGGACATAATTGTGCTAAGTTATTTTTGTTGTTTGTCTGAATTTCAAATTTAAGTGGTGTTTTATTTTTTATTTGCTAAACTACTTAACTTTACTTGTGAAATCTGGCAACTCTAACACCTGGAGCCAGTTTTTCAATGTCTGGAGACATAAAACAGTTCCCACAATGAATAATTAATTTTCCACTATGTCAATAGTGCCGAGGCTGAGAACCATACTACCTGGATTGCTTACCTGCTTATTTTTGCACATCTGACTTCTATGCATTGTAATTGTCATTTATCCTAAATATTATTGGCTCCAGTAAGGTCTCATTTTCCTTTCAGAATTTTTTTTGCCTACATTATTTATGTGTTTTCTTTTAATCTTATGTATCTTCCCATGTGCTATTCTATATGGTATACAGTCCAAGTCACAAAAGTTTCTAAGCTATTTGAGGGCAGAGATACAATTATAATTTTCTTTACATCTGAAACCACATCCTGTGTAGACAGATTTTTAAGGTATATTGAGTAAAAGACGGAATAAATAAGAATATGCTTAGGCAGATACATGAATTTCAGTACAATACTACTTTCCTACTGAGTCTGCCCAGCCATTGGCAGACTACTTTTCACAGCCTGAGGAGTATACTAATTCCATTGTCAGTTGTAATCATCTATGTGACAGGCAGCCTTTTGCACATAATTATCTACTACAGGCAATCATTTTCCCTCTGAGATTTACCTGGTCTATTGTCTTCCCTGGATACAATAACAAGTGTTTAGCGTACTTTTACTGTATTCCATCTACACTATTACCTGAGACCATCATTATATAATACGGAGAGGAATTTTAATTATAAGACCTTTCAAAACTGCTTTCCCATATGAATTTGAATTTTTAAATAATGTTATTCCGAATGTAAGCAATATTCTTATCAACCAGTAGACATTTGAAAAAATTAAAATTGTACCTTTATCTACAGGCCTACATGAATACTGATATTTTTGGTTGGGGAAAGACTCTGGCCTTTTGCCATTTTAATATCATTCTCAAGATGCATTTTGATGAGATGAAGCCAAAAAGAATGAAGAACCTCTTGAGAGAATGTTGAACCAGATCAGGTCTCAAATCTTACTCTGATTCAAGTAAAATAATTAAATCTGGATATAGATATGCATACACATATATATGGTTTTCATTCAGTTGGCATAGATGCTTTAGTTATGTGCCTGCTATTTATGTTGTCTTTTAGCAAGTATTATATTCATATGTTCCTTCTCTACCCACTTTAGAAAACTTAATGAGAATACTACAAAAACAAAGGAAAATTATTTTTAAAATAAACACCTTATGGACATTTTTTAATAACTAAAACCACTACTATAAATGTATAAGTACCATGGTTGAAAGACAAAGATATATAAAGGAATGTGGATAAATAAGAAATAAAACTTTTTTAGATGGACATCAACAGATTCTAACATTCTTACTGCTTTCAAAACTGAAATATGACCACTAAGATGAATACGTAGGTATCTCTTAAGTAGTAGGAAAAAACATGAAGTCTTGGATAAAACATGCTTGTATAGCAAATAACTTTATAAACTTTTTGTACAAAAAGGTGCATCAGTCTAACTTCCACAGGCTGAATTTAAGTATAATTTTCCATTTTGTTTCGCTTAAAATGCTTTAGCAGGCTTACTTGTAGGCTTACTTCCCTGGGTAATAGCTTTCTTTTTTTCCCCAGTCAAGTTTGCTTACTTATTTATTTTAATGTATAAAAAATAACTACTGGTAAAAACCAAATTCACTCTGACTTTGTTTCTTGTAAATTATAATTGAGTTCCATTTACTTCTTTATCTGCATAGTAAATTAACTTCATACTTCATACCTAAGGGAAGTGTACTTAATTAGTTGCATTTGTTTTATGAAATGTAGCAGAGATCAAAATGTTGTATTATTAAACAAAAAAATAGAAGATACTTCTTTCAAGAAGATATGTCAAAGATATTTCAAAGACAATGTCAGTTTTTGAAAAGAAATACTTTTCCTTACATCTCCAGCTAAGGACAAACATAAAACCTCAACATCATATGTCAAACAAATAGAAGAAGACACTGAAAAGTGGAGAGAAGACAGACTAGCCATGGAATGCAGGCCTCAAATAACAAGACAGATGTGAGTCTTCTGTGATCCTCATGCACCAGACTTGCAGCTAAAGAAGTCAGAAATCTGGAAATTCCAAAAGGAAGAAAAAATCAATGCCTCAAGCACTGCCTGTTCTTCTCTCATAAAAGGATCAGGAAAGAAGGAGTGTAGTAAGTTGTACAACTTTTAGACAACTGACTAAAAAAGAAGAGAAAACTAAACTCAAATCATGAAGAAGGAAAGGAATCTTGAAGATAAAAAAATAACAAAAAGATCAGTGAAATTAAGAACAGAAAAATAAATGGAAAATACTAATGAAACAAAGAGATGGTCCACTGTAAAGATCAATAAAATTGACAAACTTCTAGCAAGACTGATTTTAAAAACGAATGAGAACACAAATTACTAATGTCTGTAGTTTTTTAAATGGCTACCATTACTGACTCTGGCAGATTTCAAAAGCATAGTGATGACATAAAACAAGTCTACATATGCGAATTTGATAACTTGAGCAAAATGGACTACTTTCTCAAAAAAGCACATTTAACTCAATATTAAATAAGTAATTTGAATAGTTCTATAACTATTAAAGAAGTTGAGTCCATAATTTAAAAGTTTCCATAAAGATTCTCCAAACTCATATGGTTTCACTGAGGAATTCTTTTGAACATTTAGGAAATAATTAATATCAATTTTAATTTATCTATTAAAAATAGAATAGTACAGGGCATTTTCCAATTCGTTTTATGAAGCTAACTATTACCCCAGTGCCTTAAAATGACTAAGAGTGCAAAAGAGAAAAGCACAGGTCAATATTCCTTATTGATATGGATACAGAAATCCACAACAAAATATAAGCAAATAGAATTCAGCAATATATAAGAAGTCATACATCATGATCAAATAGGGTTTATTTCAGGGGTAAAAGATTTATTTCAGTGGTGTAATTCATCAGAGTAATAGGCTAAGTAAGAAAGAAAAATTACATGATCATACTGATTAGTTCAGAAATAGCATTTGACAAAATTCAACACTCATTCATGATTTTAAAAATACCAAAAAAATACTGGGAGTGGTGCCTCATCCTTGTAATCCTAGTACTTTGGGATGCCAAGGCAGATGAATCAGTTGAGCCGAGGAGTTGGAGACCATCCTGGCCAACATAGTAAAACCCTATCTCAACAACAACAAAAATAAGGCAAACAAACAACACCACCACCACCAACAATGAAACAATTAACTGGGAGTGTTGGCACGCACTGGTAGTCCCATCTACTTGGGATGTTGAGGTAGAAGTATCAAGAGAGTCTGAGAGGCCTAGACTGCAATGAGCCTTGATCATGCCACTGCACTGCAGTCCGGGTAACAGAATGACACCCTCAAACACAGCAACAAAAAAGAAAATACCAAACAACCAAAATCTTTCAGCAAACTTGAATAAAGGGAACTTTCTTAACTTAACCAAAAATTTAAAAAAATAAATAAAATATACAATAAACCTCCAGTTAACCTTGTGCTTAACGGTGAAAAACTGAAATTTCCTCTGTGATCAACAGACAATGATGTCTAGTCTCACCATTCTATTCAATTCACTGCTAGAAGTTATAGTTAGTTCACAAAGGCAAGAAAATAAAATAAATGTCATATAGATCAGAAGAAAGAAATATAATTGTCCCTAATTGCAGATGACATGATTTTCTATGTAGATAATATCAAGGAATACAAAACAAACAAAAAACAAAAAAACTGATAAATACTCCTCTCCTACTGCTAATAAATGAGTATTCAGACACAAGTTGATCATACAAAAGTAAATTCCATTTTATATATTAGCACTGAACATATGAAAAGAAAAATTAAAAGCACAGTAACACGATCATGTGAAGAAAGGAAATACTTAAGTACAGGAAATAATTAGGTGTAAAACATATACAGAACATGTATGCTGAGGACTACACACAATGAAAGAAATCAAAGATCTAAATAATGCAGAAACAGAGCATTTTCATGGATTGGAAAACTCAAAATAGTAAAGACAGTAATTCTCCCAAAAGTGACATACAGATTTATAGTTTTAACACAATTTCCAGGAAATCCCAGTAAGACTTTTAGACATGATTAAGAAAATTACAAAATTTATATGGAAAGCAAGGGACTGGAATAGCTAAACAATTTTGAAAGAGAAGAATGAAGTGTCATTCTTCCAATTTCAGGAAGTGTCATTCTTTCAATTTCAAGAGTTCTTATATTACTAAAGTCATAAAGAATGTGTGGTATTGGCAGAGGGGTAGATATCACATAGAACAGTGGAAGAGAATAGAAAACCCAGAAATAAACACACAAATATCCCCAAACAATTTTTGACAAAAGTGAAAAGTGATCCAATGGAGGAAAGAACCTTTTCAACAAACAGTGCTGGAGTAAATGAAAATCTATAATAATAATAAAAAAAAAACCAGGAAGGCAAAGAATACCCAACCTTAATCTCATGTTAAGGAAAATGTAACTTGAAATGTATCACAGACTTAAATGTAAGATATAAATCTATAAAAGTGAGAAAAAATAGTATACAATTTTCAGGATGTAGGGCTAGGCAGAAAGTTCTTAGATGTGAAATCAGTACTGTGAGTCATAAAAGGAAAAAATCATAAATTGGATTGCATCAAATTTAAAAACTTTTCTCTGTGAAAGATCCAGTAGAGTACGAAAAGACAAGCAACAGAGTGAAAGAAAATGTTTGCAAACCACATATCCACAAAGGACTAGTGTCTATAATATAGAAAGGACTCTCAAAACTAAATTGTAGGAGCAAACAAAGCAATTCGAATATTGGCAAAAGACATGAAGAAACATTTCAACAAAGAAGACATATAGACAATGGCAGATTACCACATAAAAATATATTCAACTTCAGTAGCCATTAGGCAAATGCAAATTAAAACCATGTGTGAGCTATCACTACATACCTATGAGATAAAAAATAGTGAGACATGAAATGCTGAAGAGGCTATGGAACAACTGGATCTCTCATACTTTGCTGGTAGGAATGTAAAATGATACAGCTACTACGGAAAAAAATAGTTTGGTAGTTTATTTATTTATTTATTATGACTAGTCAAGTGCAGTAGTAAGACAAGGGGAGAGAGTAGAACAAGGAGTTCAATCTGTAACTGACTGTGAACAATCACTTGAAATAACTCACCACCTTCAGACCAGCCTTGAGAGTTTATTTAAACAAAGACAAAAATAACAATAAACAAGCAAAAAGACTAAACATGCATCTACCATGGAACCCAGCAACTGCACTCCTGTGCTTCTGCTATAGAGAAACAAAGATACACAAAAACCTGTTCATGAATGTTTATAGCAGCATTATTTATAACAGCTTCAAACTGGAAACAACCCAGATGTCTTTAATGGTGGACGGTTAAACAAACAGCAGTATATCAATACCAGGGAACACCACTCAAAAACAGAAAAGGAATAAGCAACTGATGTACACAACAACCTCAGTGAATCTCCATAGAATCATGCTGAGTGGGAAAAAAAATGCAATCCAAAAGGTTACATATTGCATAGTTCCATTTATATAACATTCTTGAAATGATAAAATTATACAAATGGGGAACATATTAGTGACTGCCATGGGTTAAGAAGGTGCTGGAAACACGTGAGAAACGAGAGTCTGTATACAAAGCAATGAGAGAAATTCTTGTCATGATGGAAAAGCTTTCATTTTGATTGCATCTCTGTCAATATTCTGATTGTAATATCATACACAGTTTTTCAAGGCATTACATTGCAGAAGCTGAGTAAAATATACACAGGATCTCACTGCATTAACTCTTTAAATTGTTTGCAAATCTAAAATTATCTAAAAATAAAAATATTAATAAAATAACCTTAATTTTGCAATTATGTTTACAATTCAGCTTCAGTTGCTTAATTTTATAGTAAGTTTAGTGTCTGAAGATTTTGCCAAATAAGGTGAAGTATCTTTGAAGTCATCCCTATGAAATTTAATAAATATATATGCAGGTATGTTCCATACATCACACAGAATTTTTCACTAATTATGCTACTTTTATTTATTTTTTCATTAAATATATAATAGATATTTACTGAATGCTAACTATCTCCTAGTCCAGTGTTGTTGCATAGGAGAGAGGCTGAGAATAGTATGATTTAAGTAGGTTGATCAGAATCATTTGATATATTGCCTTGTAGGGCATATTAAGTATTTGGAATTCTATTTTAAATACATTGGAGTGTCACTGATGGATCAAAAGAGTTTAAGGTTCATATGAGAAGATAGACTTTTTTTTTTCCAAATATGAAACGATTTAGTAGTTTCCATGAGAGGAACTAGAGAAATGTGTGATGAATGTTGAGACTTAAACTAAGTTATGTCTCATTTATCATTCTGTCAATTGCCACACCATGACCTCAATACACTAATCCTAGGCTCATGGTACCTCTTTGAGGACTTTAGACTAAATTCAGTCAGTTGCTTGGTTAACTCCGAAAAAAAAAAAAGATAAATAGATAAATTGTAAACAATCAAAACAATCAGTGGGAAAAGAGTGAGAAGTGGAATGGAAATATAGCAAAGCGATTTTGCCACACAGAACTGACCTTTTCTCATGAGTATGCAAGGTTAGGAAGTAGGATCATGGTATCTCTCTAAAAATATGCAGGAATATCCCTTTTGGACAACAAATGTGTGCTATAAACAAGAAAGACAATTAGAATTAGGTATGTCTTAGTCCATTTGTATGCTATAACAAGTTACCAGAGACTGTAATTTATATATAATAGAAACATATTTCTCACCATTCTGGAGGCTGGGAAGTCCAAGATCAAGGTGCCAGTAGCTTTGGTTTCTGGTGATAGCCTGGTCTCTGCTTCTAAGACGATGCTTTGGACATGTTATCCTCACATGGCAGATGGGACGGAATGACAAAAGAGGCCTAGCTAGTTCCCTCAAGCCTTTTATTAGACACTAATCCCATTTAGGAGGGCAGAGCCCTCATGGCCTAATTACTCCCCTGCATGCCCCATGTCTTAATACTGTTGCACTGAAGATTTAAGTTTCAACATATATTTCAGAGAAGACACAAAAGTTCAAACCATAGCATGGTATGTATAAATATAAGCAAGGAGTCTCAGTGACATGTATGAATCTCTAGGACTCCAGGGATTAAACAGTATTGAGCAGCCCTTGCTTGAATAAACCTATATGTGATTTTTTCCAGCTCAAACAGACAATTACAAAGGCTTTACCTGGCAGGGCTCTTGAGGGAACTGGCCCTTCCCACCCCAAAGGATTCAGCCAATGCGTTGTAGTCTCAGAAGGAAGTTGCAGTCAAGGACTCGGGTGTCCCTGGTTGCCCTTCCTTTTACACATATTTGCATTCCTAACCTAGGAGCCGGGTTCAGAAGGCTTTGTATCTGGAGCTTTCTGCTGGCCACGGCCTTCCTTGGGAGCCCCTGAGGAGACCTTATTACTGGGTGAGAGAGGGAAACTTGAAATTGCCTCCACCCTGACAGTACAAGCACATCTCATTTTATTGTGCTTTGCTTTATTATGCTTTGCTTTATTGTGCTTTGAAGATATTGTGTTTTTTACAAATTGAAGGTTTTTGTGGCAAGCCTACATTGGTGCTATTTTCCAATAGCACATGCTCATGTCTCTGTGTCAGTTTTTTAAACAATATTTTAAAAATACGCATGTATACATTTTTAGACATAATGCTATTACACATTAATAAACTATGGCATAGTGAATACATAATAACTTTTATATGCACTGGGAAACTACAAAAATTGTCTGACTTGCTTTATTGGGATATTCACTTCATTGCAGTAGTCTAAACCAAACCTGCACTGCAGTAGTCTAAACCAAACCTACACTATCTCCAGGGTATGCCCGTATACTCAGTACTTTTCCACTGTGCTCATCCACCTGACCCTTGACTTCATGCTGTTCTGGGTTGTGGGGAACTGGAAGGGGGAGAAGTCGGCACTTTCTTTGGTTTGGCCTCTTTTGCTATCACTTGTACTAATACAGTAAGTGATTAAAAGCTTGACTGTTACTTTCATTCTGGCTTGCTCAATTGGCAACTTCAACAACTGGCAGCTCAACTCTCTTAGCTCTACTGAACTCCTGACAAGACTTTGCACTTTATTCTTAGTGAGGTTAATTCTCTATCTTAGTTTAGCATAAACTTTAAATGTCTGGATTTTACTGTTTTAAATTGATGTAAAATATATTTTAATCCTCAAGCTCCAACATAGGTTATATGTTATTATTTGACTTATTACCATAATAAATGACATTTTCTATCTCCATCATGATGATGCTATAATACACCATACTTACTATTTCTAATATATAGTGGAACCTTTTAGAATATTGGCTTTTAAATGAATAGGCATCAACTTTTAATGTAATTTATACGCAAACCCCATCTAGAAAACCATAAAAAGGATGAATACCATTTTTATATATTAATTCCAATTTCTTTTTGTGGGATGGCTGCCCAATTGTTACAAATTTGTTTAACAAAATCTCAAGTGCATTAAAAATCTTTCACTAAACTCTTTGACACATTATAAGAGAGCAGAAAGTATTTCGTGGAATTCTCAGGTGATTTTATTTTCTATTTTTTTTTTTACAGCCAGAGAAATACAATTAGTTTAAATTTTTGGGTTACATTATATCAACCATAGGATAATCCATTTAATGATAGTGGTATGCTCTCCATTGCCCTAAGTGGGAAAAAATTAGGCCTTTTAATATATAACCTCTAAGATTATGAATTTATAATATTAATTAGTATTAGGTTATTCAGTAGATGTCTCATATTAGTTTTCCTAGAACTTCATATGGTGCTTGTTACAATATAGGTATTCAGTAAACATAGATTGAATAAGCTAATTTAAAATAAAGAAAAAAATTATGAATTGATAAATTGATAATATTTTACTTGAGAACCAAAGCAAACAGGTAAAGTAAGCCCCAGCATCCCCAATATTACAAAGCAAGAAGCTATGGCTTAGAAATATTTGGATTTGTTAGAAAAATCACAAAACTGAGTTGTATTTCAGATATTGGAGTTCTAAATACTGTGCAATTTTTACTTCACCACAATTTTGTCCTCATAATATTTAATTAGGAAATTAGCATTGCATACAGAAAGAGCTATCTCTGAAACAAGGATGGGGCAAAAATTGACTCTGATGAAAGTCAGGGCTGTCACTCAATTGCATCATCATTTGAGAAAAATTTAAATCTATATAACTGGTTATTAAACATTATATTCCACCCCACTACTTAGTCGAAAAGTTAAATGACAACTACCACTTCATACTTTGAGAAGGCTTCATTTTTCTCTCCAGAGAATTATTATTGTTGATATCATCCATAATTGGAGAAGAAAAAATGAACTATAATCACATCTACATTACTGACAATGTTGCATGATATGATTAAAATAACATTACATTAGCTAAAACCTTGTTTGTAATGTGAAGATGACAAAAAAAGATAAAATTTATAAAATATAATAATCCTACTTTTTTTTTTTTTTTTGAGACAGAATCTCACTCTGTCACCAGGCTAGAGTGCAGTGGTGCAATCTCCGCTCACTGCAACATCCGACTCCCCGGTTCAAATGATTCTCCTTTCTCAGCCTCCTGAGTAGCTGCGATTACAGGCACGTGCCACCATGTCCAGCTAATTTTTTTTATTTTTATTAAAGACGGGATTTCACCATGCTGGCCAGGATGGTATAGATCTCCTGACCTCCTGATCTGCCCACCTTGGCCTCCCAAAGTGCTGAGTTTACAGGCGTGAGCCACCGTGCCCGGCCAATAATCCTATAATTAATCCTATTCTGAGAAATGTTAATGTTTATAATTATCCAGTTACAGCCATGTATATGACATAAGTCAACTTTTTTCTTAACTACCAATAGAACCCAGTAATATCATTATTTGAAAACATTAGAGTATATTCCCAAAGCTAAGATTCTTTATAAATGTGTTATGTATACCATATATCTCATCACTGCTGGTAGCATATTTTAGATAAAGAGGAAAATGGTGAGCAGATATGAAAAGTTTAACATGTAGAAAACGATAGATACATGTACCTCTTCCTTATACTTAACCATATCCATTGATTCCTAAGCAGCTAAACAGCTTCATAATAGAAAGCTTCCTAGAGATCTTTAATTAATAAAAACATTAAATTGAAAGTTAATCTGACTTAGATACTTAATAAATGTTAAATGGAAAACAAAGTTTTGGAAGCATTTTAGCTGAAAACACTTCAAAATGTTTAAACACATTTTCTAAAATAATTACAATTGTTTTTGAAACTGGCTTTCATAACTTTCATCCAATATTTGTTTGCTAATATATAAAATTCATAAGTTCTATGAGCTTTCATCCCATTAACAAATTATCATATATCAAAATAGGTAGTATGAGCAGACACGTATAACCTAATTACAACAATATGGACAGTGTCGTCACATGGTATAGACATTCTAGTGTGTCCCAATCAGTTCAGGTTTATATATTAGCTGTAATGAATGTTAATATTTGGATGGCACTATTATATACTTATTAATCAAAGCAATTAAAAAGCATTGAGAAATGTATTTTCTATTAAAAATAGAGTAACGTAGAAATAGTAAACATAGACACACTTACAAATAAAATATATATAATAAATACTGAATGACATATAGTGAGTTTCTCATTACAATAAACTTGTGAAACACTTAATTGTCTTTATTCTAGTTTAGCCTGAGATGTCTTAAAACACTTTTTTTGTAATGAAAAAATACTAAAAATATAAATAGATATATAGCTTATATAGAGATATAACTAAGTAGGCTAGTTCTGTATAGCTCCTGTGTTCTGGTTCTGAACTAGAATGCTAGCTTTGCACTCAAGATACTTATTTCTAATGAGTATGACTTGGGACTTGGGAGATAGGTAGCCATCATTAAGTAAAGTAAATTTCTATTACAGTTCCCTCGGTAGTATTCTAACGAGAGTTGTCCCTGTCTGAGGCAGCCTAAACACATCAGTATCTGAAATTCAGAATCACAGCCATCTAATGCATGTAGTATGTTACAAGAACCTCTCACAGGCAGTTGACTACCCTAGATGACAAATGTCTACTTTGTGAAGTGCTTCCAAGTTTTCCAGAAACTTCATTTTGTATACGTCACATAAAGTCTGTCTTAAGTCAGATCCTGATAAGCATGCCCTAGAATTATTTTCAGCTACTGTGCAAGATAACTGCCTATGCTTTTTTCCTCCTGTGAAATTACCAATTTATTCAACAAGTATTTGCTTAGTCTGTAAAGTGGACCAGAAAGAAAAAAATAAAGGGGGAGACCTCAAGACCATCAGGATTTACCAGGGTAGAAAAGGCAGATTTACAATTTAAAAGTAGCATAAGTCACCTGTTTAGAGGTTAAAACTGATGAGAAGGAAAATTGGAGCTCAGATTAAAAATGATGGGAAGGGAAATGGGAGTCCAGAAACAGATTCCAGCTCAGGGAGACAAATAACAAAATTCTAAAAATTGGTATATGTTCTTCCTGTGTCCTTTAGTGAGGTTGAATTGGAAGCCTTTAAACCTTTCCTTCTACTGTTTTGTCACTGAACTTGATGAGTCATTACAGGAACATTGGAGGGTACAACATAAGCAGGGAAAAAGCTTCCTCTCTTGAACAAACCCAGCTGAGGTTATATGCCAGCTTCCTTTGCAGGATAGCAGAAGAGCTTTCCATTTTGTAACAATCTACATGCCCTTTTATGTTAGCCTCATTAGCTCTACTAGGAATTGCTGCCTCCTACATTTTACCCAAAAGACAGGGCATTCATATGTTGGATTTATTTTTCTTTGAATCATAACATATATATATATAAGAAGGGCATGTTCACAATTCTACGGCAATCTCCTTCCTTGAAATCCTACTGGAAAATGGCATGAATTAAAGTCATTTCTGTTAGACATGACCCTCTACATGCTTTTTCTTCTAATATGCCTGTAAATGTCTTCAATCCCCCATGTAAAAGTCTCCATATTCCTAACTTGTTGGGAAGCCACCTCTATCAGGGCACCCAAATTAGCTTTGTATATTGTACACAGAAGCTGTATTTTAGGTGAATCCATCTTAAATGTCACTTCTTTCCATTTTTATGTGATGCGGTTATAGAAGAGTAGTGGAAACATAGATGATATCTGTTTTTCTATTAATTGCAGAAAATACTAAACTCTGTTGTTGTTGTTTGACCTTGCTACAACTTCTCTTTAAGTACACTCTTTATAAGTTTTATATTTCAGACAATGTTTCCACAACTATTATTTGCAAAATGTATGCAGCCAGTTGCTAGTAATCCTGGAAGTGGGTTCTTTTTTTCTGATACAGATCTGCAGCTTCATCACCTCTCTCTGACCTTCTATGAAAACATTCAGGCCACTCTCTTAATATGAAAATGGCCATAAATTTTCTTCTATTGGGCTGAATAAAGGCATTACCATTTAGGGCAAAGGGATTGTAGTTACAAAGGGAGAGATGAAGGTAAAAAGAAAAATGAGAAAATTTAGTAGCATCTTTAAGTTTGAATTGCTGACATTTCCATTTGAAATAACCTATAGTCCAGGTTGTATATATAATTACTTTTATATATTCCAGATATATATGTGTGTGTGTGTGAAAATATGTCAACTATAGTTGAAAACACTAGAATGTTAAGGTCGTTTTCAGTGCATTTAATAAAATAGTCTGTTGTTTAAGAGAATACAGTGAACACACATACATTAGAAAATGTTTATCCCAAAATTCCAGGAAAGAAATCAGGACTTGAAGGGAGATCAAAAACATAAAAAGCACTTTCTATTTCTATATCTCATATTTGTTTTTTTAGCATCTGCTAAATGACTTCTAACACTGCTCACCAGCCTTTTCTGCCTCTCCATCCTCCTACAAGCATTTGGTAACCTTCATTATCTAAATTTACCTGTTACTATTTTGTCAAAAAGCAAAAACTAACTGGCTGCCTTCCAACTCTGGGTCTGAATTTTGCTGAGAAGGAGAGAGAGAGAAATAGAGAGAGAGAGAGAGAGTCACGTTTTCTCAGCTTGGATGTATATATGGTTTTGGTCTAATTAGGTATGACAAAAAAAAGTACTGAACAAGGACACAGCTCTTTTTAATGGCAGTAGGGGATGGAAAATCTGATTTCAAAGTTGAGTAGGTGTCTAATCAGCTGGGTGGATACTCCATTTCAAAAAAATAAAACAAGCGTATCACTGACAAAAGACTGTCAAGAGTATTGATAATGGGCACCTGGAGACCTACACAATTAAAGGAGAAGAATATGGAGAAAAAAAACAGAGAAAGAATTATCCAAAAGATGTAGAGAACAAAGAAAACTCAACAGGAAATGCAATGAGAAAATAGATTCCAAAGGGTAAAAGTGGCAACCATGATGCAAGTCTAAGATGAAAATAGAGCTGTGCACATAGGAAGAATCAGCAAAGTGAGAACAGTTTCAGTGAAATGGGGTGCAGACAGAGCAGTATTGATATGGTCAGGAAAGGAATGGCAGTGGTAAAAATGAAAACAATGAGAGCAGAAGAGTCTCAAGAATTGTGGTAGTTTTTTCAAAATGTCACTATGTTAGAAGTTTAACAATATTTACATTTTTCACAACTATACTCTCTTAAGTCAGTGGGGCAAGAAAAACAGCACCGCTGGTCAAAAGCAGTTAGCTGTTAAATAGAATACAACCTACTTATTTACTTGTGTGTTTAATTTTGTTGACTCTCTTTTTGGAACTCTGTTCCATTCTGTTGTTGGGGAGTAAAAAAAACAGCCTAATATCACACAAATACCTCTAAACTATGAAGTATAAATTAGTCTACCCTACCTTGTGTTCTTTTAAATACATAATTTCATGAAAATTAAGATCTAACTGTAATGGATCCCATATTTACAGATAACTGAAACAAGTAAGTCAAAGGGATTTGTTCAGTACACTTCATAGTAACTGACTAACAGGCGTAGACTTAGAATTCCTCAGTGTTATTTCCATTTTCGTTTCTTAGAACACAATATAAAAGTAATTCAATGGGCCAGGCGTGGTGGCTCACGCCTGTAATTCCAGCACTTTGGGAGGCCGAGGCGGTGGATCACGAGGTCAAGAGATCGAGACCATCCTGGCGAACATGGTGAAACCCTACCTCTACTAAAAATACAAAAATTAGCCAGGCATGGTGGCGAGTGCCTGTAGTCTCAGCCACTCTGGAGGCTGAAGCAGTCACTTGAACCCGGGAGGCGGAGGTGGCAGTGAGCCGAATTTGCACCACTGCACTCCAGCCTGGTGACAGAGAGAGACTCCATCTCAAAACAAAAACAGAAACAAAAACAAACAAAAAAATTCAAGGTGATAGAAATATTTATGGATTTGTGATAGTGTCCTTTTCAAGCACTTCTGCAAACAGAAACACAGGATGCTATCCTGGTGATGGTTAATACTGAGCGTCAACTTGATGGAATTGAAGGATGCAAAGTATTGATCCTGGGTGTGTCTGTGAGGGTATTGCCAAAGGAGACTAATATTTGAGTCAGTGGGCAGGGAAAGGCAGACCCACCATTAATCTGGGCTGGCACCATCTAATCAGCTACCAGTGTGGCTAGAATATAAAGCAGGCAGAAAAATGTGAAAAGATGAAACTGGCCTAGCATCCCAGCTTACATCTTTCTTCTGAGCTTAATGCTTCCTGCCCTCAAACATCAGAATCCAAGTCCTTCAGTTTTGGGACTCAGACTGGCTCTCCTTACTCCTTAGCTTACAGGCAGCCTATTGTGGGACCTTGTGCTCCTGTGAGTTAATAAACTCTCATATATATTCTATTAGTTCTGTCCCTCTAGAGAACCCTGACTAATGCAGATTTTGATATCAGGAGTGGTTTTAGAGAAACAGAATATTAAGGATGGAGTTCCTTCATTGGTTTTGGGGTTTCTAGAGTTGGCTGCTTAATTTTATTAGACCCCAAAATGCTAAGGACTCTACTTCTAATAGTATGGCAAACATTGATAGTCCTTGGCATGAACTGTTTACAGAGTTATGTAAATAAATGCAACTTAAACTTCCGATTATTCACTCATGAGAGGCAAGGATTTTAGTGACTCTATACATATTACCTTTGACCATATGTGGAGAACCAAGGAACATAATGAAGCTGGTTGTTTGCTCCTAAGTTCAGTGGACAAAGTGATGAAAGAAAATGATGAACTCAGGGATAATATCTCCCAGCTTCAGAAGCAGATAGTGAGCCTCAAATCTGCTAAGACTGCCCTGAATGAGAGTCTTATCTACTGTACAGAAAGAGCTGGAATTGAGGAAAAACAGACACAAGCTCTTATCATGCAAGTGGCTGACCTGCAACGAAAGGTGGATGCACAGCCTCACCAGGTGTCTACTGTTAAAGTGAGGGCATTGATTGGAAAATAATGGGACCCTGCAACGTGGAATGGGGATGTGTAGGAAGACCCTGATGAAGCTGGGACACTGAGTTTGTAAATTCTGACGAACTTTTTTTTGCCAGAAGGAACAGTTTCCCCATCCCCACTAGTGGCAACATCCCCTCCCTGACCCATGCTGCCATCAGCCTTTCCACTTTGTCTGAGGAGATAAAACCTGCACTGCCCCAGGCAACAGTGATGGCCTCCCCTGAGGCAGTTGCCAGGCAAGACAATGTTGATTCTCCTCAGAAGCCACCCCCAACACCTCTCATTTGCTTCTAGATCTATAACTAAAGTCCCCGTGGGCCCCTAGAGGTGAGGTTGAGAGTGTGACCCATGAGGAGGTATGCTACACTTGAAAAGAACTGCTTGGATTTTCGAAATTATATAAACAGAAATCTGTAGAACAGGCATGGGAATAGATATTAAGGGTGTGGGTGAAGGTGGAAGGAACATAGAGTTGAATCAGGCTGAATTTATTGATTTGGGCCCACAAAGTAGGAACTCTGCTTTTAACGTTGCAGCTCAGGGAGTTACAAAAAAAAAAAAAAAAAAGGTTCTAATAGTTTATTTGCTTTCGTTAGCTGAAATATGGATTAAAAGACGGCCCACTGTGAGTGAGCTGGAAATGCCTGATCTCCCTTGGGTTAATGTAGAGTAAGGGATCCAAAGGCTTAGGGAAATTGGGATGGTAGAGTGGATTAGTCACTTTAGACTTACTTATTCCAGCTGAGAGGGTCCAGAAGACATACCCATGATCAGTGCTTTGCAAAATAGATTTGTGAGAGCAGCACCTGCATCTTTGAAGAACCCTGTAATTGCTCTTTTCAGATCTAACAGGGGACGGAGACCACAGTCACTCAACTGCAAAATTTAAATACAATGGGAATAATTAGATCCTGAGGTGGCAGGGGCCAAGTGTTGACACTCGACAATCAATTGCAAGGTCGTTGTAGCTACCTAATGGACAGAAGAGGCAAAGCAGCAATCAGAATAGTCAGACTTGTGTAGAGCTCTGGCATTGGCTAATTAATCATGCTGTTCCTACAAGTGAAATTGATAGGAAGCCTACTGCATTCTTATTTACCTTATATAAGCAGAAAACTTCCAGGTTGAATGGACAAAAGACTAATTTGAATTATAAAAACAGAGAATCACAGCCCCCCAATCAGTTTACAGACCTGAGTCAGTTTACAGACCCAGAACCCCTTGAATGAATGGGAGGCTGGGTTCCCTTGAGGAAGGGCCCCACCACACTACTGACAATTTGTGCTGTTAATTTTCTCCCATCCTTCCCCAAGGAGACCTCTGGTCTTTTACCATGGTAACTGTACACTAGGGAAAGGGAAATGATCCGACATTTTGGGGACTACTGGACATTGGCTCTGAGCTGACTTTGATTCCAAGGGACCCAAAATATCCTTGTGGTCCTCCAGTTAAAGTAGGGGCTTATGGAGGACAGGTAAGTACTGCAGTTTAGCACCGGTTTGACTTACAGTGGGTCCAGTGGGTCCCCAGAATTATCCTGTGGTGATTTCCCCACTGCCAGAATGCATAATTGGCATAGACCTACTTAGCAGCTGGCAAAACCCCCACACTGGCTCCCTGACTGGTGGAGTAGGGACTGTTATGGTGGAAAGGCCAAATGGAAGCTATTAGAGCTGCATCTACCTAGAAAAATAGTAAATCAAAAATAATATTGCATCTCTAGAGGGATTGTGGAGATGAGCACCACCATCAAGGACTTGAAAGATGCAGGGGTGGTGATTCCCACCACATCCCCGTTCAACCCTCCCATTTGGCCTGTGCAGAAGACAGATGGATCTCGGAGAATGAGAGTGGATTATCATAAGTTTAACTAAGTGGTGACTCCAATTGCAGTTGCTGTACCAGATGTGGTTTCATTATCTGAGCAAATTAACACATTTCCTGGTACCTGGTATGCAGCCATTGATTTGGCAAATGCCTTTTTCTCCATTCTTGTCCATAAGGCCCACCAGAAGCAATTTGCCTTCAGTTGGCAAGGCCAGCAATATATTTTTACTGTCTTACCTCAGAAATTTATTAATGCTTTGGCTTTGTGTAATAATCTTATTTGGAGAGACCTTGATTGCTTTTTACTTCCACAAGATTCACACTGGTCCATTACATTGATGACATTATGCTAATTGGATCCAGTGAGCAAGAGGTGACAAACACACTGGACTTAGTGAGACATTTGAATGCCAGAGGATGGGAAATAAATCCTACTAAAATTCGGAGACCTTCTACCTCAGTAAAATTTCTAGGGGTCGTAAAATTTCTAGGAGTCCAGTGGTGTGGGGCCTGTCAACATATTCCTTCTAAGGTTAAGGATAATTTGCTGCATTTGGTCCCTCCTACAACCAAGAAAGGCACAAAATAGGCCTAGTGGGCCTATTTGGATTTTGGAGGCAACTCATTCCTCATTTGGGTGTGTTTCTCCAGCCCATTTATCGAGTCACCCAAAAGGCTGCCAGTTTTGAGTGGGGTCCAGAACAGGAGAAGGCTCTGCAACAGGTCCAGGCTGCTGTGCAAGCTGCTCTGCCACTTGGACCATATGACCCAGCAGAACCAATGGTGCTTCAGGTGTCAGTGGCAGAAAGAGATGCTGTTTGGAGCCTTTGGCAAGCCCCCACTGGTGAATCACAGCAGGAGTCTCTAGATTTTGGAGCAAGGCCCTGCCATCTTCTTCAGACAACTACTCTCCTTTTGAGAGACAGGTCTTGGCCTGTTACTGGGCTTTGGTGGAAACTGAATGTTTGACTCTAGGTAATCAAGTCACCATGTGATCTGAACTGCCTATCAGGAACTGGGTACTTTCTGACCCATCTAGCCATAAAATGGGTCATGCATAGCAAAATTCCATCATCAAATGGAAGTGGCATATACATTATCAGGCTCGAGCAGGTCCTGAAGGCACAAGTAAGTTACATGAGGAAGTGGCTCAAGTGCCCATGGTCTCCACTCCTGCAAGTCTGCCTTCTCTTCCCCAGCCTGCACCAATGGCCCCATGGAGAGTTCCCTATGATCAGTTGATAGAGGAAGAGAAGACTAGGGCCTGGTTCACAGATAGTTCTGCACGGTATGCAGGCACCATCTGAAAGCAGACAGCTGCAGCACTACAGCCCCTTTCTAGGACATCCCTGAAGGACAGTGGTGACAGGAAATCTTCCTAATGGGCAAAACTTTGAGAAGAGCATCTGACTCTGCACTTCACATGGAAGGAGAAATGCCCAGATGTGCAATTATGTACTGATTTAGGGGCTGTAGTCAATGATTTGGCTGGATGGTCAGGAACTTGGAAGAAGCATGATTGGAAAGTTGGTGACAAAGAAATTTGGGGTAGAGGTATGTGGATGGACCTCTCTAAGTGATCAAAAACTGTGATGATATTTGTATCCTATGTGAGTGTTCACCAATGGGTGACCTCAGCAGAGGAGGATTTTAATAATCAAGTGGATAGAATGACCTGTTCTGTGGACACCACTCAGCCTCTTTTCCCAGCCACCTATGTCATTGCTCAGTGGACCGTGAACAAAGTGGCCATGGTGGTAGGGATGGAGGTTACACATGGGCTCAGTAACATGGACTTCCACTCACCAAGGCTGACATGGCTATAGTGTCCAATTTGACAGCAGCAGAAATCAACACTGAGCCCTTGATATGGCACCATTCCTTGGGGTGATCAGTCAGCTACCTGATAGCAGGTTGATTATATTGAACCTCTTCCACCATGGAAAGATCAGAGGTTTGTCCTCACTGGAATAGACACTCTGAATATGGGCTTGCCTTTCCTGTATGCAATGCTTCTGCCAAGACTACCATTAGTGGACTCACAGAATGCCTTATCCACTGTCATGGTATTCCACACTGCATTAATTCTGACGAAGGCTCTCACTTTACGACTTTATGGCTAAAGAAATGCGGCAGTGGGCTCATGCTCCTCATGGAATTCACTGGTCTTACCAGGTTCCCCACCATCCTAAAGCAGCCAGATTGATAGAACTGTGGAATGTCATTTCAAAGTCACAATTACAATGTCAATTAGGTGACAATACTTTGCAGGGCTGGGGCAAAGTTCTCCAGAAGGCCGTGTATGCTCTGAATCAGCATCCAATATATGGTACTGTTTCTCCCGTAGTATTCATGGGTACAGGAATCAAGGAGTGGAAGTGGTAATGGCACCACTCACCGTCACCCCTAGTGATCCACTAGAAAAAAGTTTGCTTCCTGTTCCCAGGACATAATGTTGTGCTGGTCTAGAGGTCTTAGTTTCAGAGGGAGGAACACTCCCACCAGGAGACATAACAACAATTTTATTAAACTCGAAGAGTGCCACCTGGACACTTTGGGCTCCTGATACCTTTAAGTCAAGAGTTTCATTTGCCTACATGTGGCTAGCCAATTTTCCCAGCACCATTTGTTGAAACGGGTGTCCTTTCCCCACTTTGTATTTTTGTTTCCTTTGTCAAAGATCATCTGTAAGTATTTGGGTTTATTTCTGGGTTCTCTGTTCTGTTCCATTGGTCTATGTGCCTATTTTTATACAAGTACCATACTGTTTGGTGACCATGACCTCATAGTATAGTTTGAAATCAGGGGGTGTGATGCCTCCAGATTTGTTCTTTTTGCTTAGTCTCACTTTGGCTATGAGGGCTCTTTTTCATTCCCTATAAATTTTATAATTTTTTCTAAATCAGTGAAGAATGATGGTGGTATTTTGATGGGAGTTGCATTGATATTGTAGGTTTCTTTTGACGGTATGGTGATTTTCACAGTATTGATTTTACTCATCCATGAGCATGTGATGTGTTTCCACTTGTTTGTGTCATCTGTGATTTCTTTCAGCAGTGTTTTGTAGTTTTCCTTGTAGAGATCTTTCAATTCCTTGGTTAGGTATATTCCTAAGTATTTTATTTTATTTTTTGCAGCTATTGTAAAGAGATTGAGTTCTTGATTTGATTCTCCGCTTGAACGCTGTTGGTGTATTCAACAGTCTAAGAAAGGAGTTACAGTGTTGACTGAGGTGATTGACCCAGACTATCAAGATGAAATCAGTCTATTGCTCCACAGTGGAGGTAAGGAAGAGTATGCATGGAATACAGGAGATCCAGTAGGGCATCTCTTAATATTGCCATGCACTGTGATTAAGGTCAATGGGAAACTTCAACAGCCCAACCAGGCAGGACTACAAATGGTCCAGACCCTTCTGGAATGAAGGTTTGGGTCATTCCACCAGGAAAAAAAGAAAAAAAAAACACAACCTGCTGAGGTGTTTGCTGAAGGCAAAGGGAATACAGAATGGGTAGTAGAAGAAGGTAGTCATCAATACCAGCTATGATCACATGACCAGTGGCAGAAACAAGGACTGTGATTGTCATGAGTGTTTCCTCTTTCTTTTGTTAAAAGTATGTTTGTGCAAGTACACATTTGTATTAAGAAACAATCTTCATTTTATTTTCTTTTCCTTTATCATGCGACATAAGATTTATTGACTTCACATCAGCATTTAAGTATTGTTAACTTTGTGTTATAGTATTTGATTTGGGGATTGGTGTGTTTCTGGTTGTACGAAGGATAGTTGTATTATATTAGGTATAATTATGACTTTATTATTGTCTTTATTTGAAGGTTATGCATAATCTTAGGAGATGTGTATGGGTTCAAGTTGAAAAGGGAGGGATGGACTTGTAATGGTTAATACTGAGTGCCAACTTGATTGAATTGAAGGATGCAAAATATGGATCCTGGGTGTGTCTGTAAGGGTGTTGCCAAAGGAGAGTAACATGTGAGTTAGTGGGCTGGGAAAGGCAGACCCATCCTTAATCTGGGTGGGTACCATTTAATCAGCTGCCAGTGTGGCTAGAATATAAAGCAGGCAGAAAAATGTGAAAAGACGAGACTGGCCTAGCCTCCCAGCCTACATCTTTCTCCCGTGCTGGATGCTTCCTGCCCTCGAAGATCAGACTCCAAGTTCTTCAGTTTTGGGACTCAGACTGGCTGTCCTTGCTCCTCAGTTTGCAGGCAGCCTATTGTGGGACCTTTTGATAGTGTGAGTTTATATATCTGCATATATGTGTATATATATATATCCATATATATATATATAACTTTATATATATAAATACTTAATACTTAACTCCCATATATATATAAATGTATATATAATCTTGTTAGTTCTGTCCCTCTGGAGAGCCCTAATACAATCCCAATCACAAAATTTAGACTTAATGGAAAGAGTATTTGAAATTCAAACAGAATGGAACTTCATCACTTTGTGCCTACATAGATGTGATCAAAGCATTTTATATACATCAGATTCAGTTTGTCCATCTGTATAATGGAACTCTACTGCTTATCTTCCAAGAAAACATAGAAATCGTCTAACATATAGCAGAAACTGAATAGATATTGTTGAACAGAACAGTATCACAAATCACCAAAATAGTAAAGTTTTGTGCATGCATTACACTCAAATACCAGTGATACTAAGAAAAAATTGATTGATTTGAGATATTAGGGAGATGAAAATATAAAGACAATGTGGACTGAATCTCACACATCCTTTTAATCACTTCAATTTATCCTACTCTGCAGGTTAATTGCTAAACAAGATGCAGGTGTTGGCTTTAATATAGACAAATAAAACAGGAATTAATGGTATGTCCCTGTGTGCAGAATATAATCTGCAAGCAGTGCAGAGCCAGCCAAATCTTTCATAAGCAGTTAAAGAAACAAAAAACAGAAAAAGCCCACATAGATGATCATAATGTCCTGGAGACCCAATACTGCACAGAAAATGATCGAGATAGCAATACCAAAATAGAATTTTAAAAGTCACCTAGAATCTAAACAATTTATCAAGAGTCACAGCTATGAAACTTTATTGTTATTTGATGCTTCAATGTTTTTATTTAAGTTTCCTGCAAAATGATTCCATTTGCCTTTTTCACAGGACTTTGAAAAACATAATTTTCTGAAAATGTTGTGGAAACCCAAAATAATAATAATAACCTTACAGCAGTATCATAAAGAATGGGAGAAAAAAAGTGTGGTGAGGATGGAATAACTACAATGAGTACAAATTTAAGTTTCAAGTTGACTATAAAATGTGGCAGAAGTTATAATAATATCATTTTGAATTAGTTTAAGCTAAATTCACCATTATGCCAATAAAATAGTGCGTATTTGTTATTAGGTTGGATGATGTTTTGTTCCCATACATATCTGTCCAATGAAACATAAATATGTCTTTTCCTATCTGATTGGCTTTTCATAACAATTTATTTTCTCTAATTCAATCATGGGAAATAGATGCTAGGTCTAAGCACGTTTGCAGTCTCTATTCTCTACCAATTATTTTGCCTTCCTTCAACAGTATTTAGTGCATATGCCAGTGTGGTTAGAGGGTGTGTGGAAATATATATAAACACACACACACACACACACACACACATATATATATTTGAATTAACATTACATTCAAAACATTCGGCTATATTCCTAAAGAAGGTGTGTGTGTGTGTCTATATCTATATCTATATCTATCTTCAAATTATAATCTAATTATATTAAGGGAATACGGGGATGAAAATAACAACAATAATTAAGGCATTTTGCTAACGTTGTCCTAACTGTATGCTAAGCATACTAAAGGGCACTTAACTTGTATTATCACATCTAATCCTCAATCCTACAAAGTATAAGCTATTGACATTATATTTTTGAGTTAAGAATTTTAAGATAAGAGCCTTAAGATCTTTCTCAGTGGGTGCCGAGTTTACAAAACTGATAGTTTAACAAATAATACAATATTCCTTTAGTTTCTATTAACAGGAAAGAGTGGGGAGAAGCACTCCTCTCTAGAATTCACTTAGCTCTTGCATTCTCAAATCACAGACATAGGAGGAAGGCAATTAAGATTCTTAAAGCATGGAATCCTTATGGATGAAAATAAACAAACACACCAGTCAGTTTCCCCTCTTATTTTCTTTTAAAGAGACATTTTTATTAAAGTTAACGGAAAAGACCAATAGTATTTATAATCATAATCACCAAAAGTGTGTTCACCATATACACCATATGTGTTATGGTTTCCAAACTGGCCTTTTGAAACAATGTAACTTAACAACAACAACAACAACAAGAATGTACGAGGTCACCTTGCCCAACTTCACTCCAGAAATGTGTTTCTGATTCAACAGCTTCAGTTCTCACACGGTTTTGAGAGGAAGACATTTAATGTGACTCAAGCTGTTAAGACATATATATTCTATTGAACCAGAAATTCATTGTCTAGAGAATTCAGCCGTCTGACTATTTTTCTTTTCTTTTTCCTTTATTTTCCTTCTCTTTTTAGCTATCCCTCTCCTCCTCCTCCCCATTTCCCTCTCCAGCTCCTGTTTTCCGGTCCTGAAAAATAATCCTGGAACTTATTAATAAGAGGAAGTCAAATTCTACCACAATGTTTTTAAGACACTGTAAGTATAAGACTACTCCTCCCCACTCCATGCAACAATGTAAATATTAGTTTAAACAAAAATAAGAAGATGGGGAAGAGGAGGAGGAGGAGGAGGAAGAGGAGGAGAGATCATTACTTAGCAAACTTCTGAAAACTTCCCTGTTGTTATCTTTTCCTTTCCTTAGTATTCCCAACTTATTCTTAATAAATTCTTCAAAAGTTTTGTTTAGGTGCCTTCCATATATTTTTATATTGCAGTAAACAACTTTAATTATCTGAGAGTTATTTTTCTATAATTTAATATATGTGTTTATAAATTATATTCCTTCAGACATACCTTGGGAAAATGTCAGTCTTTTAGAGGCAGTTGTTTAAATCAAGGAGCTTTTACAAATGTCCTAAAACTGCTAAAGAAATAAAATCTAGTTGTAGAAATTATTTGGATCCATCATCATGTACTCCAGTTATTCCTGATGTTTCACATGTGTGAACTGTTGCAATGTGACTTGCCTTCTTTTAGGGTATCCTTCCCATTTTTGACTGGCTAACTCCTCCTCTCTTTCAAGGCCATATTAAAACATATTTTCCCCCAAAAGCTCTATCTTAACCTCTGGAGCATAATTAATAACACCTTCCTTTGTAATCCACCCTGTTTTATTAAAAGCTCTATTTACCATTTATCTTATATATATTTTTCCTTTATATTACAGGTCTCTTTCCCCAACTGGCTAATAAACTCATGTAGAACATAGATTATCCCTATTCATCTTTACATCCAAGTGACTATTAAACTAAAGGAACACAAGGGTTTGATGAAAAAGCAAGAATCTAGTGACTCTCTTGTGAAAAATGTATATAAACTCTGATCTTCATGGGTTCCCTCAACAGTTAAACTATTCTTCTGTGTTTTGCGTATTTTTGTCTGATTTTTGTTTGTTTATTTCTAAAACAAGTTAGCTCTATGAGACAGAGAATGAATTTCTTCAATAGGCTCTTTGTGTTTATGAAGGTAGGTGCATAAACATATTAGCTGGCCACTGAAAATATCTCCTAAATTAGAATTCTTAAATAACTGAGTAAACATGAAAGTTTTAATGACTTTTTTCTTAATATATATTACAATTATTATAATATTAAATTAAAAATATTATTTGAATTCTTCACAGAATACCAAAAATAATTATTTTTAAATATTGCTATATACATACATTTTTAAATATCATAAATTATTTTCAAAAGATTGTCATAAAAATATTAGAGTAAAATATGTATGATCACTATTTCTAAGAAAATCAAATTGATCCAAGTACATTAATAAGTAAAACCATGAATCAATATACAAGAGTAGAATTAGCTGTGGTAAATATGTCATATCCCAATATATGCATAATTTAAAGTTATTTTTTGGGAGGTGAAAATAATGATACATAAATAGTATTTACTAATGTATTCATATAAATTTCAAAATTTGGAAATATTGTTAAATTGCCTCCTTTTTTTAAAATGTGATAAAGTTAGTAAGTTCTTCTACACCATTTATATTATATGTCATAACTCTGTTTTGGTAGAGATGTTATAATTTCAGTATAGAATCTCTTAGTAAAGAGTTGATAATTTAGTTATATAGGTCTGACATTAAAAAGTCCCATCATAAAATTCTTATAAATGTTTTTTCACACTTCAGAGAAAGGCAAGAAATATAATTCTTAATTTCAACAGTGTGGTAATATCTAGACTCTTTGTATAACATGCATTAAAATGCAGGTGTTGCACAGCTAGCTAGGGGACCTCATGATAATACAAAAAGCTTATGAATTGCAGTGAGAAACATTTAGCTATCACCAGAATTTTAATTATCCCTAAAACATATTGACATTTTTTGATATTGGTCTTGAGATTGACTGCTGTCACTTCCAATAAAATATTATTTGGTAAACTCAACTGAATTATTATCAAAATTGATGAGGCATTTGATTTAGTGTTTAAATGACTGATTTTATGGAATTATGCTATCAAAATTACTTTAAAATATTAGAAGTTTCTCAAATATATAAATGCTATTTTTACTCAATAATATATGAACTTGACGTGACTTTCCTGATTTCTTTAGTATATTTACCAGAATCGGCTTATATGTTTTCTACAAATGCTTTACAATGTAATTATGTTTTCTTCAAATTATGAGCTTCATTGTGGTTTTCTTCAAAACATTATCATGATTAATTCCTCTCAAACATTCATCTCTTACACAAACACATTATTATTTCCTGACATTATCTTCATATATTCACCTTTCTAAGCAAATATACCTTGAAATAAAGGAGGTACCCCTTTAATTTAAATTAATAGAATATTTATTGACGTGTCAAACAGAGGGATGGAGCTTCATATACAAGCACCTTCTCCTCTCCCTAGACACATAGCTGTGTATGTATAGAACTTCCAAAATGTAAAATCAACTGATCATGCACAGGAAGAAAAATATTGTATAAAACTGTGTGCAGTAAGAAGATGAGATATTCTCAGTACTTAGAAATTTCATAATAGTTGATCTTAGTATCTTCCATCGTCAACTTGCATTTAGATACACATCATTTCAGTACTATGCCCTGTGTTTTTCTCATTCTAAAAAACACAAACTCATTCTAAAGTCACTTCTTTCAAGAATAGACTGACTTTATTTACCCAGTTTTTTAGACACTGAATTTACTAAGGACAAGTAGATATTCAGTTTCGTGCTTCAGATCCATTATCTAATTTCTTTTCTGTCTTTGTTTGGCATATTGTTAGTTGTCTTATGCTATTCTCTAAGTTCATCATATACCATATTTATTTTCCCCAAAGGAACATGTCTTATTTTTTTCCCAGCTTCAAGAGGACAGTCATTAGCATTTAGTGGTTTCATATGACTGGCTCAATAGGTTAAGATTGTGTTCAAACCACTTGTACTAAAATAAATTCAACTTACAGTTTTCACAAGATAGAGAACACAAAAATAAATGCTGCTACTAATAATTACTCCTGTCTTTACTTGCACGTGTACATTACTGATAAGAACAGCACTGACCTCACTGCAACACCACCACTAAGATTCTGATTTCATTTTCCATTTATTGTGAGTCACAGGAAGATTCAAATTCTTGGTGGACTCATCTCATTGGCCAAACCTAGAAAACACTTTCTCACCATTGCTGCCAATGAATAAGGAGGAATTATGTTCCCTTGGCTTCTTTCTGAAGAGAAATTTTCTCCTCTCCAAGAATCACAAAAATATGGATTTGCAAAACTAAGAGGAGATTCAGTGCCATTTTGACTTAAAAGCAGCTGATACTATAAAACACAGAGGCACAACCTGTCATCAATAATCAAAGATCTTATATTACAAGCAGAGATGGAAAACACAGATTAATATGCCTGAACCCAATGTGTAGTTCCATATTACTACTCAGTTTATAAGAAATAAGTCAAGATAAAGCATATGACTTGTAAAATCACAGAAGTGGCTAAGTGTCCTGGTAACTTTTCATGACTGCCTTCCAGAGTACCCTACAGAATGGGAGCTACATATTCCTTAATTTAATTCACTAGACTGGTAAACAAAGAGTAATCCTTTATAGTGCTTCCTGTGCATTTATCTAATCTACAAGAAAGATAATGCTTATTGTACCTAAGGGATTTTAAAAATTTGTTATTGTATTTAGCAATAGCAAATTTAGAAGACTGTGGATAAAAGTTATCAGCAATTATTTCCAGGCTGTGCTGTCAAATTTTTCAATCTGGTACATTGCAAATAATGTTATGTTTTTCCAAATCCACCATAGTTGAGAAATTTATTCTGAAACTGAGATTGTAATGTCCATTTATATTCATTAGAAAAATATACCATAGGAAACTACTGGATATTTAGCAAAAATTACTATTGATATTTTAACTCCTAGATTTTTAAAAAATGCTGTAATTGGCCCATGCCTGTAGCCCCAACTACTCAAGAGGCTGAGGCAGGAGGATCCCTTGGGCCCAGGAAGTCCACAGTATAGTGAGCCATGTTCACACCACTGCACTCCAGCCTGGGAGACAAAGTGAGTCCCTGTCTCAAAAAACAAAACGAGAAAACCCTCTATCATTAGGATTAATTTTCTAGCCAGCTATATGCCAAAAAAATTCATTGTCATTGTAACATAAAAATAGGTTCTGATATTGTTAGTCTGATACACTTGAAAACCTTGGGCACTGTTTTAGCTACTTGCCAATTTCAAGAGCTACAGTTATTTACTAAAGTGTTTGAAAACAGTAGCAAAGACAGACACTTTAAGGTTTAAAAATATATAATGCAGTTGTAAACTCATGGAAAACATCCCTATGCTTTATTAAGAGATAGAATGCCACAGAAGTAAAAGGAAAACTATTAAACTAGATTGTGTTAACTAGAACTGACTCTGCCAAACATGAGCCCTACAGTCATTGACAAGTTACCTAAAAATTCTAAGATTCAGTTCTCACTTACTTAAAATAAGGATAATTGTACCATTTAAATTATTGGGTTGCTATGAAGAGTAAATTGATAAATTTGAAGCATTTAGCATAGGTTCTGACATATAATAAGCACTTGATATAACTCTGCTGCCATGAAATCTGAAGTTTTAATTGAAAAGTGGATTTTAAGCATCTGTTACAGAAACCCATTAGGTGGTTTCCAGTCAATTCTCCCTACTGAGAGGAAACCAACCCTTTCCTACCACCACAGCTTCTTTCTCCGGAAACTCATATAACTAAAATTACACAGTATATATGCTTTTGTGTCTGACTTATTTTGTTCTACATAATATTTTGGAGATTATTTCATGTTTTTGCATGTTATCAGTAGTTTTATTCTGTTATCAATTATTACTATTCCGTTATTAAATTAGACCACTCTTCTATTAGGACATTCACTTTGTTTCCAGTTTGGGGTTTCACAGAGATGCCGGAAATTTTCCTTTACAAGATTTTCATGGTACTAAGTTCTTCTTTCTCTTGGATTCATGGTTAGGAATGAAAATCCTGAATGATAGGGTAATGCTGTATGTGTAACTGTAAAAGAAACTCCCATACCTATTTTCAAATTGGTTATTCTATTGTATATTTCCCTTACTCACATGTGGTATTGTTGGTCTTTTTAATTTGGCCATTTTAGTGTATATAAAGGGATACTTCTATGTGATTTCAATGAATATTTTCCTGTTAATTAATAGTGTTGGGGAGTTTTCTTGTACTTATTGGTCATTTTTATGTTCTCTTCATTGAAAAACCTAGTCACATCTTTTGCCAGTTTCTATTGAGTAATCAGGCTTTTATTTCTTATTAATTTGATTTTAATATATTCAAGTTTTTTAATAGATATTGCATTGTAAACCTTTTCACCCAGTCTGTGCCTTACCTTTTCATTTTTTTAACACTGTTGTTTAATCAGAAGACATTTTAATCTTGATAAAGGCTGAGTTTCCCATTTTCTTTTCTATAAAGTGATTTTTGATCTTCTTTAAAAAACCATTCCTGCAAACATTTTTCTCCTATATTTTTTCCAGAAGCTTTATAGTTTTAACTTTTACATACATGTTGATGACTCATCTTAAATTAATTCTAGTATATATATGGGAATATGTGGGAGCTGAGGGCTGTATTTTTAAATATATTATTCAATGTTTCCAGCATATGTGATGAGAGGCTTTTTTTCATTGAGAAAAATAATTTTATATTGTGGGTCAAATTTTCTTTCATTGATTTGTCTATCCTAATGTAATACCATATACCACTGAATATTGTGATGTTTTCTTGCCCCTTGAAATCAGGTAGTGTATTTCCTCAAATTTTGTTTTTTATTTTCAATAATTATGCTTGCTAATATATGCCCCATGCATTTCCATATACGTTTTAAAATCAGTTTTTAACTTCTATTAAAAAACAGTGCCATGTAACTTCATTGAGATCGTACTGAAACTACAGAACAATTTGGGAAGAACTGATATCTTAACAAAACTAGGCTTTCACATATATGACCATTACATACATATTTTCTTTTTATTCTATGTCCTGTTTATTTTCTCTTAGGAATGTCTTTTAATTTTTATCAAGAAGAAAGTTTTTACTTCAACTTGGTTAAATTTATTATTATTTATGTTTTTATGAAAAATGTAAATTACATTTTTAAATGTAATATTTCTATTGTTTACCGTCAACATAGTAAAATACAATTTATTTCTGGATAATGATCTTGCATGCTACAATGTTGCTAATGTATTGATTATAGTAGCTTAATATTCATGTTACTATTCTAGATAAGCAATTTTGCACTCTGAATAAATAAACTTTATTTAATTTATAAACTTTATAACTTGCATGATGGACTAATTGCCATTTTTATGCTGACTAGGACTTTGAGGATCAAGTTGAATATAAATGAAGAATGGACATCTTGCCTGGGCTAAATTTCAAGAGAAATAAGTTTAATATTTCACCTTTGTGTATTACATTAGCTATATGCATGATGATACCTAAAGAGTTGTTGTCAGATTGTTTAAATCATATTAAAGAAATTCAATTTCTAGTTTCCTGCGAGTTTTAACTATGGTTAGACATTGAATTTTGTCATCTATTTTTCTGTATTTTCTGAAATAATGTCCTTCATTTTTTTACAAGAATGAACATTTGGAAACCAATATTATACTATTTAAATTACCCTCACATAGTTATGATGTATCATCTATTTTATACATTATTATATTCAGTTTGCTAATATTGTATTAATAGTTTTTATGTCTATCATTAGGAGTATTGGTTGAAAAAATTCAGCAATAAAACTGTTTGAATTGGGACTTTCTTTCTGAGAAAGATTTTTGTTATGGACTCAATTTCTTCACAAGATTATAAACCTATTCATGTTTTCTATTTCTTCTGCAAGTTTTATAACTTGGATTTCAAGTAATGTGTCCATTTCATCGAGTTTTAAAAATTATTAGCATAAGTTAGTTAATAATTTCCCCTTATTCTTTAATATTCATACAATCTGTATCAATACCTTTCTTTCATTACTGCTATTTGCTATTTTTTTTTATCCTTTTTCATCATGCTTTTTAGGGGCTTAAAAATTTTATGGATCTTTTCAAAAACTAACTTGCCTTAAATATTCTCAATTTTAGGTATGCTTTATATTTCCTTTATTTTTAAAAAAAGTTTTATTATCTTTAAAATAAAGATAATATTTTAAAATATTTTTAGTATTGATTACCATATTTAAGATTTATGAGGCTTTTCAGTCCTTATACATCTGATCTCTCAAATAATGTCATTTTCCTTCTAAGGAGTGTTGCTTAAGCAATGTTTCTAGTATAATTCTGCTGATTACTCGGCCTTTTTTTTAGTATGCTATGTTTTTTAATGTATAAAATCCAAATCAATTTAATTATTAAATAATATTTCAGACATTTTATTCTGAATGAATTGATTTCAGAGATACTAGCATCTTAGATCTATTACTCAATTATCTTCTAATCTTCTTTGTTTCTAATGAAAATTCAGTTTGTTCCCCTGGGTCAGTTTGGGTCCCAGGAAAATGTATGTCAAGAGGAAATAGGCATTTAAGAGATTATTTGGGAGAAATGCCTATGAAGAATAATTTGAGAGGGAGCGGCTCATAGATGAAGAACACCTATAGACCATAATATAAGTCTGACATATGTGAAAAGATAGAGAGAAAGAATTGGGTAATATGAATATTAGACAGCAGGAGGTTTCTAAGAAAGTCTTGACTAGCTTGGTAAGCAGTTTGTGAGCAAAGATTGCTCATTAGAGAAGTCCTTCATCATGCAGGAGTGACCCAGCACTATTATCCCTGCTGTGTCAGAAGAAAGGAGCCTCAAGGAAGTATAGTCTTGGAGTAGATATTGTGGGAAAGAAAATAAAGTAGTAGAGATTGTTAGTAAAGTTCTCAGTATGCTATGTTCTCTTCAATTAAGATGAAGATGTAGTCACGCATTTAAATGGCTGACAAACCCTAGACATAATAGATCTTTATTCTCTGGCTGCATGTAATAATTTTACTTTAATTTTGGTATTTAGCAATTTTACAATAATATATATAGGGTTTGTGGCTTGTTTGTAATTTTTTAGCTTTTTTTTAATTTTTTTTTTTTTGAGTTCACTAAAGTTACATAAGTAGGTTGATGCCTTAGTCCAGTTGTGCTGCTATAGTAGAATACCTGAGACTGGATAATTTAGAAAGAACAAATTTTCATCTTCTCATAGTTCTAGAGGCTGGGAAGTCCAACATCAAGGTACTGGGATCTGACAAGCCCCTTCTTGCTGCATCCTCCAGAGGGGAGGAACACTGTATCTTCACATGGTAGAAGGCAAAAGGGCAAAGAAACAAAAAGAAGCTGAACTGGACCTTTTATAATCCCACCCATGAGGGTGGGGCCTTCATGACCTATCAGCTCTTAAAGATCCCACCTCTTAATACTGTCACAAGGTAAATTAAATTTCAACATGAGTTTTGGATGGCATAAATATTCAAACCATAGCAATTTATGCTACACTACATTTGGGACATCTTCAACATTTATTTTTTCAAAAATATTGTATTTTTGAAATCTTAAAAAATATTGCATTTTTGAAATGAAAGAAATCATTCTCTCATCTCTTTTTTTTTTGTAAAATCATTTACATATAGATTTGACTGTTTTAGGTTGTCTCACATGTCATTTTGGCTCTCTCTTTTTATTTTTATTTTTTAATTTTAGCCATTTTTTTGCATCTTCAGATTTTGAAATTTCTATTATTTTTCTTCACATTTACTAATATTTTCTTCTGTCATCTTCAAACTGCTGCTATTTCCATTTTAATATATCAATTTCATATGCTGTAATTTTTTATTTTAGATTTTCCTTTCTAAATTTTTTTCTTAGAGACAAGGTGTTGCTCTGTTGCCCTAGCTGGAGTGCAATAGTGGGATCATAGTTCACTGCAGCCTTGACCTTCCCGGCTCAAATGATCCTCCCACTTTAGCATCCCAAGTAGCTGGGATCACAAGCACATACCACAATGCCTGGCTATTTTTTAAATTTTTTGTAAAGAAGAGGTCTCACTCTGTTGCCTAGGCTACTTTTGAAATCTTGGGCTCCAGCAATCTTCCCACCTTGGCCTCCCAAAGTGCTGAGATTACAGGCATGAGCCACTGTGTCCAGACTCCCTTTTTTCACTTTCAGTTCTTCTTCTGAGACTGAAATATTTCATCTGGTAGTTCATTTTTCTCATCTGTATATTAAATGCTTTGACATACATATAATGTGTGTATTATACAATTGCCTAAAAATGTGAACCTGTATGTCATCTTGGTTCTTACATTGGCTTCTTTTATCTTGATTGTGGGCCATATTTTTTTTTTTACTTCTTCATATATTTTATTGTATGCTGTACATTATGGTTTATACATTGTGAAAAGTCTGGAATATGTTGTATTCTTTTAAGGGGTGTTGAATTTTGTTCTGGCAGACAGTTAATTTTTACAAATTCACTTGATCCAATAATGATGGTTGTATTCTTTGTTAGAGTTGATCTATTTTAATTTGGGCTTTAGTCAGCTATGTCTGATCAGTTCTAAGGATCGCAGGACTTTTTAGGAGATGTGGAATATCACCCTTTACATGCAGTCAAGGATCAACAGCTAACCCACTAACTACTCTGTACAACTTCTTTCTACCCTATACCAATCCTTCACATTCCAGGTGTTTTGTTATCTTCAAATTCTGATCTCCCCCAGACCCATCTCAAAAAAGTGTTCTGTACTCTGTCTTAGCTCGACCTTCCTGTACCACGGTCCAGAAAAAAGGTCCTGGGTGGAAATTCAAGTCAAGTGTAAAACTTAAATTGTGTGTTTCTTCTCTTTCAAAAAACACAGTTGTGTATAATTTACTGCCTAAAGACTGTGAGAAGTGCCTGATATAGTTTATCTAGCTTTATAGTTGTGTCATATGGAATGGCAACTGTAGTATAAGTTATTTTATCAAAGTGAGAAATAGAAATATGTTTCTATTATTATTGTGCAGTGGAAATATTTTCTCTTCTCTTTTAAAGAGACCATTTAAAATCCTCATGTCATTTTACATGAACCGTTATCAATCCATTGATCTTAAGTGCTTTAATTATTCTTCAGTTGTTTAACTTACATTAAGAAATACTTTAAACTCATTAAATTTTATATTTATGATCTAGGCACATTGTTTTACTTTATGATATGTCTTTCTGCAACTTGATCTTTCAGTTGACACATAAATTTTCATTACAAGCTTCAGGTCATGCTAAATTTTTATTATTGTGCCTTTTTATCTTAACCCATCTACTGATAAGATATGAAAAGGACAGAGTTAAAGGTAAAGTTCAATTGAAAACTGTTTAATAACATCAGCCTTCTAGGTTGAGACTTGCCTGTCAATCACTATTTTCAGTGTCAATCCTAACTATTTTTACTTAATTTACCTAACATATCTATACATGCTTAGTCGAATAATTAATTACTTCAAAAGACATTTTAGATGTCAATTGTCTACACTACCAAGGCTTATATCATCATTGGGAAAAAGAAAATATGAACCTGCTTGCACTTTATGCCAACTGGATGATGAAACATCATCAATTGACCACTTATGTTTATCTTCTTTCTTTAATGCAACCATGTTACAATGATAGAAATGACATATAAAAAGCTGTAAATTCACAGGGACAAAGAGAATAGGAAAAGTGACAATAATGGATGGGATTTTCCACTTTAGGAAAATGAAATATAAGACTTAATTTGGCTAAATATAGACATAGTGTAACTTAGGTGACTACAGAAAAGAGTCCCAACAAACATTCAGTCAGGTTGTTCATAGATTTCTGATAATATACATGTCTTCCCAATCCTACCCTTCCCCATAATAGATTCATGTATTACCACTGGAAAACTCAATAGGCCTAGAAGAATAAAAGCTCCAGACACTGTCCTTAAGTTTCCAAGATGAATAGCATGGCAAACCATCACCAGATTATCTATTAGTGTCAACTGGCTAATTAGGCTCCTCCATTCACAAAGGGCATGGTACCAGCTATTTAAAATTCTCACTGTTAATTATTAAGTATTTTACATAGATCATCAAGCCTCAACTCATTTATACAGAAAGTGGAAATTAAAACAAATGAACAATCAAACACTTGTCTATTTGTGAAGATATAAGTGTCCTGAGTGGAAGGACACACTGGGAGCCCAGTACAATAAGATAAATGATTCAAAACAGGACACACCATTGTGGAATTTTAGAAAGCCAGGTAAAAATAAGATTTTAAATATCCCATAAAGGAAAAGAAAGAAACACACACAGAGAACCACAATAAATCACCCACGCAGGAATGAGGCAGTATCAGATTTTCAATAGCAACATTGATGAAAGAATAAAATACTTTCATGTTCTAGGGAAATATGTAAGTTATGCATATAAAGAAAAAATTAAGTTGTTTTGAAGCACACAGGGGCTCAATATTTTACCTACCAAATCGCTTTCTTCTTTCTTAAAAAATTACTGGAAGCTGTTCTCCAGAAAACTAAGGTCTGGGGTGGGAAAGAAGAAAGAAGATATGTAATCTAATACAGAAAAGTGTCAAAGGGAAGGACCATATGGGAGCGATTTCATCCAATGGAGGAATAACCCAATGTAACACCAAGAGAGGCAGCCCCAGGAGGAAAGAAAGGAACAAAAAGTGAATATCTGAGGTCTGTATTTGGACAAGATCTGTTTATGGAAGTACGCCAAGTATATGGTGATAGGTACATAAAAGCCAAAGCAATGAAAAAATTAGCCAACTGATATACTTAAGGACAAAATTACATGAATATGATAATTGTTCATTATTTGATCCTTAAATTTAAAATTTTACATATTCACATTTGATACTGATGTAAGTAAAAAATGTGTGATAAAATTATATTGACAGATGAAATTAAGAGAGAGGATGAAATAATATTGTCAAAAATGATCTAAATTTGGTGGATTAAAATGGAGAAACATATGCCAATGGGATTGTATATTTGACTATTGGCATATGAGAGCAGTTCTGATTTTATTTTATCTCTTTTATGGCAAATAAAAGATATTTTATCTCTTTTATGGCAAATAACTTTTATCTCTTTCATGGCAAATGTCATGACAAATGTCCACATTGAAGTGTACTTGTCTTTCAGTATCTGTGGGAAATTGCTTCCAGGACTTTTCCCTGCGGATATCAAAATGGATGCTCAAATCCCATATGTAAAATTGCATAGTATTTTCATATAACCTATGCATATCCTCATGTATAATTCAAATCATCGGTAGATTACTTATAATGCCTAAAAATGTAAATGCTTTGTAAGTAGATCTAATATTGTACTGTTTAGGAAATAATGACAAGAAAAATCAGTCTGTATATGATTAGCATAGATGTAACCATCCATTTTTTTCCTCCAAATTTTTCAGTGCACATATGGTTGACTCCATGGATATGAAGCCCATATATATGGAGAGTCAATTGTATTTTCCTATTTTTAAAATTTTTTTTCTTTGGTTTTACTTTACTTTCAATAATAGATGCAATTTACAAATAAATTACATTGGTTTTGATGTGTCAAATTTATCTTTAACTTGTTGTCTCCTTAAGTGAGTTTTACAATAATATTTTTAAAGTATTTTTGCCTGGTAAATGCTCATATCACCTTTCTAAAAATGTGTTTCTTTTGGCCTCAATCTTTAAAGATGTGTTATCTGTTTATAAAATTCCAATGTGATAATATTATTTAGCATTGCAAAATATATAGTGTTTCTAACTTCATATACACAAACTATGTGCTATTAATTCACTCAACATTTATTTTTAGATAAGCAGAATTGTCATTGTTTTTCTTTATCATGTATCTGACTATAAATTTATGTTTCTTTTTTTTCTTAGGTCACAATATAATTTTGTTCTACAAACATATCTTTCCTCAATCATAGAGAATTCTCAACTAATCAGTTTTCAAATATTCATTAATATTCTACACTATTTGGAAATTGCTACATATGTATAGGATAATATCACTCTATCCATTAAGTCTTTTAAATGCATATATTTATATCTGCAAACACCTACATAGACACATTTAGACATGCACAGTGGTCATACAGTACAAAACAGAAATAATATTATTTTATTATACCATGATACCATATGAATTAACTACCTATTGCATACATCCACATGTATATTCAGAAACCATAGTGACTTCTCTTTGTCTCTGTTTTTCATTTAGACTTATCTCTGCATCCCATTATATCACAAAAATTCTCACTCTTTCTTTGTTCTAATTGAGCCATAATTGTATAGAACTTACTAATAATGGTTTTGATTAATGACCCACTGTCATAATTTGCACACCTATAATTTATATATTTTAATGTTTTTCATCAATTACTGTTTAATAATAATGTTGACATTCTTTGCTTACTATCCAGATATTTGTCACATAATATTATATCAGTAATACTCATCCATGTTTGTTGTTTCTTGCTGCTAATTCTAATATTTTTATTTGAATTTTCTTGCATTTTTGCTTTGTTATTGATAAAAAATTATTATACATATTTTAGGGTACATGTGATATTTTGATACATGCATACAATGTGTCAATGTCAAATCAGGGTAATTGGACATTCATTGCCTTAAACATTTATCTTTTCTTCACATCGCGAACATTCAAAATGTTATCTTCTAGCTATTTTGAGATGTACAATACATTACTAACTGTAATTTATCTACTGTACTATCAAATACTGGAACTTGTTCCTTCTATCTAACTGCATTTTTGTGCCTCTTAACCAACTTCTCCCCATCCTTTCCTTTTCACATATCTTTCCCAGCCTCTGGTGTTTATTATACTATTCTCTTATCTCCATGAGATAAACTTTTTCAGCTTCCACATAGGAGTGAGGATATGCTATATTTATCTTTCCTTGCTGAGATTATTTATTTCACTTAAATATGATGTCCCCTACTTTCACCCATATTGTTCTAAATAAAAAAAATTCATTTTTATGGCTAAATAATATTCCATCGTGTAAATATGCTACATTTTCTTTACATATTCATAAGATGATGAACACAAGGTTTGATTCCATATTTTGACTATTGTGACTAGTGCTGCAATAAACATGAAAATGCAGATATCTCTTTGATATATTTGTTTCTTTTCTTTTTAATATATACTCAGCAGTGGGATTGCTAGATCCAGTCTATCACTGATGGGCATTTGGGTTGATTCCATGTCTTAGCTATTGTGAATAATGCTGCAGTGAACATACACATGCATGTATCTTTGTAATACAATGACTTATGTTCCTTTGGGAATATACCCAGTAATGGGATTGCCAGATCAAATAGTATTTCTGGTTCTCGACCTTTGAGGAATCGCCACCATCTTCCACAATAGTTGAACTAATATACATTCCCACCAACAGTGTAAAAGTGTTTCCATTTCTCTACAACCTTGCCAGCATCTGTTGTTTCTTGAGTTTTTAATAATTGCCATTCTGACTGGCATGAGATGGTATCTCATTGTGGTTTTGATTTGCATTTCTCTAATGATCAGTGATGTTGAGCTTTTCTTCATATGTTTGTTGGCCATATGAATGTCTTCTTTTGAGAAGTGTGTGTTCATCTCCTTTGCCCACCTTTTAATGGGGCTTTGCTCTTTTTGCTCAAGATTGCTTTAATTATTCAGGGTCTGGAGTGGACCCCCAGCAAACTGCAGCAGCCCTACAAAAGAGGGGCCTGACTGCTAAAAGAAAAACAATCAGAAAGCAACAACTACATCAACAAAACAGACTCCACAAAAACCCTATCCAAACATCAGCAGCCTCAAAGATCAAAGGTAAATAAGCCCATGAAGATGAGAAAGAATCAAAACAAAAATGTTGAAAACTCAAAAAGAGTGCCTCTTCTCCTCCAAATGATCACAACACGTCTCTAGCAAGGGCACAGAACTGAGCTGAGGCTGAGGTGGATGAATTGACAGAAGTAGGCTTCAGAAGATGGGTAATAATGAACTTCGCTGAGTTAAAAAATTATGTTCTAACTCATTGCAAAGAAGCTAAGAACCATGATAAACATTACCGGATCTATGAATCAGAATAACCAGTCTAGAGAAGGACATAAATGACCTGATGGAGCTGAAAAACACAACATGAGAACTTCACAATGCAAACACAAGTATCAATAGCCAAATAGACCAAGCAGAAGAAAGGATATCAGAACTTGAAGAGTATCCTGATGAAAATAAGGCAGGCAGACAAGATTAGAGAGAAAAAAAACAATGAAAAGGAGTGAACAAAACCTCCAAGAACTACGGGATTACGTTAAAAGACTGAACCTGTGATTATAGGGTACCTGAAAGAAGCAGGGAGAATGGAACCAAGTTGGAAAACACACTTCAGGATATTATCTAGGGGAACTTCCCCAACCTAGCAAGACAGGAACATTCAAATTCAGGAAACATTCAAATTCAGGAAATCCAGAGAACCCCAGTAAGATATTCCATGAGAAGGTCAACCCCAAGGCACATAATAATCAGATTCTCCAAGGTTGAAATGAAGGAAAAAATGTTAAGGGCAGCCAGAGAGAAAGGCCAGGTCACCTATAAAGGGAACCCCTTCAGACTAACAGAGGAGCTATCAGCAAAAACCCTACAAGCCAGAAGAGATTCAGGGACAATATTCAACATTCTTAAAGAAAATAATTTTCAATCTAGAATTTCATATCTGGCCAAACTAAGCTTCATAAGTGAAGGAGAAATAAAATATTTTTCAGAAAAGCTGAGGGAATCTGTCACCACCAGGTCTGCCTTGCAAGAGCTCCTGAAGGAAGCACTAAATATGGAAAGTAAAAACTCTTACCAGCCACTACAAAAACACAGTGAAGTATAAAGACTAGTGACACTATGAAGCAACTACATAAACAAGACTGCAAAATAACCAGCTAGCATCATGATGACAGGAACAAATTCACACTGACCATATTTTCAAATAGTCTTTTTACTTTTGCTTGAACCATTCTGCTATTAAGAGTCCCTAATGCATTTTTCAGCTCAGCAAATGTATTTCTCAGTTTCATGATTTCCACTTTTTTTTTTTTAAGTTTCAATGTCTTTGTTAAATTTCTCTGATACATTTCTGAATTGCTTTTCTGTGTTATCTTGTAGTTTGCTGAGTTTACTTAAAACGGCTATTTTGAATCTTGATTTCAGAACTCATATGTCAGTGTCTCATTAGGGTCAGTTACTGGCTTCTTTGTCCATTTGGGGAGGTCATGTTTCCCTGTTTGCCATTTTTCTCTTGTGGACATACATCTGTGTCATCACATTGAGGGATTAGTTACTTATTTCAGTCTTCTCTGTCCACTTGTTTTGGTCTTTCCAGTGTTAATGGTGGAATCTGTATGGGTCTGCAGCAACCTCAATTCTTGCCTCCTGAGAAGAAAGAATTTCACCGAGGGGCATAAGACAGAGTGAAAGATTGAGGCAGGTTTTAGAGCAAAAGTGAAAGTTTATTAATAAGCTTTAGAGCAGGAATGAAAGGAAATAAAGTACCCTTGGAAGAGGGCCAAGCAGGCGACTTGAGATATCAAGTGCACTGTTGGACCTTTGACTCTGGGTTTTACATGTCTCCATTATTCCGGGGTCTTGCATCCCTTTTCCCCTGATTCTTCCCTTGGGGTGGGCTATCTGCATGCACCCTGTCCGGCCAGCACTTGGGAGGGGCCGCAAATGCAGTGTATTTACTGGAGTTATATACATGCTCACTTGAAACATTCTTCCCTTACTAGTCTAGCTTTGCTACAGGAAGGTCATATACCAGTTAAACTCTTTCATTTTGCCAGGTAGTGTGCATGCTTGAGCCCACTCGCCCAATTCCTGAGATCTTATCAGGAGGTTGCTGATCACCAGTTTCAGTTTTTTTTCCTACCTGTTGGGAGACTGTCTTTCCCTGGCACCAGCTGGGACTAATTATTATTTTATAAAGAAAGTTTAGCAATCTCCTGACAATCACCTGATGGATGCCTGACATTCCTGTTGGAGGTCAGGGGCCCTTCTCCTGCCCTACTCATGTCTGACTGGCTACCTACTGTAACACTGGGGTATGTTTCCTTAGAGGTTTTTTTTTTTTTTTTCAATTCATAGGTTGAATCCTCTTTACCGTAGGTTATTGTTTCCTTTTCAGCTCTAGATGGCATTTTAAGTCCAGGTTTGTTTGGAGCGCTACCCATTCCAGACGGTGAGGGGATTACAAAGGAGATACCTTGGTTATGTGAGAAGTCCGGCTAGGAGTTCATGCCCAGAGCGCTCATGGAATGCTTCTACTACAGTGTGTTGCCACTGAGCAGCCACTCTGATTTGGCATCGCCTTTGGCTGAGATAAACAGTGCATTTAGCAGGCGAGGGTTGCAAGTCTTGCCTTCTCTCTTTGTATCAAGCTGCCTCAGCAGTTTCTCTATTTTCAGGCACTCATCATGCTTCCTGTAAGTTGAAGTAGGGACATTTTTCCTCTGAAAGAACCCAAAATGGTGAGAAAGTTGACCATTTCAATCTTTTTCCAGTGTAGAAACCATGATTCCAAGAGGTATTTTTTACATGGTACCTGGTGGCTTGGGAAAGGAGCATCATAGACATAGAAGTCCATTTCTTTTAAAATCCTCTCAGAGTTTTTCACTTCTCAGTGGCTCTGGGGATTACATGATCCTCAGCTTTTAGACATCGATATCGCTGGTGATAAAGTGGGCACTGTATATTTGGTTCTGGTTTCCTTTGAGGAAGAGTGAAGCCAGATTGTTTCTACTTTGTCATTTTGGTGAACATAATTTTTATATACTTCATGTGTACATGAGAAGAATGTGTGTCCTCCTTTTGTAAGGTACGGAAAAGTTAATTGATTTGAAAAGAATTATTCAACAGTTTTATTGAGTGCATTATAGGATTCTGATAGCAAATGGCAGAACCAAGATTTAAACCCTGGCCTTTCTGACAATTAAGTAAAAGTATATTATGCTAGACTAAATATTAAGTTGCAGTTTTCAAAGATAAATATAGCAAATAATATTAAAATTTACTTTATTAAGAAATAATATGTATCTATACAGGCACATACACATAGTTAAATAGGTCGATTTATTTATGTACGGACAGATTTAATATGTGTAACACATAAAATGCCTTACAATCGTTAATAGTCTATTTAACCTATAACATGTTGAAAATTAATTTAATTAATTTCCAAGGAAAATCAGGGTTAGAATTAATCACTATATTATAATTTACAGTGTTCTCTGTCAACTTAATGGCTCTAGAACTACTATACTGGTATTTCTAAAAAATGAGTTGCTACTTCACAAAATGTCAATATCAGGGCTATAGTCAGAAATTCTTAGAAAAGAAGGTTGCAGGAATTCATACTGGAAAATATATGTGTCTTCTTAAATCAGCACATTACCAATATTAGAAACTCTATAAACCATAAAAACTAGATTTAATGTATGTGCTGAATGCCAAATGAATGAGATTTTATTCCTGGTTTTCAGCTGTAGTTTGTTACATTAATGAATAATTCTCATAGATTCTCATAGATTGTAATATGCCTTGATCCAGACTTTTTCTTTCTTTTGTGTATATTCATATGTACACATACGGATACACATATGTGTGAAAAAACATGTGTATAGTCATGTGTGTATATGTATATGTTCCTGATCAATGAGTGAGAAAATTAAATGTTTAAGCATTAATTGTTTCTGTTTCAGGTATTATAAATTAATATATTGTGAGCTCAGTTAGCATTGCACATTAAATAAAAGCTGTTCATAAATATTTATTAGTATGCAGCTACTTCACATACACTTATTTTAATATTATTACATGACATAATGTTCAATTAGGTGAATGGTAACTAACTTTATTTAATGCACTGTGAAATTGATGTTAAGAATTAAAAAAATATTTTCTCCATCTTTGTTTGAAGTTCTGCTTTTACTTTAAGATGGATAATAAAAACTACAATTTATTAGGGTTCGTCTCTTTGTTTGATGCTTTTATAGTTCTGGACAAAAGCCCACTCACCGTAAAACTATGGCATCTTCCATACCAGCAGTTGCTCTTTCAAGAAGATTTGCTTGTTGTTAATTCATTTATCTTCTCTAACTTCTCTAACTGAGTGCTCAATCTAGGCAAGCACAGGCGCTAAATTTGTAGGTGTAGAGATGAGTAAAGTCTTTAGAATCAAAATGTTCATGAACACATAGGTAAGCAAGAAATCTACATGAATACTTGGAATGCAATAGTTGAGGTCTTATCAGAAGGATTTGGGAGCATAGAGTACAAAATATTTTATATAAACCATTTAAAAATTATGCCACAAGTATGAATGTTGACATTTGCATATGGAAACCTGGAGATTTACAATTCCTTTAATCCCTCTCTTACGTATTGTTGCCTTCATTCCAAGTCTCTTGCTTACAGATCGAAGTACTTAACCAGTCCAGAAAAATATTTTCCAGAATCTGATACCCACAAAATGCTTAAAGAATTATTTGCTTCTCAAACCTGAGACTCTTATACTCAGCTTTTCCCTGGAGCATTGCTTCCGGGTTTCTACTAATTTGCATTTCACCTTCAGCTACTCCAAAACCAGTAGTTCAGTCCAGAAAACGCTTACTCAGGATGAAGAAAAGCTCTTAGTTACTTGTTAGAGATGCAGCTGCCCTCCCTCCACCCTTTTTATTCTTCTATTTTTAAAAATAAGACAACTATTGATCTTTGAAATAACGACCCAAAGACTACTTCTTACATCTCTTATATTTTGCTCTAAAACTAAAACAACATTCTTTCCTATATTTGGTTTTATCATCAATTCAAGTTCTTAGAATTTAGAGACCACCAACTCCCTGTTGTCAATATTTGACTGTCCAGGCAAATTAATGAAGCACATACTAGAATAAAAGAGCATGGTATATATCACATAAGAAAACTTCAGCAAGGCAAAAAAATTATAAAATACCTGAAAGAAGAAAGACAACATTTTTAATGAGTCAGACTTTCCTAGAATTTAAATCAAAAGATGTGGACATTGGAAGATTTGTCCCCCATGTCTGAGATAATTAAAGCCCCTAGATTTTGAAGTCATGAACTAATATTTAAAGGCCCTTTGGGTAGGAGGACAGCTGCATACTGCAATAGTTAATGTTATATTGCAGGGAGGCTGTATTTTACTTGGGAGGACAAATTATAAGTAATTGTAGATAGTGAGATGATGAACTTTTTTTCTAACACCTACAGCTTGCTGGCCTTCTATATTTTTAATCCTTAGAATCTATTTTTCTTGCTTTGTGTCATTTCATTATACATCAGTGCCCTTCTTTGGTTATTTGGTTATTATTCTGTCCATAGACTCTCAAGAGGTTTTACTGTAATTTTACCTAACTCTGCAGTTGGAGTCATTATCTCTTTACTTGGTTAAATATTGAGTTAGATGACTTTCATACTAGGGGTGAAATATATATTTCTGACAACTTTCCAGTTCTAACATCTAGAGTAGCCTTACCTTTATTAGGATACAAAAATTGGTAAGCCTGAAGTAATCTGCCTTTTCTTTTTCTAAACGGAACAAAGTTGGATGAAGAATGACTTTGACGAGTTGAGAGAAGAAGGCTTCAGACGATCAAATTACTCTGAGCTATGGGAGGACATTCAAACCAAAGGCAAAGAAGTTGAAAACTTTGAAAAAAAATTAGAAGAATGTATAACTAGAATAACCAATACAGAGAAGTGCTTAAAGGAGCTGATGGAGCTGAAAACCAAGGCTCGAGAACTACGTGAAGAATGCAGAAGCCTCAGGAGCCGATGCGATCAACTGGAAGAAAGGGTATCAGCAATGGAAGATGAAATGAATGAAATGAAGCGAGAAGGGAAGTTTAGAGAAAAAAGAATAAAAAAGAAACGAGCAAAGCCTCCAAGAAATATGGGACTATGTGAAAAGACCAAATCTACGTCTGATTGGTGTACCTGAAAGTGATGGGGAGAATGGAACCAAGTTGGAAAACACTCTGCAGGATATTATCCAGGAGAACTTCCCCAATCTAGCAAGGCAGGCCAACGTTCAGATTCAGGAAATACAGAGAACGCCACAAAGATACTCCTCGAGAAGAGCAACTCCAAGACACATAATTGTCAGATTCACCAGAGTTGAAATGAAGGAAAAAATGTTCAGGGCAGCCAGAGAGAAAGGTCAGGTTACCCTCAAAGGGAAGCCCATCAGACTAACAGCGGATCTCTCGGCAGAAACCCTACAAGCCAGAAGAGAGTGGGGGCCAATGTTCAACATTCTTAAAGACAAGAATTTTCAACCCAGAATTTCATATCCAGCCAAACTAAGCTTCATAAGCGAAGGAGAAATAAAATACTTTACAGACAAGCAAATGCTGAGAGATTTTGTCACCTCCAGGCCTGCCCTAAAAGAGCTCCTGAAGGAAGCGCTAAACACGGAAAGGAACAACCGGTACCAGCCGCTGCAAAATCATGCCAAAATGTAAAGACCATCAAGACTAGGAAGAAACTGCATCAACTAACGAGCAAAATAACCAGCTAACATCATAATGACAGGATCAAATTCACACATAACAATATTAACTTTAAATGTAAATGGACTAAATGCTCCAATTAAAAGACACAGACTGGCAAATTGGATAAAGAGTCAAGACCCATCAGTGTGCTGTATTCAGGAAACCCATCTCACGTGCAGAGACACACATAGGCTCAAAATAAAAGGATGGAGGAAGATCTACCAAGCCAATAGAAAACAAAAAAAGGCAGGGGTTGCAATCCTAGTCTCTGATAAAACAGACTTTAAACCAACAAAGATCAAAAGAGAAAAAGAAGGCCATTACATAATGGTAAAGGGATCAATTCAACAAGAAGAGCTAACTATCCTAAATATATATGCACCCAATACAGGAGCACCCAGATTCATAAAGCAAGTCCTGAGTGACCTACAAAGAGACTTAGACTCCCATACATTAATAATGGGAGACTTTAACACCCCACTGTCAACATTAGACAGATCAACGAGACAGAAAGTCAACAAGGATACCCAGGAATTGAACTCAGCTCTGCACCAAGCGGACCTAATAGACATCTACAGAACTCTCCACCCCAAATCAACAGAATATACATTTTTTTCAGCACCACACCACACCTATTCCAAAATTGACCACATACTTGGAAGTACAGCTCTCCTCAGCAAATGTAAAAGAACAGAAATTATAACAAACTATCTCTCAGACCACAGTGCAATCAAACTAGAACTCAGAATTAAGAATCTCACTCAAAACCGCTCAACTACATGGAAACTGAACAACCTGCTCCTGAATGACTACTGGATACATAACGAAATGAAGGCAGAAATAAAGATGTTCTTTGAAACCAACGAGAACAAAGACACAACATAGCAGAATCTCTGGGACCCATTCAAAGCAGTGTGTAGAGGGAAATTTATAGCACTAAATGCCCACAAGAGAAAGCAGGAAAGATCCAAAATTGACACCCTAACATCACAATTAAAAGAACTAGAAAAGCAAGAGCAAACACATTCAAAAGCTAGCAGAATGCAAGAAATAACTAAAATCAGAGCAGAACTGAAGGAAATAGAGACACAAAAAACCCTTCAAAAAATTAATGAATCCAGGAGCTGGTTTTTTGAAAGGATCAACAAAATTGATAGACCGCTAGCAAGACTAATAAAGAAAAAAAGAGAGAAGAATCTAATAGACGCAATAAAAAATGATAAAGGGGGTATCACCACCGATCCGACAGAAATACAAACTACCATCAGAGAATACTACAAACACCTCTACGCAAATAAACTAGAAAATCTAGAAGAAATGGATAAATTCCTCGACACATACACTCTCCCAAGACTAAACCAGGAAGAAGTTGAATCTCTGAATAGACCAATAACAGGATTGAAATTGTGGCAATAATCAATAGCTTACCAACCAAAAAGAGTCCAGGACCAGAGGGATTCACAGCCGAATTCTACCAGAGGTACAAGGAGGAACTGGTACCATTCCTTCTGAAACTATTCCAATCAATCGAAAAAGAGGGAATCCTCCCTAACTCATTTTATGAGGCCAGCATCATTCTGATACCAAAGCCAGGCAGAGACACAACCAAAAAAGAGAATTTTAGACCAATATCCTTGATGAACATTGATGCAAAAATCCTCAGTAAAATACTGGCAAACCAAATCCAGCAGCACATCAAAAAGCTTATCCACCATGATCAAATGGGCTTCATCCCTGGGATGCAAGGCTGGTTCAATATATGCAAATCAATAAATGTAATCCAGCATATAAACAGAACCAAAGACAAAAACCACATGATTATCTCAATAGATGCAGAAAAAGCCTTTGACAAAATTCAACAACCCTTCATGCTAAAAACTCTCAATAAATTAGGTATTGATGGGACATATTTCAAAATAATAAGAGCTACCTATGACAAACCCACAGCCAATATCATACTGAATGGGCAAAAACTGGAAGCATTCCCTTTGAAAACTGGCACAAGACAGGGATGCCCTCTCTCACCACTCCTATTCAACATAGTGTTGGAAGTTCTGGTCAGGGCAATTAGGCAGGAGAAGGAAATAAAGGGTATTCAATTAGGAAAAGAGGAAGTCACATTGTCCCTGTTTGCAGATGACATGATTGTATATCTAGAAAACCCCATTGTCTCAGCCCAAAATCTCCTTAAGCTGATAAGCAACTTCAGCAAAGTCTCAGGATACAAAATCAATGTACAAAAATCAAAAGCATTCGTATACACCAGCAGCAGACAAACAGAGAGCCAAATCATGAGTGAACTCCCATTCACAATTGCTTCAAAGAGAATAAAATACCTAGGAATCCAACTTACACGGGATGTGAAGGACCTCTTCAAGGAGAACTACAAACCAGTGCTCAAGGAAATAAAAGAGGATACAAACAAATGGAAGAATATTCCATGCTCATGGGTAGGAAGAATCAATATCATGAAAATGGCCATACTGCCCAAGGTAATTTACAGATTCAATGCCATCCCCATCAAGCTACCAATGACTTTCGTCACAGAATTGGAAAAAACTACTTTAAAGTTCATATGGAACCAAAAAAGAGCCCGCATCGCCAAGTCAAAAGAACAAAGCTGGAGGCATCACACTACCTGACTTCAAACTATACTACAAGGCTACAGTAACCAAAACAGCATGGTACTGGTACCAAAACAGAGATATAGATCAATGGAACAGAACAGAGCCCTCAGAAATAATGCCACATATCTACAACTATCTGATCTTTGACAAACCTGAGAAAAACAAGCAATGGGGAAAGGATTCCCTATTTAATAAATGGTGCTGGGAAAACTGGCTAGCCATATGTAGAAAGCTGAAACTGGATCCCTTCCTTACACCTTATACAAAAATCAATTCAAGATGGATTAAAGACTTCAACGTTAGACCTAAAACCATAAAAACCCTAGAAGAAAACCTAGGCATTACCATTCAGGACATAGGCATGGGCAAGGACTTCATGTCTAAAACACCAAAAGCTATGGCAACAAAAGACAAAATTGACAAATGGGATCTAATTAAACTAAAGAGCTTCTGCACAGCAAAAGAAACTACCATCAGAGTGAACAGGCAACTTACAAAATGGGAGAAAATTTTCGCAACCTACTCATCTGACAAAGGGCTAATATCCAGAATCTACAAGGAACTCAAACAAATTTACAAGAAAAAAGCAAACAACCCCATCAAAAAGTGGGCGAAGGACATGAACAGACACTTCTCAAAAGAAGACATTTATGCAGCCAAAAAACACATGAAACAATGCTCATCATCACTGGCCATCAGAGAAATGCAAATCAAAACCACAATGAGATACCATCTCACACCAGTTAGAATGGCAATCACTAAAAAGTCAGGAAACAACAGGTGCTGGAGAGGATGTGGAGAAAGAGGAACACTTTTACACTGTTGGTGGGACTGTAAACTAGTTCAACCATTGTGGAAGTCAGTGTGGCGATTCCTCAGGCATCTAGAACTGGAAATACCATTTGACCCAGCCATCCCATTACTGCGTATATACCCAAAGGACTATAAATCATGCTGCTATAAAGACACATGCACACGTATGCTTATTGTGGCACTATTCACAATAGCAAAGACTTGGAACCAACCCAAATGTCCAACAATGATAGACTGGATTAAGAAAATGTGGCACATATACAGCATGGAATACTATGCAGCCATAAAAAATGATGAGTTCATGGCCTTTGTAGGGCCATGGATGAAATTGGAAATCATCATTCTCAGTAAACTATCACAAGAACAAAAAACCAAACACCGCATATTCTCACTCATAGGTGGGAGTTGAACAATGAGATCACATGGACACAGGAAGGGGAATATCACACTCTGGGGACTGTGGTGGGGTGGGGGAAGGGGGGAGGGATAGCATTGGGAGATATACCTAATGCTAGATGACGAGTTAGTGGGTGCAGCGCACCAGCATGGCACATGTATACATATGTAACTAAGCTGCACAATGTGCACATGTACCCTAAAACTTAAAGTATAATAAAAAAAAGGAAAGAAAAATGTTTTGTGACAGTTCTCAAATCGAAAAGTAGATTTCTTTTTAGGTTTTTGAGTTTATTGAAATACTAATTTCCATCAGTGAAGATAAATGAATTTTATCCCTAATTACAGTGTGTAGGATTTTTTTCTCTGAAAAAAAAAAACAAAAAACAAAAAACAAAAAACACACAGTGGAAAAGTTAAAAGTTTAAGCATTTACCTGACCTCTAAAATACCCTGTAAACCACTAATACCCAACTAAAAATAAGTGTCATTTTTAAGGATAAATATACTCAGTATATTACTCAGGACTCATTCAGTACCATGCTACAGAAAGATAATTCAAATCTGTCAAATCAGAATGAAAAAATAATTCACGGACTCATGTAACTGGGAAGTACTGGAGATAAAGCAGTTTTCTGGTATAGCTTGATCTGGAACTCCTTTCCGAACTTCCCAGTTAGTTCTGCTTACCTTTACTTGTCTTCATTATCAGATAAAACTTGTATGTGTGTGTGTGTTTGTGGGTGTGTGTGAGAGAGAGGAAGACAGGGAGATGGCAACATGGCAAGTGGCCATCTCATCATAATGGTCATTAATTTTTTTTCAGTGCAACAAAAAATATGGTATGTGCTAGTATCAACTATGTGGTGACTAGGAACGTAGGAGTGAACCAAAGCAATAAAAGTACATGCCCTCATGGAGTTTACATTCCTCTGAGGAATGACAGACAGTAATAAAATTAATGCCCACCTATTTCACTCTGCATGACATACACTGACTTCAGTGTTCATCCTCCACCTGTCTGGATCCATAAAATCTTTAGGTTATTTTTCAAAAGATACCCTTTCCAAATAAGCCTTTTCGAATGACCCTGTTTACAATTCCGTTCCACCTCCACTACCAGTACTTCCCATTTTCCTTGCCTTGTGTTTTTCTTTTTTCAAGATGTTTTTGCTATAATCTTACATAATGATGTTTATGAAACATGGGTACTTTTTCAAAAATACACAAAACTACTTAACTTCACAAATCCTTCTTTAGAATAAATGAACAGTAAAGCAGAAACTAGCTTTGCTGTTCCTGTAGTCTAATCTCAATTTTAAAATTGAAGAACTGGGGTTCCCATAATGTGAAGTGACTTGCTCTGAGCTTTAATACCAGTGTCTCATCACAGTGTTCTTATCTCTGTCACACAAAACTTTTGAATTGCTTAGTGATAACATTGTGAATGTTCCCATCAAAATATGTTTTCTAGTGATCCTGTTTTTAATTCTGTCCCACCTCCACTACCAGTACTTCCCATTCATTTTTCTTGCCTTACGTTTTTCTTTTTTCAAGATGTTTTTGCTATAATCTTACATAATGATGTTTATGAAATCTTTCATTACTATGTAAGCCATCAGAGACTTTTTTTCTCACTGTTGTGTAGCCATTGATTTTAATATAGCTACCATATAATAGGTTCTCACAAATGTTTGGTGAACTATTAATGGACTAGATGGTCCAAAGAGCAGAACTGGATTCAGACATTGTGGATCAGGAGCTTCAAAATTTTCAAAAGCTCTGTCTTTGTTTACTTTTTATCTCTATCTTTATTCCTATTTCTGTTTATTTGCATGAAAACACTCCACATGCATCAAAATTACTTTCAGCAGAATCAAGTCTAAATCATTCCTTAGAGTGAAATCTCTGAAAAGACATGCTCTATCTCTCTCTCTTATAACATGCTCTATTACAAGACACATGTGTTGGTATAATTCACTAACAGCCCATATCTGGGTCACAGATCCACTTCCGTGGTGGAGAAAGGGCCGTATGTAAAAAGAGTAGTTCTGAAAGGAAAAAGAGATTCAGGAGAGTAAAAAGGAACATGATTTATTATAATTCAGGATTTCAGACCAAGCCAGAACTTTGAAATAACAGCCTAGTTGATTTTTATTATTTTCTTTTTTTCCAGTGGAAATAAATGTCTAGGTTTGTTCTCTAAATAACAATGGTCATTGAATGGAATAATCAATCCAGAATAAGATGTACTTCTTAACTAAAGTAGTTAACATATTTTGATGGGAACATTCACAATGTTATCATTAAAGCAATTCAAAAGTTTTGTGTGACAGAGATAAGAACACTGTGATGAGACACTGGTATTAACGCTCAGAGCAAGTCACTTCACATTATGGGAACCCCGGTTCTTCAATTTTAGAATTGAGATTAGACTACAGGAACAGTAAAGCCAGTTTCTGCTTTACTGTTCATTTATTCTAAAGTAAGGATTTGTGGAGTTAAGCAGTTTTGTGTATTTTTGAAAAAGTACCCACAATATAACAAATATTTTTAGTATACATGAAAATGTATGTCTGCAAATGAACACATACCAAGTATTAACTAATGTCTATTAGTTTATGTTTTCTACCATAGGATCTCCACAAATAAAAATAAAACTTTGTCAGATTCTTAACAAACTCAAGTAGATTTATTGTTGTAGCCATTATTTCTAGACTTAAAAATATGAGACTTAAAAATATGAGAACACATTTTAAGTGCATTGATCTGGAAACATAAGTAATGAAGTTACATCAATGTAAATCATAGGCCCTATGTGACCAACACATTTAAACGTAACATCTTTCTCTAGTTAAAATTAAAACTAACCATTATTTTAATAGCAATAACGAATTAAAAACAAGCCCAAATAGGGCTACTTAATTGTTACATGGCAACACCTAGTCTAGGATGATTGTTACATGCTTCTAGCAACAAGTGCACATAAATAACTGCATTATGCTGCTACTGCTTTTTTGGTTTTTTTTGAGACGGAGTCTCACTCTGTCTCCCAGGCTGGAGTGCAGTGGTGCGATCTCGGCTCACTGCAAGCTCCGCCTCCCGGGTTCACGCCATTCTCCTGCCTCAGCCTCCCGAGTAGCTGGGACTACAGGCGCCCGCCGCCACGCCCAGCTAATTTTTTTTTTTTTTGTATTTTTAGTTGAGACGGGCTTTCACCGTGTTAACCAGGATGGTCTAGATCTCCTGACGTCATGATCCGCCCGCCTGGCCTCCCAAAGTGCTGGGATTACAGGCGTGAGCCACCGCGCCCAGCCTATGCTGCTACCTTTTTAGGCTCTGTTGTCTAAGGGTCACCTACTACCTTTAAGATGCCCTCTAGCCAGGGCTCGCCTGGTCTGTGAAATGACACTGAAAAAAGACATGCTGTTCAGCACAATTTATTGTATTATCATAATTAATTTTTCTGTTACTCTTAGCCCCATATCTCAGCAGATTTTCCCGATACTGAACTTTGTTTGCTACTCTAAACTCCATTACTGGGATCTTCCTTGCGTACTTGCGTTATTTTTTCTGTAAATCCATTGCCAGAGTTCTATGTATCTGGACTGCTCCTGCAATGTCCCAATGCTTGAAACATAGACATCTTATTGATTTGCTCATACCATCCTTTAATGCCCCATGCCCCAAGGTGAATTTAGTTCAGAAGGCTTTGAAATCAACTTTGTTTTTTTCATTGATTTTAAAAAATTTTAATTTGAAATATAATGGCAAATAATTTCCCAATTTATTTCTTTTCTGTTGCATACAGCCACTGATAAGCATTTATTGTGCAGTGAAGAAACAATTACATTTTATAAGAACAAACATACAAAGGACATAAATCTTAAAGTTCACAGTTTCATGTTTGCTATAGACAAATTAAATCTAATTCTTAGCCTGCTTCTAGGGGATCTTAAGAGAATTTGTAATGCTGGCAAACACTAGTGATAGCTCCAAAACAAGAAAGAGAAACAAAAACTCTGTGGATATACATATATAAAAGCATATATACACATGTATAAGCAATATATGTAATACATACTAAGCAATATAAATGATGCATAATATAGTATTTATATATGCATATGTGATTAGTGTTGCCCCCCCACTTAAATTTTACCTATTTTTGATAGACAACTATTTTTAAATGTGATAAAAAACATCAGTGATGCAGAAGATATATATGATGTCTGAAATAAAGCATTTGCTAAAAGACTAGCAAAAACAAATACAATTTTATAAACACAATGCCAGGAGAACAAAGGAGAAATTTTACCTTCACTCAGTTATAAGACACAGTATTTGCCATATGAGTGGAAAGGGTCACTATTTGAAAGCATAACCCTGTGGGTAAAAATGTGGGCCCTGAAGACAGGCTGCCAGGTTCAAATACTGGATCCAGCACTTACTGGGTTTGTGATCGTAAGAATGCCTCAGATTCTTCATCTGAAAAATGGAAATATTACTTATCTCTGATGGTGTGACAAAAATTAAATTAGATAATCAATGTAATTATTTACTTAGCTCAGTGCTTAGAACATAGTAAATATTAATATTTTAAGTCATTGTGTATAATAAGCATTGCATTTGCTATAGAAATGTTATCCAAAATTAGGGATATTACTTTGAGGTTTTATTTATTTGTCTTACCCATATTTTTCAAGGCAAACTGAAATTGTTTCTTTAGACTCCCACATATGTATCAATAATTTTCTAATTTCACCTGATTCTTATAATACAAAGAGATTAAATCGTCCAGCAATCTGTTAGTAGTTAAAATAATAATAATCTGTTAGCAACATATAACCATGTAGTCTTATGTTATTATTCCTGAAGTGAGCCATTCTAAAGAACTGTCATACACTTTTTTGACTTAATTTAATTAATAATTGAATCCCTGAGTTATTAACTTGTAACACAATATATTTTAGACACTTGGAAAAAACTAGAATATGCATAAATATAAATAGTAATTGTAGCAAGAGAGTTATTACTAGTCATTAAAATTAGTACTAGATATTAGTATTAGTTAAAATGATCATAACTAAAATTAATGAAACTACCTATACGTAACTTTTTTATTCCTTACAAATTTTGATAAACTCTTTAAAAAAAAAAACTATTCAGCCGGGCACGGTGGCTCACGCCTGTAATCCTAGCACTTTGGGAGGCCGAGGTGGGCAGATCACGAGGTCAGGAGTTCGAGACCATCCTGGCCAACATGGTGAAACCCCGTCTCTACTAAAAATACAAAAAAATTAGCCGGGCGTGATGGCGGGCGCCTGTAGTCCCAGCTACTCGGGGGGAGGCTGAGGCAGGAGAATGGCATGAACCCGGGAGGCGGAGCTTGCAGTGAGCCGAGATGGCGCCACTGCACTCCAGCCTGGGGGACAGAGTCAGACTCCCTCTCAAAAAAAAAAAAAAAAAAACAAACTATTCTTCCAAGAACTGACAAATTAAGATGCACTGACAACAGTATTCATAAATACAAAATAAGCATCTTGATATGTAAATTACTGTTATTTACTGACAGTATGTAGAGTTGCCTACAAATTGAATCTAATATATTAATTATTTGCTACTTAGGGGTTCCTTTTCGTTAATGGAGAATATAAAAGGATATGCCATATTGTTTACAACATGCAATTTCATTAAGAAATGAATAAAATACAATTATTTTACATGTATTTTTTATTTTCAGAGTTTGATTCTGATATACAGAAAACAAATGGCCAAGTTATTACCATAAACTACTTGTACAGTTGTGACTAGCTCATCTCAGAAAATAAATCTCAGGAAAAATGCTTTTCTTGGACAAAGTACTGAAATAATAGCTAATTAAAAATTCATTAGTGCAATAGAAATATATAAACATTATCCATTGTCTCTTATAAGGCAGTAAAGTGCTATTTTCAAAGCACTGTTTTTTTCTGGCCTTCAATGCAGAAATCTCAACTCATTTAAAAATAATCTAAGCCTATTAATGAATGTTCTTGTCTTTTCCCCACTTTACCAAAAATAAAAATGCTTATAGGTTATTATACACAGTGCCTTTGAACTGGATAGCAAATATAAAAGTGTAAGTTTTTTAATATGATGAAAAATTGAGGAAATACTTGGCCAATTCTTTCCTTTTAGAAGGTAATAACACAAATAGACTGGCAAAAATTACTTCCTTTCAATTTGTAGTGTCTGCAAGCTTATAACTTGCTCTGTGTAAAGTATTATAACTCACAGTCTTTGTCTCAAAACATGAACGTAGGAACAATTCATTCTAATGTTACAAAAAAAGTCATGAGAAGAAAGAAAAATCTGATGGATTTCCAAATATATTCGGATATTATTTTCAGAGTTTTATATTTTACATTCCACTTCATTTTGTTCAAAATGAATTCTGTTGTAATTTGTGTTGTCTTCTTTTTGTTTGAAATCTTATTTAGCTAAAAGCCAGCACAGAAAAAAATGCTATGAAATGAATGTATGTATAATTTGAAAAGAATGATCATATTTATGAATTTGTACATTCATAAATTTATATTTTCATGAATTTGTATATTCATAAATTTATATTTTCATGAATTTTTATACAGAAAGCTGTCAAAAGTAAAACTATTTAAGAAAATATAAGGCTGTCTATACATTTTCAGTTAGGGAACTTAATCTACATGGAAGTAAATAAAGGGAACTTTGGTTGTCATATTTCTATTAGATGGAGTTTATGCACACGGTATAAATACTTTCTAGAAAAAAGTGATTTCAATACGATCAGTGGATTGAGTGATTTTTTTGATAGATTGGAAAATTAAAGGCTGTTGGCAGAAGATACCGCATATTTGTGTGGCTCAGATTTGTGTTGGGCCCATATAATTATTTTTATTTTTTTTACACTAAAAAATAAAAACATTATTTAATCATAGTTTGCTTCTGTCCTGCTTCTCCTCTTCCCTTGGGTCCCATCTTCTAGACCTAAGAAATAGCTAAGACACAAGAAGATGGCTGGGATTTGGAGACAGAGAAGACCTAGTTTGAAATCTGGCTCTGCCACTGTGGACCCTCAGGCAACATCTCTGTGTCTGAATTTTCTTACCCACAAATTAGAGATACTCCATGATGCCTATGTCTCATAAGCGAATGAGTATTAAATATATATGTATACAAAATGTGCCGCAAAATGCTTTGTAAATTATAGAGCACAGTCAAACTGTGAGGTCAACCCACTTGTTTCCTGCTCACTAGTTCTATATCCCTTTCTAATCTGGCATCCATGGCCACTGTCTCTCAGTTGAAGCCCTCTCAGGCATGACAGTGGCCAGCGACCCCCTTCTGTGAAAATAAATGAAGAATTATTTGAAAAAGCAGAAGACTGGAAGCAACACAAACACCCAAGAGTAAGGAAATGACAGGGTGAATTATTACATATCCATATTATGGACTATTATGCAGCTGTAAAAAAGAATAAGTGAGTTTTTATTCTGATATGGAGTTATCTTCAAACTATATTATTAAATGAGAAAAAAGGAAAAACAATACTTCTAGTAAATTACCACTTGTGTGAGGGTAAAAGGAAGAAAAAGAGAAAATTATGTATATGCATAAAATATCTTTGGAGAGATACAAAAGAAGCTGGTAACTCTTGCTGCCTGTGTGGAGAACTGGGTGGCTGGGGGAACAAGGGTGTATCCATTTTCTATTTTCAAGTAACAAATCAAAACAAAATGGTGGTTATGGTAAGCAGAATAGTAGCTCCCAAAGAAGTCCTCCTTCTAATCCCTGAAACCTGTGAATATGCTTACCTGACATGGCAAAAGAGACTTTACAGACGGGATTAAGTTAAGGACTCTAAGATGGGGAGATGATCCTGGGTTATGCAGGTGTGCCTGGTGTAATCACAAGTGTCCTTATATGAGGGAGGGAGGAGGATCAGAGTCAGTGGGAGATGAGAGATGTGACAATGGAAGCAGCAGTCACTGATGCCATTGGTAGAAGGGAGCCACACCCTAGGAAATGCTGGTAGTTAGTGTTCCTTAGACTTGGAGTCTTCCCTACATCCTCCAGAAGGTACAGAGCAGTCTTAATGCCTTGACTTTTCTCTGTCAGACCCACTTCTGGACTTCTGATCTCCAGACCATAAGATATAAAAGTGCTAAATTAAGTTTTAATGATAATCTCTACTCTTTCTTATTGTTTTACTTCTCACCTGAGTCCTATATTAGCTTTATCTACCTGGCTCATATAAATGAACTGAACCAATTTAAAATAAATATTACCAACACCTAATATCAGAGAGAATTTTTGCACTAATACTGTCTTTACCATTTATTTTAGGTGACTGGGTTTTTAGAAAAGAACCTGTGTTCATAGTGGTAGATAGCCTACAACTCCATAAGCATCATCCTCTTCAGCTCACATCCATCTTGAATGCCTTCCTATAATGTTTAAGTAGAAACTATCCTTCTATGAAAGGCTGATCTTTTTTCCAAACTATGAATCCTGTTGTTGCGTCTGGTCCTCTCTCTCCTCCTCCGAATTTTCTTTTTCCTTGATTGTCCTTTCTTGTGTATTCAGTCACCTCTCACCACTGACTCCTTGTGTTTAGCATGTAAACACAATCATATGTCTACAATGTAGTACAACGCCTTGGACTCTGGATTCCACTTTAGCTCTTACTTTTGTTTTCCTTGATAGCTAATTTTAAATAGTATTTTCTAATTTCTATAATAATGCGTGTGTACCATAAAAATGAACACCTTAGAAAAGGTCTAAAAAATTGTGTATACCCATAGCTCCACTAAAAATGACCATTCTTAACATTTATGTATAAAAGATATGCATCCTTTCCTATGTGCATATATAAACAAATATTTCAACAGAAATATGACCATATCAACATACTGTTTGAAACAGTTAATATGCCAGTGAAACTATCCTGCTGTGTCCCAGTAGAAAGGACACTTTTCAGATTCTAGCAGTGCTTATTTTTTATTACTCGCTCTACTGACCTTCCTCTTTGCTAGTGTACCATATCTCCTTTGTGAATTCTATACAACTTCAGGCTACTCTGGGACTTCCCGAGATAATCCCATTCACAATCATGGTTATAGTTACCATTTTAAGGTGATTACTCACTGAATGGTTCTCTGATCCTGCCACCCTGCATCTGTGTGTGTGTGTGTGTGTGTGTGTGTGTGTGTGTGTGTATCTCATTGTTGTAACTCCCAAATGTCTAACAGATGAGGCAACTGGGATTCAATATAATAAAAATAAGACTTATCCTCTTACTTATAAAAATGCTTTCCTGTGAATATCAGGCCTAACTCAGATTACTCCCAACTTACTACACGGTATGTGAGTGAGGTTGATTCTATTTCAAAAACCTACATATATTTAGTCCCTCTTTTTCACAGGCATTGCTTATAACTCAGCTCAGCTACGATCTCACCTGGGACATTGCAAAATCCTCCCAAGTACTAGTATTTATCTCTCGTTTTTTCATACCTGCATCTATTCACAGCACCTCTATCATTTTCTAAAATGGAAGTTAAATCATATCATTGCCCTATTCATTAAAATCTTTTAAAGACTCAATCAACCATTTTTGCAGAGCCTATAGCAGCCATTATGTTCTGCCTGATCTTATCCTCATTTCTTTTCTGCCCTACTTTCTTTCCCATCAAACCTATGTATTTGCTACCATTGATTTTATTTTGCTACCTTATAAGGCTTTACATATCTTGTTCCTTGTGTCTGGGTTATCTTTCCTTTCTTGTTCATCTAATGACTTCCAAATGCCTCATCTTAAATCTTTCCAGACCCTCACAATAAAGTGAATTTACTATTTTGTTTCTTAACCTTCTGAATATGACATGTGTGTGTATCAATATAGATAGAGTATATATATATATATATATATAGTTGACCCTTAAATAAAATAATGTGGAAGTTTAAGGCCACCAATCTCCCATACAGTTGAAAATCCACATATAACTTTTGAATCCCTGAAAGCTTAACAACTAATATCCTTCTGTTGACCAGAAGCCTTACTAATAACATAATCAGTAAATTAACACACATCATATATATGTATTACACACTATATGTATTCTTACAATAAAGTAAGCTAGAAAAAATATTATTGAGAAAATCACAAGGAACAGAAAATATATTTATTTATTCTTCCATACATGGAAATAGATCATCATAAAGGTCTTCATCTTCATCATTTTCAGATTGGGTAGGCTGAGGAGAAGGAGTATGTCTGGCTGTCTCAGAAGTGGCCGAGGTGGAAGAAAATACTCAGATAAGTAGTATTGCATAGTTCAAACCCATGTTGTTCAAGGGTCAGCTGTAAATCATTGATATCTATATTATTAATCTATCATCTATCTATCTATCTCATCTATACCTATCTATTCACAACATAATATATTAAAATTGATTTTATTTCTACCCCCAACTTCATGATTTGCATTTCTATTGGGTTCTAACTTGACAGTAAATATTTTGTCATTTCTAATTTGTATCCACAGGATCTGGATATTTAATAAAACGATGAATTTTGATGAATATTGACTATTAATGGTGACAAATATTTACTGAGCATTTTTTTGTGCATATTACAAATACTTTCTCATAACACATTTGAGAGTTCTTACCAAAGACCTGTGATTTAGAAGTCCTGCCACCTATAAAGAATGTAATTGTCCAAGTTTAAATGGCTAGTAAGTAGCAAATGTAGCATTTGAACCCAGGCAATCTGGTTCTAGAATTTTTTTTCTTAATACTACATATATACAATTGTAATGAACAAATACGTGAATTAATAAATGAGTGAATGAAAACCTGTTTTACATAAAAGCTTTAGGTTTTTAAAAAAATCTCAACCAGAGTTTTTCAATGAGTCCAGAACTTCTATTTGCTATGCGATTCCCTATGCTTTCATTAAGGATAGTTTTACAATTGAATCAGAAATATCTATCTGAAATCAGAATACTTTTGTACATTATCAACTAAGAGCACTAATTAGAGAATTCTATGAAAGAAGAAAGGCAACAAGGGCCCTATGTAGCATCAGCCATGTTTATTTCTTGCCAGTACGTTCTGCACTTCAAACACTCATATTCTGGCACTCCACAATAGGTCTATACAGTGTTAGAAATGCATTCTTAGTATTTCCAGCCCAAATTATTATCTGTTTTGATGCAAATTGCTAACATCAAATACAAAAACTAAAAAAAATTTGACAAAACATAGTAGCAATAAAAAGAAAATTCACAATAGGCTGTAAGAATTAGCATTTCAAGCATTGTGTGTAAATGCATCCTCTCCTAGAAGAGAGCATAGTGCATTTTATCCCGTGCTTACAACAAGCCTAGAGTGGGCTAGCCATATATTTACACAGAATATTTTACATAGGAAAAAATTATAGAATCCTCATAACTAAAACCTATTAATGTTTTCCAAAATCATGTTACCATCATTTTAGGAATAACATAAGCAACTATATTTTAATAATGCAATAACAATGTGTTGGTGCAAAATTTTTTTTTAAGTTGAAAATGTCCTTCTCTATTCAGATGAGTTGTATTATGCTGTCATGATGTCAGTGCCTACAACCTGCAGCTGATAGAACAGTTTCCTCTGGAATAAAAGTTTGTTGTACCCTTAGGTAGGTGATTTTCTCTTAAGGAAAGAAAAGTACAGAGAGAACTTGAGAAAGAGAATATTTCAGACTTTTTGCTGCAATGGCCTGAATATAAATTTTATATTTAATCTTCTTAAGGCAATGAAGTAAAACATCAACCTACATGGCAGATGATAACAGGAATATTGAGAATGAGGAAAAGAATCCTGCAAAATTGGTAATTATCAATGCCAGTTACACGGTTTAGAAAATCAAAATAATATGCAGACATTCAAAGAAAAATATTAAACTAGCTGGAAGAAAACTGTGCCCATATGTCCCATCAGCACATCTATTTTAGTAAGCACCTACGTGTTCAGTCACCAGCATGCCATCAAGAAATGAATTTGGCCATGTAGGAGGTTGTGTGGGCACTAAAGAAAAATAAAACAACCATAGAGAATTATTTACAATATCATTAAAACAGAGGAAAATATGGCAAAGATTTGGCTTCTCTTTAAGTCCTATTTTTTTCTTAAACTGTATATTATAGTCAACTTTAGAACCAATAGCCAAACACGCTCTACATATTTTTTTGATATTATCAACAATTAAACAGTGGACAAGATTGATACAAGAAATTAGATAAACATAAAAACATAAAACTTGTTTATGTTAGAATTCCACCTATAGTACATAAAGTAGGAATGCAACCCTGTGTTTGGAGATTAATATAATAGTATAGCATTAGCCGTGTACAACAAGGACAATCACTAAACTATACATTGAGGTTAAATTTAACATAAATTTAACCCATTCTTCTCCTTATATACTTGTCACACCTCTTAATATTCCTTTTTTAATTCTGAAACTCTATAGATAGGAATGGACATATCTTTGACCATCAGAAACTACTCTCATGCAATTAACCTGGCTTTAAAAGCTTTCTTCATAGCATCTCAAATTAAAAACAAACAAACAAATATTTTTTCCATCTTTCAATCAAGACGTGTAATCAGTAAAGTCCATCTTTACCACATGATAAAAATGTATAATATTTAGTAAGGTCATTTATAATAAAGTATAAATGACGGATATATTATCTCCCCAGTTGACTGTTTCAGGAGCATATCATTTGGTGATAGAAACATGAAAAGTACACCTAAGTAGAGATATATGAATATTTACTTGTCAAAATATGTGGGGCAGAGGTTTTGAACCATAGTATCATTTAAATTTCTTTTCAGTAACACTAATTTACTTTCTCCTCAGTTTATTATGCCATAATTACCAGAATCAAGAATCTTATGTGTAAATACATAAAAATATTAAAATAAGGGATAAATTCAAGGCAGCAAAATCTGATGTCCACAAGAACCAGAAAGATGTGGTAAAAGAGGAAAGCAGACTTGAGAACACATGCCTGTCTAAGCAGTGGAAATGACTGCCACATGGAAATATGGATCGTGTTTGCTAGATGTTCCAATTTTTCAAGAGAAGCTGGTTTTTAGACTCGTATGAGTAATATGCTAATGTTTAAACATTGGCAACCAAATCACTTAAAAAAATCTGCATCAGACAAACAGAAATCTTCAATGAGCCCACATTCTGGGATGGCCAAAACAGTGAAGTAAAACAGGTGTGTAGACTGGTATATCCTGCCACTCAGTCTTGTTATGTGTTAGAAAAATCTCTCCAGATCTGTTTTCTCAATGGTAAAATGAGAAGAATGTTGTGGATATTCTCTTATACCTTTTTTGTATTTTATTTCATAAATTTCTTAGATCTGTGTTTTGTTTTCTTACAGGGTATATAGATACTAGGTCCTTCACTGGATTAGATAAATATATTCATTTTTCATTCAACAACATGGACAAGCACTCTTAAGCACTAAGAATATGATTTGGAATAAAATGTATAAATCCCTCATGGCATTTGCATACTAGTGCCTATAAACAAATAATAAACAGGTAAGTAAACTATATGGAGATGGTGTCTGATGATAAGTACAACTGAGTAAAATTAAGGATGAAAGAAGAATGCATAGTGCTGAAGGAAGTGATTGAGATTTTAAATTTGATGAACAGAGAAAGCCATACTACACATACAAGATTTTTACAAAGACTTGAGGAAAATGAGTTCACAAACCTTGCACATATCTGAAGGAAGATAGTTCCACAGACAGACAATGAAAAATACCAAATCCCTGAAACGGGAGTGTGCTGGAGGTGTTTTTCTTAACAAGTGTATGGAGTATTTTGAGAGAAGTAGAAGCTAAGAGGAGGTGGAATGGGGGAAAGGTAATGTTGTCTTTTGTTTGGGGGATACAGTAAAGAGCTTAGCTTTTATGTTGAGTGAGACATAAACCATTGGAGGGATTTTAGAGGTGCAGTGTCTTAGTCTGTTAGGGCTGATATAACAAAATACTTTCTACTGGATAATTTATAGGCAACGGAAATTTATTGTTCACAGTTCTGGAGGCTGGGAAGTCTAAGGTCAAGGAATCGACAGATTTGGTGTCTGGTGAGGGTTTATTCCTTATCGACGGTGTCTTCTTGCTACATCCTATGTGGCAGAAGGGGCAAAGAACCCCACTAGCCTCTTTAATAAGCACATTAATTGTTTTCATGAGGTAGAGTCCTCATGACCTAATCACCTCCCAAAGGCTTCACATCTTAGTATCATCAGTTGAGAGTTAGTATTCAATATATAAATTTTGCAGGGATACATACATTTAGACCATGGCATAGAGTAAATTTTTTTATGATTAATGTTACAAAAATAATAAAAGAAGAAACTTGAAACTTTTCCATCAAATTGTAGGTCTCAGTAATTCTCCCCGCACTTCTGCCAGTTTTTGCTGTGTATATTTTCAAAACTGTTAATATGCTAATTGACTCTCAGACATATGGAATATACCTTTTTATCTTTCATATTACTTCTTGTTTTGCAGCCTGCAACTTTCCAATGATTGTTATCTGCACGGTCTATCTTTTGCCATGCTTTTAGTATCCCTTTTAGACTGCATATGGTTGTCTTCATTTTGTTTAGTTATACAATTACAATTGAATGCAATTGTAAATTAAAGTTTAATTGCAATATTTAATCCACTTCACTTGCTGTAATTATTAATAGAGGTACTTTTATTCCTACCATCTTGCTATTAGTTTTTTATTTGTCCTTTTTAAATTCTTTTTTCCTTTATTTTTGGGAGTTAAATGCATATATTTTAATTATGCCTTGATAGTTCTTCTTTTTGATTTTTAGCTCTACTACTTTATATATTTTTAGTGTTTGCTCTAGGAATGAAAAGATGCCTATTTAACTTATTACACTACTCAGAATGGCATGAAATTTAAAATTTATGAATTGTTTATTTCTGGAATTTTCCGTTTAATATTTTTAGACTGTGGTTGACCATGAGGAACTAAAACCAAGGAAAGTGAAACCATAGATAAGAAGGGATTACTGTATTTATTTCTTGTGTTTCCTCTTCGTATCTGGATATTTTAATTTCCATCTCTTATCATGCCTTTTCATTCTAAAGATATTTCTTTAGTATTTCTTTTGTGAAGGTCTGGTGGAGACAAATTCCCTCTGCTTTCTTTAATCCAAAATATTATATTACACTTTTATTTATGACTGATGTTCTCACTGAATATCAATTTCTAAGTTACCGGTGTCTTCTTTCTAAATTCTGGCCTCTTTAATAATATCATTTTACTATACTTTGCCCTCTGTTGGTTCTGTTAAGTCAGATGTTCTTGTTTTTCTGTTTGTTTGTTTTGTTTTCCTTGTATGTAATAGACTTTCTTTCTCTACTTACTTTTAAGTTTTGTTAAATTTTGTGTCCAATATTTGGAATCTAAAGGGTGTTTTCATTCATATTTTGGTCTCTCCCTTTGTGGCCTTCTTTTTCATAGCTGTTTTTCTCCTTTAATTTCCAAATGGCTTAACATACCTAATTTTCTTGCCTGACTCTTCCAACTAGTATGACCAGAGCTTTCTGTATGAGTTCTAATTCCCCTTCACTGAAAAAGGAATGAGCATGACATCAGGAAAAAGGTGCCTTATAGATGTAGACTTCGTCTAATGATGTCTTATTTCTATGGCCAAATCACCTGTGTTTCCTTTCTCATAACACAGTTGTATTATTTTGTTTGTTATTGTTTGGTGTTTATTTGGTTCTAAAGTTTTATTTTTCACTATGAGAGTTTGTTTGATATAGGCCATTTTATATTTACTTAAACCAGAATTCATTTTCTGAATATAATTTGAAGGAAAACCAGTGGGTACAATGGCAACAAACCTCATAGGGGTGTGACCTTTTACACTCTTATTTAAGTTGGCCTGGATGTATGGCTTTGTGCTTCCAGTGTTCTGAAACTTCTGTTTTTTTTTTTCAATAATCAGTAGTGACTCTATGTGATATCATGTATTTGCTAAGAAGATCCAGGGTGAAACTCAGCATATGAAATAGATAAAGTTATCTCTTAGACTCATGATAGTAACTTCATTCTTCATCAAACACTACTCATCAGTCAGTATGGAACATAATTCAAACTTTAGAATGGCATTTCCATAATGGAATGTTGTGAGTTTAAGAGATTTAGGGGTGGATCAAGGAAAAATGCATGACCATGTGGTGGTTGTAGAATAGAATAAGCTTTATTTGGGTGGTGCTTTGACAGGTTTGCATTCTGGGAAGTCCCTTACAGCATGAGGTCTTCCAGAGAGAATGGCCAGCCAGCACATGGTTACCACATAGAAAGAAAAGAGGGCAAAGGAACTCCCAGTGGAGAGGAGGAAACCAAGAGGAGGTTCATGTGTCTAGATGATTTCACTCAGCAGCATAATGAAGTCTCTGGGTCACAGAGCACCAAAGAACAGCAACATCTTGGGACTGTTTATAGCTCAAGAACCTATCTTCTCTGTGGCTAGAAGATGTTTGGTACATTTGTGCAGTATATATAAGCCAGCAGCCTCTAAATTGCTAAACATCAGCTTATTTGGGCTATATTTAAAACAATTGCATGGGTGAAAAATTGAGTTTGGTTGTGAAAATGGAAGAAGTAAATGATATATATGAAGTTAATGACATATAAGGCCAATATACAAGGGCCATGTTTAAAACATTTATGTAGAGAAATAAAAGTAGAAATTCTAGTTATAATAAATGTTCCAGACTACAGAATAAAGGGAAACTTATGAACACTTAAGGTTTGCAAAGATGGCACACATGTGAATATCCCCTACTTTCCTTACCTGTCTCTGTTCCTTGTTCTTTTTAACCCAAGCAACACCCTCTGCAAGCCACTCAGTCCAGTGACCATATTCTTTCCTCAGAAAACTAGCCCTGTGAACACAGTGGCTCATTGTATACCTTATTACATAAAGAAACACTTCAGGATTTGCATGAATTATAGAAAACACTGATTGATCTGTAGCATACATATACCTTGGAAGTAACAGAACTTTATTTTATGATTGTGGACATACTCACACAAGGTAAGTGAATACTTCCCAAAAGACATCTGATTTTATTTCTGAAGTGAATTTTATAAATTGTATTTTATAAGATAATTATGAATTATAATTAGATATTGAATAAACAAATATAACTCCATGTGAAAATACTCTTGCCATTTTTAAAGAAAATGGATTGAGTGCTTTTTAAAAATCATGTTATATTCATATTACTGAAAGAATACCAACAACTTAGGTAAAAAATTGGTTTCTGTCCTAATCAGATAAAATGTAGACATTTACAAGAATTCAGCAAAGATTGTTTTGAAAATGTCTCTACTCCCTCGACTTTAAACACATTTAAATAGAAAATTATAGATAAAGAATTATAGGTACGACTGATTCTAGAAAGATGACACAGCTACTAATAAAAAAGGGGGATACTTGACTATTCATCAACAGATTTAGGAATTATTATAATTTAATGTTTAAAGTTAAACATTTCATGTATCTTTTGCATTCTGATTCTTTTCTTCGTTTTTGTACCAATGACTTATTATAGATTCTGATCATATAAAATAAGAGAACCTGTTTACACTGAAAAAAATTGTTCCTTTCTTATTCTTCCACAGTTTGGTTGCACTTTTATAGAAACATCACTTACAACGGTTGCCAGATTTCCTGTCTCAGGACAATGCACCTGACGTTAAGGGCCAGTTCCTATAACATCATTTTACTTCGAAGTCACCTTTTGATAAGAGCAGGGTGAGGATGCAGATGCAGAGTCAGCGAGAATGCACAGTTCATTGCATCACAGTTGGTTCCATTACTTCATTTGTCCATGGTAGATATTGCTAAATTACTATGAGATTCAACCTTTTATTCTTGTTTCTACTAAAGTGGCTCTAATTTTTTTTTTAATTATTTGGCCTTCAACAAATAGTTTTAGCAGGTAGTATTTAGTTTGCTTTAAAAAACACAACTGGTTTACTTATTTGATATACAAGAAGGAGAATTCAAAATTGTACACATTAATTAGATAATATGTGAATTTTTCTCATGATTAAAGAAGCAATTTTGTTTGGGAAAGCCATAAGCAGAAACTCAAAAAATATTCATTTTAGGGCCATCAACTTACATTAACTGAGTTTACATGGAGTGACTTGTTTAAATAGAGTTAACTTCGTTAGCACAAATATTTGCACAAATTACTATTTTACAATTTAGAAGTACAATGTTTATCTTAATGATAATTTTAGATCCTCTTTTTATAGTTACAGTCTTACTGATATACACGTTGTTGCTAAAGTATTCCTGTAGCAAGAACCAGGGTCTTTTTATATCTTGCAGTTTAATTATCAGATCTCTATAAAATAAAATGAGGCCTTAATAATACCTGAGAAGGACTAGTTCTTTTCAGTTGGAGAGGACAGAGTCAGTGCAACCCTCAGCTTCATCTTCCAGCTAAGATGGAGAAGCTTGAAGTGAATCGTAAGAACCTAGTTTGAAAATATCAGAGAGTGACGAAGGGAACCAGTATTTCAGGGGCTATGATGTGGAGAGGAGGGAAGGCTTCATTAGAGATTCTCCATCAGGACTTTTGCTGATTCTCAACACTGAGCAAGAAGCTCAGAATCAACAGAAATGACTATGGCTAAACCCAGAAAAATCTACCATTGCTTTTGGTAAACTTATAAGACTGGCAAGGAAAAATATTGAAGTTTGCATTCCCAAGGCTATCAAGAGAGAAAAGAGCAACACAGATGTAATTCTTATACTTTATAGTTTCCTCTCTTGGCTTTTTTGTTAATTTTTAAACTGCACAGAGCCAGAAATTATGAAGCTAACCAAAAACTTCTTAAAAAGCACAGTGGAGTTAAAGGTAGTCTCATGGTGAAAATAAGGTGGATCTATCTGTTAATTACAAAATACTCTCATTTGTGATGCTTAGAGTGCTATATCCTAGCAGAAGGTGTGAAATGAAGGTAAATAGAACCTTAGCAAAATGCAAAAAGCCTTAAATCAGTTCAAACCTTTATTTAATGAAAATTGTCTTCTACTCTTTCTACTTATGAGAGGATAATGTGATATCTCATCAGGAAGATGAGTGACAACATCTGGTTCTCCAAAAATTTTTGTTATGATGTCAAAAAAATCAAGTAAAAATGATGCAAACCAAGAAAAAAGGACAATAGAGAAACAAACAATAGAAATAGAACTACAGATGACTTTGTTGTTAGAATTGACAGAAAAAGACTCACTGAATATGCTGGGGAAAACATACGAAAGGTGAAAAATTTTATCATGTAGAGTCCATAAGAAAACAAGTAAAACTTTTAAAACCACAAAATGTAATAATTAAAATTAAGAATTCAATGAAAGTTTAACAGCAAATTGAACACTATGGAGAGGAGTTTAAAATTGGGAAATAGTTTACTAGAGAATAACAAGTACAAAATAATGAAAAGAAAAAGAATGGAAAATTCATAAGAAACCATAAGAAAAATATGAAATAAAATGAAAAATTCTAACATGTTAAATTTGCAAAAATGTAGAGAAGAGAGAATGATGGTTCTGTGGAGAGCAAAGGGTAATATATGAGAATTAAACAGTGATACCTATTCAAACTGTACTTTAAAGTTATATGTATGCAAAAAGAAAAATAATACTAAAAAACCACATTATAATGTGATTATTGAAAATGAAAGTTAGATATGCTATTAAGGCAGTCAGAGAAAAAAGACACATACTTTCAAGGAGCAACAATAAGACTGACAATGGGATGACATCTTTCAAGTTCTGAGATGAAATGACTGCCAACCTAAAATTCAGCACTCAGTAACAATGTAATTCACAAATAGAGGAAAAATTAAAAAAAAAAATTTCAGACAAACAGAAAATGGGACAATTTGTTATGAGAATGTGGGAGCTACGAAAAATAGAACCAAACCAACTTGTCTTTATTTACAATATGTACTTTTTTTCTCTCTGTAGGTTACACTTCACAATAAAATCGGTTTAATTAAAATATGAAAGAAACCTCTCAGATTCGTCTTATTAGCAAAATAGGCTTTTCTATTATTTGTTTATTTATTTATTTATTTTAGAGACAAAGTCTTGTTATATTGCTCAGGCTGGCCTCAAACTTCTAGAAGAACCTTTTCTATTTCTTAGTGTTAGAAATCAGTTGCATCATAGGAGTTTGTGTTTCACTCAATATAATGATTTTATGATTCATTTGATGGTTGCAGCAAATGATAAAATGACACTTAATAAATAAAAATAACAAAATACTCTTTCAATACTTGAAGATAGACCCCTCAAATTAAGAGTAGTACAATGGTCAGGTGATAAAACGTGTAGAACTGAGGTCATTAGGTAGATATAAGGCAAAAAAAATGATTAATGTATCTTGTAAGATGTGGAAAAGACAGATTGACTGCAAATACAAGCCTTTTGTTCTCATCCAGTTTCCTTTTCTGCAAATGTTTGGTTACAAAAGCTAACTTTTGTGAAAGCCTGAAAAGCTGGCAGCTATTGTTTTTCTGGAGACAGGAAAAGAATATCTATCTAGAGAGATATTGTTAGCCAACCCAATGGTAATACCTTAGATCATGAACTCCTTTGGAGTTGGGAGTTAAATTATTGAAAGTATAATTCTTCTAAGTATGAAATGCAGGAGGTTTTAGATAGTTGGTCATTTGGCCTTCTGTGATGTTTGCCTTGAAAAGGTCATCATATTTGTTTCATTACCAACAGGGTGATCCTCATTACTAGGAAACTCATTCATTACAAGAAATGAGGTACTTCCCAAATAGAAATGAGTACAAGCCCAGCAAACAGTGATTTTGATTTTATGCTTTAGATAGTTTAGGTAAAAATTATAGCCAGGTGTCGGACTCATATCAAGTGTGCCTAAACATGCAAAAACTGATGTTAAAAATGGGGTTCTTGTAGGTGATACACTTAGAGAATCTTAAACCTGTAAAATACAGGAAAAGATATCTTGAGAAATAAAGAACCAAAGAATGTAGATTAGTGCATGAAAATTTGTGGTCTTGTTCCACAGATTGAAGCAGTAGCTGAGTATCTCTTACATAGTCTTAAATTTGGTACAGAGGTCTTAGGTTGAATCCGTCTCCTTTAGAGGAATGTCTGCTTCTCAAAATTCCTAAAAACAGTCAACTAAATGTTTCTGGTCAGAATAATTCTACAGAGATTTGATTTAAGTTTGTGTCTTTTTAATTGAGAGACATGAATCCATCGATCAAACCTCTGGAGATTCACAACTGTGGGCAAAAGATTACCTTGGTGCCGAGGCAAGACACTAAAGGCACAAACTGTTTCAGTATAATAAAGAAAATAATTAGAATAAGAATAGTCATAATACAAATTAGATATAGAGATGATCATGGACAATTATCACTATTAATCATTAGCTTTTAATATTACTTTTTGTTATATTACTAATATAACCTAGAAATAACCGGCGGGTAGAGGGTCAGGTGCTAAAGGGACATTGTGAGAAGTGACCTAGAAGGCAAGAGGTGAGACTTCCGTCACGCCCGCATAAGGGCCACTTGAGGGATCCTTGGTCAAGCGGTAATGCCAGTGTCTGGGAAGACACCCATTACTTAGCAGACGGCGAAAGGGAGTCTCCTTTCCTTGGAGGAGTCAGGGAACACTCTGCTCCACAAGCTTCCTGTGGAAGGCTGGATATTATCCAGGCCTGCCTGCAGTCATCCGGAGGCCTAAACCCCTCCCTGTGGTGCTGTGCTTCAATGGTCACGTTCCTTGTCCACTTTCATGTTCTTGCCGTACTACTGGTTCCTCTTTGAAGTTCGTAGTAGATAGCGATAGAAGGAATACTGAAAGTCTTAAACTCTTTGATCTTTCTTGTAAGTGCATAGAAAAAAACGCTGACATATACTGCCTTCTCTGTCTCTGCTTCTGCTACCAAGAGGGAAGGGCACCCTGTCCTGTGATCACGTGACTTGCTTCACCTTGTCAATCACTTAGAAGATTCACCCTCCTTACCCCGCCCCCCTTGTCTTGTATGCAATAAATATCAGCGCGCCTGGCAATTCGGGGCCACTACCGGTCTCCGTGTCTTGGTGGTAGTGGTCCCGCGGGCCCAGCTGTTTTCTCTTTATCTCTTTGTCTTGTGCTTTATTTATTACAATCTCTGTCTCTGCACACGGAGAAAACACCCGCTAAGCCCCGTAGGGCTGGACCCTACAGCTACTGTGCTGATTGTTTATAGTATTCGATGATGTAAATTCCATTGGAAATCAAGGATTTAGCTTTCTGTGATGTTACCCCTTGAGATCAAATTGAAATCCAGGTTGTACATCATGAAAAGGTTATTTTGTAAGCTCTTGAAAAAAACAATGCTCAATTTAATTAGTTCTTTTCAATACTTAGCTACGTTGTCTTACAATAATTAGGAGTACCAAATCAGAGATGACATTCTTATATGTATGAGTAGGCTGTAGCTCACTTATGAATAGAGTTAACAAACTTTCAATAATTTAACTCCCAATTCCAAAGGAGTTCATGATCTAAGGTATTACCATTGGGTTGGCTAACAATAATTTCACTCCCAAAGGAGTTAAATATGAAAACATCATAGTCTCTGACAGCTTTCTTTTTTTTTTTTTAAATTAAACTTTAAGTTCTGGGATACATGTGCAGAACGTGCAGTTTTGTTACATAGGTATACATGTGCCATGGTGGTCTGCTCTGACAGCTTACTTAATTTGAGTTACAGAATCCTATTTGTTATTTCTAACTTTCCTGAATATTGGAGTAATACAGACATTATTATAATGAATTAGATATAAACTCTGAACACTTCTCAAAACTCTTTAATAATAGCCTCAATTAATTGGGTATCTCTGTCACCAGATACTGACATTCTTCAAAGTGGGAATGCACTGTTCAGTAACTACCTGTGCCACTGTTAGATCCACAGCTCTCTATCAAGGAAAGCATCACATACATCCCAACAGTAGGTAATGACCAGATTCACAAAACCCACTGCAGGGTTATAGTGTTTGATATCCACTTAGAGATGTTCAAATGAGCCCTTGGATTCAAAATCTTGCCCATGTGGCACCTTTGCAATTTTGCAAGGCTTATGTTGATGACAGATGTGATAAACACTGAAAATTTACTAAAAAGTTTTAGTACATTTTTTTCCACTGAGATTTATTGGTGAATTTTTCTCCTTTGAATGCTATTTTTTTGCAAAATTATTACAGCACTTTACATTAATTCTTCTTGCAATATTAAGCTGCCATCTGGAGAGAACAAGAGTTTTAGTTATACATATTTTGGGGGAACCTGTGAAATTTTGATACCTGTATACAATGTGTCATAATCAAATTAGAGTAATTAGGCTATCTATTACCTAAAACACTTTTCTTTGTGTTGGGAACATTCCATTTTTTCTCTTCTCACTATTTTGAAATAGACGATAAATTATTAACTGTAATTGTCTCTACTGTACTATCAGATATTAGTACACATATAGAATTCCTTCTATGTTCTGTATTTCTGTACCCCTTAACCTACTTCTCTGCATCTGTCCCTCTCACACATTCTTCCCACCTTATGGTATCTATTATTCTATTCTCTGTGCCCATGAGATCCACTCATGGGCATAGTGAAATAAGCCAAGAACAGAAACGTGTAACATATAACATCACAGAAAGATAATCTTTGATTTCCAATGGAATTTACATCATTGAATACTGTAAACAATCAGCACAGTAGTTGTAGGGTCCAGCCGTACGGGGCTTAGCGTGTGTTTTCTCCGTGTGCGGAGACAGAGATTGCAATACATAAAAACACAAGACAAACAGATAAAGAGAAAACAGCTGGGCCCAGGGGACCACTACCACCCAGACCGGTAGTAGTGGCCCCGAATGGCTGGGCGCGATGATATTTATTGCATACAAGACAAGGGGGGCAGGGTAAGGAGGGTGAATCTTCAAAGTGATTGACAAGGTGAAGCAAGTCAAGCGATCCCATATATGAGTGAGGACATGCAGTATTTGTCTTTATATGCTTGGCTTATTTCACTTAACGTAATGACATCCAATTCCACTCATGTTGCTGCAAATAACAGGATTTTTTATGGTTGAGTAATATTCTATTGTATATACATACCACATTCTCTTTATCCATCTTTCTCTTGATAGATAATTAGGTTAATTCCATATCTTGGCTATTGTGAATAGGAGTACAATAAAAATTTGATAAACTGTTTTCCTTTCTTTTGAATATTTACCTAGCAGTGGGATTGATGCACCATATGTTAGTTATATTTTTAGTTTCTTGAGGAACTTCCACATAATTTTCCATAGTGCCTGTACTAGTATTATTTTACTTTCCACCAACAGTGCACAAATGTTCCTCCTTCTCCACATCCTAGTCAGCACTTGTTACTTCTTGTTTTTTGATTACATCCATTATAAATGGGGTGAGATTATATCTCATTGTGGTTTTGATTTCCATTTTCCTAATGATCAATGATATTAAGCATTTTTTCATCTGTTGGCCAATTGTATGTCTTCTTTTGAGAAATTTCTATTCAGTTCTTTTACCCGATTTTAATCAGACTATTTGTTTTGTTTTTTGCTATGGAGTTGAGTTTCTTCTACATTCAAGTTATTATTCCCTTATTAGATGGATAGTTGCCAGATATTTTCTTCCATTCTGTAATTGTCTCTTTACTTTGCTGATTGTTTCCTTTACTGTGCAGAAGCATTTTAGCTTGATGTATTCCCAATTTGCCTATTTTTGCTTTTATTGCCTGTGCTGTTGAGGTCTTATTCAAACAAATCTTTGTCTAAACCAGTGTCTCATAACATTTTCTCCAATGTTTGTTTTTTAATAGTTTCATGGTTCTGGTCTCACATTTAACTCTTTAGTGGATTTTGTGTTGACTTTTGTGTATGGTAAAAGATAGGAATCTCATTTCATTTTTCTTAATATGGTTATCCATTTTCCCAGTACACATTATTGAAGAGACTGTCCTTTTCTCAATGCATGTTCTTGGCACTTTTGTTGAAAATGAGTTGTCTATAAAGGTGTGGATTATGTCTGGGTTCTCTATTTTGTCCCATGCATGTATGTGTCTGTTTTTATGCCAATATCCATGCTGCTTTGGCTATTATGTCATTGTAGCATAATTTAAAAACAGACTGTGTGATACCTACAGTTTTATTCTTTTTGCTCAGCAATGTTTTGGGTATGTGGAGTCTTTCATGGCTCTACACTAATATTAAGATTGGTTTTCTATTTCTGTGAAGAATGTCATTAGTATTTTAATAGGGATTGCATTGAATCTCAAGATCACTGTGTAATACAGACATTTTAACCACACTAATTTTTATAATCCATGAATATGGGATATCTTTTTATTTTCTAATAATGTATAATGACAATTTCTGTCATTAGTGTTTTATAGTTTTCCTTGTAGAGATTTTTTCACTTCTTTGATTAAATGTATTCTTGGGTATTTGATATTTTATAGCTTTTGAAAATGGGATTGCTTTTTGGTTTCTTTATCAGACTGCTGTTAGTATACAGAAAGGCAACTGATTTTATGTTGATTTTGTACCCTGCAATTTTACTAAATTTCTTTATCTGTTCTAAGAAGTTTTTTTGGTGGAATCTTTATGTTATTCTAAATATTTTTATGAAATTTTATCTAGAGTTCTCCTAGAATTCATTTTCCGAATAAATTGCTGAAATTATATAACAGACTCAATTAGGTAGAGTTAAACCTGTCTACCTTTCCATAATGATCTCATTGAATCTAGACAGTAAAGTCTCAATGAAACTGGAGTTTCACAAGAAGTAGGACTTTAATAAAGGGAGGTCTGACTCTACTGTATACTTTTCACCTAGGGTTTTAAAAAAATACATCTTACTTGTTTTGGCTTGTGCCCCTCCCTTTAAAATGTTTATGTCTTCACAAATTAGATACTTTGAGCATTTCTTACATTACTGAACATCCTTAGTTGGAGGTTCTTGCTGAACTGAAGAATTCTTTGTTGTCTCCAAAGCGTTCCAAAAATAGGGACTGCCCTAAAACCCTTACACTATCAGTGCATATATTAAACCTCCTATCTCTTCCTAAATGACAAATTCAAATGAATGCAATGATTTTCAATAGTTGGGCAGATTTGTTTCCAGCAAGGGGTCATAATTTAGGGATTAGGTGAATACTGTTTATCCTTTCTGATACTGTCTTGTTTTGATCTTAAGAAACAAAAGTAATTCAGCTTTTCTAAAGAAGATTCTAATACATCTCTCTAAGGTAGATAGCTTGTGAATAAAAGTTAGTGAATCACTGTTTTTGTTTCTTCATGTAATGGAAAAACTGTGGCAGGAAGTTAAGTATTGTAACAATGAATGAAAATGCATAAAGGAAAAAGTAATAGAATTTAATAGAAAATAAGGCTACTTACAAAGAAAGCTGTGTATTTTCAGTGAGCAAAAAATATTTTACAGAATGAAGACTGTCATATTCAGAGAAGGTCTTAAACCAAAATGACAGAGGCCTCTGATTGATTAGCTGCTGTTTCTATTCCCCTAGATAAGGTGAGTAGGCTTTTGTCAATACATGAAAGAGAGGCTGTAACATGCTCTTGGTATATGATGATCCTCATCTATTTAAATGGAAATTTAAGGGCCTATACAGTCTTACTACGCATAGAATGGTAGAAAGACTGGCAGAAATGCAGTCTTACTATACAAAGAGTGATAAAAAGCAACAAAAACAAAAATTGGCAAATGAAACCTAATTAAACTAAAGAGCTTCTGCACAGCAAAAGGAACTATCAAGTGAGTAAAGAGGCAACCTACAGAATGGAAGAAAATATTTGCAACGATGCATCCAACAAAGGTCTAATATCCTGAATCTATAAGGATCTTAAACAAATTTACAAGTAAATTTGCACTGTTGGTGGGAATGTATTTGCTTGGTATTGTTTCTGCTTTGTGGGCTCTGTTTTTGCTTTCATATAAATTTTAGGATTGTTTTTTCTAGTTCTGTGAAAAAATGATGATGGTATTTTGATGGGAATTGCATTGAGTCTGTAGAATTGCTTTGGGCGGTATGATCATTTTCACAATAATTATTCTTCTCATCTATGAGCATGGGATATGTTTTCATTTGTTTGTGAAATCTATGTTTTCTTTCAACAGCGTTTCACAGTTTTTCTTGTACAGATTTTTCACCTCTTTGGTTAAGTATCTTGTTAAGTATTTTATTTTATTTTATTTTATTTTTTGCAGCTGTTGTAAAGGGGATTCATTTCTTGATTTTAAATCATGAAGGATTGTGCAAATGTTCGGATTATAGGGAAGACATTAGGTTATAGACAACTTAGGTTAAGTTACATAGCTGTGTGGTGATTTCAGAAAAGTTGAGAACCTATTGTCTACAATAGCTAGGGTCACCCTGAAATCTCTGAATTACTCTTAATTACAGTTCTGGGAAAGTTTTGAACTGGTTCATAGTGCATCAGGAATAAAGGATCTGACTTTTCTGGATGAATCACATCCTAGATAACACACTTTATTTTGATAAAATTGTTTTATTTCTCGGGGGAAATGTATGCCCTTTTGGACTAAAAGTATAAGTGAGATCAACCTTACATGTTTCTCCTTTTTAGAAAGTGACACATGGTCATTCAGATACTGCGCAAAAGTAGAATCACAGGGAAATTTAAGGTTCTCGAGGACTTAGAGACTTCCGAATAATAAGAGGTTGCTTTATTAACCCCTGAAACGGTAACATCCCAGGGATATTGTTGCTTTTCCAAGAAGGCAAAGAAGTATTATCTATTTTGATCTAAAACAATACGAAATAAAGCAAAAGACAGACCTACAATTTTTTTTTTTTTTTTGAGACGTTGTCTCGCACTGTCGCCCAGGCTGGAGTGCAGTGGCGCGATCTCGGCTCACTGCAAGCTCCGTCTCCCGAGTTCACGCCATTCTCCTGTCTCAGCCTCCCGAGTAGCTGGGACTACAGGCACCCGCCACCATGCCCAGCTAATTTTTTGTGTTTTTAGTGTTAGCCAGGATGGTATCTATCTCCTGACCTCGTGATCCGCCCTCCTCGGCCTCCCAAAGTGCTGGGATGACAGGCGTGATCCACCGCACCCTGCCTCAGACCTACAATTTTTTACGACCAAAAATATTGAAATGTTTTACTATCCAGCCCTTTAAAGAAAAAGTTTGCTGATCTCTGACCAAGGGTGATGCAAGGAAAACTTTGTAAACTCAGCTTTATTGGTAACTTATTGAAACATAGAAACGATCTAAATGCTATTGTACTCAAGCATTTTCAAATAAAACAATTAAAAAGTCAATGTAATTGTAGGCTTTATAATTACTGGAGAAGTTTTTAGCTAAACTTCCAAGAAAGAAAAACAAATTTGAAAGAGACAGTTATTCTTAGAGAAACGAATTTAAGGGTTCAGCTGTTGTAAGAAAATCAAACTGAATTCATTCTTCCTACAGAATGAATAAATAGACAAAAAATATGATTATATTTGATGGCAATTATTCTAAGGATCTCTGGATGCCTTGTTTTTATGGCCTTGGGGTACTGTAAAATACTTTTGCAAAACATTTAATAAACTTCAGAATGTAATGAGATTAACATTATAGGACACATTCATCATCCAGTGACTTACTGCTAACATAGTTTTGTTCTCTGATGATGTATGCTATTGCTTAAAATTACATATATTTTTAATTGGAGATTTTTATTAGACCTTGTTAGTCAAATAGAAAGTGACCATCAAATACTCATAATTTAAAATTTCCTGTTCTTAAAATAGATTCGATTTTCTCTTTATGAAAATAAACAACAAATTACCAAATTTAAAAAAATCGATCTGTCAAAAATTGTTGAAGGTTTTTTATATGCCATTTAATATGATACTATACATAAAATATAATATATGTAATTAAGCATATAATGCTTAAGATATATATAATTAAGCATATAATACTTAAGATATAATACATATAATTAAGCATATAATGTTTAATAATATGATTATTAAGCATTTGATTTGATAGTATTTTTTTCCTTTTAAAAATATGTATGCTGGGGAGTAAGGTGATTATATCATGTGTAAAAAGTTAAATAGCTTGCCATTGGTAGAACTCAGATTGAACCCCAGGAAGTTCAACTCCAAAGTCTGGGAAATTCACACTTAGTTCTACTGTCTCCCAAGCCAAATGAGGATGATGGAATCTCATTTACACAAGGACATATGAAAAGGAATGGAATAGAGAGTCCAGAAATAATGCCATGCCTCTATAACCATCTGATCTCTGAGAAAGTTGACAAAAACAAGCAGTGGGGAAAGGATTCCCTAGGCAATAAATGGTGCTGGGATGTCTGGCTGACCATATGAGAAGATTGAAAATAGACCCCTTCCTTATAACATACACACAAATCGACTCAAGATGGATTAAAGACTTAAATGTAAAACCCAAAACTGTAAAAACACTAGAAGATAACCTAGGAAATAGCATTCTGGACATAGGACCAGGCAAAGATTTTATGATGAAGATGCCAAATGCGATTGCAACAAAAAACAAAAATTGACAAATGGGACCTAATTAAACTAAAGAGCTTCTACACAGCAAAATAAACTATCAACGGGTAAAGAGATGACCTACAGAATGGAAAAAACATATTTGCAAACTATGCATGCAACAAAGGTCTAATGTCCTGAATGTATAAGGATCTTAAACAAACTTACAAGCCAAAAACAAATAACCCCATTAAAAAGTGGGCAAAGGGCTAGGTGCAGGTGGCTCACGCTTGTAATCCCAGCACTTTGGGAGGCCGAGGTGGGTGGATCGCCTGAGGTCAAGAGTTCAAGACCAGCCTGGCCAACATGGTGAAACCCGTCTCTACTGAAAATACAGAAAATTAGTTGGGTATGGTGGCAGATGCCTGTAATCCCGGCTAGTCAGGAGGCTGAGGAAGGAGAATCACTTGAACCTGGCAGGCAGGGGTTGCAGTGAGCCAAGATCAAACCACTGCACTCTAGCCTGGGCAACAGGTCGAGACTCCGTATTAAAATAAATAAACAAATAAAAGTGGGCAAAGGAGAGAAACAGACACTTTTTTTTTTTTTTTGAGACAGAGTCTAGCTCTGTCACCCAGGCTGGAGTGCAGTGGCGCGATCTCGGCTCTCTGCAACCTCCGCCTCCCGGGTTCACGCCATTTTCCTGCCTCAGCCTCCTAACTATCTGGGATTACAGGCGCCCGCCACTACGCCCAGCTAATTTTTTTTTTTGTATTTTTAGTAGAGACGAGGTTTCACCGTTTTAGCCAGGATGATCTCGATCTCCTGACCTCGTGATCCGCCCGCCTCGGCCTCCCAGAGTGCTGGGATTACAGGGGTGAGCCACCGCGCCAGGCCCGGAACAGACACTTTTTAAAAAGAAGATATGCATTCAGCCAGCAATTTATGAAAAAATGCTCATCAGTAATTATTAGAGAATGCAAATTGAAAACCATAGTGAGAAACCATCTCATACCAGTCAGAATGGCTACTATTAAAAAGTTAAAAAAAAAAAATAGAAGCTGGCGAGTTTGCAGAGAAAAGGAAATACCATACACTGCTGGTTGGAATGTAAATTACTTCAGCCATTGTGGAAAGCAGTTTGGCAATTTCTGAGAGAACCTCAAAACAGAATTACCACTCGACCCAGCAATTCCATTATTGTGTATATACCCAAGGGACAACACATCATTCTACCATAAAGTCACGTGTATGTGTATGTTCATCACAGCACTGTTCACAATAGCAAAAATATACAATCAACCTAACTGGCCATTAATGGTAGAGTGGATAAATAAAATGTGGTACGTATACACCATGGAATATATACCACACACAGCCATAAAGAACAAGATTATATCCGCTGCAGCAACATGGATGGAGCTGGAGACCATTATCCTTAGTGAAGTAACACAGGAACAGAAAACCAAATACTGCATGGTCTCATGTATAGGTGGGAACTAAACATTGAGTACACATGGACACAAAAAAGGGAATGACAGACACAGGGGCCTACTAGACGATGGAGGGTGAGGATCAAAAAAACTACCTACCAAGTACTATGCTTATTACCTGAGTGATGAAATAATCTCTACACCAAATCCCCATGACATGCAAGTTACTCATATAAAGAAACCTACAAATATACCCCTGAACCTAAAATAAATGTTAAAATATTCAAACGTGCCAATGAATAAATTTGAATGAAATAGGTAGATATTATTGGAAAAGTGGCAAGAGGAATAAAGCAAAGCAAAAGATAACCAGTTTATGCATTTGTAACATAATTAGTAATTTTGTCCTGAGATCCTCTTTTCTATTATTAATGTAGAAACTGTGAGAGATTGTAGATAGCATTTCACTGTCTTAGGAATTACCAGCTGAAATATAACTACTCCGTGAGGCCTGTACCAAATAAAAAAGTCTGGCCCAATTACAATCAGGGATAATAAACGGGTTTGAGAGTAATCACTTCCATCTCATGTTTTCTATATTGAAAGGATGCACCAACATTGAAAAAACATCATCTCTAGGTTGTGTGTGTGAGACATAGAGAAGAAGAAAAGACTGAAAGAGATTTTTTATATTCACTCGTGTACACTAGAGTGTCAAGAGTTCACATTGCATTACGTTCACAGAGGTTAGATTTAAGATGCAAATCAGATGCTGATCATTTCATATGCTTCTATTTTAAGGGTGCAGTTAGAGATTAGGAAGTTCTTGTACCCAGACCACCACTGCTATTTTGCGATAAATAATGATGTACTTATGTAGGCACTCCATGATTCATGCTTCATTTTATCCTACAAAATTCTGGTCCTCTAGTAATATAATTACAACCCTTTCCATAATGCCTGTGAGTATCTGGTGGATCTGGTTGGCTTATTATTAGAGGGATATGAATTAGAGTGGTGTGTCAATGCATTCCAGATTAGAATATCAATGTGACAAGAAGTCATATCTAAAGGAAAATAGATGTGGAATAGAAAGAATAGAATAAGACGTGCTTTTAATTGTTGAAAATCTGTCACAGAAAATAACAAATAACGTATAATCTTCTCTATTATGCTTTAAATGAAAGATGGAGTTTCAAACGGTGATTGTTGCATAGTAATACATTTCAAAAATATAAGGAAAAATAATATTATACTAAAATATGCTACTTGAGGAATTAGTCAATGCCTCCTCATCAAACACATTTATGTAGTTACAAGTTGTATGATAACTTGTCTTTAGCTGTTGGGTTTGAGAGTTTGAGTAGGAGTTTATTATTCCTTCCCAGTTTCAGTTTCCCAGTAGATTAGGGTAACATACTATACCTAAAAACATACAGTTAGTATACACATGACATAATAATTTTGGAAAAATAGGACAATGGGCAAGAGAGTAAATATTTTATTCTTCATAGACCAAGAAGCAAAATAAAGAATATTATAGAGAAACTTATATAGAATGAAAAATAACAAATATCAAAAAAAGATGAAATTCAAAATACCATAGTAATAATAATAGAGTATTTGTGGAAATTCAAATCTACTGAATATCAGAATGGAATTCTTTTTAAAAGGATAATATTTCTCTTAATTGGGGTTCAAAGTCTGTGTCCCTCAGCTTAAAACATTGGTTGCAAGTGCTCATCTGCTAATAACAATCCCTAAATAGATTTTACATATCACATCTACGAAAATGTATTTTCACATGGACAGGTGACGCATGTGACACACGCAATTCTGTCAAGTCATAGTATCCTCACTAGCTTTGTAGTGCCATGAGCAGCAGTGCAAAGAGAAGACACCCAATACGGTCTCTGTGTCCACTACTTATTTCTACTGATGTAGCAAGAAAGAAGTCTTAGATAAGACTTAAAAAAAACAAGTGTGGTTAAGTTCCAACAAAATTATAGTTACAGACACTGACATTTTAACTTCATTTTTATGTGTCCTGAAATATTCTCACTTATCTTTTCTCAACATTAGAATATACAAAAACAATTCTTAACCCTCAAGTCACCAAAATCTGGAGGGGAGGAAAACAAGGATGGTGGATTTGGCTCACAGGCAGTATCTTGCCAGCCCCTGTATCCAGGAAGTAAAAGTAGGCACTCCTTGAAAATCCACAAAAGTTAGAATTGCCAGCAGCAGACTGAGAATCTGGTGCAAAGCCTAGTAGATAGCCAGATGTTGGTATGATCCTGAAGAGAGAGAAACTTACAAAATACAACAGATGCAACATGTGAAAACCTAGGAAGATACAGATGAACTAGAAGCAAACAGAACCTCTCCAGAGCTGCAAAATAGCCTCAAATGTAACAGCTCTTGATTAGAATAAATTTGTTACTAGCCTCTATTTCTGCCTAAAAGAGGAAAGTATGAACTTTCTTTAGATAAAGATCACTTACTCTGAGGCTTCTACATAATTTATACCAATGGCTGCCTTTAAATAAAAATGACTAGGTAAGGCAAGTAACAGAATTACGTTACCGAACACCAAGGGGTAAAAAAGATAGTGGATACTAATACACAGGTGGTTCAGATATTGGAATTAGGTGACAAGGACTGTATGTGACTATGATACATTTGTTCTAGATAATAAAAAGAAAAAAGTTCAAAATTGCTGCAAATATATAAATTTAAAAGACTGATGTTATACCTTTAACAGCAGAGTAGACACAGTAGAAGAGAGCATTAATGCCCTGGAAGATGTTTCCCTGAGAAAACATGCAAACTGAATACAGAGACAGAACATTACTGTAGTTTAATAAAGTTCAAGAAATGTGGAAGTCAGTGAACAGGTCTAGCTTGCATGTTATTAAATATGTCTGTATTAAAATTGTCTGGAATACATACTGTGGGCATCAAAAAAAAAAAAAAAAGAAAAGAGAAGGAGTGGGGCAGAAACAATACATAAAAGAGATAATGGCTGAGTGTTAACCAACACTGAAGAAAGATATAAACCCATACATTCAAGAAGATCTTTTGAACACCTTATACAAAATTAACTCAAGATGGATTAAACACTTCAAAGCAAAACCCACAACTATAAAAACCCTAGAAGAAAATCTAGGCAATACCACTCAGGACATAGGCACAAAGAGTTTATGATGAAAACCTCAAAAGCAATTGCAACAAAAGCAAAAACTGACAAATGGAATCTAATTAAACTAAAGAGCTTCTGCACAGCAAAAGAAACAATCATCAGAGTGAACAGACGATCTATAGAATAGGAGAAAATTTTTGCCATCTATCCATATGACAAAGGTCTAATATCTAGAGTTTATAAGGAACTTAAGCAAACTTACAAGAACAAAACAACCTCATTAAAAAGTGGGCAAATTACTTGAAGAGACACTTCTCAAAAGAAGATATTTATATGGCCAAGAAACATATGAAAGAAAGCTCAACATTACTGATAATTAGGTAAATGCAAATCAAAACCACAATGAGATACCATCTCAGGCCAGTAAGAATGGCAATTATTAAAAAGTCAAAAAACAACAGATGCTGGCAATGCTGTGGAGAAATAGGAATGCTTTTATACTGTTGGTGGGAATATATATTAGTTCAAACATTGTGGAAGACAGTGTGACAATTCCTCAAAGACCTAGAACCAGAAATACCATTTGTCCTAGCAATCCCATTACTGGGTAAATACCCAAAGGATTATAAATCATTCTACTGTAAAGATACATGCATGCATATGTTCATTGCACCACTGTTCATAATAGTAAAGACATGGAATCAACTCAAATGCCCGTCTATGATAGATGGGATAAAGAAAATGTGGTACATTTACACCATGGAACACTATGCAGCCATAAAAAGGAAAGAGATCATGTCCTTTGCAGGGACATGGATGGAACTGGAAGACGTTATCCTCGGCAAACTAATGCAGGAATAGAAAACCAAACACTGCATGTTCTCACTTATAAGTGGGAGCTGAACAATGAGAACACATGGACACAGGGAGAGGAACAACACACACTGGGGCCTGTTGAGGGGGGTCGGGGGGAAGGAAAGCATCAAGATAAATAGCTAGTGCACGCTGGTGCTTAATACCTAGCTATAGGTTGACAGATGCAGCAAACCACCACGGCACATGTTTACCTATGTAACAAACCTGCACATCCCACTCATGTATCCTGGAACTAAAATAAAATAAAATAAAATAAAACTACAATAAGGTATATTATTATCAAAACTAAAAATTAAGAAAACTATTAAACCTAGCTTAGGGAAAAAATAAAATACAAATTCGCTTCAAAGAAACAACATAAGACATAGAGCCAACTTCTCAACAGAAATTTTTAAAAGTCAGAAAACAAATGAGTAACAACTTTAAAGTTTTGAATAAAATTGCCTGTCAACTCTAAATTTTATATCTAGTAAAAATACTTTTCAAAAATCAATGTAAAGATGATTTCAGACAAATACTGATAATTTTTTTACTGACAATTTAACAGTAAATAAGGTACTACAAGCAGAGCAAATGATGGTAGAGGAAACAATTTTTAGCAATGAATTTTAGAAAAGGGTAAATTACAAATGAATATTGACTGGATAGTGACTAAGGAATACATTAGCAGTAATGTCTTTGGGTTTTAAAATGTATGTATAATTAAAACTCATGAGAACAATAAGGCAAACTGTGAGGATGAGCAACTTTAGTTTACTATAATTACCTTGATGTGGTGTAATTTGTATTGAACTGTAGTAAGTTAAACATGAATATTTAATTTCTAGAGCCAATACTGAATACATAAATTACATAACTATCAAAAAATAGAAGAAAAAGCTGGAAGAGTAGAAATTACGTATTTTAAGATAAAGCTAGAAAGTACAGAAAAAAGGACCACAAAATAGATGAGACAAGCGGAAAATAAATAATAACAGGGTAGATATAATCCAAATAATTTGTCAATAATAACATTAAATGTTAAATAGATGAAATTTTCCAATGGTTAAATATACATGATTGTCAGCAATATGTTTTAAATGGCCATATGATTCTTCTAAGATATATACAATACAGAGTAAAGAACACAGCGATTATGAAATTAACGCTTAAATGCCATATCACCCCTAGCAAAATAATAAGAAAAAAACAGAAAATATAAATGTTTCTAAATCTACTGGTTGCTATATAATTTTAAGTCTTTCTATAAAGAAAACAAATGACCAAGTTGGCTCAGTGGTGCTTTCTGCCAATCATTAAAAAATTTATAACACCAAATTTAAAAAAGACTTTCAGAGAACAGAAAAAGAAAATATATTTGACTGTTACCAATATAATCTTGACACTAACTTTCACAAGGACAATGTAAGAAAAAAATTAAAAAGATCAGTTTCTTTCATGAACTTGGGTGCAAACATTCTAAACAAAATATTAGAAATTGAATCCAGTGACACGTAAAAACATAAAATATCCTTACCACTTGGGACAAGTGGTAAGAATCCAAGGGTATTGAACGTAAAAATCAATTCATACAATTCACAATAGTAACAAAACTTTTTTTTTAAAAAGTTCATCATGATAGGTACAGAAGAAGCATGTGAAAAAATTCAACAACCACTGTAATGATAATAATTATCATCATCATCTTCATGGCATATTAGAAATAAATAGAAGTTTCCTTTATTTAATAAAAATATTTCATAACAAACATACTTTAATAGCAAACATCATAATTAGGGATGAAATTTTGAGAGCTTTCTGCTTGAGATCCAAAATGAGAAAACAAAGTTTATTACCACAATTTCTAGTCAACATTCTACTGCATGGAATGTTCACTGCAATAAAGCAGGAAACACAACAGTGCAACAGGAAGAGGAAAGAAGAAATGAATCATTTATTGTTCACAAATGACATTATTTATATAGAAAATGCAAGAGTTTATGTAGATGAAGTGCTAAAATAGGTAAGTGATTTTGAAGATTGTTGAAAAAAATCATTCAACAAAATGAACCATAAAGAAATGTTAAATAATAAAATTCATAAAAGGTAGCATCTACAATAGCACCAAACATCAAGGGCCTTAAAATAACCCCAATAAAATGTGTGCAGTTTATTCTACCCTAAATTTACATAACATTATAGAGTTAATACTTTTAAAAAATTAACTTGAACTGAGATTACTGATACTTAACCATGTTTGACCAATAAAAAATTGTTTTATATGATTCAACCTAATAAATAATGAAAACAGTGTACCTTCCTTGTCAATTAGAAGAATTAAAATAGTAAAATTTCTATTTTCCACAAATTGATTCATTGATTCAACATAATTCATGTTAAAATCCCATCAAAATTATTTTGCTTGTGAAATTGACATCTTGATTTTAAAATTTATGTGAAAATGCAGAGAAAAAATAAAAGCCAAGGAAATTTTGAAAAAGAATTAAAATGGGAGTACTTACAATGCAAGTAGTGTGTCTTATTTTAAAGTTTTAGTAAGTAACACGTACCATATTAGCACTTTAAAAGTCCAAAGAGGGCCGGGCATGATGGCTCATGCCTGTAATCCCAGCACTTTAGGAGGCTGATGCGGGCGGATCACGAGGTCAAGAGATCGAAAACATCCTGGCCAACATGGTGAAACCCCATCTCTACTGAAAATACAAAAATTAGCTGGGTGTCGTGGCGTGCGCCTGTAGCCCCAGCTACTCAGGAGGCTGAGGCGGGAGAATCGCTTGAACCCAGGAGGCGGAGGTTGCAGTGAGCAGAGATCTGGCCACTGCACTCCGGCCTGGGTGACAAGAGCAAGACTCTATCTCAAAAACAACAACAACAACAACAACAACAACAAAAAGTCCAAAGAAATTGAAGCATTTCATAAACAAACATACACATATAAAGTCATCTGACTTACAATAAAGGCGAAAGTGCAGTGCAGTGATTAAAAAAAATGGAGTTTTCAATAATCACCTTGGGTAAAATGGATAGCATATGGAAAACAAGAATGTTAATCTAATGTCATATTGTATATATACATACAGATATGTGTATACATATCTGTATGCATAGAGTGTTCATATATACACATACATATGTACGTACACACACACACACATATATATTCCTATGTGATTTTTGACTGAAATGGGCAAGTAATGCAATTTTGTTTCTTTATTTTTTAAAGAAAAACAGGATACTATCTTTACGACCCTATGATATGCAAATGTTTGTAGACACAAAAACAGATGACAATGAGAGGAAAGAAAAAATAAAAATTAGACTACACTAACATTTATAACTTTTTTCATTAAAATATATACCATACTACAGAGTAGTGACAATGAATAAACTTGGCATAGAAAGGTACTTCATTAAATTGACAAACAACATTTATTAAAAACCACAGCTAATATCATTCAATGGTGGAAGCCTGAAAGCTTTTCTCCTAAGATCAGAAATGAGACAAGAATGCTTGTTTTCACCATTGTCATTCAACATTATATTACAATGTATATCCAGAGTAATTAGGCAAGTAAAAGGCATAAGTGGCATTCAAAATGGAAAGGTAGAAGAAAAACTATATCTATTTGCAGATGTCATGATTTGGTGCAACATCAACATAGAAAAATCAGTTGTGTTTCTGTGCAGCAGCAGTGAAAAATCAAAAAATGAAACTAATTCAAACAATTTCAATTACAAGAGCACTCAAAATATAAAACACCCAGGAATACATTTAACTATGGAAGTGAAAGACGTGTACACTGAAAACTGCAAAACATTGAGGAAAGAAATTACTTAAAGGATATGTGTTATTCTTCTAGGATAATGAAAATGTTTTGAGCCTATAGAGAAGTAGTGGTTGCACCACATTGTGAATATGCTGAATGTCACTGACTTGTACACTTAAAAATAATTAATTGGTTAATTGTATGCTATGCAACTTTCTACTCTAGCATAAAAGGAGGAGGAGAAGGAGAAAGGTGAAGAAGAGGAAGGGTTGTAGTGGCAGTAGAAGTAGTCAGGGTTCTGTCTACTTTGTGAGGGAGCCAGATGGCAGATAGGGGAAGGAAGCACTAGTGGTATTTCTGGGATTCTGTTATTACTGTTTCATTTCTTGAAAGAGGTATTGATTTTTAAGGCAGTTCACTATGCAAAAATTGTTGGTCTGCATGGTTTTTATTTATGAATTTTTATATATGTATTTTGTTTTTCAATAAAATTAATAAAAATATAGTGGAAAGTGAATGAATTTGAATTCTATATATCCACAAGACAGGTCTAACAAGTTTGAATGAAATAGCAAATTATACAAAAATACAGGTAGTATAATATACTACCTTTGAACAAAATATTAAAATTGTAAGATAATATTTTTAGAAAAATTCTTATGACCTACACGTATAAAGAAATTAATGATAATTACAAATAACAAATTAGGCTCATAGTTTTGTGTATATGGGCAAGAGGGTTTGTGAGTAATGGGGATGTGTACAGGAAAAGACACGCATATGATTTCCATTAGGTTTTTATTTCTTCAAGTAAATTGTGCTTACATAAAATCTTCGTATTTTTCAAAAATAGTATGTTTTATGTAGTTTTGTATACCTGCAATTTTTATTATTTTAAGAGAATAATTTGCATTGCTTGCATCCCTTACAGGTTTTGAAAAAACATACAATGTATTGTCTTATTTGACTATCAGAAATCTTTATATGATTGGCCAGTCAGGCATTTTAACTACTCACTTTTTAGAAAGAGAAAAAACACAGTTTAGAAAATGGTAACATCCAATAATATCTTTTGGTATCAAATTTGGCCCACAATTCAATGCACTAAGCTATTTCTTATGAAAGTGAAATGAGACAAATATTTATTGAATATCTACAAATTGTCAGAATACTTACGTATTATCTCAATAAATCATGACAGCAATACAGTGAAGAAGGTGTCATTATACCATTACAAAAATAAGAAACCTGAGATTTGGAGAGGCAGTCAGTTTCCCAAAAACTCTCCCCAACAGGCAAAACCAGGCTGTATGACTGCAAAATCTGTGCTTATTTTTGTACATCTTACTGACCTCCCACAACACCTGACCTCTTGGTTACTATGGATTTAGGCATTAATATGAGATTCTACTTCATAAAATTAAAAAAAGAGCCAATCATTTGCTTTCTTGCAAATAGATAATCTCTATATTCGCTTGACCCTGTGTTCAAAACTGCCTTTTCTCTGTATGAAAAAAAAAAATCTAACATTACAAAATATCCTAATGTTTTCCTAGCTTTATAACACTCTTAGAAGAGTTTTTTTTTTTCCTTCCAATTTTGCTATTCCTTGCAGTGGGCAACACTTCGCTTTGATAATTTCCACAGTGAAAGTCATTTCCTCACAGACAATAAATCCATAATACAGGAGAGTAATTCAATTTTCTTACTTATGCAACATCACGCTCCATGCTGAGTCCTGGCTATGCTTTTGGTTCCATAATGCTGCACACTGAATCCTAAGCTTAGTTTTTGTAAAAGTTAGACCTTTCACGTCATATTTAGTAATTGACCCAAGCGCTATAAAAAGAATGCTTTTAAGCATTTGCATAGTAGTCAAATAAAGGCCACCAAACACCTCCTGTCTGTTGACTTTCATTCTTCCTCACCGAGTAGCTCTCCCCTTGCTTTAATAGGAGAGGAATAGAGATATATCTAAGACAATATTTTGACTTCAGCTGTTCGGACTTGTGTCCTAATCCTTCTAAGATGCCTTTCAAAAGCTGCCTGAGGACTCAGAAAATCTTTTGAACTTAAGAATTGAAGTTCTAACATCATAACGTCCTTGGAAAATCTAGAGAGAGAAACAGAAAAGACCTCCCTTAAATTATTACCAAGTGTTTAGATATTCTTAGATTCTGCTAAGAAGAAAAATGAATTCAAACAGCTACCAAGATTTCAAGTAAGTGGTATTTTTTGCAAGACATGCTTCTTTTTCTAGTGCATTATCTATTTTCTTTGATTCTATTATTTTGTTCCTCTTATAGGAACATCTCTTTTGTTTATAAGAATGAAAATTCCACTAGTAACACTGAATTCAAATTAATTAATTTTTAGTTTTTGGAAATGTGTTTTTATGAAGCCAGAGCCATACATATTAAGCAACTATGTACTATTGTTAAGCCACAATATATTCCTTGACATTTCTTTATGCATATAAGGGATAAAACCTGAAAATACTGTTTTTCTAACCTCTGTGTAAAATTATTGAGGTTTCTATATTATTTTCAAATATGTAACAGCACCCCTGCAATTAGGTACCAAGAAAATGAACTATACAATAGGTTTAGTTTAATCTCCCTGGAATTACCTTAATTTCATGTAAGTGGTAAAATATCCAGGTTCCAGTGTTGTGTTTCCAATACTATTCCTCCATACAGAAAAGCTGCTCACATATTTTAATACAGTTTTGTATATTCACCATTATATGAACTTTGTCTAAGATAGGAAGATAAAGCTCTGCAGACATTTCAGTATTTTAAGTAGAGTAATTATTCATGTAAACAATTGTGGATGAGTAGTTACAAGGTAATAAGACCCTGGGTAAAAAATGTAAGGCTGCTTCTAAGGTTGGATTTTTAGGATTCAGACAATAGTGACACCAAAGATCCAGGAATAAGCACACCTTGTTATTTTTTTTCTGGAAATAGTTTGAGCATTTTGGAAGGCTGAGTTTTCAAGATAGGCCTTAGAAAATAAAGATATATTATGAAATAATTTAAAAAAATTTACAGGCAATTAATATAGCCAAATTATTTTGGGCATGTTGACTGATTTATTTTTGAAAAGTAGTTAAATACACTATGTACATTAAAAATTAATTATAAAGTGTTGCATTTAGTATTAACCATAGATAAGATCTTATTTAATGACATTCACTATAGGATACATTTTCAAGGATCCACGTCTTTTTAAATACTTCGTAATAATTTGATAAATGACATTTTATTTTGATGGCAACATAAGGCATATCGATACAAGTACAGGTTGGGCATCCCTAATATGAAAATCTAAAATCCAAAATGCTTCAAAAATTTGACATAATGCCACCAGTGGAAAATTTTACATCTGACCTCATGTGACAGGTCACAGTCAAAACGCAGTCAAAACTTTTCCTGCACAAAATTATTTAAAATATCGTGTAAAATAACCTTCAGGCTATGTGTATAAGGTGTACATGAAACAAAATTTATGTTGATATTCGGGTCTCATCCCCAAGATATCTCATTATGTATATGCGAATATTTCAAAACCCAAAAAGAGTTTAAAATTCCGCTTGAACCTGGGAGGCGGAGGTTCTGGTGAGCCGAGATCGTGCCATTGCACTCCAGCCTGGACAACAAGAGCCAAACTCTGTCTCAAAAAAAAAAAAAAAATTCTGAGTTTTTAACTACAGACAAAATGTCACCAGTGGAAAATTTTACACCTGACCTCATGTGACAGGTCACAGTCAAAACTTTGTTTCATGTACAAAATTATTTAAAATATTGTGTAAAATAACATTCAGACTCTATGTATAAGGTGTATATGAAATAAATTTTGTGTTGATATTCCGGTCTCATCCCCAAGATATCTCATTATATATATGCAAATATTTCAAAATCTAAAAAGAGTTTAAAATTTAAAACATTTCTGGTCCCAAGAATTTCGGAAAAAGGATAACCAACCTCATAGTCTTTCAGTGTTACTCAACTTCAGAGCTGAAGTTTGGGCTTAGAATTACACCATTTTTATGTGACTAAAAAGGGACAGCTTTAATTTATACTTTTTTGTTAAGTACCTCTCACTGCACTAATTTTGCCCTAATGTGCAAATGAAAACAATTGTCCATCATTAGAACTGAAATTCATGTTGACATCATTAAAAAATACATATTTACTCCAAGTAAAACTCCATGGCATCATCTAATACCCTATGAATAAAAGTGTAGTAAAAGGTGTATTATAGTTATAAACATCCCATGGTAGAATCATGCCAAATGCAAAAGATAACTTTCAATTTAGCAAATATTTAATTGAAAGCTGATATGTTAAGTTAGTCCAATTTGATACAACAGTTAATTTGTAGCATAAGCAGTAGGAAAATTAACAATGAGGAATTATATGTACATATATAAAAATATATATTTATACATATATAAATACATAATTTTGTTTTTTGCTATTATTTCCCTGGCCTATTAAAAATGGGTCAATGTTTAAAATAAATTATTTGTTTAACATTTTCAAACCAACATAATTTATTCTACTAAAATACTATTAATTGAATTTTTGTTTTATAATACTGCTTGTATGAAATTTGTATATTTGACTTTGAAGTGGGATTAAATATATATGCACTTTGAGTAATATTATCAAATAAATATACATAAATGTGGATATGAGGCAGAGGTATTTTCTTTTTCCAAATCAATTTAATTTTTTAAATGTTGATTTAAAATTTATTTCTTTATACAAATAAGAAAAAACAAAATCGTAGGAATTGACTTTGAATTATGATATTATAAAATTGCTAATTGCTTTGAAAATATACACAAAAAAAGAAATTGTTTTGGGGGGAGAGTAATGTTTCTTTTCTTAACTTTTACTTTAAGTTCAGGGGTACAAGTGCAGGTTGGTTACACAGGCAAACGTGTGTCCTGGGGATTTGTTGTACAGATTATTTCATCACCCAGGTATTAGGCCTAGTACCCATTAGTTATTTTTCCAGATCCTCCTCCTCATCCCACCCTTCACCCTCCAAAAGTCCCCAGTGTGTGTTGCTCCACTGTATGTGTCCATGTGTTCTCATCATTAAACAACCCTATAAAAAACGGGGCAAAGGACATGAACAGACACTTTTCAAAACAAGATATACCTGTGGCCAACAATCATGTGAAAAAAAGCACAATGTCACTGATCATCAGAGAAATGCATATCAAAACCACAAAGAGATACCAACTAACAACAGTCAGAATGGCTATTATCAAAACCCCAGAAACTAACAGATGCTGGTGAGACTGTGGAGAAAAAGGAACGCTTATACACTGTTATTGAGAGTATAAATTAGTTCAGCCATTGTGGAAGAGAGTGTGGTGATTTCTCAAAGACCAGAAGACAAAAATATCATTTGACCCGGAGCAATCCTACTACTGGATATATACTCAAAGAATATAAATTATTCTATTATAAAGACACATGTTCATTGCAGCACTATTCACAATAGCAAAGACATGAAATCAACCTAAATGCTCATCACTTACAGACTGAATATAGAAAATGTGGTACATATATACCATGGAATACTATGCAGCCATAAAAAATGAGATCATGTTCTTTGCAAGGAGTTGGATGGAGCTGGAGGCCATTAGACTTAGCAACAAACAGAAGAAAAGAAAACTATAAAAGGAGTTATTATTATACATTAGAAATTATAAAAAACAAAATATAAATGAATGTTAAGTGATATGCCTTTGATCTTCAGAAATTCATAATTCTGTAAAATGACATTAAAAATCATACTGTTTTATAATTTATACCTTATACATAAAATTACTTTGTAAAACATAAATATATAATCTTCAGTGTTTGTGATTATAGCATAGTGTACATTGTGATCCTTTAGTACACACTTTGAAGATCTTTTCCTTTGTTGCTTGCTTCTCTTTCCTGCTTTTCCTCTGCATACCAACTATCCACTGAAAGTTTCTCACATAGGGCGTATTTACAAATATATCACAACTTCTTCTCTTCTTCCTTTCCTATTATTTCAGTGGATAATTTCTATCATTTTATCGCATAAACTCTTTACATTCTCTTCTGCCACCCTAAATCCCCATTTTGCTTCCATGCTCATTCTTAGTTCTTTGACTTCCTGAGTCATTTCTTGATTGGTTTAGTGGCACATTCTACTTACCTAAGAAGGTCTGTGGAAAAATATATTTCTTGTTTTTGTTCCACTTTTTGTAGTCATTTAAAATGATGGAGAGATTAGCTAGATATAAAATATTCAACAAATTTTTTCTTAAACTGAAAATCTTAATCTGAAAGTTTTAGCACTGTTCTTATGTGCTGAATACTGATGTGAAAAAACCTGAGGCCACTTTAATTTGTTTCTATAAGAAATTAATTAAATATTTTGCCTGATTAGCCAAATGATTTTTCCTTTAATTTGAAGATTAGTATGTTTATTAATATATATCTCAAAGATTTAGGGCCAGATCAAATATTTTTTACATGGGGTATGATGTCTTTTGTCATGTAGTTTACTTTTTCCAGAATATCATCAAAATGAAAATCATATAATAATAATCCCACTTTTTTCACATAGCATGCTTTTTTGAAATTGATCTTATTGTTACAAGTACTAATTTATGATGAAAAATAGTATTACATTGTATGGACATATGACAATTTTTTTTTCAACTTACTGGTTGATGGACACTTGGGTTATTTCTAGTTTTGGGATATTAAGAATAAAGCTACTATAAATATTATCTCAGAAGCCTCCATAGGACATATGCATTCATTTCTCTTAGTTAAATACAAATGAGTGAACCTCTTGGGTTGTATGGTGAGAGTACCTTTAATTTTATAAGACACTGTTACATAGTTTTCAAATGTGGCTGTATCATTTTTCATTCCTATCTCCAATGTATGAGGCAATTGTTTCATCTCCTTACCTGCACTTGCTATTGTCAATCTTTTTAATTGTAGCAATTTCAACTATCACTGTGGTTTTCATTGACATTTCTCTGATAACTAATGGTGTTGAGAATCTTTTCCTGTGATTATTTACCAAATTACCCACAATGGTGTTAATGACAGCAGGCCTGTTGTGCCACATCAGTCCTAACACTTGAAATTGTTAGTTTCTTTTATCAAACTATTCTGGTGGACGTATAGTGCATTTCATTGTGGACTGAATTTGTATTTCCTTGAAGACCAAGTACAATACGTTTATCAGTCTTCTGTAATATGGCTACTGTTCAATCCTTTTCCTCACTTTAAAAATTTAATCATCCTTTTATATTCATATGTAAGGTTTATTTTCATATCCTGGATAAAAGCTAGCTTAGGTGTTAAAAATATCTCACTCCAGTCTGGCTTGATAGCTTATGTAAATAAATTTGGTCTTTAAATAAACCTTTAAAAATTACATCTTCCTATGTCCTAATTAAGAATTATTTCTGTTACTGGTGGAGGGTGACCAGGTCTTGGTGTTTCGAACAAAGAATTGGACAAAATGCACAAACAAAGCAACAAAAGAATGAAGCAATGAATGCATAGATTTAATGAAATGAAAGTACACTCCACAGACCAGAGGCAGGCTCCAGCAAGTGGCTCAAGAGCACTGCTTACAGAATTGTCTGGTGTTTAAATACCCTCTAGAGGCTTCCCCTTGGTTACTTGGTTTACACCCTATGTAAATGAAGGAATGTCCCGTGATAAAGCAGAAGCTGAAGTGAAGTTACAAATTTACACCCTATGCAAATGAAGACTAGGTCTGCGACCAGTCTGATTGGTTGCAGGAGGAGATCAGTCAGAGATACTTTCTATTTTTCATCTGAAACACAGAAAGCAGGGGGTTGCAACAGCAGTAGTCTCTGATCCTTTTGTTACTTGGACATGGAAAGTTAGGGTTTTCCTTTTGATTCAGTTCTAGCAGGTCAGTGCAAATCAGCCTTAGGTTATCTTGTCTCCAGACCCTATTCTCCTGCCTCAATTTCCATGTGTCACGTTTTTTCTATGTTTTATCTATGATCTATAATGTTAAGTACTTCACATTTATAATCACAAATTATTTAGAGTGGTTTTGATGCAGGATTTTTTGCTCCTTAGTTCAGCTAAAATCTGGGTTCTTGTCACATGACGAGGAAAGACTAGGCCTGAGGACACATTGAAAGGTGAATGGAGCAGATTTATTAAAAGAAAGACTTCAGTGAAAAAAGAAGGGGTCTTGCCAATAGGCTGCCACCTCACAGATGGAATACTAGGCCACCACGCACACAAGCTAAAGAGAGGCCAGGCTCCTCCCCCTGCACAAGGCATGAACTGCCTGTGGCTCCACCCTACTCTCCCAGTGCCCAGGCAGCCCCCAGTCTGCTGTGGCCATGTGCAGGCAAGACCCTGGGCAGGTTCCCTCATCTGCACAAAAGCATCTGATGTAAACACTTGTGCGGAGGTTTGGAGACTCCCCAGGGTCCTTCTCTCATCTGCCTCCTTCATCTTTCAGTGTAACAAAGGGGTCAAGTTTCATTTCATTCTTTCTATGGCATAGCCAACTGACCCAACGTCATGTCTTGGAAACATTGACATTTTGTAGTTTCACAACATAACATTAGTCATGATAATGGCCCGGTTTTTCTGAGTTTTCATTATATTTTGTTATCTCTGTCCCTTTATAAATGTCTTACAGTTTAAATTATTGTAGCCAAAATTTCCAATTCAGAATGTGCTGTAGGAGAATGAAAAAGGTCTCAGTATCTCTCATTGACAAGCTCAATTTGTTTCTCCGATTTCTAAAAAAAAAAAAAAGGTCCAACAACCTGAGATCCACCATACTAAATCTCTTTTTTTTTCTTCTTCTCCTAATTATTTACCTTTCTATTTTTCCTTTTTTTCTAAAGGAATCTTTACACACAAGCTTTCCAAATCAACTGCTAATGACAAGTTCATGATTTTTAAATTGAGGGTTTTTAAAAATGTTTCTGCTTGTTTGGGTGAGAGGGTATAGGACAAAATGGCACAGAAAAAAAAACCAGTTATTTTTCTACTACCTGAAGTAGGTTAAAAACATATAAAATCTAATATAAAATACTAAAATTAGTGTACTGATTATTCAGGTAAATTAATTTATTTCAAAACAATGAGGGCTCTATTTTATTATTTACTTTGCGGGTTGTGTTTCAGGACCAAAAAGAAACTTGCATTTGTTAGATGACCCCTAATATAAAATATTTGTACAGATATAGACCATGATTGTATACAAACTCTAGATAATTAGCATTTTTGTCATAGCCATGGTGTACCTCATGCCTGAACAAGATCTATATCAACTTTATTTTTTACTTTATTTATGTATTTTTTTTTTGCTATAGGGTCTTGTTCTGTTGCCCAGGCTGGAATGTAGTGGTGTGATCACAGCTCACTTGCAGAGGTTCAAGTGATCCTCCTACCTGAGCCTCTCAAGTATCAGAGACCACATGCACATACCACCACACCAATCTATGTGTGTGTGTGCATGTGTTTGTGTGTGTGTGTAGACATGAGATCTCACTACATTGCTCAGATGGTCTTGAATTCCTGAAATCTAGTGATCCTCCTGCCTTGGCTTCCCAAAGGGCTGGGATTACAGGTGTGAACCACAATCCCCAGCTTACATCAATTTTAATGCTAAACTTAAAGAAGAAAAACTATAAACTACTCAAAGTAATTTAATAATCAGGTATACAAAAGAAAACTAAATAAGATAACAAATTTATAGGACAATGTGAATTATCTAATATTCTAAATGCTGATACTGTACAATTAAACTACATAGTTGAATTGCCTCCTGCATATTTTAAATTATAATTGTTATTACTATAACAATTTAATTAAAAACACCAATGGCAGAGGTCCGGATGCTGTAAGAAAGTTATAGTTATCCATCAAATGCCAATTTAGAATAACTCAACATCTCATAAAGGTGAACTGCACTATTTTTACTGTATCTCTCAATGTAAACCTAAGGCTTAAAATCTCTTTTTAAAAATAATCTCACAGTCCTAAATTTTAGGCACTTTTAGTGGTTATGTATTTCTTTTATGCAAAGCAATGGGTGAAAGGGTTGTATAAAAACATAAAGACTATATAATATTGTACTTTAAAACTCTATTGATTTCATGCAGAAAAGTAGGAAAGAGAAACACATCTACCACAATAGAACAAGATCCTTGCAGTCCAAAATGAAAATTAAGATGCCTATGCCATAAAAACTATATTGCCTGTTGTGATTAGCTGAGATTTTACAAGAGTATAACATGCCTTTAATGTATCATGAAAAAAAAGCAGTAATATTTTCAATATTGTCCCTTCAACAAAAAGCTTTCAAAATTATGACAGAGTAAGGCAGTCTTGTCTTTGCATGTTAGTGCATTTGAATGAAATAACACTGGTCCTCAAACAATACTGTTCACATTTCAGTTCCTGAACTATAATAATTGTGAGAAATTACATAAGGAAAACTTTGCTACAAGCTTTTCTGTCTACAAATCACTCTGTGCATCAAGATTAGTGACTGATTACATCACTTCTATAAGTAATAACCCTATAAGTAATTGGTTACTGTGCATATATTATTAAGTTCATGTACAGAGAGCAAAAAACAGCTATATTGCCTCCTTATCTCCCAGTAATAAACACACATGACATTTTATAGAAATAGATCATAGAAAGAGGTATCTGGCCAACAAAGATAAAAGATCATTAAAGAAACAAAAGTGATAATACTAGAAGTGAAAAAGTTTGAATAGAACATAAGTGGAGTTATAGAAGAAATTGTAAATGGTGGGAATTTTGACATGAGTACACTCTTTATCAAAGGAATTTAGTGACATTGAACTTATCAAGCTATATGAGGAAGGTTATGACAAAATGTATGCATATGTCCCTGATATTAGAAGCCAGAAAAAAGTTAGCATTGAGGGAACTATTGGAGATATTACTTGGCATTTAAAGCTCTAAAAATAAAATTTTGAAATATTATCTAAACTTAGAATTTGTGTGAAAATTCACCAATGTGTAGAAAAAGTATTCACTCTGTATTGTAAGTTATATAATTAGAAAACAAACACTGCTTCAAAGTATTCTTAAGTCTTTACCAAAAAATCAACTTAATTCTCTATGCTTCTAATGTTTTTAGTTACAGCAAACAAAATGAATACTGATTTTACTATATTTTGCTTGTCTGAGATTATGTACCAATAGAAAGACTTTTCAATGTTGTTACAACAGTTTCAAATTCATGGAGCAATAGGTTTTCCCACTGTTTGTTCTGATCACTTGTCATGATTTTAGCTTATATTTTTTATTATTCTACACTTGCAAGCAAGGACTATTTGTATTATCTTTAGGGGATTCATTTGTTAGTGGATATGTGTTCACAGTTATAAATGTCATAAAGCAAAGTCCTCACAGTCAAGTAAGAGAGAATAATTTAAGAAAATGAATGCACACTATTCCTCTTCTACTTCAGGCTTAATGCCATATTAGGACATTCCTAGAAGCAGGAACCTGAAAGTTTGGAAAAATTAAGTTTTCTTTTCCAAAGATTAGTGAATGAGGAAAGGAGAATAGAGGGAATGGGGTTAGGTGATGAGAAGTGATTATCTTTGCCACTAGAAACAAGAGACGACTATTTCCAGGAACCATTAATTTAATCATTCCCTCATTTAACAAATATTTCGGTGGAGGACATAGAAATTGTTAAGGATGGGAGACATTACAGAATAGATATACACAGTGAGAAAAAACTTAATAACTGTCTGAATTTACAGATCTAGGGAAAAGGGATAATTTCAGGAGCAATACCTTGAAATGGTAAGAGGAATTGGAATCTATGGCACAGTTGGAGGGTTAGCTTTAGGTAAGATCAGAGATATTCATGCATGCTAATAAAGAGAATATAAGACTATAGGTGCTATACAGAATATAAGACTATAGACAGCTTATATATACGGTAAGCTGTCCTATTTGGAGGCTCAAAGATAAGGTCGTTCTGTTGCTAAAAGCATGGTTATTGGTGAAGATGAAGAATAGGAACTATTTGTAATTGAGAGAGTGAAAAGTTTTAAAACAGCCACCACAGATTGATAAGCTGGGTTGATGAAGAAAATATGGAAGGACCGCCAGGAAATTACAAGGAGTCTTTTGAAGTTATACATTCCAGGTAAAAAGATTCACATGAATTATCCTCACTCCCCACCCCCTTTACCACTTGGAAATCTTCTCCTCCTCTTCTTTTCTAACCATAATCAGCTTTTACATTTATCAAAAAGCAGGCAGATATTATTTAGTTTATATTTTTAATGTAAGTTAAGTCTTTTGAAGGAGACTTGGAGGGTAAAGAAATTGTGGGGGTAAGCATGTGGATATAATGATGAATTATGAGAGATCAATCAGAAAAAGGGGAAGTTAATTACAGGGAGTTGATGTACAGTAAAAGGGGATAAAATTAACTAGCTTTTTTAGTAATTTGAAGTTTTATTAGACTGGATAGCACTAAGAGGAAATATACTATAGAATTTAGGAAGTGGTAGCCAGAGGATGAGGCTATCAATATAGGTGTTTTAGTAGTTATATATAACTACTAAATAACTACTACTAAATAACTAAATATAGTAGTTACTATATAACTACTACGATTATGCTCAAGAATTTGTCGTTACTATTCAAATTCAAATTCAAATAGTAACTACTTATTCAAGAATAAGTAGTTACTATTATATTATATAATAGGTAACGACAAATTCTTGAGCATAATCATAGAATTCGGTGAGAGAAGTTGAGTGGAACATAAGATCTTAGTGAAAATCTTAGATAACTGAGTGGCTATGGTACTAGGTGAGTTATCTTCAGGCATGCTGATCCTACCCTAAATAATAATTAGAAATATGTGTAGTGTGCAGTTAGCCAGGTGCTAAAGGAATGGAACTAAAGGAATAACTGAGAGCATCAGGATAAAAAAGAGGTTTAGTGGCTGGTATAAACCAGAGCCAATGTTTCAAAAGAACTAAAGCACGTCAGGAAAGATGGAAGGAATAGGACCCTGGAAGAGACTGTGAGGAACAAGGAAGGATCTGATCTAATTTCAAGACAGAAATTTGTGAGGTGTGCATAAAAAAATTCATTAACAGAAAAACAGTATGGATAGATTCTGTTTAGGAAAGTTATTTTTTAAAGTATTATTATCAATTTTATTGTAAATATAAATATATCAGCTAAATTAAAAGCCTGATTAAGCCACTGATGCTTAGCCTGAGAGCCTACATATCCTATAACGTTTTTTTTTTTTTTTAGTGAGGCAATGAGTTACAAGTTTCAGGCTAGTGCTTTACAAAGACATTTGTGGAAGCCAAACTACTTTCTCTTTAGATAATTTTTATCTTTTTTTCCTTTACTCCAGCTTTATTGAGATATAAATGACAAATAAAAATTGCATAAATTTATAATGTGGTTTTGATATATGTAAATATTTTGAAACAACCACAATCAAGTTAACATTCTTATCACCTCACATAATTATATATGTTTTTTGTGGTGAGAATATTTAATCTTTTAGTGATTTTTAAGTATACCTGATTAATAACCATAGTCACCAAACTGTACAGTAGATCCTCAGAATTCATTCATTCTAACTAAAACTCAGTACCCTTTGACCAAAATATCTCCATCACTGTCCCCAGCTCCTGATAACCACCATTCTACTCTTTGCTTCTAGGAGTTTGATTTTTCATATTCCACATATAAGTGAAATATTTCTGTGTCTGCTATGTTTGCTTTACTTCACTAAGTATAATGTCCTCTAGGCTCATCTATGTTAGCACAAGTTACAGAATTTGTCTTTTTTTGTGACTGAATAGTATTCCATTTTGTATACATATCATCTGTATCCACTCATCTGTTTATCAACACTTAAGTTGGTTTTATATATTAGCTACTGTGAATAATTCTGCAGTAAACATGGGAATGCAAACATTTTCTTGAAACAATTATTTTATTTCCTCTGGATATAGACCCAGTAGTGGGATTGCAGGATCATATTGTACTTATATTTTTAATTTTTTGAAGATCTCTCATAATATTTTCCATAATGGCTATACTAATTTCCATTCACACAGTGTGTAAGGGTTCAATTTTCTCCACATTCTTACCAACATTTATTATCATTTGTCTTTTTATTAGTAGCCATTATAACAGGAGTGACATGATAAACCCATTTTTAATTTGGTTTTCAATTGCATTTCCCTGATGATTAATGATGTTGAGCATTTTTTCATATATCTGTTAGCCATTCGTATGCTTTATTTTGAGAAATGTCTATTCAGATACTTTACCCATTTTTTTCATCAAATAGTTTGTTAGTTTTCCATTGAGTTGTTTGAGTTCCTTATATATTCTGGTTATCAATCCTTTGTCAGATGGATTGTTTGAAAATATTTTCTTTCATTCTGTAGATTGTATCTTCATACTGCCAATTGTTTTCTGTGCAGAAGCTTTTTGGTTCAATAGACCATCCCATTTGACTACTTTGCTTTTGTTACCTGTGCTTTGGCATTATATTTAAAAAATCATTGTTCAGATTTATGTCAAGAAACTTTTTTCATATGATTTCTTCCAGTAGTTTTACAGTTGCTGGTTTTTAGTATACAACAAGCCCCTGGATAATATCATATTTAAATCATAAAAAATTGAAAGCTTTTCTTCTAAGACTAAGACAAAGATGTCCACCTTTGCCACTTCTGTTCAATACAGTACTTAATGTCCTAGCCACAGCAATTAGGCAAAAGAGGAAATAAAAAGCATCTAAACAGGAAAGGAAGAAATCAAATGTCTCCATTTGTAGATAATATGCTCTTATGTATAGAAAACCCTAACAATGTCACCAAAATACTATTAGAAAAAACAAGTCCTAATATTTTTATAGAACCACACAAGACTCTAAATGGCCAAATCATTTTGAGTAAAAAGAACAAGGCTGCATCATAACACTACCTGTTTTCAAAATATAGTAAAAACAATAGTAATCAAAATATCATGATTCTGGCATAAAACCGGACATGTAGACCAATGGAACAGAATAGAGAGCCAAAAAATCAATCTGTGCATTTATGGTCAATTTATCTTTGCCAAAGGTGCCAAGAACACACAATGGAGAAAGGATTGCCTCTTCAATAAATGGTGTTGGAAATATTGCATATTCATATGTGGAAGAATAAAATTGGACCTATACCTCATACTATATACAAAAGTCAATTCAAAATATATTGCAGAATTAATCATAAGAAATAACTGCATTTTATCTTTTAAAAAGCAAGGGTAATATTCAGGAAATTTTTGAAGGCATAGGGAATTTTTTTAATAACAGAGTTTGAGTTCCAGAAGTTATCACAGTGAGAAGCAAATGGAATTTTGGAGATGCATAAAAGCATATATTTATAAAGCAGTGAGTGGCATCATAGATTTCACTTTCTATTGATAACTGGGTTAAATGAATATGTACTTTGAATTAATTCTTCATAATCAATTATAGTAAAAACCTACTGATAATCCGTTCTACTTCATACTTTCTTCTTTCAACTGATGTTTTTTTGTCACTTTGTTAGATAAAGTATGCAGTGTTGTATCAGGAAATTTAGAGAAGTATCTTTGCAAGTGTAAGCTAGGCTCTGTGGACCACCATTGATTTTTTTTCTTATTCAGTGTAAAATCTAGGGTGACAACTATTTTGTGAGGCAATGAGAAATATTTAACAAAGACTTAAGACTGTGTTAAATATAAACAAGTCTTTCAACCCAAATAATTTCTCCACATTTAGTCTTTGGATTTAGTGAAACATTATTTTCTTTATTAGTTGGCATCACAATACTTCACGGACAAATAACATTGGTACTTGTTTTCGGAAACAATTAGGTAGTGGTAGTTTGAAAAGATAATTTCTATTTGGGATAAGGCGCATGCATTCAGAAGAATAGAGGACGTTGTAAAAATGTCAAAGAAAAAAGAGAAAAGGCCAGACGCGGTGGCTCACGCCTGTAATCCCAACACTTCCGGAGGCCGAGGCGGGCGGATCACCTGAGGTTGGGAGTTGGAGACCAGCCTGACCAACATGGAGAAACCCCGTCCCTACTAAAAATACAAAAATTAGCTGGGCGTGGTGGCTCATGCCTGTAATCCCAACTTCTCAGGAGGCTGAGGCAGAAAAATTCCTTGAACCCGGGAGGCGGAGGTTGCGGTGAGCTGAGATCGCGCCACTGCACTCCAGCCAGGGCAACAAGAGCGTAACTCAGTCTCAAAAATAAAACTAAACTAAACTAAGCTAAAATAAAATAAAATAAAGAAAGAAAAGAATCTTAATTCATGAAACCCAGTGAAAAGCATATTAAAAATTAACACATTTTTAGCTGATGAGAATAACTGATCTTAAGTGTAACTAAAAAGAAATTTATTGCATTCTCCTGATATTTTAAACTTATTTAGAAATAGGAATGGTTTACATGTTTGAAATATGTTTAAAATTGAAAGGTATATGAATATAATTTACTATTTGATGTTCCAAATTTATTTGAGAATTTAGTTTAACATTAAAATATTAATAACATTCTTAATTTTTATTTATTACAAATTATGTACATATTTCTTTGGGCAAAATCCTTCAAAGAATGAAACTAGAATAAAACTCTGAGGATTTGAATAAAAATATCAATACTTTGTATTTATTTTAAGACTAAATTGGTATTTAGTAGAGGTAACTGAGATTAGAATAATGTAAGTTTAACACTACCATTCTCCATTCGAATAAGACAAATAAAATAGAACACAACTGTATTTTGTTACTATATTTTATATGTTAAAACATCCGATAAGGAAAGATACTTTATAAATTATTTTTTTCTTTTGGCATAGATTTTGATTATTGATTCAACTCAGTGGAGTTATTTGTGTAGTTGTTCTCTTTTAAGAGTGTATACATCTAAAGTAACATCCAATAATGTTATGAAATGTTTTTGAATCAAACAGTTTTCAAATTTACTGAAAAAATAATATTCACTGCTTTTATTGAGCATTTGTTGATTTTAGCTATAGTATCAACCTTTCTTTAAGGCTCAAACAAATGTGTATTTATTTAAAATCATATTTAAAATTTAAATAATGCTGTAGGGTTACATAGGATGAATGGCCAGAATCTACCAACCTTAAGTTCACAATATAAGCAATACTTTACAGTTATTAATATTTTATACTTTTATTTTGTCTATCAAATATTTATAATTAATTTAACTTAATCATAAAATATATGTATTTGACACATTATTTTATTACATTCCAACTTTGATCCACATTTAATAATGTTTTCATATTTTGTGACTGAGTTTATATGAATAAACACTGCTTACACAAAACTATTCAAAATGATAACCATGATTATTATTAATGATATCACAGTGAGTACCAATATATCTTTGTTAATTTTTAAAGATTATTTCTTGCTTGTTGAATTGTCTAACTTTCTTATAGATTCTGAGTATTAGACCTTTGTCAGATACATAGTTTGTGAATATTCTCCCTGTTTTTGTTGGTTGTCTGTTTATCTTATTGATAGTTTCTTTTGCTGTGAAGAAGCTCTTTAGTTTAAGTCCCATTTATTGATTTCTGTTTTTGCTGCAATTGCTTTTGGGGACTTAGTTATAAATTATTTGCCAAGATTCATGTCCAGAATGATAATTCCTTAATTTTCTTCTAGATTTGTATAGTTTTAGTGTTATATTTAAGTCTTTAATCCATCTTGAGTTAATTTTTCTGTGTGGTAAAACATAGGGGCCCAGTTTCAGCCTTCTGCATATGGCTAGACAGTTATCAATACACAATTTATTGAATAGAGTGTTCTTTTCCCATTGCTTATTTTTTTCAACTTTGTTGACAATCAGATGGTTGTAGGTGTACACCTTTATTTCTGGGTTCTCTATATCTTGTTTCACTGGTCCATGTGTCTATTTTTGTACCAATACTATTCGGTTTTGGCTATCTGGCCTCTTTTTTGGTACCATTTGAATTTTAAAATATTTTTTTAATTCTGTAAAAAATTACATTGGTATTTTGATAATAATAGTATTGAGACTGTAAAAAGACAAATAACCTCATTAAAAAATGGGCAAAGGACATGAACAGACACTTCCCAAAAGAAGATATACATGCAGATAACAAACATGAAAAAAGAAGCTCAAGATCACTGATCATTAGAGAAATGCACATCAGAACCACAATGAGATACCATCTCACACCTATCAGAATGGCTATTATTAAAAAGCCAAAAAAATAACAGATGCTGGTGAGGTTGTGGGGGAAAAAAGGAATGCTTATACATTGGTGGGAATGTAAATTAGTCCAACTCTATGGAAAGCAGTTTGAAGATTTCTCAAAGAACTTAGAACCACCATTTGATTCAGCAATCTCATTCTGGGTATACACCCAAAGGAAAATAAACCAGTCTGCCGAAAAGACACATGCAATTGTATGTTAATCACGGCACTATTCACAATCGGAAAATCATGGAATCAACCTAAGTGCCCATCGATGGTGGGTTAGATAAAGAAAATGTGTTACACATACACCATGGAATACTATGCAGCCATAAAAAGAATAAAATCCTGTTCTTTGTAACAACTTGGATGCAGCTTGAGGTCATTATCCTAAGGGAATTAACACAGGAACAGAAAACCAAGTACCACATGTTTTCACTTATAAGTAGAAGGTAAACACTGAGTGCACAAGAACACAAACATGAGAACAAATGACACTGGGGACTACTAGATGGGGAGAGTGGTGGTGGGGGAAATGAGGGTTAAAAAAACAAACTATTGGTAACTATGCTTACTATCTGAATGTTGGGTTCATTCATACACCAAACTTCAGTGACAGCGACATGCAAACACCTATGCAAAAAATCTGCACATGTACACCTTGAACCTAAAATAATAGTCAAAAATAATAAAAATTAAATTATCATTTCTGTAAATGTCCTAATAAATATGTTTTATATGAGCTAGGAATTGCTTCTCTCTTTTCTTCTTTATTAGTCTAGCTAGTGGCCTATCTTATTAATTTTTTCAAAAAAAAACTCATGGATTCATTGATCTTTTGAATGTTGTTTTGAGACTTGATTTCCTTCAGTTCAGCTATGATTTTGGTTATTTCTTGTCTTCTGCTAGCTCTAAAGTTGGATTCCTCTTCTTTCTGTAATTCTTGCAGTTGCAGTGTTTGGTTGTTAATTTGAGATCTTTCTAACTTTTTGATATGGGCATTTAGTGTTATAAATTTCCTTTGTTAACACTGCCTTAGCTGTATTCAAGAGATTCTGGTATGTTGTGTCTTTGTTCTCTTTGATTTCAAAGAACTTCTTGATTTCTGCCTTAATTTCGTTATTTACCTAAAAGCCATTCACGACCAGGTTAATTTCAATTTTTGAGTGATTATTTTAGTTTTGACTTCTATTTATTTTTCACTGTAGTCCAAGAGTGTGTTTGGTATGATTTTTATTCTTTTGCATTGCTGAGAATTGTTTTATGCCTGATTGTGTGGTCAATTTTAGAGTGTATGCCATGTGACAATGAGAAGAATGTATATTCTGTTGTTTTTTGGGTGGATAATTCTGCAGATGTCTATCAGGTCCATTTGACCAAGTATTGAATTCCGGTTATGACCACCTTTGTAAATTTTCTCTCTCAGTGATTTGTCTGATATTGTCAGTGAGGTGTTAACGATTCTCACTATTATTTGCTTGGTAGGTTTTTTTTTTTTTTTTTTGAGACAGAGTCTTGCTCGGTCGCCTAGGCTGGAGTGCAGTGGCGCGATCTCAGCTCACTGCAAGCTCTGCCTCCCAGGTTCACGCCATTCTCCCACCTCAGCCTTCTGAGTAGCTGGGATTACAGGAGCCCACCACCACACCCAGCTAATTTTTTTTGCATTTTTAGTAGAGACGGGGTTTCACCATATTAGCCAGGATGGTCTTGATCTCCTGACCTCGTGATCTGCCCGCCTCAGCCTCCCAAAGTGCTGGGATTACAGGAGTGAGCCACCAGGCCCCGCCCTTGGTAGGTATTTTTCCATCCATTATTTTGAGCTTGTGAGTGTCGTTATGTGTGAGATGGATCTCTTTAAGACAGCATACCATTTGGTCTGCTTCTTTATCCAGCTTTCCACTCTTGGCCTTTTAATTGGGGTATTAGTCCATTTACATTCAGGGTTAGTATTGATATGTGTGGATTTGGCCCAGTCATTGTGTTGTATCTCTGACATAGGCAGTCAATTCAACATAACATGTCAGTCCTATAGTAAAAAAATGAAAGATTTCTTTTGTCATATAAATTGTAAAAGGTAAGAGAATTAAAAATGCAATGGGGTTAAGAATTCTAAATACTTACTCTTTATGAGTTAAGTCTCAGTCACAGCTCTTCCCCACAGCAATCTTATGGACCAACAAGCTCCCAAGAGGCCTTATGTACTCTTTTTGTATCCTGACCTTCAAATTGTCCTGTGGATCTTGAAGTTAAGTCATTCAATAAGATTGTCTTTTACTGTGCAACAAGACACAGAACTCAATGAGCCACAAAGAAATCCTAGGTACCTGTGACGCCTTAGAGTTGTAGAAATAGCCACCTCTTATAGTCCAAACTACAGACCTAAAATCTCAGCCTGTGCTCCAAGTTCAAGTATGATCATCTCTCATTCTTCATTCTGTATTTGATTTCTGTTCTCCTCATTTCAATCCAAGATCTTGCCTTGAACACTGGTCTCTTAACTTTCACATTCATGTTTTGTCTAACCAACTTTCACTTTCTCCATAAGTATTTGCTGAAAGAATATACTCTAACAATGTATTTTTTTCTAATCTATATATTCTCTGATCCCTTTGTTGGGTTGGTACTATGGAAAACAACATTTAGTAAATATTTAGCGATCATCTCAATTATTGAAGCTTAGTAGGCATTAGTTTAGTCTCCACCAAGGGAATTTCAATTTCTTAAAGGCAAGGTCCATGGCTTAATTCTTATCCACAGTCTATTATAATCTGATCCAATATGCATCTAGCAAATCTCAATGTTGATATTTAATGGTTCAATCGCATTAGTTTATCAATTAGTTAAAGCATTTGAGGAAATAATTATTTATTTCAAATATGATTAAAAACAATTACTCACATTTTACAATTTATAAACTTAAATTGCCATGTTAAATTTTGAACATTGCATATAAGTTTTATTTTAATAAATGTATAACAACAGCATGAAGTCATTACTTTTGTATAATTATTCAGTATTAGATTCAAAATATTTTATCTTTTGCTTGATCCACATGTTTAAGACTGCTTTAAAAAAGGGCAAAAAATCAATTAGCAAAAGGCTGCACAGCTTGTAAAATATCTTTAAAAAGCTACTTGGAGCTCCAGCCTTCATAAAGAAAACCAATTCAATGTTAATGAAGCCATTCCTAAGAAAGGCCTAGGGAATATAGTGGAGGAAAAAAAGCATAGAAAAAAGGATAAAAACAATATGCCTTGCCAAATTAGTAACTTAATTACTCAGGTAGGCAACTAATCTCTCATTGGACCAGAAATACCACAGGGTGGAACAAAGCCCATGCAGAAATAGGTTTCTGCTATCTCCTTTCTTTCTCCTTAGAAGAAAAGACAACCAAAGTAAAAAGCCTAATAAGAAATCACCTAAGACACTTTATCCTAGACCATGCTGCATTTAATAGAAAACATTGTCTGTAAAAGCTCTAGTCTGTGTCATTGGGATATATAGCTAAGTCAGGTCTTAATGCCCAAAGGAAAAAGCTGAGACAAATTTAGAGACCTTTTAGCAAACATTTAGAACTACACTATGCACCTGAACCCAGAGATCGTAACATATCACTTTAAAAGCCAGAAGTCATTTTGATAGGTTTGTTTAAATTGTATATATGATTCTGTAAGGAGTACAATGCCAGAGTCTGCAGATAATGAAATAAATATATTAACATTTTAAAAAAGAAAAAGAAAGATTAAAATAGTAATAAGATTGGCACAAATTATTTCCACTATAGTAACTGACTTGAGTCACTGACATGGGGTTGTACTTAACATTCTTCTGTCTTGCACCATTACAAAGATAGCTTGTTAACTGACTGCTTTCTCAGGACAATGGTTTTCTATTTGTGCTGCTTGGGGCACTGTGGGCCACCTAAAGAAGAATCTAGACACTGATATGGGAAGAGACTCCCAGCCCAATGCACTCCCACTCCATAAGAATAACTTCATTTGTTGTACCCATCAGGCTTTTGGCTACTTCACTTATAGATAGGGTATTGAGGATTTTTAGGTAGTATATGCTATTATTAATATTATTAATAACTATGATTTATTGAGAAAGCCAGTATATTAGGCCACAGGTTAAGTGTTTTCTATGTATTATATTTTCAATCTTTAGAGATTAAAGCCTAAGTATTAATAGCTCCATTTAACGAATTAGGACATCGAGATGTAGAAAGATTACACACCTTGGCCAAGGTCGTAGGGCTGGTAAGTGGTATAGAGTGATATAGTCAGGTTGATATTTCAATAAGTTATTTATTCTGCACATGAAAATATAAAACCCTCTGTCTTAGTCAGCTTGGGCTGCTATAATAAAATATCATGGATTTAGTGGCTTAAACAACAAACATTTCCTCTCTCACAGTTCTTGAGGCTGGGAAGTTCAAGATCCAAGTTCTGGAATATTTCTTGCCTGGTGAGGGCTCACTTTTGGGTTTACACATGTCCATCTTCTCATTATATCCTTACCTTGAAGAATGCAAGCAAAGGAAGCAAGCTTTCTCATTTCTATTTTTTATAAACACACTAATCCCATTCAGAAGGGCTCTACCCTGTGACCTAATTACCTAATTTGGAGGCATCACCTCCAAATACTATGACATTGTGGATTAGGCTTCAACACATGAACTTTGAAAAGACACAAAACATCCACTCCATAGTACCAGCTGTGATATCTGCTCATCTAGATATTTTTTTAATGTGCGCTATTCTGGCAAAATGTTTTTCCGAAGGGTTTCTGTTCTGTATTGCAAACACAAAGTCCATCGGCTCTTTGTTATCTACACCAATTTCCCTTTTCATCTTATTTAGCATTCTCTGTATTAGTCTGTTTTCACACTTCAATTGAGAACTACCTGAGACTGGGTAATGTATGGAGAAAAGAGGTTTAATTTACTCACAGTTCTGCATGTCTGGGGAGGACTCAGGAAACTTAGAATCATGGGAAAAGGTGAAGGGGAAGCAGGCACGTCTTACCATGGTGAAGCAGGAGAGAGATAAAGGTGGGGGAACTGCCAAATACTTTTAAACCATCAGATCTCGTGAGAGCTCACTCATTATCATGAGAACAGCATGTCGGGGAAACCACCGCCATGATTCAATCACCTCCCACCAGGTCTCTCCCCCAACACTTGGGGCTTACAATTTGACATGAAATTTGGGTAGGGACACAGAGCCAATCAACATAACCCTCCACTGAGATTATTGAGTGCTTGCTGACCTTTTGTCATTTCAGGCATATAACTAATTGCAATGAATAAAATCTCTGTTGCAACTAATCCTGGAGCATGTGACATAATTATCTAGTTATCTAATAATAAACTGCTGAAATTCATAGCGCCTTACTTAGTAACTTTCAATATTGATTCCATATTTGAAGTCAGAATTTGCTGGTTTTAAATTTTTCTTTATGTATTCTTAATACATATTGAAAGTCTCTGAAGGCCTCTCATTTTACTTAAGTTGCAGATGTTCTTTCTACCTCCTAAAAGTATTTCTAACCTTCGCACACTACTCACACCTATGCACACCTCTCAAAATAAAACTCGACAGTATATTCTGTACATTTTAAGTCAGACCGTTCCTAACATGCTCTCCAAATTTTGAATATTTGTACTGTTTATTGCTTTCATGCAGGGGTTAAAATAGAACAAACAGATAATAAGAGAAAGTGTCATAAAACTGACTATTAAAACTCCCAAATGATTAAATATAATAGAGGCTGAGGAAGGAGGATCACTTGAACCAGGGAGGCGGAGGCTGCCTTGAGCTGTGATCGCACCATTGCACTCCAGCCTGGGCAACAAGAGTGAAGCTCGTCTCAAAAAAAAAAAAAAAAAAAAAAAAAAAAAGAATTTTCTTCCAAGTAACTTTAACAAAACTTAGGCTCCTTCATTGGTTATTTCCCTTCTATCTGTTCCTAACAGCATGCTGTTCTATATCATTTCTTCTTCTTTTTTTTTCACGCTCCAGAACTCTGAAGGGAATCTTATCTGTCAGCAGGTCTTTATTTAGTGCCTTTGTATTTATGACTCCAATTTCTACTCCTATCATAACTCTCCATTCTCCAGCCCTACTGTCCCTTTTTCCATTCATGGAACTTGCTGGGATGAAGTTCTACTATGAGATCTTTCTAGTAGCCTTCCATAATAGTGTCCTAATGCTGCATAACATTAGCACACACACAACAGAATACAAGAACACCCATGTATTAGCTCACAAATCTGTATGTCAGAAGTCCAACCCAGTGGGTAAAGTTCTCTGCTCAGAATATTACAAGCCAGGAATGAAGGTAATGGTGGGCTGTATTCTCATTTAGAGGCTTGAGAAAGAAAGAATGCATATCCAAGTGTATTTGTGTTGCCAGGAGAATCTACTGCCTTGCAGCTATAGGTCTGAGATCCCTGTTCCCCTGCCGGCTCTCACTCTGTGCCATTCAACTCCAAGAATTTGCTCACATTCCTTGCCATATGACTCCCTCCAACTTCAAATATAATAATGAATCATGGAATCCTTCTCTTGATTCAATCTTTCAATTCCTTTATATCTGACCTCCAGACCAAGATTTAAAAGGTTTATGCAGTTAGACCAGTCCTACCCACATAATCTACCTTTTAAAAATCAATGGTGCCATAAATAAACCTAATTACCTGAATAAAATCTATTTTATTCACATTCCCAGGGTTATGCAGGGCATGTATATAATGGGGCAGGGCTCTTGGGGCCATTTTGAATTCTTCCTATCATATATTTTTTTTAATTTTAATATATTTTTCCTAATTCTTCACACAGCTGGATCTCTATTGAAAAGTCATCTTTTAGACAGAAAGTAGAAAGAAGTTATTGGCCACCCAAACAAAACTCTTTCCTTGCCCAGTCACTCTTTAACAGATAACTTGTTTCATCTAATTATATAATTTTAATTACTTCACCTTTTAATGTATTTATCTTTTCATTTGTATATATATATTAATTTCAATTCCCTAGAATCAGAGAAAGATTGTCAAACCTCAATGCAGCTTTATCTCTAGTATATAAAATGGTGATAAACATGCAATAAAGCCTTACTGACCAAATATGCAATTCCCAAATTTAACATTTATGGAAGAAAATTATCTCCTGAACTATAAGCTGGTATTTCCAACTGCTGTCTGGGTAGATGTACCTATGAGTTCTTTATCAACCTTATAGTAAATCTGTCAAAATACAAGTCATTGTATATATGTTTAATACCTTTATTCACATTTTATACATTGTCTATACCTACATTATCTGTTTTTGTTAGTGGCATGTGAATCCTTCCTAATACCTAACCAAGAACTGAAAAGAAACAAACAGTAATCTAGAGACAATAAAAAGATGTTTAATTTATTTTCCATAAACACTGAATTTGCTATTTTTTCTAATTTTACACATACTATGAATGATCTGATCTTGGACAAGTAAGCTGCCACATATTGCCTCTTGAATTAGTTCCAAAATGTTTAAAATAAGCACCGCTCACTCAAAATAGGGGTTCCACAGAAAAACTTGAAGACAGATTACAGATGTGATTCCTGAAAATATTTTTCTCTCGTTCTGCTGAAGAAGTAGGACTTGGTAAATTTATAAATATTAAATTTAGAATTCCAGTGAAATAATAGTTTTTAAAGGAGGTGAGTATGAGAAGGGGAAACTATGATAGTAGGAGATATTAAAAATAGGGAAAAAAATTTAAAGTAAAATTAGAAAAGATACTTTCCTGTGCTGCATAATGACGTTTCAGTCTATGATAGACCACATACCCAACAGTGGTCCCATAATATTATAATGGAGCTGTTTTATGTATGTGTATCATTTTTAAAATCATTCATACTATATTGTTACTGTATCTTTTATATGTTTAGATATGTTTAGATACATGAATATTTACCATTATGTTACAACTGCCTAAAATATTCCATGTAGTAACATGCTGTACAGGTGTGTAGCCTAGGAGCAAAAGGCTATATAGCCTAGGTGTGCAGTTGACTGTACAATCTAAGTTTGTGTATGTGCATTCTATGACATTCACACAATAATGAAATCACCTAACTATGCATTTCTCAGGGTGTATCTCCATTGTTAGGTAAGGCACAACTATGTATTTTTTCAATATTCAATATAGAGCCACAACTTTTTCAAATTAAAAATAATTTCTTACATTAATATAGTTAAAGCTAGATTATCAACAATGTATAGATATATATTATTTTAATTTATGAAATCATATATATCTACATTATATACAGAAGTATATGGGTATAGATATATACTTATTATACATGTGCTCTTTTTTGAGACGACAAAGAGTTTATATAATATATATTTTTTCAAAAATTTGACTCAGATTTTTAAACCTAAATTTATTTCAAGTTGCAAAGTTTAATTGTCTGTTTCAATGGATAATAAAATCAGCCTAAAGAAGCTGTTATTAATTAGCTGAAATTCCACCACTGAATGCTTCATTTCTCACCTTTTTTCCCTGTTTCTCTTCATTTAACTTGTTTTTTTGCACTTCAGTTGTTTATATTAATTTTAGCAAAACTTTTACCAAAGATACTTCATAATTCCATAGTTTATTGACCACGCTCAACTTTTGGAGAATACCAATACACATTTCAAAGTAAGGGGCACAACACAATGGCAATAGAGTTTCCATTAACTTATGCTTGATTTTTTTTTTTTGCATAACCTGAAAAAGTAGTTTCCCATTGCTAATCCTTATACATAGTCATACATCAATGACTGCCTCTCTATCCCAGAGTAAAAATAGATGCTCAGTTCTCTTACTTGTGGAAAGGCTCAATAACTGTAGTTAGCACCTTAACCTCAGAATGCCAAAATTATTTTTATTTTGTTGTTAAGGTATATCTCCCTCTTTTTGTGCCCAAATCTCCTATTTTACTAAAGGAAGCTCAGACTACATATAACATGGTTTACATCATGAAAACAGCACTCATAGGGAACCATGTGGTTTTAGACTGATAAATAATTTCATCAGCTAGCATATTTTGAACTGTTATACAAAGATTTTTAATGACTTATTCATAAAAATGTAATTCTTTTGTAGGCAAATATATTAAACAACAATCAGCAACAAAAATGGTGATCATAAATTATCCTAAAGTTTCCCATAGAAGGGAATTTATCTTTGCTGGTTTCTTATACAGCTGAAAAACCGAGAGGCACAAATTCACTTAGCCTGCAATAAAAGTGCAAAGTAGTAGGATTTTGGAGACCGATGCTTAAGCAAAGACTACAGATAATTTGACTTTTTTTTCACTTCTGTAGTATAATTTGAACTGAGGAAATAGAAGACTCTCATTTCTAAGAAGCCTTACTTGCTCAAATTCCTGAAATTTCATCCAATGGGATTTAAGTTCATTAATTTGGATTTAAGAATTGTGTCCTTCCAGTCTCCTAAGTTTTAATACATTTTTGGAGTGTGATTATTAGATCACATTTTAGGGATATGAGGGAGGAAATGCCAGGTGGGGGGCCAGATGAAGGGCTCAACCCAAACCACCCTCCCTGTTGAGGATGGGGTATCACAGACACGTCTGCCAGAGAGCCAAGAGAGTATTTGTACACTGAGTGTCAGAGGAACATGGTCTCTACTATTTGAATACTATCAACACATGTGGTCAAGTGCCCAAAAAATTATATATGCCTAACAATTCTACTCAATGGTGGCTTGGTAAGACCCATTTCCACAATTAACAAGGGTGGTGAATATAGTAAAAGCTTAAAGGAAAATGCTGCATAGTGTTTTAAAGCACATAACTCTTTCTAATAAATATTATCACATTTGAGGCAGTATAATAGCCTATATGATGAGTGGAAATCTGTGTGATACAGACCTATATTAAAATTCTAGCATCAACATTATTATGCATGTAATACTTGCTAAATTAATTTCTGTAATATGCAGTTTTCTATTGTTAAAAATTAAGAATAATGATAACAACAGTAAATATGACAAATAAAAACAATCCTGGACTTAAGTAAAGATAAATTTTATTTTAAAAGGCTGTGGTAATAGAGAGAAAGCTCTGACAACAAGATCTGCAATCACCTCAATATTCAACAGAAAATTTTGGCTGGGAGCGGTGGCTCACACCTGTAATCCCAGAACTTTGGGAGGCTAAGGCAGGCAGATCACAAGGTCAAGAGATCAACACTATCCTGGCCAACACGGTGAAACCCCATCTCTACTAAAAATACAAAAGTTAGCCAGGTGTGGTAGCACATGCCTGTAATCCCATCTATTAGAGAGGCTGAGGCAGGAGAATCACTTGAACCCTGGAGGCAGAGGTTGCAGTGAGCTGAGATCACAGCACTGTACTCCAGCCTGGGTGACAGAGCAAGACTCCATCTCAAAAAAATAAATAAATAAATAAAAATAAATACTTAAATAAGTGGCTGTGGTAATAGAGAGAAAGCTCTGACCACAAGATCTGCAATCATTTCAATATTAAACAGAAAAAGGTCCCTTTTTATAAGGACATGTAAGAAGGACTAGCAGAAGTTTTGGGGACAGGAACAGTGTAATGAATGGAAAGAATGATTGAGGTGTTCTAATAGGAAATGTTTCCCTCTGGTCAGAAGTTTTTGAAAAGGGCATTTAATGGTGAGGGTAGGCTGTATTCTGCACATTTGTGCTTATTTAAACTTACGGGCAAGTGAAAAAAGTTCAAGGTTCTGTGGGAAAGAGAGAAGCCTGTTTAGTCAAGGCAAGTTATTAAGTAGTAGATAAATTGTAAGCATTTTGTTAGGTAGCTGAGAAGTCTAAATGAGACATTTTGCTCACAACATTGGTTGGCTATTGTTACATAATTATTTTGGAAATGTAGAGAGTATCAAGGTATCATTAGCACCATTACAAAGTAAACATTAAAAAATAGGATTAAGAGGTTATTGTTTTTATTATTTATGTTTGTTCTGGTATTGATATAGAGAGAATTAAAGTTTCTGTCTCTCTCTTTTTTTTTTTCCTGAGACGGAGTCTCGCTCTGTCGCCCAGGCTGGAGTGCAGTGACACGATCTCGGCTCACTGCAAGCCCCGCCTCCCGGGTTCACGCCATTATCCTGCCTCAGTCTCCCGAGTAGCTGGAACTACAGGCGTCCGCCACTATGCCCGGCTAATTTTTGTATTTTTAGTAGAGACAGGGTTTCACTATGTTGGCCAGGCTAGTGTTGAACGCCTGACCACGTGATCCACCCACCTCGGCCTCCCAAAGTCCTGGGATTACAGGTGTGAGCCACCATGCCCCGGCCAAGTTTCTGTTTATTCTTATGGCGCAAAAACGGTCATTCAATTAAGCTGACTATAGTGCAAGCAAAAGGAAATGTTATCAAAAGTATTTTAAATACTTGTTATAACTGTAGCACAGACTGCTTAAGAATCAATTCTATGGGTATTTTTAAAGCTAAGCTTTTATGTCTGCTTGTAAACATGTGATTGCTTTTTAGAATAACATATGAGACATGATATTAAGTGTGTCCTCAAAGCGTCAAGTTTTTTTTCTCAACTTCTATGTATAAAATATATTCATGTTTAAAATGACACTACACAACAACGTATATATTTGGAGGAAAGACTGACATTTCCTTTTCTGTATAAATGTTAGCTTTCTACACTTACAGTTTTGCATTGCAGGGTACCTTAAAGAGAAAGCAATTATTGTCTCCAAAGTAGATCATCTTCTGACAATGGTGTTTGTGAAATGCTAGCCTTCTAAATGAAACATTACAGATACCAGAGGATATCAATTAATTTTTAAATTTCAAGAATAACACTGAAAGGTGGTATTTTTTTTACTACTATACTTCCTCTGTACATTTGGCACATGTATTACTTTAGAACTGCATTTTGCAGCCTGACAATTTTTATAATTAGAAAATACTTGATTTTTTAGGCAAAATTGAGTTCTAAAATAATACAAAAGTATAACATGGCAAATATTCAAAAAATGAATGTTCTTCAAATAAGTGTTATTATTTCTATATTAACAACACTGTTCCAAATATATTTGGTATAACTTTACAAGACTGCCACTGAAAATTAGCTTCTGAACTCTACTGGCACAAAAACTTGTCCCTACTGTGTGAACACGCAGTTCTGAAAAGCTGTACCTGCAGAGTTGATGAGATTATATAATGTTGGAAGTCTTGAGGTGTTGAAGTATAGGAGCTTATTTAACTTTCTACTTGGAAAGTTTTATGGATTTCTAATTTTATCAGATACAAAGCCAATTTTTAGAGCTCAGATCTATTCTGAAAATTACTATTTTCTCCAAAACCATCTGAGGGGAAAAAAATACTATCCTTTCATACAATCACCAGGATAACACCAAAAAGAGGAAGAACTCAAAAAGACACATCAAACAAGATCTTACTGATAGCAAAATAAGTCACTAAAATCGGTAATTTGTGGAAAACAATGTACTTTGAGTTGGGGAAAGGCAAATATTCCCTGAAGAGTTTTTGATGAAGTCTCTATTATTTAAAATCCAATTTTTAATTAATTACCAGATTAATACTGAAAATGTCTCCTTTTAGTAGTAAAGTAGTTTGTCTTTTTAAAAACATAAACAATTTTCTGATAAATTTAGTCAAGTAAAAAGAGTAAAATCACAAATAGAGTAAAAATGGGAAACTAAATGTATCATTATTTTATGAAAAATAAAATTATACTCAATCACAAGATTGATTATTGGTATACCTAGAAATTTATATTAAAAGTATAAATACACCATTTAATATCAAGATATACCTATAATATAAATCTTTTAATTTCTTGATATTAAATGGTATGCTACTAAATAATACTAAAACATTTAAACAACTTAATATCCAACACAGCATATTAGTTAAGTAGGGTATTTCTGGCATAGCTCAAACTTTTAAATATAATCTTTTCAAATACTTTAAATTTGGAAAAATAATAATGGGTGAAAAATACAGTATACAAAACTGGATAATTTTAAAACTACATATTATAATTTTATGTATAGGAAGCATAAGAAAAACACGTACTTTCATATATTAACAGCAGATGTTACAGCTATTAATATTCTTTCTTCCACATTGCTTTCTGTATGTTTTAAGCAATTTTAAATTAGTATACTTTTCTATCAAATTTGTTTATTAGACCCAGAAAGATAAAAAAGATAACCCAGTGCTTAATTAATATCTTGGTCCTTAGGATCAGATATCGCTAGGAATTCCGGGAATGCTGTTAAAGTAGACATCACTAATGATCACTGATACCTTGTATTTTTTCGAGCATACAAAAGACTATGCTTTCTAGTGCTCTAAGACTACTTACTAATTCTGGCAAATGGGGTGTGTGTGAATATAACATATGCCAGTTACGGGGCAAAACAAATAAGCTATCCACGCTCTCTCTTTCCCATCAGGGGTTAATTGTAAAGCTGTGTGGGTGGTGAATCTTCTGTCAGCCTGGGTCTCTGAACTACTATGTGGAAAGAATTTCCTAGAAATATCCATTGAACTTATTGCATAAATGAGAAGCCAATCCTCTGTTATACTATGGTAATGGTATTTTGGAAGCTCTTTATTACCTCCGTATCCATATAAGCTTAAGCTATACACGCCAGTATAGAAATTGGTAATGGTAAATGTGTTTCCTTTGCTTATAAAATCTAAAATAAGCAGTACTGCTAAAGCATCATGACTACATAACTTATTTTCACCAAACCTAAATTTTCTCATACATAAAATAATGCAATTAAAATTATCCCTTATCTCATAGTACTGTGAAATTCCCATTAAGTATTTCACATAAAGTGCTTAGTACAGTGTCAAAAATTGTATGCATTCCATTAATTGTCATATTTATTAGTATACAATGGTTGCAATAACGAGATATTTCGGGATGGCTAGAGTTTAGTTATCTGGGAAATTGGATAAAAGAGTTTGAATTAAGTGAGTGAATAAAATTAGGGCCATAGTATATAAGACAAATACCAAAAAGTGACTGTGTGTGCCTACATATAGAACCCAGGGAAACAGATATACTACCTGGAATCCTGATCATCATGGGTTTTATTACTTGAATTTGCATTTCATGTGGGGTGAAGAGAGGCCAAGCTGAGATCATGGCCTAATAAGGCAGGGACATGGATTGTCTCCAAATTGGTCAAAATTGGATAAAATTAGGATGAAGCTTAAGTGGTAGGAGCCAAGGGGATCAATTAAGCCAAAGTCTTTCCAGGGAGCCATGAGTTCAAGCCAAATTGACAAAACATAAGCATAATTTGGAAAAGACAAAAGTACCAACACAAATGAAAGAATCGAAATTAAGGAGAAAGCAAGTACCTAGAATTAAGTGAAAACCTGTCAAAAACAAATTAATGAGGACCCACAAGGACTTATATAAACAGCACTCTAGCATATTTAACTCTCCTTTATACCTGAATGCCTGTGTAGGCAATGCCATCTCACTATGCAATCCCAGCAAGAGGGCACTCATGTCATATTTTTACATAAAGTCCCCATCACTCTACTACTGAAATTCTACAGTGTTGAACTCTAGTGGATGTATGTGAAGGCATGGTGAATATTTGAAAATATCCTAAATATGTAGATATAGATTGAAAATAGCATATGATTTTATTCAACAAGCCTATTTAAATATAGACATAGGAATATAAAATAGGCAAGTCACTTGATATTTCTTAAAAAGAGTATATACAATTTTATTTTAGTTTTTCTTAGCAGGAAAACTGGGATAAAACAGTTTATAGCCTCTACCTTTGAAATTAAAATTATTGACAGTGATATGGAATGTATGTTAGCTTAAAACAATAAGTGAAATAACCACATTTTATAGAAGAATAGGAAGGGACCCAACAGTCATCAAGTTAAAATAAGTAAACAAACATAAATACATAAGGCAATGGAAAGAGACTGGGTTAATGATAAGGACTACAGGAGGCCAGAGCATTGGAGTTACAGAAAACTGGAGGACAAGAACAGACAGAATTTTCTGCTCAATTGGAACTATTATCAAATTAAAAAAAAATAAGTAGACTCTGTGACCAGGTAGGACAGCCTGAGGTACATAAGAAAAAAGTAAGAGACAGATAAATTAAGTAACTGAAAATTGCAACAAACCTAGATAAAGAATCAAGCTGAAGCCACCACAAAGTGGTCTATGATATTTAATATAAAATATGCTCTAGATCTAACTCAGCCTTTTAATATCCACTGAAATTTCATTTGTCTAAGCCACCACTCTTACATGATTTAATGCAAAAGTGTTTCAGTTTGTCTCCTTCATTCTATCCTGATTTCCACCTACCCATTTTTCCCATATTTACTAGAGAATCCTTTATAAAGACAAGCTTTGTTTCTAATCCAAGATAACGGACTGAGAACACACCTGCATGCATATCATTCCCTCTGAAGCTGTATTAAAATAATGGCAGATTTTTTAAATTCCACATTAAGAAAGGAGTTTCCTAAATATACAATCATGTCATCTGCAAATGGAGACAATTTGACTTCCTCTGTTCCTATTTGAATACCCTTCATTTCTTTCTCTTGTCTGATTGCCCTGGCCAGAACTTCCAATAATATGTTGAATAGGAGTGGTAAGAGAGGGCATCCTTGTCTTGTGCCACTTTTCAAAGGGAATGCTTCCAGCTTTTGCCCATTCAGTATGATATTGGCTGTAGGTTTGTCATAAATAACTCTTATTATTTTGAGATATGTTCCATCAATATCTAGTTTATTGAGTGTTTTTAGCATGAGGGGGTGTTGAATTTTATCAAAGGCGTTTTTGCATGTATTGAGATAACCGTGGTTTTTGTCATTGGTTCTGGTTATGTGATGGATTATGTTTATTGATTTGCATATGTTGAAGCAGCCTTGAATCCCAGTGATGAAGCCGACTTGGTCGTGGTGGATAAGCGTTTCAATGTGCTGCTGGATTCGGTTTGCCAGTATTTAATTGAGGATTTTTGCATCGATGTTCATCAGGGATATTGGCCTAAAATTTTCTTTTTTTGTTGTGTCTCTGCCAGGTTTTGATATCAGGATGATGCTGGCCTCATAAAATGAGTTAGAGAGGAGTTTCTCTTTTTCTATTGTTTGGAATAGTTTCAGAAGGAATGGTACCAGCTCCTCTTTGTGCCTCTGCTAGAATTCGACTGTGAATCTGTCTGGACCGGGGCTTTTTTTGGTTGGTAGGCTATTAATTACTGCCTCAATTTCAGATTTTGTTACTGGTCTATTCAGGAATTCAATTTCTTTCTGTTTTAGTCTTGGAAGGGTGTATTTGTCCAGGAATGTATCCATTTATTCTAGATATTCTAGTTTATTTGCATAGAGTGGTTTATAGTATTTTCTGATGGTAGTTTGTATTTCTGTGGGACCAGTGGTGATCTCCCCTTTATCATTTTTTCTTGTGTCTATTTGATTCTTCTCTCTTTTCTTTTTTATTAGTCTGGCTAGCAGTCTATCTATTTTGTTAATCTTTTCAAAAAAACAGCTCCTGGATTCATGGATTTTTTAAAGTGTTTTTCATGTCTCTAACTCCTTCAGTTCTGTTCTGATCCTAGTTAGTTCTTGTATTCTGCTAGCTTTTAAATTTGTTTGCTCTTGCTTTTCTAGTTCTTTTAATTGTGATGTTAGGGTGTCGATTTTAGATATTTCCCATTTTCCTAGACAAAAAATCCTTAAGCTGATAAGCAACTTCAGCAAAGTCTCAGGATACAAACTCAATGTGCAAAAATCACAAGCATTCCTGTACATCAATAAGAGACAAACAGAGAGCCAAATCATGAGTGAACTCCCACTCACAATTGCTACAAAGAGAATAAAATACCTAGGAATACAACTTACAAGGGATGTGAAGGACCTCTTCAAGGTGAATTACAAACCACTTCTCAAGGAAATAAGAGAGAACACAAACAAATGGAAAAACATTCCATGCCCATGGAGAGGAAGAATCAATATCATGAAGATGGCCATAATGCCCACAATAATGTATAGATTCAATGCTATTCCCATCAAGCTTCCATTGACATTATTCATAGAATTAGAAGAAAAAAAAACTACTTTAAATTTCATATGGAACCAAAAAAGAGCCCGTATAGCCAAGACAATCCTAAATAAAAAAAAAACAAAGCTGGAGGCACCATGCTACCTGACTTCAAACTATACTACAAGACTACAGTAACCAAAACAGCATGGTACTGGTGCCAAAACAGATCTATAGACCAATGGAACAAAACAAAAGCCTCAGAAATAACACCACCACACATCTGCAACCATCTGATCTTTGACAAACCTGACCAAAACAAGAAATGGGGAAATGATTCCCTATTTAATAAATGGTGTTGGGAAAACTGGCTAGCCATATGCAGAAAACTAAAACTGGACCACTTCCTTACACCTTATACAAAAATTAACTCAAGTTGGATTAAAGACTTAAATGTAAGACCTAAAACCATAAAAACCCTTGAAGAAAACCTAGGCAATACCATTGAGAACATAGGCATGGGCAAAGACTTCATGACTAAAACACCAAAAGCAATGGCAACAAACCCAAAACTGACAAATGGGATATAATTAAACTAAAGAGCTTCTGCACAGCATAAGACACTATCAACAGAGTAAACAGGCAACCTACAGAATGGGAGAAAATTTTTGCAATCTATCCATCTGACAAAGGGCTGATATCCAGAATTTACAAAGAACTTAAGCAAATTTACAAGAAAAAAACAAACAACCCCATCAAAAAGTGGGAGAAGGATATGAACAGACACTTCTTAAAATAAGACATTTATGTGGCCAAAAAACATACAAAAAAAGCTCATCATCACTGGTCATTAGAGAAATACAAATCAAAACCACAATGAGATAATATCTCATGCCAGTTAGAATGGCGATCATTAAAAAGGCAGGAAACAACAGATGCTGGAGAGGATGTGCAGAAATAGGAATGTTTTTACACTGTTGACTGGGGAGTAAATTAGTTCAACCATTGTAGAGGACAGTGTGGTGATTCCTCAAGGATCTAGAACCCGAAACACCATTTGTTCCAGCAATCCCATTACTGGGTACGTACCCCCAAAATTATAAATCATTCTACTATAAAGACACATGCACACGTATGTTTATTGAAGCACTTTTCACAATAGTAAAGACTTGGAACCAACCCAAATGCTCATCAATGATAGACTGGATAAAGAGAATATGGCATGTATACACCATGGAATACTATGCACCCATGAAAAAGAATTAGTTCATGTCCTTTGCAGGGACCTGGATGAAGCTGGAAACCATCATTCTCAGCAAACTAACACAAGAACAGAAAACCAAACACCTCATGTTCTCACTTATAAGTGTGAGTTGAACGATGGGAACACATGGACACAGGAAGGAGAACGTCACACACCGGGGCCTGTTGAGGGGTGGGGAGCAAGGGGAGGGGTAGCATTAGGAGAAATACCAAATGTAGATGACAAGTTGATGGGTGCAGCAAACCACCATGGCACATGTATACCTATGTAACAAACCTGCACATTCTGCACATGTATCCCAGAACTTAAAGTATAATTAAATAAAAGAAAGGAAAGACATTCAGTGAATAGGCTACTTCCAAAAATAAAATAAAATTGAAAACATTGTGTATCAATGAGGGTTCTCCAATAGGATGTGTGTGTGTGTGTGTGTATGTGTGTGAGAGAGAGAAAAAGGAGAGAGAGAGAGAGAGATTCATTATAAGGAATTGGCTCACATTATTATGCAGCCTGGAGTTTGCAAAATCTGCAATGTGGGCTGGCAGGCTGGAGACCCAGGAGAGCCAATGTTATAGTTTTCAGTCCAGAGGCCATCAGCTAGAGAATTCCCTCTTGCTTGAGGAGGCTGGTTTTTTCTGCTTTTTCTTTTTTCTATTTATGCATACTAACACCTACCCACATTATAGAAGGCAATCAGCTTTATCTCAAAGTTTATCAATTTAACTGTCAATCTCCTTCAAAACACTCTCTAAATTGACACATAAAATTATTTATCACTCATGGTAGAAATATGCACATTGGTAGCTGAATCAAAGCAGAGGACCCAGCAACCTACTCTTCATGGAAAGCCTTATAGCTCATGAGGATAACGTGAAGAAATCAAAATCAGCCTCAAAAATCATGAGCAATGAGTGAAAGTCAGGAACATTTATAAATATTACGCCTATGGGGCAATAGCTATGTTTCTACTTCTCAAAAGCTAATGTACAGAAAGATCAACTACCAATTGTTTACTTTCCAGACAATAAAGACAACAAAACAAAAATATATAATGATAAAATTTTTGTTTCATTTACTTATGAGATTTGAATAAACTGTATAGGATTAAACAGTAGAAATGTTTAAGCTTAAAAGAGACCCTCTCTTATTAGAAACTTAGTGATATCTCAAACTTGACCAGTTTTCTTCTCACTCACCTAATTACAAGCGTGACATTAATTAAAATAGACCACTCACAGAGGTTCCAGTAGCTGCAGTATAAATTGTAAAGAAAAATCCAGGTGCACATGCATGTGCACAATGTCAGCAATAAATAACAGCAACAACCAGTAAACAACAAAAATTAGAAGACACAAAAATAAAGATAATTTAAGGAGCACAATATAACTATTAAAGATGCAACCTATTTTCTTCTAAAATATAAAATATGAGATAAAAACATAAAATATGCATAGTGAATCAGGTCAACATACAGTCATCTAACTAATAAGGTTTCCAGAAGAAACCAATCAAAATTATTAAAGAAAATTAAAGAAGAATAAATAGCGTATTTCCCAGCTCTTCATGTTTTTTGTGTCTTTTGATGTTTTGAAAGATGAAAAACCACCAACCAACCAACCAAAAAAACAAACAAACAAATAATGCTAAACCTAAATGCAACACTATAAAATTTTAAAACAGCAAGAAAAAAGAGAAGCGTATAAGATATTCTAACAAGAAAAAAATAAATTGACACCTGAAAAATTACCAGAATCCAACTATCCTCAGGCTTTTAGTCAATGACATCAGGTGCTAGAATCCCACGGAGCAAATACTTAAAAACTCTTTCAGATAATAGCATTAAATCTAGAATGCTATACATAGCCAGATTATTAACCAACTGCAAAAAAACATAAAGAGGTAGGGGTGTAGGTTTGTGTTAAATTTAATATCTCAGGGTTGGGTGCCTTGGCTCACACCTGTAATCCCAGCAATTTAGGAGGCCAAGGCAGGCAGATCACCTGAGGTCAGGAGCTCGAGACCAGCCTGGTCAACATGGCAAAAACCCATCTCTACTAAAAATACAAAAGATAAGCTGGGCTTAATGGCAGATGCCTGTAGTCCCAGCTGCTTGGAAGGCTGAGTCAGAACAATCTCTTGAACCTGAGAGGTGGAGGTTGCAGTGAGCGGAGATCGGACCACTGCACTCCAGCCTAGGCAACAGAGTGAGACTCTGTCTCAATAAATAAATAAATAAATAAATAAATTAATTAATTAATTTAATTTCTCAGAAGTTTAACGTCCTGCAATTTATTTCTTAGCACATTATTTGAGGGCATCCTCCTGCAGAAACTGAGGAATATACAAAAGAGGAAGAAGACATAAGACACGGAACACTGTGGATCCAACCTAGGAATTGTACCCAGCCTAGAGAGCAACCTATCCAGAGCAGAGTTCTCTAGAAAGGAAGTAGTTGGGATAAGAGCACATTACAGAAACCAGGTAGGAGAAAAATGTACAGACATGATAAACACAGAGAAACTGATAAAAAAAGTAAAGACAATTGAAATCACCATTATTTTTAAATATATATATTCAAGAAAGAAAATATGATGATAGCATATTTGTGGCTATTTAACAATGAATCTTTAGATATTTGTTATAACTTAAACTTATTCTTGGTTATGAAAAATAAAGCAAGTGTAACTAAAGTAAGGTTTTGTATGGGGAAACCAAGATTATCATCATTTAAATTGCACTTGGTAAAATATAAATGGCAGATGATGGAAGATCAAATATATAGGTAGGGAAAGAAGAAGGTTGAAAAAAAAGTTGAGCACAACCATGGGTATTTGAGATATAATTGCTATAATTCATGAAATGTGAAATAGGTTTTAAGCATCTTATTTAAGGATTCAAAGGTAACCAATAGAGAACAAGTTGGAAAAAGACTGAGAAGAGAAAGGGTAGATGGTATAAGTTAGCTAATTCATTATTTATCAGTAAAATAATAATGTTTTTCATAGTCAAGACACATCAAGTTATAATATAAACTGGGGCTATTCTGTACTGTTCAATTTGGCTAGCTTGAACTACATTATCCAGATTTTCCATTCTTGTATGTTTCTATTTACGGTGGACCACAAGGGAGATTCTTGGGAGAGATGGATGAAGGGAGAGAAGGATCAACTATTCTGTAGTTCATCCATCTTATTGTAAATCTACTGCCTGATTTCATTGGCATGAGGCAGCAGCTGGTCAATACCTGCTCTGTCTGATCCTAGAGCTTCTTTCAGCTTCTTTGACTGCTGGGCCAGGGGTGTATGTTTAGCTCCACAGTGAAGTGGCCCAGTTCCTTCAGGACATTCACACCATAAAATCCAGCGGTATTTGAGAACTGGCTTAGTTTGAGTGTCCTCATTGACTCTGCTCCTGCTATGAGATTCAGCTTACCCCTGAAATCTATTTTTTCCAACATATATTTCCTTATTAACTATATGCCTTGTATATTTAGGCTTCAGCATCAGACATGAATCCACAGCCTTACAGAGACTGCTTAACCAACACTACAATTTTATAACATAAAATCCTCTAACAAATTAATGTCTATTTATACATATATCCAAGTGATTCTGCTTCTGATGAACCCTGACTGACAAATAAATAATTGAGGTATAATTTTAACTAATTATTATGGTATATGTAATTTACTTTTAAAGAAACACTAGGATATTACATATGTCTTAGTTGATTTAGGCTACTTTATGGGACAGTTATTTGCCCCAATATTTAATAATTAATCAATATTCCAAAATGGCCATTTAGCATTTGATTAGAAAAACTACATTTCAGAAATGCTTACTATGAACAAATTCTGTTCCTTTCTCCTTCAAAAATAAGCAATTGCATTTACAATATAAATTGTCTGTAATTAATAAAATGTAATGCCTTGTTAATTCACAAAATGGGTATTAGAAATATGTTCTCCTTGGTGAAATCTGTTATATTCAAGATATTTGTCATGGTTAGAATCTTTTAAAGAAATACCCCCTTTTATTGATAGAGTGTAAAATTCTGGTGAGTATTCTACCCTTCCTTTTTAAGAATGTGCCTGAAGCATGATATTTTGTCAAGATAAAATTTCAAATGATTTGTTTTTCCAAGTGATGAATGTAAAGTTGATTGAATCTTTTATTTACGGTAGCAGTTTCTAACTTTGGGTGATTTTGGCTCCCAGGAGACATTTGGCAGTATCTGGAGATTGCGAGTTTTCAAGCCTGGGGGTAAAAGAAGAAGGCATGTACAACTGTCATCTACCAACAGGAGTAAAGGATGCTGCTAAACGTCCTACATACACAGCTCAGCCTCCCCTAAAAAAGACTTATCCATCTGGACCTTTCCATTAAAAGTGTGACCAGAGCATATAAAAGGACAGTGATCTGGGACTTATTTTCTAACTTTAAGTATGGGATCCATGAGTTGTCTTTTTTCAGGTTAGCTAATAGATATACGCCTAATATGTCTGTATGGGATGTTTATTAGGGTTAGAATATGATCAATAAACATATAAAATGATATTCAGTTTTCATAATCATCAATGAAATGTAAAATAAAACACTATATGATGTCATTTTAAAATCAACATAATAGCTCTTATTAAATAATTCACAATACCCATCGTGGGTTAGAATGCCCAGGAATTGGAATTCATATGGAACATGAACATGTGCCTTTAACAATTTACAAGAAGTTCAGAGAAAATTAACTAGTTCTACACAAGAAACGACCCATATATCCATTATCAATAGAAAATCCAAATTAAGTATGATATATTCAAACAAAGGACATCATGCATCAATAAAAAATGAGAAACTATTGCTACACACACATGGATGGATTAATCCTGTAAAAAAATAAACAAATGAACTAGAGAACAGATGATATGATCCCATATTGATGGATAATTCCATGTGTATGTTATGTATATAAAAACAGGCAAAACTAATCTACGGCGATATAAACCAGATGGTTTATCACTATTGAAGGTAATGACTGAGAAGAAACAGGAAGTAGAATTCTGCCTGTTCTGGGAGGTAGTTAAAAAAGTACATTCACTTTTGTACATTTAGAAGTTGCGAACTTCATTTTATTGATGGTATATAGCAATAAAACATAGTTGAAAATGTAACCAACTCTGCTTAGTTGCAAATCCAGCCTAAGAAACCAACTTCATGACTTTTAACTGCATTATAAAAGTTTTTTGTTAATTTGTATTTTAATAGTAAACTTCACCTATATTCATCATGGACACAGAATTATATTTATATTGTGTGGGAAGGCAAAGGCATCACTAGTGGTTTACAAAGTGATGTAAATATTACCCTAAATATGAAAATGTTTTCAGAAATGAATCAACTAATTTATTTTCCTTATGTTGCCCTTTTTATGTATGATGAGTATAATATATGATAACATTAACTAATACAGTATGTATTTAAAAGGAGTTTAGTACAGATAGTCATTGTATCATTGACAATTTGACAATTTTTTCTTAATCATACATGAAATACTTCTGCATCTTGCAGTAGAGGAGGCTTAAGTTTGATTAAAAACTTTACATTGAAATAATAACTTAAAAATATTTATCATGTACCTACTTTATTCTAGGCACTCGGAAAGACAGTATAAATATTAGTGACCAAGTGAGGAAAAAGTGTGCTTTCGATGGGTGATAAATGTAATGTGACAAACAGACATTGCACTGATTAAATCAGATAATACATGGGTATGATCATCTCTCTTCAGGTGGTTTAAAAAAGAGGTATTCAGACAGTGAAGAAAGATAATTAAATAAAAACAGAGAAGGGACACTTGATATCTCAGAGAAAGAAAAAATGAATATGTCAAATCCTCACTTTCAGAATTAAAGAATCACAATTAAAAAGAGGTTGTTTTATCACCCTTGAAACTAGTGAAGATTAAAATGATTGATTACGCTCAGCACTAGGCACTTCTTGGAGAAAGTGGCCAAGTTCACCATGCTGGCTTTGCTCTTTTGTGAGAATCGCCTCAGGCGTATAGAAGAGGGCATCTAACCATTGGTACTGCACAGAGTTTGCTAATTATTAATAGCAATCTTTTGACTCTCAAGAGTGGCTTATTTTGGACAAAAAATGTGGAGTTTTTCTTTCAAATATGACTTTGAACCAGAAACTATAGCACCTATTTTTAAGCATAGGGATAACTAAATTCACTGTGAGTAGAGCATTTGTTATTGGAAAAAAACTCTTAAAATCCTTATTGGGAAGGGGAAATAAAACAAAAGTTCCCACAAGTGAAAACCAAAAGTACAGAAAGAATAATTATTATGCAAAAAGGATTACAGCCTTAATAAAAGTTATGATATACATTATATCTGGATTTAAATGCTTGAAACTGTATTGTGCACTTACCGGAAGAAAATAAAAACCACCCCATTAAAGATATCCTGCTATATTTAATGAAAATACCATGATTTTAAAAATTAAATCACAAATATTTTAATATCCTCTTGTATTTATATTTTCATAGAGAAAGGTTTAAAATTTCTTACCTGCATTTTCGAAAAAGAAGTACTACTATAGTGTAGCACTCAGAGAAAAGGTAATTCTTTTTAAATTCAAGATTTTTTGCTAGAATAACGTTATGAATACTATAGCTTTATAACTCAATAGGGGCCTCTTTGAATCAAAGAAATTTCTCTCTACAGGGAAAAATATTAGCCTCAGATATACACATAATTAAGTAGTCTTAGAAATATGCTATCCACTGCTCACAAAAATAAATCAGCATAAACTTAGATTAGAAAACAAAATTTTTAAATATTCAACACAAAACTATATGAAAGTACTCAAGCATGGATGTACATAGATCTGAATTCTTAATTGTGAAATCTGGAGAAGAAAAAGTGTGTTTGTATTTTTAAAAATTATATACTAACTGTCAATGAAATTTTAAAATATTCATTTTTTTCATTATCCTTTAAAAAAAGCTATGCTAGTGGATATTGCATAATATTGTAGTTAAGAACATGAACTTTGAATCCAGGTACTGGAATTGAATTCAGGTTTCACAAAAACACCTACTCAAGTGGTCATTATGAGTATTAACTGAACTACTATTTGTAAAATGCTTGAACATATCCTTGTACTATAGTATTTATAAGTTTTGTTATTATTGTTATGGGTACTAGTATTAGTGATACTGAATGTGTAGGCTCTATAATTTGTTTTCTGAGTAGGAGAGGAGATAGATAAATCTATTAGATTGGAATAGATTCATGCCAGAGCTATAGACATTTCTATGTAACATACAGTGATAGATACTCAATAAATGATACACTGCTAACAATATAACTAACTTTGATATATTAGTGCTTTTGATAATTTATTATTTTATACATCATTCTAGTAATTCTTTTAACTTACAGAAAAAGCAAACTTTTTTTTGTTTCTCATAATTCAGTTTCATTGGCACTTTGATTTTTAAAATTTCCTGATAATAAAAAGAGGTACTTTGATTCATTATGTGTGAAACAGGGTCTTATGAAAAAGTCTAATGTAGTGGACATTGCTAATCACCCAATTCCAAAATAATGTCAGGCGAATGAGTACATTAGCAATAAGAAGGGTTTCAATGCATCAAATAAAATAATATATTATTTTAAGCTTATAATATATATTATTTTATCTGATGGTTCAGTTTCCTTGAAGAAGTAAATATGAAAAAAACACCTAGGTTGAGAATACAAGATTATGACTTGCTAGCCCATTGTGAATATATTATTACAACTGTAGCTGGCTATTTTGTCAAATTTCTTTGGTTTTATTTCTGAATAATACATCACAATTTCATGGGATAAACATATTGAGACTTCTTTTTCCTGCACCTATAAAAGGCCACCCAATTTTAAAATAAAATGCTTTATTATACTGCAATTGGTATCATTCACATTTGAGAACCTTTGAAGGTCTGAATGCTTTCCATACAGTTTACAAAAATACAATGAAAAACCTTATGCAACTATTGCTACATTGTCTTTTGCAGAACACTAATTTGATATTTAAATCATAACAATTTCCATCATAAGTTATTTTAAATAATTATACCTCATGTATTATCTCAGATTGTAAGCTTCACAAAAGCAGCTACCTCTTATTGTCACATATTACATGTCTAATAAATTGAAAGATTAGTCAGAGCTACATCTGTAACATATTTTCCATTATAATTTTCATTTAGACTTTTCAACTACCTCTTCTTGATTGACGTACAAACACTGACAAAAAAAAAGGACCTTGATTTCAGATTCACTATATGGATATCTAGATTCCTGTCATCTTCTAGTTCAGTAATTCCTCAATGCCCTTTCAACTTTTTTCTCCTTTTTAGAAGTTATTGTTTTTATTTCAAATTCTTACTTGTTTTCTGAATGAGGTTTATCCCAAAATATCCAGAGGCTATAAGCAAAATCACACATTTCTTCACATTCCTATTTTAACTTACCATAGGTCACTGAAAAGTTTGAGTTACAACATTATACTAATATGTGAAATACTTGAAAATACTTTTGGTTAATGGTAAAATATAAAGGCATCTTTATTTATTGGCCTAGCCTTAATAAATAGACTCTTTCCCTCTCTCTTTATATATATATACACATACATACAACACACACACATATATACATGCATATAGGCAACATATGTTTCAATTTTATTTTTTATTTTGGAGTTACATTCCACATTTGATAATTTATCTTATTCCACATTTGACATAATCGTAAATGTATACCAATAATTATCTTTTATAATAACAAAAATCAAAAACAGGGTTTATAACTAAGATTAAGAATTGAACAAACTACAATCTATATAATGAAAATTTGAAGAGCCTTCAAAAATATGTTTAGAACATTCTATTTGACATGAAAACACTCTCTCTAAATAATGCGTGATGAAAAAATCCACATTCATAGTGACCCCTAATTTAATAAAAAACAAAAAGTAAAAATTGAAAATGGCAACATATACATCGTTCGCTTAAGTTAAACCTGTAAATAAATAAAATAAAATGTTAATAGTGGTTGTGACTGAGTAGCGTAAGAGAGTTGGCAATTTTGTTTTGTACTTAACTTCTTCTTTTTGACTTTTAAATATTGTAAGATGTCCATGTATTATTGAAAAATCAGATAAAAACAAAACATGCATTATAATAATTAAGCCTGGTCATTTCTTTATTAAAATATTTTTATTTTATTTTATTTTTTATAATTTCTTTTATTTTAGATTCAGGGGGTACATGTGCAGGTTTGCTACCTGGTTATATTGCCTGATGCTGAGGTTTGGGATAGGAATGACTTCTCAACCAGATAGTATGTAATAGTTAGATTTATAAACCTTGTTCCTCTCCCTCCCCTCAGCAGTCCCTAGTATCTATTGTTGTAATCTTTATATCAATGAGTACCCAATGTTTAGATACAATTTATAAGTAAGAACATGCAGAATTTGGTGTTCTGTTCCTGCATTAATTCACATAGGATAATGCCCTCCAATTGCATCCAAGTTGCTGCAAAGTATCTGCTGCAAAAAAGATACAAAAAGTATCTTTTTTATGGCTGCATAGTATTCCATGGTGTATATATACTATATTTTCTATATCCCATTCACCATAGATGGCATCAACTTTGATTTATGTTTTTGCTATTGTGAAGTGTTGTGATGAACATACCAGTGTGTGTGTCTATTTGGTAAAATGATTAATTTTCTTTTGTATATATACCCAGTAATGAGAGTGGGTCAAATGGTAGTTATGTTTTAACTCCTTTGATAAACATCCAAACTGCTGTACACAGTGGCTGAACTGACTTACATTCCCACCAACAATGTACAAGCATTCCCTTTTCTCCACAACCTCACCGGCATTTGTTGTTTTTAACTTTTTAATAATAGCAAGCCTGATTGGTATAAGATGGTATCTCATTGTGGTTTTGATTTGCATTTCTCTGATATATAGGGATATTGCGCATTTATTCATATATTTGTTGTCTAATTGGATGTCTTCTTAAAAGACATGTCTGCTCATGTCCTTGGCTCACTTTTTAACAGTGTCATTTGCTTTTAGCTCATTGAATTGTGTAATTTTCTTATAGATTCTAGGTTTTACACTTGTGTTCAATGCACAGTTTGTGAATATTTTATCTCATTGTGTAGGTTGTCTGTTTATTCTGTTGATTTTTTTTTTTTTTTTTTTTTTTTTTTTTTGCTGTGCAGAAATTCTTTGGTTTAATTAGGTCCCAAATGTCAATTTCTGTTTTTGTAGCAATTGCTGTTGAAAACTTACCAATTCTTTCCCAAGTCTAACGTCAAGAATGGCATTTCCTAGGTTTTCTTATAGAATCCTTAGAGTTTGAGATCTTTCATTTAAATCTTTAATCCATCTTGAGTTAATGTTTGCATATGGTGAAAAGTAGGGTGCCTTTCTTATGTCATATACAAAAACCAACTCAAGACGGCTTGAAGACTTAAATGTAAAATCCAAAACTATAGAAACCCTGGAAGACAATCTAGACAATACCATCCTGGATCTAGGAGTGGGCAAAGATTTAATAACAAAGACACCAAAAACAATCACAATAAAAACAAAAATTCACAAGTGGGATCTAATTAAACTTAAGAGCTTCTGCATAGCAAACGAAACTATCAACAGAGTAAACAGCCTATAAAACGGGAGAAAATATTTGCAAACTACACATCTGACGAAGGTCTGATATCGAGCATCTATAAGGAACTTAAACAAATTTACAAAAGAAAACCAAAAACCCCATAGAAAAGTGGGCAAAGGGCATGAACAGACTCTTCTCAAAAGAAAACATACATGCAGCCAACAAGTATATGAAAAAGAGCTCAATTATCACTGACTATTAGAGAAATGCCAATCAAAACCACAGTAAGATACCATCTCACACCAGTCAGAATGGCTTTTATTAAAAAGTAAAAAAAGTAAGAGATGTTAGTGAGATTGTGGAAAAAGGGAACCGTTATACACTGCTGGTGGGAGTTTAAATCCCCATTGTGGAAATCAGCATGGTGATTCCTCAAAAAAACTAAAAAAAAGAACTACCATTTGACACAGCAACCCCATTACTAAGTACATATGCAGAGTAATATACAGCATTCTACCATAAAGACACATGCACACAAATGTTCATCGCAGCCCTGGTCACAATAGCAAAGACATGGAATCAACCTAAATGCCCATCAATGACAGATTGGATAAGGAAAATGTGGTACATATGCACCACAGAATATTATGCAGCCATAAAAAGAATAACATCATGTCTTTTGTGGGAAAATGGATAGGTAGAGGGAGAGGAACAGAAAAGATAACTACTGAGTACTGAGCTTAATACCTGCATAATGTAATAACATGTACAACAATCCCCTGTGACATATGTTTACCTATGTAACGAACATTCACATGTACCCTCAAACCTAAAATTAAAAAAAGAAAAAAAAGTAGGGGTCCAGTTTCATTCTTCTGCAGATAGATAGCCAGTTAACCCAGCACCATTTATTAAGAGAATCTTTTTCCCATTGCTTATTTATCAACTTTGAAAAGGATCAGATGACTGCAGTTGTCTGGCTTTATTTCTAGGTTCTCTATTCTTTTACATTGGTGTATGTTTCCATTTTAGTACGAGTACCATACTGTTTTGATTACAGTAACTTTGTACTATAGTTTGATTTCAAGTAACGTGATACCTCCAGCTTTGTTACTTTTGCTCAGGATTGCTTTGGCTATTTGGGCTGTTTTTTTTTCTTTTGGATAAGTATTAAAACATTTTTTTAATTCTGTGAAAAATCATCTTGGTAGTTTGGTAGCAATAGCATGTAGTTTGCTTTGGTCATTATGACCATTTTAATGATATTAATTTTTGCAATCCATGTGCGTGGACCATTTTTCCATTTGTTTGTGTCATCTGCTATCTTTCAGCACTGTTTTGTAACTCTCCCTGTAGATATCTTTTAGCTCCTTGGTTAGATATATTTCTAGGTATTTCATTTTTTTAATGGCTATTGAAAAATAGGATTGTGTTTTTGATTTGTCTCTCAGCCTGAATGTTATTGGTATATAGAAATGCCACTGATTTTGGACATTAATTTTGTAACCTGAAATTTTACTGAAGTCATTTATCAGTTTCAAGAGCCTTTTGGGAGAGTTTTTAGGATTTCTAGGCATAGAATCATACTGTCAGTGAAGAGAGATAGTTTGAATTCTTCTTTTCCTATTTAAATGCTTTTTTTTTTCTTGTCCAATTGCTCTAGCTAGGACTTCTAGTAGTATGTGTAATAAGAGTAGTGAAAGTGGGCATCCTTGTGTTGTTCCAGTGCTCCAGAGGAATGCTTCCACCTTTTACCTGTCCAATATGATGTTAACTGTGGGTTTATCATAGATGGTTCTTATTATTTTGAAGTACGTTCCTTCAATGCCTTGTTTGCTGAGAGATTTTATCATGAAGAAATTTTGGATTTTATCAAAGGATTTTTCTGCATCTGTTGAGATAACTATATGTTTTTGTTTTTAATTCTGTTTAGGTAATGAACAACATTTATTGATTTGCACATGTTGAAGCAACCCTGCAATCCAGGAATAAAGCTTACTTGATCATGATGAATTCACTTGCTGATGGGCTGCTAGATTTCATCTGTTAGTATTCTGAGGATTTTTGCATCCATATTCATCAAGAATATTGGCCTGTATTTTTCACTTTTTTTTTTTTGCTGTGTCTTTGCCAAAACCCGATAATTTCTTACATCATTGAATTTTAAGCATTTTCAAAATATTTTTCCCATGGTTCTCAATTGCATTGGGGTCTGGAAATGGACTACAATATGCATCTGAACTAGTGGTAATGACCCCCAGAAAAGGGGTGTGACAGAGAAACATATCCTATTCCTGTATATCTATGATGGAGAGCAGGTGCAGCCTGCCAACACATCCAGGCAACAGAGAGACCTAAGCACCTTTCACCAGGAGCTGTTCTTAGCCACCCTTGTCAAGGCTTGTGCCTGCAATTGGCATTGGAGTATTTGTGGCAAGCCAAGGGCTTCAGCTCCGTAAAGTTGTGTGCTCCCATCCCCATGGAACAGGAGGCTCAGGGCACCAGGCACTCCACCATCTAGCTGACCAACTGAAAAAACAGAAAGCAACTTCCATTTAACAAAGATCAGGTACATACCTGTTTGCTTGTGTCTCAGCTGACTCTTACCCATAAGTACCATCTACTGGCTTTTAGATTGAACTGCACAGCCCAACATATAAAACCTGCTAATAGAAATGCATAGGGCTATAGAAATAAAGCCAAAGGACCTACACAATATAATCTATAGTCACACACCCTAGAGAGGGCGGGAAAGGGAAAGAAAAAGAATCCTATCTTCCCCCAAATAATTATAAAATGTAAAAGTGTCAGCTTCTCCAGATGAGAGGAACCACTCTGTGTAAGAATTCTGGCACCATGAAAAATCTGAATGTTGTGACACCAGCAAAGGATAACACTAGCTCTTCAGCAATGGCCCTTAACCAAAATGGAAACTCAGAAATGACAGATAAAGATTTAAAGCAGAGATTACAAGGAAGCTTAAGGAGATCTAAGACAAAGTTGACAATCAATGCAAAGAAACTACTAAAGCAATCCAGGAAATGAAGGAAGAGATACATATCTTTAAAAATTAACCAGATTTTCTGGAATTAAAAACTCATTAAAAGAGTTTAAAAATACAATTGACTGGCCCCGGTGTGTGATGTTCCCCACTCTGTGTCCATGTGTTCTCATTGTTCAACTTCCACTTATGAGTGAGAACATGTGGTGGTTGGTTTTCTGTCCTTGTGATAGTTTGCTTAGAATGATGGAAACATTAAAACTGATCCCACAGAAACAAAAAAGATTCTGAGAGACTATTGTGAACACTACATGCACACAAATTAGAAAGTCTAGAAAAAATGGCTAAATTTCTGAAAATACACAACTTCCCAAAACTGAATCAGGAAGAAACTGAAATCCTTAACAGTCCAATAATAAGTTCTCAAATGGAATCAGTAATAAGCCTACAAACCAAAAAAAAAAAAAAAAAAAAAAAAAAAAAAAAAAAAAAGCCCTAGACCAGATGGATTCATAGCTGAATTCTATGGGAGATACAAAGAAGAGATAATACCAATCCCACCAAAACACTTTCAAAAAAATCAAGGAGGAGCAGATCCTCCCTAACTAATTCAATGAAGCCAATACCATCCTGCTACCAAAACATGACCAAGACACAATGAAAAATGAAAACTATAAGCCAGTATCTTTGATAAACATGAATGTAAAAATCCTCAGTAAAATACTAGCAAACTGAATCCAGCAGCACATCAAAAAGTTAATTCACTACAACCAAGTAGACTTTATTCCTGGGATGCAAGTTTGGTTCAATGTATACAAATCAATAAGTGCGACTCACTACGTAAACAGTATTAGAAGAAAAAAGCAATGTGACGATCAACATAGATGCAGAAAACGCTTTGATAAAATTTAACACCTCTTCATGACAAAAATTCTGAAGTAACTAGGCATCAAAGGAACATACCTGAAAATAATAAGAGCCATCTATGACAAATCCATATCGTATTGAATGGGAAAAAGGTAGAAGTATTCCCCTTAAGAATTGAAGCAAGACAATAATCCTCAGTCTTACTATTCCTCTTCAACATAGTACTGGAAATCCTAGCTAGAGAAATCAGGCAAGTAAGAGAAACAAAAGACACTCAAGTAAAAAATAAGTCAAATTATCTCTCTTCACTGTTTGTATAATTCTATAACTAGAAAATATTATAGAGTCCACCAAAAGTCTCCTGCAACTGATAAATGACTTCTGTGAAGTTTTAGGATACAAAATCAATGTCCAAAAGTCAGTAGCATTTCCATACACCAATATCTCATTCTAGTTGAGAGCCAAATCAAGAATGCAACCTCATTTCCAATAGCCACAAAAATATAATAAAATAAAATATCTAGGAATACTTCTAACCAAAGAGCTGAAAGATTTCTACAAGGAGAACTAAAAAACACTGCTGAAAAAATCAGCGATGACAATAAACAAATGGAAAATCATTCCATGCTCATTGATTGAAAGAATCAAAATCATTAAAATGGCCATATTACCTGAAGCAAACTATAGATTCAACACTATTGCTATCAAACCTACCAATATCACTTTTCACAGAATTAGAAAAAAAGCAATTTTAAATTTTGATGGAACCTAAAATGACCCTGAATAACCAAAGCAATCCTAAGCAAAATGATCAAAACCATAGGCATCCCATTACTTGCTTCAAACTGTATTATAAACCACTGTAACCAAAATAGCATGGTACTGGTATAATAATAGATATATAGACCAATGAAAAAGAATAGAGAACCCAGAAGTAAAGCCAGACACCTACAATTACAATCATCTGATCCTCAACAAAGTTGACAAAAATAAGCAGTGGGGAAAGGACTCCCTGTTAAATAAATGGTGCTGAGATAACTGCCTATCTATATGTAGAAGAATAAAACTGGACCACTATCTTTCACTATATACAAAAATTCACTCAAAATAGATTAAAGACTTAAATGTCCACCCAAAACTACAAAAATCTTAGAAGTTAACCTAGGAAATGCCATTCTGCACATTTGCCTTGGAAATAATTTATGATTAAGTCATCAAAAGCAATTGCTACACAATCAGAAATTGATACAAGACCTAATAAAACCAAAGAGCATCTGCACAGCCAAAGAAACTGACAACAATGTAAAGAGACAACCTACAGAATGAGAGCATTTATTTGCAAACTATGCATCAGAAAAAGGCCTGACACCCAGATTCTCTAAGGAACTTAAGCAATTTCACAAGCAAAAACAACCCCATTTAAAAGTAAGCAGAAAATATGACCAGGAACTACTAAAAAGAAGGCATATGAGTGGCAAACAAATATATGAAAAAATGTTCAACATCACTAATCATCAGAGAAATGCAAATCAAAACCACAATGAAATACCATCTCATACTAGTCAGACTGGCTATTATTAAAAAGTCAGTAAATGGGTATATACCCAAAAGATTATAAAACATGCTGCTATAAAGACACATGCACAAGTATGTTTATTGTGGCACTATTCACAATAGCAAAGACTTGGAACCAACCCAAATGTCCATCACCGATAGACTGGATTAAGAAAATGTGGCACATATATACCAGGGAATACTATGCAACCATAAAAAGGATGAGTTCATGTCCTTTGTAAGGACATGGATGAAGCTGGAAACCGTCATTCTCAGCAAACTATGGCAAGGACAGATAACCAAACACTGCATGTTCTCACTCATAGGTGGGAATTGAACAATGAGAACACTTGGACACAAGGTGGGAAACATCACACACCAGTGCTTGTCGTGGGGTGGGGCGAGCGGGGAGGGATAGCATTAGGAGATATACCTAATGTAAATGATGAGTTAATGGGTGCAGCACATCAACATGGCACATGTATACATATGTAACAAACCTGAACATTGTGCACATGTACCCTAGAACTTAAAGTATAATAATAATAAAAAAAAGTCAGTAAACAGCAGATGCTGGTGACATGGTGGAGAAAAGGGAATGCTAATATACCATTGGTGGGAATGTAAATTAGTTCAGCCACTGTGGACAGCAGTTTGGAGATTTCTCAAAAAACTAAAAGTAGAACTACTATTCAACCCAGCAAACCCATTACTGGGTATATACCCAAAGGAAAATAAATTGTTCTATCAAAAAGACACATGCACCTATATGTTCATCATAACACTATTCACGATAGCAAAGACATGGAATCAACCTAGCATCCCATCAACAGTGTGGATTGGTAAAGAAAATGTGATAAATATACACCATGGAATGTGACACTGCCATAAAAAAGCAACAAAATCATGTCTTTTGCAGCAACTTGGATGCAGCTGGAGGCCATTATCCTAAGTGGATTAACACAGAAACAAAACTAAATACTGCTTGTCTCAGTTATAAGTGGGAGCTTATCATTGGGTACACATGGACATAAATTTGGGAACAACAGATACTGGGGACTATTAGAGAAGGGAGGGAGGGAGGGGATAATGTTTGAAAAAGTCCCTATTGAATACTATGCTCACTACCTGAATGACAGGATCATTTGTACCACTGATCTCAGCATCATGCAATATACTCATGGAACAAACTTGTGTATGTACTTCCCGAAAATAAAACTTCAAAAAAAATTGACTCTTATAAACTCACTAAGATACTTATATTATTTTTTTATCTTAACAAATGCTGCTTGGGCTAGGGGTGAGACTTGTTCTTCACTACGAAGTAGGACATAGCTGTGAAATGAATCATCAAATAGTGTTAGAAGTACTTTTTGATTTATTTAAAGTCCCATAAGATTTTGCATTTTATTTCTGGAGATTTTCTGAAATTTTTGATATTTTGGAGATATTGAATTCAATTCTTTTAATGTTATCTTTATCTTCTAATAGATTGTGATCTATTCAGAAATATGAGTTTTTCTTATACATTTTAGAGCAATGTCTGGTGTATAGCATGTCAGCAATTGTCTAATGAGTGAATAAATGAGGAGGATGGTACTGTTGAATTAACTAATCTTATATAGATTTTTAAAAATAGAAAATAAAATACAAATGTTAATAGCTGCATTATATTATATAATATTAACACATTAAAACCATTTCCAACAAATTTAAAAGGATAACTTTTTCCAAGTAAATGGCCCATCACATGACTTCATAGTGAAAACGTTGACTTGCACCCTAATTCATTTCCAAGGCCCAACTAAATATCAAATTAATATCCCCAATTTTGATGATATGGCCCTACACTTGTTGCCTTTTCTTACCCAAGTGATCTCTGTGGCACTCCTCAATGCTCAGTGAACACTCCTGCATTCTCTTCCTCAATTCTGCTTTGTTTATGTTTTTTTCCCCCTCTTTATTAGGCCCTTCCTGCCCTCATCAGTTTTAGCTAAAGCTTTATCCATGTTTTGGGACCCAACCTAGATTTCCATTTCTGCATGATATCTGTGATTTCTTTTGTTTAAAAAATAATATCAGTCACTTTTGCTGGATGCCACAGTTCACACCTGTAATTTCAGCACTTTGGGAGGCTGAAGCAGGCAGATGGCTTAAATGCAGGAGTTCAAGACCAGCCTGAGCAACATGGTGAACCCCTGTCTCTACAAACAGTACAAAAATTAGCCAGATATGTTGGCATGTGCCTACAGTGTCAGCTACTCAGGAGGCGGAAGTGGGAGAATTGCTTGAGTTGGGGGAGGTTGAATTGCAATGATCATACCACAGCACTCCAGCCTGGAGCAACAGGATGAGACCCTGTCTCAAAAATAAAAATAAAAATAACCACTTTTGCCAGTGGCAGTCTCTTAATAAAAAGGTTTAAGACTTATGTACCAGCCGGGCACGGTGGCTCATGCCTGTAATCCCAGCACATTGGGAGGCTGAGACGGGTGGATCACAAGGTCAGGAGATCGAGACCATCCTGGCTAAAATGATGAAACCCCATCTTTACTAAAAATACAAAAAATTAGCTCGACGTGGTGGCACGGACCTGTAGTCCCAGCTGCTCGGGAGGCTGAGACAGGAGAATCGCTTGAACCCAGGAGGCAGAGGTTGCAGTGAGCCTAGCTCGCACCACTGCACTCCAGCCTGGGCAACGGAGCAAGACTCTGTCTCAAAAAACAAAAAAACAAAAAGAGTTATGTACCATATAGTCTGACATACCCTTCTAGTTTGGAAGCTTTAAGGACAGAGATGTGTGTCACATCTACTTGTGTCTCTTATATAATTTCACACAGAGCTGTGGATGTAAGCAAAGGGTTTTAGAATTAATTAAATTATATCAACACAAACTTGAGGCCCTCCAAAATTTGGTCTAATTTTCTTTCCCACTGAAAACTAACATCATGAAGTTCCTCATGTCAGACACAAGAGTGGAAGTAATTTTAAAAGACATAAGTAGAATATTTGGCAATGTATCTAGGAGGTATATTGTATGTTTAGTAAAATGGACAATTTTGCTATTGCTCTTACGAAAGTAAAAATAGTTAATCTTGCTATTTGTCAAAGTAAAGATTTATTCTAAGAGAACTTAAAATTTTAGGTTCAATTAAATAATTGGGACAAAAGGCTCAAGTATAAAGAAGGACAACAGGAGAGCTGTGTTATGATATTGTCTAATGTATCTAAGTAGTATATTAAAGTATATACCTTTTTTCCTTCATTAGCATGCACACTTATTTACTCATTTATTTATTTGTTCATTAGGCTACATGAGTGTAAAGAAGTTATCTCAAAATGTGTAGGCATGGTGATTATGTCATTCTTTCCTGCCCTCTTTTCTCTGCTTATTTACTCATAATATCTTTTTCATAGAACAGTCAGATCTTCCTTATTCCTTCTAAATTTACTTTACTTGTTCTGACTTAAACGATCATTACTTCCACCAAAGGTCTTTATAATTTATTGTTGCTTTTAGTTTTTTTCCAATATGCAAATACATGCTGACCAATAATTTATTTACAAATATTGTTACTAACTTGCACACTTTTTTAAACTAAAACTTCTCCCATCTGTGCAAATACAGTTTACATTTATACCTTGTCTGTATAATAACCCGCAATAAGAAATTATTTTAAATGTATAAAAATATTTTAAAATATCTTTCTTATAAATTTAATAAGTTAAAACAAGAGTTTTTATTCTGTAAAAATTATTCTCCCAGCCAGAGTCCTCTCTTGGCTATCCAAGTTATCCATAATTTTTTCTGGATTTTCTTTCTGAATAGCTTCAAAGAGGCCTGATATTTGATATGCTAACATATCCTATTTGTATACTGTGTGCAGAATGCCTTCACTGTAAACAAAATGGTAGCATATCTGAACATTCCTCCTCTCTTAAGGGATTGAAAAAAAAAATAGAGACGGGGTCTTGCTATGTTGTGCAAGCTGAACTCAAATCCCTAGGCTCAGGTCATCATCCCATCCCAGCCTCACAAGAGCTGAAATTGTAGGCACCTGCCACCATGTCCAGTTCTACATGGGATAATTCTTAATTGGCTCTCAGGTACAGTAAGTCACTGGTAAATTGCTCTTGTCAATGAATGACAACTCCAGTCTTTTCAAATTTTGGTATCTAAGGGAGGTCCTGGGACCAATATCCTGCACTAAAAATTGCTTAGGAAAATTTGGAAATATTCATTAAGTTATGCACAAATAATGTAATCCAGCAATACCCATAAAAGTAAATAACAAAAAGAAGCTATTTTACCTGTTTGTAGGGAGATGTGAAAAATATTCATAGAGACACTATTTTTATAACAATAAAGTAAATAATCCAAAAGTTCAGCCAACAAAAGACTATCTAAAAATGTTATAGAATAGTCAAACAGTAAAATACTATATGGCTGTGAAAATAAATTAACCAGAGCTATATGTATCAATGTGAATAAATTTTGCAATAATGTTAGGCTGAAAAGAAGAATTTAAAGAAGGTTGCTTACATTATGTTTCATAGTCTGGTTTTATCTCAACAGAGAGTTTACTAAAACTATCATTCACAGCTTCAGTAAGCCTGAGAAATACCGCAGCTGGGACATTAGGCCATGGACTAGACATCAGGCAGGGATATGATTTGTATTTGCTGCTTCTAATCTCATTTTGGCCAACCTCCAGCCCTCAGAAACAGGTCCAAGTGGAACATAACTATCTATGGAGGAAATGAGCATCCTCACCTGAACCACGAAAGACAAGAGATAATATTTCATCTGCACATAACCCAGGCAAGCCATATACAGATAAGCATGGAGCCAGGCTCATTTTGGTCAAAAAGACAATGACATAATGCTTCTTGAATTACACTGCTCCAATCCACCATAGGCTCTTAGTCATAAAAATGGTTTCTAGTTTAGGGTCATCTGTGACCTAAGCAACATTAAATATTTTCTTCTGCAAAGTTTGAGTAAAGGGGAGAAAGGGGGAAAACAAGAAAAGAAAAAAAGTCTATGTGTAGCTTTTTATATTTTAAGGTAACAAACACTTTGATTAGATTAAGACCATACCGCATCAAAAAGTGGGACCATACCACATCAGAAAAACATGATGCAAGATGTAAAGAGTTTAAAATCAATTTCTTTAACATCTATGCCATAAGACATTATTTTTAGTAACATATTTATGTTTGTAATTCTACAGAATACATTACGTAGCCAAAGACACTGACAACATTTGCTAACCTCAAACCCAAGGATGTTTTGTGAATGCTATTATTTGGGTTATTTAGCCTCGGTAAGTTGCATTTTAGTGCTTAAAATAATGCTGATCTCACTACTACAATGTGCTTCGCATTCCCATAAGTACTAATCCTGATACAATTATACAACAGGGAGACCCATAATTGTTCGTCTCTTTAATGTAATTGCCATAAGAATTGCCATTCTTGAAACATTGAGAGGATAGCTTGAGAACACATTGGCCTCATTGAGTCTGCATAGTTACTTAGATACTTACCATCACTATATATTGACTCAGATTTGAAAATATACGGAGGTTAGTGGAAAACAAGTAAAAATTGCCAGACAAGCATTAGTGAGGTAAAGCCTAGCTCAAGGTACTAACATTAGGTAAGTTTGCATTCAAGAAAAAAAAAGCATTAAATGAAGCAGATAGGGTAACATAAAATTATAAATAATAAATTCCAAAATTAGGATTGAAATATCATGAATCCTTAAAAATTAAATTACTGTCTTAAAATATAGGAACTATAAAAACAAACTCCACATAAACACAATGGAAATAGAAAAATTTAACTTTTCTTTATCAGTTCATGTTAGAAAATGCAAACTTAAAGTAAAATGGATGTTGAAGAACGAAATATTTGACTAATAATGTAGGGTTAAAATATATTGAGTTCTATATTTCTTGTCAAATCCTATCAAATTTTAATCTTTGTATCAAATTCTGAAGTCCCTGTCAAATCCTCATGGGACATTTTTAGATGTTGATTGTGTATTACTCTGCAAAAGAAATCTCAATAAAATTTCAAAAAGTATCAAATAGTACAGGCTACATTGCATAACCAAATATGTAAAAGTAGTAAAAATAACAAGAGAGAAAACGAAACAAAGCAGACATGAAAAGAAATATCCTAGAAGAAAGCTAATTGAAAATACTATTGGTATCCAAATGAAAATTTTACAACCAAAATTTCTAAATATTTAGAAGATATTTAATTGTGTTGATGAAAACATTACATATCTAAACTTATGGATATTCCTAAAATTGTTCCAAGAGAAAAAAATTAAATTTAATAGTTTCCAAACTAAAGGAGAGAATCAAATCAAATCAATCATCTATGAATACTTTAAGAATTTAAATACAATATGAAAGCAAAATATATAAAAGAATAAAAAATAAATTAGTAAACAATAAATGAATAAAATAATAAATACATAAGAAATAATCCTATGTAAAAAGAATATATTCTACAAAATTAAAACAGGGAGAAGCCATTTATGCACTAAAAGAGAAATAAGAAAAGTTACACCATATGCTGAGGAAACTGAAAAAGATAACAAAATGCTTTGGAAAAGTCATGCTAATAATTTGAAACATTAGACAAAATATAAACAACCAATTTTGAAAATGCTATTATAATGGAAAACCTAAATAGTTAAATACCTTGGAAGAAACTGGCAAAACTATATGAATTGCATTATTAATGAAATTAACTGACATTTACTAAATGCCAAACATGCTGAGTAATCAGTAAACAGGGCTACACAGATTATTGTCTCAGTTTTTGATGAGTATGTTATGCGGAAGTTGCATAACTTTTTCAAATTGTAATGAAGAAAATAATATATATTTTTGTAAGATTAAAAAGAAACTTTCCCATTTACCGTTTTAATTAGCCAATCCAGCATTGATACCAAATTTAGAAAGATAAAAAGAAGGGTAAAACTTACAAATCAATTTAACTGTAAAATACAAATGTAAAAATCTACAATACTGGCTTATATAATTCATTAGTATATTAAGTATATGTACATTTTATGTAAATAAGGTTTTTCTCTGGTCTGGGATAAAGTTATCCTTCAGTGTTACATGGGCTAACAAAATTTAGCATATTAATGGATCAGGAAATAAAATTCATATTATCAATAAAATGTCAATAGGCATGTTAAAAAACCAAACATTTAATCCTGGTACAAGTATTTTTTAATCAGGAAAATGACGATATTTACCTTACAATAAAAATATACACAATCGGCCAGGCACGGTGGCTCACGCCTGTAATCCCAGCACTTTGAGAGGCCGAGGCGGGCGGATAACGAGGTCAGGAGATCGAGACCACCCTGGCTAACATGGTGAAACCCCGTCACTACCAAAAATACAAAAAATTAGCCGGGCGTCGTGGGCGCCTGTAGTCCCAGCTACTCAAGAGGCTGAGGCAGGAGAGTCCCTTGAACCCGGGAGGCGGAGCTTGCAGTGAGAAGAGATCGCGCCACTGCACTCCGGCCTGGGCGACAGAGCGAGACTCTGTCTCAACAAAACAAAACAAAACAAAACAAAACAAAACAAAACAAAACAAAAAATATGTATATACACGCACACAATACAAAATATAACTATGCTATTGCCGAAAATCTAGATATATTCCCATTGATGTAAGGAAAAGAAAATGCCTTTTATTTGAAATTATTTTATTACTAAGTAATATTAGATAAAAAATATTCATTATGAATATTAAAAGAATATAAAGTATAATTTGAAAATAGTGCAATAAAATTTCAATGAAAATCTGATTAAACTGAAAACTCATTATAATAATACGTTCAAGAAAGAGGAATACTAACACAACTGATGCATACAATAAATCGATAATCTGTATAAAAATAATCATTTATACAATACAATGGAAGCAAACAGTTCATTTAAAATTCGTTAATAAATTATTTGTAAAACAAAAATAAACCAACATGAAATATTTAGTGTATTTAAGAAGAAACCCACACAATTTTAAGTTGTATATTAGTTAACTAATATTGCATAACAAATTATCACAATCTTAGTAATTCAAAACAATACACATTTATTATTTCACATTATTATTTCTATGGATCAAGAGTCTCAACATGACTTCATTGGGCCCTCTGCTTCGTAAAACTGCAACCCATATGTTGGCCTGGGTTGCAGTTTCATGCCAAGGCTTGATTGAGGAAGGATCCTCTTTGAAGATCACTTGGTATTGACAGAATTTAGTTCCTTGATGCCGTGAGACTAAGGGCCTCAGTTTCTTCCTGCCTGCCAGCCAGAGGTTACACTTAGTTCCTTGCCGTATGGACCTATAAATAATGTATTGCACAGTACAATTTGTTCTGTCCAAGCCAGCAAGGGAGAGAGTCTTGTAGCAAGAATCTACAATTTTATGTAACATAATCACGGAAGTACCATCTTTTCATTTGTAGCATTTTCAATTTGTTAGAAGCAAGTTAAAAATCCCACTCATGATAAACGAGATGGAAGTACCAAAGTGTAAATACTAGGATATGGATACCACTTGAGGAGACATCTTACCATTCCATACCAGAGTTAAAACACAATCATCAAATAATGCTTATGAGTTAAAATACCACATATTTACAGTGTCAATTCTTTCAAAATTATCAGTATTTTGAAATTAATCCCAATTAAAATAATCTTTTTTTGAAATTGATAAAATTATAGAGTTTTTCTGGAAATTCGTCATATAAGAAGAAACAGGAAATATTCGGGAGAAAGAAAAATAATAGAAGAATAAAGGATCTGACATTTTCTAAAACATATATTAACAGTAACTGAAAATGTCATGAGAGAAAATGAGGAATCTGTAAAGAGTCCCAAATATATATTAGATTTTAGTCTATGATTAAAATGATGCTATAAAACCAAAATAAATTAAAGATGTATCAAAGATACACATTGAAATTGTGAAATTGAAATTGTGACAGGACAACATAAACTATTATAAGAAAGACTGGTTAAATAATTTTACAATTTCAAAGTACGGAAGGCATTTCAAAAGTTTAACCTAAAAACACAAGATCATAAAATAGAAGTCTAAAACATAGATTCTACAAGACTTTTATAATCATTATTTTAATGTATTATTTATTTTATACATTTTGTTGAAGGTATAAAAATATCTTCAACAAAGAAAGTACGGGAAATTTTTGCAAAACATATGATAAACCATAAGCTGAATTAGCAAAAAATTAAATGCCTGTTAGAAAAGATGTTAAAATTCAAATATAATTTAAGACAAGCAAACTAACCAAACAGAAAGAACTTTATATGAATAAGCCATTAAAGTAAGATGACATCCATATGCAGAAGAATGAAATTAAACCCTAATACACACCATGTACAAAAATCAACTTGAAATGGTTTAAACACTTAAATGTAAGACCTAAAGTTGTAAAACTATTAGAAGAAAACATGAGGAAAACACTTTATCACATTGGCTTGGGTAAGGTTTTCTTAATATAACCTCAAAAGCACGGGCAACAAAAGCAAAAATATACAAATGGGAGTACAGCAAATTATTAGGTTGGTGCAATAGCAATTGTGGGTTTTGCCATTCCTTTTAATGGCAAAACCACAATTATTTGTGCACCAAGTTAATAAAAAGTTCCTGCACAGCAAAGAGAGCAATCAGCAGAGTGAAGAGAAGACCTAAGGAATGGGGAAAAGTATTTGCAAATTATATGTCTGATATGAAGTTCATATTCAAAATATATGAGGAACTCATCTCAATAGCAAGAAAAAAAATAACCTAATTTAAAAATGGGCAAAGGATATGAATAGACATTTCTCAAAAGAAGTCATACAAATGGCCAAGAGGTATATATATATATGGATAGATAGATTTAACATTACTAATTATCAGGGAAATGCAAATTAAAATCACAATGAGATATCACCTCACACTTGTAAGAATGGCCACTATCAAGACAAAAGATACTCATATTGACCAGGATGTGGAATAGAGGGAACTCTTATATGCTGTTGGTGGGAATGTAAATTAATAAAGCCATTTTGATAGACAATATATAAGTTCCTCAAAAAATTAAAAATAAAACTACCATGTAATTCAGTAACCCCACTACCAGGTATATATACAAAGGAAGTGAAAGCAGTATGTGGAAGAAACATCTGCACTTCCATGTGCATTGCAGCACTACTCACAATAGCCAAGAATTGAGTCAACCAGAGTCAACCAAAGTGTTTATCAATAAATGAATGGATGAAGAAAATGTGGGAGTTGTGTGTGTGTATGTATACCCACATTTTGTGTGTATGTATATATGTATATGTGTATACATACACACATATATATATATAATGGAATACTACTGCCTTGAGAAAAAGAAAATGTTGTCATTTACCACAACATGGATGAACCTGGAGGACAGTATGTTAAGTGAATAGGCCAAGTACAGAAGGACAAATATTGCATGATTTCACTCATATACGAATCTAAAAGAGTCAAATTCATAGGAACAGGGTGTAGAATATTGGTTTCCAAGGGCTAGGGTGGCAGCAGGTGAGGGAGGTGTTGTGGTTAGTCGTGCTGGGGAGATGTTGATCAAAGCACAAAAAATTAAATTAGACAGGAAGAGTAAGGTTAAGAGATCTATTGTACTGTACATGGTGACTATAGTTAATAACAATGTATTCTATTCTTGAAAATCACTAAGAGAGTTTTTAAGTGTGCCCACCATAAATAAATATGTGAAGTAATGCATATGTTAATTAGGTTTTAGCATTCTTCTGTGTATACATATTTCAAAACATGTTGTACACAAAAATATACAATTTTGTTAATTAAAATATAAAGAAAATAAGGTGACATTTACTAGATGTAAAGCAAACCAAAAATAAGAAACTTCCATTGTTTAAAACGTATACTTTTTCTACTACTAATCTGTAATTAGATGATTTTTCAACTGTGCTATGCTTATCTCTATGTAGCATCCAGAAAGCACCTAGAGAGCTAAAAACAGATGTGGAAGCCTATGGTTGGCAGCATGTTGGAATTAATAAAAGACAGGTTCATTGAATCCTTAAACTGCTGTAATCTGGTAAGTAAAAGTCAACAAGATTTCTGAAAGTTTGCCTAACATCTCGTGAGTACTTGGTTTGATATGTAATAATCTAATGGATCACAATAAGGATCAAAAATGCATAGTTTAAAAATAATTATGAAAGTTTATAATAAGCATGTCTTTTTATGATCTATATTTTTGATGCTCTGATGTCTGCAGCCTTGCATACCCTGGAGATACTGCCCACCATCCTCCGTTCCCCAATTTCCTCCCACACACGGTTAGCTAATTATTACAGATGGCAAAATGCTTGCCAGCAAATGTGACTTTCATATGGATACTGACAGGTCCCAAGCCAGACCCTCACCCACAACTACTTTAGCAGGCTCTCATACTCAGGGATATTATTCCCTTGCCTTAGTTATGCCAGGGCCAGGTATCAGGCAACTAGGAACAGCACCTATGTCCCAGAAGCCACTGAAATTATTCTAACTAGAAAATCCTAATTGTGCTTACCCTAACAATTCCTTTCTGTGAAAACCACAAAACAGAATCTTGCCATGCTAGGTGCAGTGACTCACATCTCTAATTCCAGTGCTTTGGGAGGTGGAAGCAGGAGGATCCCCTTAGCCTAGGAGTTTGAAGTTGCCATGAGCAACAATCATGTCACTGCACTCTAGCCTGGGTGATAGAGTGAAAACTCAACTCTTAAAAAAAAAAAAATGTCCAGGTTTTCCCGTTGCTCCCTGTGCCTCCTGGCCAACCATGGTGCTTCCCTGTGGCATGGTGACATGCCCCTTTTGGGATCTGTGCATATACCCAACTACCTTTTCAATGGCAGTAGTCTCCTGATCTGTTGGCCTGGCCATACTTGAATATCAATAAAACCTGTATTTTAAAACAAAAAGCTTCAGCAACAGACTACCTGGGGTGGAAAACAGATCTCTGGGATTGGCATAAAAATTATATAGATAAAAAATCAACTTGTGGTCAAGTAATAAAATTAGAAAGAAAGGTAAGAAAAGTGTAAAAAGGAGAACTATCCAGGGACAGGCATTTCCTTCTATTCAAAAAATGTGTAAAACCAAATAATAAGGAAGAAGGATATTCAGTGTACTCTTTTCAAAAAAAATACTAAATGAACTGTATGAATACTAAGAAGATATTGTGATGAGTGGGCAGAAAGCTGAAAGAAGAGTCAATAAATGCAATGTGTTTAAGAAATGCATATATAAGCTATATTCTGACCACAAGACAATTGTTATTAATAATTGATATAGAATATTTAAAAATGGGATTATACCAGTGCAGCTTTGCAATAAGAAAAGATTATGAAGCAGTATCTATAATTGCTAATTGATTTAATCTCTAAATACATACTGAGTGCCTGTTTCCTACTTTACATCACTCTAAAAACTAAAGGGTCCAAAATTAATGTTATAATCCCTATTTTTAAAGTCCCACAAACTGGTGATAGAGACAACTAAAGAACAGAAAAATAAAACCTGCATGATAAGAATACAATATGTGCTTTTGACTTTTAAATTGAAATTATATTCAAATACAGATAAATGTTTTTGAAGTTATAGGCACATTTAAAAAAATTGACTTCAAATTCATGTCATTGTTTTACTTGTAAAAATTGTGTAAGTCATATATTTTAATATTACACTAGTATTTTAAATATTTCTTACCTGAATTGTGGTCTTTTAGTATTATATGTATTTATTTAATTTATTAATTAAATGTTAACTTTTATTTGTTTTTGCTGATACAAAGGCATATTGTTTCTATATTAATTCATTCACTCTTTTAAATAAAATTTATACACTGTCTGCCTTTTTGGTGCTAGGCATTTTTCTAGGGGCTAAGCAAATATAAATTATTTTAAATAAATACAGTTTGTTGCAAAGTAATCTGAAATATATTTAAGCCATATTACCATTATTGCTAATTAAGTGAAAATCAGTTTTCTAATAAAAACATCAAATGTGCAGTGTGAAAATAATGGAGTAATTATCTACTAATATAAAGAGAAATAACTCGCTGAGAATTATTTATCAGCAGAACTGCCTTTTAAAATATGATAATACAAAACTCATAGGTAGAGCGTTTAAATTTGGATTTGGAAATAGAATATTAAGTTAGTGACCACAGTCTATTGTTACACACAAAAATTCTAATGGAAAGGGATCCAACTCAGGAATTGCAAATATGGAAAATCAGCTGAGTTCCAGAAACGATATAATCTTATTTAGGTTGGGAAAAGGCACTAAAATTCAAGTTAATACCATTTGTTTGGAATAGCAAAAGATTATTTTCAAAGGGACAATCCAGATTCAGAGAAATTAGGATGTAATGTAAACAAAGGACAATTGACAAATCCCAAGGCAGTATATCTTCCCAGAGGTAGTTCAGATTTAAGTGCATCATCCTGTTCCAGCTTTACAATGAAAAGACAAATTAATAGTAATTTGGTATATAGGATTGAAGCGATTATGGTTGTTTTGGTGTTACAATCAACAAAAGCAATCTAAGCAAAAAATACCCAAAAGTTGTTATAATAATATGAAGACTATAAGGTAGTCCTCAGAATAGGATATAATATGTAATAGGAACAAAAAGGTAATTTCTACAGGACATCAGAGTATTAGCTCCAGAATGAATAAGTTTCTGTTAGTTTATATTTAAATTCTAGGAGAAGAAAATTGCATTGGTCTAACTCAGAACAAATATTTGCCCCTAACTCAAAAGAATGTAGATATGATAGTCCATGATCAAAATTATAGTAAACCTGAAGAAGCAGTAAGTAGTAGAATATGGTCCACTCTATTATCTCTTTTTATTTTTTAAATAACAGTTGAATTGCATTTTCGCTGGTCCTATAGTAAACCAATGTGAAAGCAACTTAATTTTTGCGGGGGATGAGAGTCTCGCCCTGTCGCCCAGGCTGGAGTGCAGTGGTGCAATCACTGCTCGTTGCAACCTGGACCTCCAGGTTCAAGCCATCCTCTCACCTCAGCCTCCAGATTAGCTGGGATTACAGACGCATGCCACCACACCTGGCTAATGTTTGTACTTTCTTGTAGAGATGGGCTTTCATCATGTTGCCCAGGCTGGTCTGAAACTCCTGAACTTAAGTGATCCACTGCCTCAGCCTCCCAAAATGCTGGGATTACAGGCATGCCACCACGCCTGTGAAAAGCAACTCTAAACCTCTATTTGGCATTTTTTTCCATTCATTGAAACTAAGCCTGACAGGGTGCAATGACTCACACTTGTAATTCCAGCTCTTTGAAAGGCTGAGGCAGGAGGATAGCTTGAGACCAGGAGTTTGAGACCAACCTAGGCAACATAGCAAGACTCCATCTCTACAAATAAAGAAAAAAAAAATAGCTTAGCATGTTGGCTCACACCTGAGTCCTAGTTAGTTGGGAGGCTAAGGTGAGAGGATCATTTGAGCCTAGGAGTTTGAGGGTGTAGCTATGATTGTCCCACTGCAGTCTATCTTGGGTGACAGAGTGAGATCTTGTCTCAGAAAAAAAAAAAAGACGAAGAAAAAACAATCTCAGCCTGCATATGATATTTTCTTCAGAGGAACATCATGATCAATGACAACAACAGAACAAAATAAAGCAAAGCAAAGTAAAACAACATTTTCTAACAGGGAATGTATAATTTCACACACACAAAAACTTAGTTCCTGTTAGTAAAAAGGGATGGTGAATAGAAAACTAGGAAAAATGGAAATTCCACAGAGATCGCTACTTTAATAAGGAACAATTGGGTATTCCCTTCAATTCAAAAAGGATCTGGCAGCATGCCCCTTCCACAAGACAAGGCACTGAACAGTATATAACCTCATATCCACAAACTGGCTCCTTGTTTATGGGTCTCTCAATCATATGGGAAGATTTTCTGTATTAAACCAACTGTCCAAACTCATTTCTAAATTAAACTGAAACATGGAACCCCTCCAAGGCATGTTCTTCCTGATGACTGCATTCTGGATATTGAAATATTATCACTTCCACTGGTCATTGAGGCCAAACCCACAATATCTGAATGCCAATTCTTTGATCTTCAAAGAGTAAATCAGAATGTATGTATTATCTAATTCAGAATCTGACTTTCTAAGGATTTTCTCCCTCAATATGCACTCCATCCAAATTGGTAGTACTCCTTCATGAATGGGTCCTAAAGTCAATTTGAGATATTTCTTGACAAGTTCCTAAAATGAAATTTAACTATTATGTATTCATTTTAGACCCATTTTCTGCAACTGTGAATTACACAAAATCTGGTAAAAGTATCATTTTAATGTCATAGTTGTTTCCAATGTAAATAGAATTACCCTTAACTGGGAATCTTACTACATTTTAACCTTATGAGAATTGTAGGAGAAAGGCCAAACAATTTGGTCTCTTAATTGCCATTTTAGAAGTTGCCAGAAAGTAGAGATACTTTTTGACAAAGTAGGTCTCAATGTATTCTTTTAAATTTCATCACTTTTGTGTACAGTTAGGGATGACAATGGTGATGAATCATAACAAAATGATAGACGTGGAGTCCATTTCTCAAAGCAGCATCTATTTTCCAAGTAGAGAAAAACTAAAGAGAGCCTTTTTATAAACCAGTAATACAAACTTCATAGTCATCCAAAATCCACAACTTTTCTAATAGCTTTATCTCATATTCAACTAGAAGTAAAGGCAAATTTTCCTTTTAGCTAGAGAAATTGCACAAGTTTGTCAGGCAATATGAATTGTGATCACTATGGGCTTTCTGCAGAACTATGGAAACACCAGTCTAGAAACTACAATTTTCTTGTGAAGAAAAATCACTTTAATCCTATGCCTGCTGATCAACACAAGGCTTGAATAAAAGGTCCAGCAGGCAATACTGTAAGTAAAATGCAGAATGTTTTCTTAAGAATTGAGGGAGAAAATTCACGCTTCACCAATAAATATTGTCCTCGAGTCTTTGAGAATCAAAAGGACCGTGAATGCCAACAATCTAATTGTTTATCTGATTTTTCATAATTTTGTAAACTATGATGAAATGTTGAAATGCACAGAGGTGTCAATCTATCAAACCTGGGTTCAAATCTCCCACCTTTACTAGTTGTGTGGCAATTTATATTCGACTTTGTGTTTCATTGAACACAAAAATGATCAAAGAGCTACTGAGATGACTCAATGAAATAATATAAGTAAAACACCTATCACAGCTCTGGATGCATAGTCAGTCTTCAAAAATATAGCTATTGAAATCATAATATTATGCATGATTATCACATGAGAACCACAAGGAATTGATACTAAATTTTATTTCTGATAATGACAAACTAAAGCAAAGCCAATTTTTTATGATGCTATTTTTTCACCAACTTTTAAATCCACTAAGGCTTAAAAATGCAAAGACTAGCATGAAATTGGGGGTAACAACACTAAAATATTAGGTTCACTTGAAGGTGAAGCTTAAAAACATGCACAAGATGTTTTCTTCAATGTTAAGAAAAGTATCACATAGTTTATTGGTAACTAATTGTGTTTCCACAGCTATGCACTATATTAAACTATAACAACATGGGACCAAAATCTTATTTGATTCCAGCAGTCTCTGTGCCTATATCTTGTAAACAAACCTGGGATGTGAATGAGTTTTTGCCTTATGCTTCTTCTAATGGCACTGATATGGTTTGGAGATGTCCCCACCCAAATCTCTTCTTGAATCATAGCTCCCACATGTCATGGAAGGGAGCTGGTGGGAGGTAATTGAATCATGCGGGTGGGTTTTTCCTGTGCTGTTCTCATGATAGTGAATAAGTCTCATGAGATCTGATGGTTTTACAAAGGGCAGTTACCCTGCACTCTCTCTCTTGCCTGTTGTCATGTAAGACATGACTTTGCTCCTCCTTCACCTTCCACCATGATTTTGAGGCCTCCCAGTTATTTGGAACTGTGAGTCCATTAAACATCTTTTTCTTTATAAATTACCCAGTGTTGGGTATGTCTTTATAAGTAGCATGAGAGCAGACTAATATAGGCACCACTGTCAGACTTTTCTTAATTGTTCTTGATTAAGAGATGTGAATTTTGTGCAAATTGGACTGGAAGATCCTATGTAATTCATATCTTATGAGATTCCTAGACTTACAATATGTTATAGTAATCTTCCATTGTGGAGGATGGGGAACTTTAATGCATAGGTTTTCAAGAAATATAGTAACCTGGAAAACTTAGGTTTACTTATGCTTTCCAAGATCTCCAATGAAACAACTGAGAGAATAAAAATAGTGAGTAATTTGGGGTTGATCTCTAAAGCACTACAAATTTAAATTCTATGTGACTTTTTAAATTTAGAAACTCTGCTATCTATAGAACAAATAGGAACAGATTGAAAGAAAGCTCAATTTGGCCTTGCTCTCTTTTTAGTTAGTGGAAGTTAGTAGAAGTGATTTCATTAAAGCACTATTAACACACCCTAACTCAGATGAAGAGAGGAGAAAAACAAATTTGAGGTCATAAATAAGAGCAGGAGTCTTCAGAGTCCACCTGTTTTGAACTCTGACAACTATATCCTATCTTAATAGATCTCTTCTGCTATTTGTATTTTTTTGGTATTTACATTTTAAATATTTTATCATCATCATCATCAGCAGCAGCAGGCATTTGGTAGTTATTTTATTAGAGGATGACTTATCTTCAGAAATGATTCAGTTTAGGCAGGAAATCCTTTAACTTTCTACATCTAGAGACCAAGTACTTAATAAACATTTGATGGTATAGTACATTCTCCTGTCCGCCACCTCATGGCCTAAAGGTTCATATGGAACTTAAAGTTGGGAATACAAAACCACATGACAACTTCATGGATCCCTTTGGAGGATCTCAAGTTAACTTCAGGAACTACACTGGTTCATTTTATTTTAAATGTCAGCAAAGGTAGGTGATTGCATTTTAAATGTCTGGAGTGACTCTTCTACCAGCTTTAAATTATTAGCTATTGCTAGCCCGGGGAGCACACCACACACACAGAGTCCACTCAGTGGGCAGACTAATAAGGATGTCCCCAGGGTTTGCATTACCAGCAACTCCTATCAAGTTCAGCTCTGTGGGATTCTCAAAGCAATGTGATGTTTAAATGGCTTTGTCTCTGGGAGTTTCTGTCCAGGATCTTTCTTATAAACAAATGCACTTCAAATTCCAAGTTAAAACGATGATTATAATCTTCTCAATTAGCTAATCAAAATAGAAATGTAACTTATGCAAAAATCAATGATTTAAATAATAATATTGCCATAGTGCAAGATGTAAGGAAATGATATAAATTTGAATTTTAGAAATAAATTAAATTTATGGGGACAGGGAAACATGTCATGGTTTCACAGCCAGCTTATTATTTCAGAATCTGGAATGACAATTTAATAAAATCTGTATTTTACTAATATGTTCCAAAATAACAATGTTTCCTTTTGTTGCCAATGACTTTTATGTATATGCCAGTTTTACAGTTCTATTTTTATTAAATGCTATGAAACATCAATTGCTCAATACTATCAGCAATAGCACTCCGGGACCATTTGTATAATTCAGCCTGTAAGTTTGGGAACTTAATTTTCTGCATATTCAGATAGTCGTTGGTGGCATTTAAATAATGATTTACCAGTCAGATAACTGTATGGTGCTGGAAAATACAATAAAATAAAAAAAAATCACTGACATAGCCAGTAATTCCTAATAGTATTATTTAATAATCTAGCATCAGGAAGTATTATTTTAATTAGACTTTAGGAGTGACAATGTTGATTTTGAGGGTAAGGAGAAATATCATGTCTTGTACACATTGATAATTACTATTTGTTCTCTACTGGTACTATTTTAAAAATATATCTTGTCTTATTAAAGATAAATTTTAGTGCTCCTAAAGAAGCAGAAAGGGCATTATAGAACTGCAGAGATAATTTGCACAACAAATTTAAAGAAAAAGCTTAGGATAGGAAAAACGAATATAAAAGTGTTCTAAATGCCTTTTCTCTGTCCTCCAATTCTAAGATCTATAAAAGAAGCCAACCTACTGCAGTCTTAAAAATAAATCTTGGATTTCTCATCTCTTTTGTAGAGTAGAACTAATTGAGTAACCACAAAATTAAGTGGATGAGCTTATAGGTTATTTTTAGGAGAGCCAGGAATAGGGATATGCACAGATTTTTAAAAATATGTTTTATATTTCATATAACCAAACAATAGATTTGAGGTTTAATGCATTACCAACTCAATTGTGCTTTGAGTAAAAATATCACTAAAAGATTTGGAAGGACATAGAGTATTGGAAAGATTATTGAACTTGGAATCAAGAGAGCAGGAATCTACTCCAAATTTTGGCATGAAAGATATTTTAAGCTAAGCACACTTTCGATAATTTTTAACAAAATATTCAAATCCAAGGAAACTTAGAGATCTTTTTAAAGTTTTTCTTTCTTTAACTAAAGTTAGACATGGAGAATAGTTGCAGAATTCTACAGAGAGTTTTCATGGATTTCTTTCCCAGCTTTCTTTATTACCATTTTATATAACCTTAGCATGGCAGTCAGAACCAAAGCCCATTAACATTAGTAGCATACTATATAACTAGAGATTTTGCTCAAATCTTACCATTTTCTCCCACTATTTGTCTCTTTTTGGTCCAGGATCAAGTTCAGGATTCTGCATTGCAACTAGTTACTTCTCCTTAGTCTCCTGTAATCTGGAAATAGTTCCTCAGGCTTTCCTAGTCTTTCACAATCTTGATACTTTCAAAATATGTCGATCATGTGTTTTGTCTAATGTAAGTCAATTTGGATAGGTCTGATGCTTCTGCATGACTGAAAGCTGCTCTGTATTTTTGTCAAGAATGTCACAGAGCCAGTGTTGAGTTCTCAAGGTATCATGTCACAGTTCTCAAGATGTTATGTCTTGTTACTGGTGTTGTTGGCCTGCTCAGTTTCTCCACTGCAAAGTTACTGTCTTTCCCTTTGTAGTACACACACATACACACACACACACACACACACACAAACACACATGTGTTTTTTGTTTTATGGGTTATAATCAAGTACTATGATATTTATTTATTTTTGCTCAAATTGTTAGGCTACTTCAGGTTGGCTCCTGTGTTTTTCAATGAACTTGAATTTTATTGAGTGCATGTCTTTATTTTTTAGCACTAAAAAAAGGATAAACTGGACATTAAAGGGTTTAGTTTATTCTCCGTGGTGAGTAGGAAGAAAATGAGTGAACACAGCAGGTATCGTTAATGAGATAGCAGAGTTTAGGAGGAAGTGATGTTTCTTTGAGTATATTGTTTACATAGCTGGACTGCTAGAACCACAGTAATATTTCACATACCCTTCATATACCCCAAAGAAAAACTAAAAAATAAATTAAAATCAATTATAATATAAGGAAAACAAAAAAATAGAAAACAAACACTAACAAACATACTCTATTAACACACAAATTGGGGGAAGAACAGAACTATTCTAAGTAACTTTGGAAATAATATCTTGACTGGATACTGTAGGGATAAAAACAAAAAATTCTATATATAAATACAATAAATACGCTCGCCACAGGGATATAGGTTAGCAATTCTGAGAGTGCCTTATATGTATACTAGAACAAACCAAACAAATAATGTATTACAGCTAATAAGAACTAGGTTTCTCAATGTTGAATAATTTACAAGTAAGAAAAGGGGAAAAGGCTAAAGTGAACTCTGTGGTATTGTATTGGAATTCAGTTATTAATATTATAAATATATGGTGTGATATATAAAAATTATATATACATACACATTATATATACACATATGTGTGTATATGTACACACATGTACTTTTGCAGTTAGATGCAAAACTACAAACATTTTTTGTGTGGATTAATAAACATACATCTATTCCCTCTCTATATTGAGAACACCCAGATGCAAGGCCACCCAGTGGTAATGTGAGCATTCATAGCCCAGCCCATACCTTGGTTTCTAAATGTTATTCTCCAACAATGTACCAAGGCTCCTTGTGGATTCTGGGTTTTGGCAGGATAAATATTTAAAGATATTTTAATATTCCAGCTTAAAAATCCTCAGTTGTTTTTCATTTAGGTAAGAACATCTGTGCATCAAGTAAGTGTCCTTCTATTATATTGTAAAAAAATTGAAGAAGATATCTCTTTAATATCAGTGGAATGAAACTAGAGTTTTTCTAACCATATTAAGGGAAAGAAAATAATTGATGGTTGTGGGAAGTCAGAAACAACTAAGCCAGCTTTCAAATCTGCAAGCTGATGATTCCAGAACTGACTTACAAAATGTATAAGACATGCTTATTTTTTTCTTATAATAATTGATATACTTTCATATGATATCTCCCAATAAAACAATAATAGATTTGTATATATGTTTAGGACTCCAAAATATATTAATTTACTCACTCAATTCACAGATGCTCTTACCTAAATGAAAAAAAAAGAGGATTTTCTAAAACCATTATTAAATACACATAATAACCAATATCTAGGTTCTAAAATCAGGGAATTGCGAGATAAATATGACACAAGCCATATTTCACAGGTATACTCCAGTAGCAGAAATGTGAAGAATACACATAAAGTTATAACACAAAGTATAATATAATAGTGTTTGCAAATGAATACAAAAGCTGTGTCCAGGGAAGCAGACACAAGATGGCAAATAATTTCTGATAAGAGAGTGCTTTCAGAGAAATGTGGCATTTGAAAAGAGCAATGAAAGATAGACTGTGAAAAGGGCATGAGAACCTCAGGTTGCAGAAATCCAATGCAATGTATCAAGATATTGTAAAACTGTAGAATATGTCTTGAGTTCAGGGTAATCAGTTAGCAATTGCCATAAAAAGGCTTAAAAAAGCATATAAGTCAGTGTGTTGAAACCCACTGTCACTTATTCTCAGAACTTATCCAGCCTGGGCAAAGATGGGAATAATTAGCACTCTCCCAGTGAATTGTATCTCACTCCTGGGACCAGTGGTTAAGCTGCACATGATTTTCTCATGGTTGTGGCATAGATGTGAGGGAGCAACACCACTCAGCTTGTGTCCTGTCTTCCAGAACAAGTCACATAGGCAAACACAGAATCAGTAAGTAGGGGAATTTACTTTGCCCCTGTAAGTAATGAGTAGAGTAAACATTTTCAAAAAAAACCTTACACAGAAACAGGTTATCATTTGCTTCCTTTCAATCAAATAATTCTGCATTCTACTGAAATTCTTACAGTTTTCTCTTATCTGAATATGTTTCTGACTTAAAGAACAGTATGCAATTTATATACTTGCATCAGTTATCATAGTCCATTACTCTGCCTTTTAATATTCTTGGCTGCTCATGGAGCAGGTATTTCTAATACTTAAAGTGTGCCTTATTTATAATAATTCAAGAGAGAACACCAGTTTTACATTTTATTACACTCATTATGTATTTTGAAATGTTTGCCATAGAACCAAGACTGAATATTTGCTAGTGGGAGAAACATAACATGTACAGTTGATTGCAAAGGTTCCTTTTAGCTACAAAACCCCATGGTTGCCATTATGGTTTTATAACGCATTTTCCATCATGCCAGTTATGCACCTTTATATAAAATTTAAAATAAAATGAAACAGAGTCAATTGGGAGCTATGGCAAGGAGAATGAATTTAAATCATTCATTAATTCACACGCTAAATGCTATATATTACATAAAAGGAGACTAATAGCAGAGACTACTAATGTTTCTGTGGCCAAAACACAATAGATCTGTATAGCCTCTATCATGGTTTAAAATATTTTAAATTAATATTTGCAAATATCTCATTTTGGGTAGTTCTGAATGTTAGTAATTTACGGAAAACTATCCTCAATTAAAAACACAGCTGGAAAGATGATGGTTTTTGATATACTAGTGACCAGTTAGACAGATTACAGTAGTTTGACCTCAGTATATCTAACAGTTTGGTGTGACAGTGTATCTTCTAAAAAGAATCTGAGTATTCCCAAATTAGTGACAAGATGCAGGATTTCAAACTAGATTTCTGGTTACTGACACTCAGAGGCTCTTCCTGTTCCCATGGATAGTGATGTTGGCAGCCGTGGCCCATCTGGAGCTGCTGCTGCCGTGATGCTGGCTGCAGTGGGGGAGACGCAGCCCGGGTTGTGCTTTCATGGAGCTGACAGGAGCCAGAAATAGGCAGAAGCCCCAACCACTTCCAAGTTGGAGGGGCAGGAGCCCTGCCCTCCCTCCCAAGTGCAGTTGCGCCTCTGGGCTGCAGCTACGGACCCAGGCATCTCTGCACTCTTGGGGGCCTGGGAAGACCCCTGCACTCTTGGGGGCCTGGGAAGACCCCTGCCCCACAGGCTCAAAAGTTCCTGCTCCTGCTGCCTTGGCCTCTCTCCACTCCTAGTGCTGCTCCAATTTCAGAGCAAAGTTGTGGCCCAGCCCCTGGTGAAACCCCACCTTCAGGCCAGGGAAGGCTTGAGGCCTGGGGACTGGGCTGTCAGTTTGGTGGACTAAAGTGAGAACTTACGGTACTTTTTCCCGGTCCACCATGGCCACCCATGGACCAATCAGCACGCACTCCCTCGCTTTGAAGCCCATAAAAAACCTACATTCAGACAGACTTAGGCAGACAAGGGGAGGATCTGCCTGCTGAGAGGAGCTACCCACTGTGGGACTCTTCTCTGACGACAGCTGGATACTCGTTGGGACAACCTTCCTGCAGAAAGGAGCTACCAACTGTGGGTCTCCTCAGAGCTGTTCTTTTGCAATAAAACATCTCTTTACCTTGCTCACCCTCCACTTGTCCAAGTACCTAAGTCTTCCTGGATTCAGGACAAGAACTCAGGACCTGCCAAATGGCTGAGTTGAGAGAACTGTAACAAAAACAGGGCTGAAACACACCCCTTGCTCCCCATATTGCAGGCAATGAGAAGGAGAGAAGAGAGGCGAGAAGAGCTGAGGCCCTTCAGGGAGCCCAGACCTAGGAATCTCCAAACTAGGACTGTGACACCCTCTTTGGGGCTCTGTGGTTCCCGGCATCTCTAAGCTTCTGGGCACCACCGTGTTCCTGGTCCCTGGTCCCAGCTGTGGAAGCTGCTTGTGGTATGCCTGGTCCAGCCTCAGCCTCACAGGGACCTGGCACTCATGCTGGCACGTGGAGCTGCCTATCCCACTACGGCGCTTTGTTGTGAGCAGTGGCCGGACCCCATGCTCACTTGTTTACATATCCCTCACTACTTCGTGCATGGCTCACCCTTGGCACGTGTGGGATCCGGCTGGTAGTGCGAGTGAACCGCAGCCTGCCAGGCCGAGTGGGCAGAACTAACCCAGTGGCCCTTAGCAAAACTCAGGCAAAGGTGCCACCAACCACTGAGATATCTGGCTGGAAAAGCAACACCCCAAGGATCCTGTAACAGTGACCTTGTAACTTTCCTAGTATTGAACATAGTTTGATTTACGCTATCATGTACTTCCTAGGGAAAATTTGATTCTAAAATATAGTATAATAAAGTATACTGAGGTGCAGGTCTATCTTTCTGATAGTTTGCAATTTTTTCCTCAGCAGAGTTCAAATGCTAATATAAAGGCCCTTTGAGCTGTGTGTCTAGCTTTTGTAAAAAGGCCTTTATTTACCTTAAGTTTTTAAAAATCTATACTAGATGAAAGGCATCCTTATGTTTTTCATAGTTTTTAACTTTTAAGAGCTGGAATACTGAGACTTCCAACACAAATCTCATAAGAAAAATAAGGTATCTGATTCCCCAAATGTGTAAATGAGGGAAATCATCAATCTTGCTACACAAAATAATAGGTGTTCCTAACCATAACTTAAGAAATTGTGTGTGTGCGTGTGTGTGTGTGTTGTGTGTTTCTATATGTGAAACAACTAGTGGAAGATCTGAGAACTTTGAAAGTGCACAGATCATTCAAGATTTGCATATATGAGCTTTTTATTAAAAAGACACTAACTCCACAGTAGATACACATCAGTAATAGGTACTGTGAAACTGCACATTAATCTCCTATTCATAGTTCAGTGATGTTGGACATTTTTTATTTGATTTGACATTGTATAAATTTCAGAAGTAAGATTATGTGATTCTTTTTACTTTGGCAAAGTTACATTAGATTTGCTTTAAAATATTACTCCCTCCTCACTACATACTTTTGCTCAGAAAACAAAAAATAATCAATTGAAAATGAACACTTTACCAATCAATTATTGATTATATGCAAATTGCATCCATTTTTCTGTGATAATCACACCTGATTCCACAAAGTGAGTAGACCAGAAGAGCCAATCTATGGCAATGTATCTTCGCTTTTGCTAAGAATTCACAAACTGTGCTTTTAAATGATTGCTTATCACTGGACACTTTGACCACACTTTCCAGTGTAAGAAGTAAAATAGAGTACACAACACACTGATCAGTTGATTCTTGTTGAAAACCTATTATTTTAACTCCCTAAATGTATGTATTGAAAAGCCATGCACATACTGCATGTCCAGGAAACAAAGTAAAATGTTAAATTTTGAATGGTCAAATTATGATTTTGTTTGATTACAGCTGTTATTGAAATATGTAGCATGTCCAAGCTATAAGAAAACTTTATATATTCTCCTTGTTGTCTAAACACAGTGATTTATTTGCTAACTATTGAAACCACGTTTTCTTCGGCAACCTCTATGTACTCATGTTAGCTCTAATATTGCAGTCCTGACTTCTGACAATCAATCACTGGTTGCTATGTAACTTCTAGAGTGCTGGTTTTGAGTAAAAGCTTGTTGAAAATTATTCAGCAATATTAACTGAAATTTCAACTATGGTGAATATAGAATTTATTGCATTTCACTAAAAACAGTCTCTAATGAATAGATATTTTTGTTTTTCCTTTAGGTAACTGTAATTTCTAGAAAAACATTTGGGTTTTCTTTTCAACTGTAATCTCAATCATCTTAAAAGCTTTGAGGGTGAATAAACGTTGCCACAGTTACTTAGATTCTGAAGTGGTGATAACTGAGGGAGAGCAAATCTGACTTCCTCTTCATGGCATTAACCACATTGCAAGCATCAGTTGAATTCCCATAGCAAGGAAAATAAAAGTGGAATATTTCTTGTCCATTTACTTATGCCTCACAGTGTCAGAAGTCTGAATTTGATGTCACTTCTGTTCACGAAATACCTTGGTTGTGAGTCAGTAACCCTACGGTTAATGGCAGTCACATTTAGTGGGTGCTATCTTCTCTGCCTTTACAGGGACATTATTTTTGTTAAGCCGAAAGTGAAAGTGCTAACATATTAAACCATATTCATCATGGAAAGGGATAAAAGGTTTTTTATTCACTTAATAACTCATTCATTGAACTCATATCTATATTAAACCTATAATAACAGGCACTTACTTTAATTTCTGGAGTTATTGCAATCGGAAAGACAAACTTGTTTTTTTTTTCTTTTATTGAGCTATGTCTAATAAAAGAGATAAGATAAACCATTTTAATATACAAAATAAAATTATAAATATGTACTGAATAGTGTAGAGGAAATAACAGTAAAAAGGACCTGGCCAATGAAAATGGCATATACATTGGCATTATGGGGGAAAAAACTTAAATATTAAAATTTCCCAATGCATGAGAAGAGCTTGACAAGTTTAAGAAGTAGAAACAGGGTTAATTGGGTGGAAGGTGGAATCATTCCACAAGTTAAAGGAAGACTCTGATGCCGTAATAAATTAACACCATAATCTCATTGGTTTAATACAAGAAAAGTTTATTTCTTACTCATTTCACAGACCAATGCTGATTGGATAGCTGTCTTCCTAACACTGGCTTATTGACCATTTTGTATCTATGCCTTTGGGTACACAGAGCTTTCAAGTTTTCTGTTCAAGGGCCAGTGGATCTGATGGGATGTTTCAAGAATCTGGCCTAGAAAACACTTGTTTTCATCCATATTCCATTGGTCAGAACTTAGTTTCATAGCCCTAAACCTAACTGCATGAAAAAATAGAAAATGTAGTATTTATATCTGCCAAGAAAGAAAAAAAAAAACAATAAAGTGATACATAGCATTGTCTCTGGCATGGAACTATTATGTTTAAAATGCCTGAGTGGCATCCAGGTCTACATATTAAGTAAGAAGTTGGCCACAGTCATGTAAGTCTGAAAGAAGAAGTCTGGGATATAAAGTGAATACCCATTCGTGAGAATCCAGAATTATTACACAAAGGAGTTCACCTTAAAATCTCCTTCATAACTTACCTTAAAATTGTCTTTAAAATATTAGCATGTGTTATATCAAAATCTATGTTTAGATCAACTCCCATAACAAATTGTTTTCGTCTGTTTTATGTAAACAATTAATAAAAAGGCACTCATGGTAGGCTAATTTTATCCCTTGACTTACAATTTGCTTTAGGGGTTCTTGGAAATGAAGAAATGCAGTTAAAATGCTTGGTAAAACATGAAACCAGAGTAAAACAGGTGCAAATATGGCAGGGGTATGTGGAATTTAAGGAGAAATAACAACGACAAAAGAGCATGAAAGCCGTGAAGACAGAGGTCATAGAAATCCATTCCCAGAAAGCTTCCTAATTTACGGATGCTCTAGAGCTGAGAACAATTCTTGGGTAGAAAATCCACCACGCCAGGGAAAATGCAAGCAGTTTCTTTGAAGGTATTAATTGAGGGTAGCCATAAACTCAATATTTTTTGTGTTGAGAATGGGTAACTTTAAGAAGTAGGATTGCCACTCAGTCTATGTAAGCACAAGAGTTGCTCTTCCATTTCTTAATAACCTTTGTGGTTGCTCTGTTTTTAACTATATGCCTGCTTTTGATGTCCCACAACAGTAGAGAGAAATATCTCTTGTGTTCTACTGGCATTTTAAATGTCTATGAAAACTCAATTCTTTTTTTTTTAATTTTTAAAATATAGATTTTTCTTTTGGTAGTAAATTATTTGTTCATTAGGGACAGTTGGTATGGGTATCTGTCATGCGTGAACACATGACCAGTGGCTTTTTGGTTCCAACTACACAAAATATGGGAAGCTGAGGCACAAAAACCCTTTCTAAGTATTCTGAAATAATAAAATTTCAGGTTATCAAAAAACAATACAAAGGAGAATGAGAATTCAGAATAGTACAATTGCTACAAATGCATTTTTAAATGCAATTTTAATGCAAGCACTCACTTTCTGTTGGCCAAAATAAAGCAGAGTAAAACAAAAGTTCACAACATTTTAAAACAGAAAACTGTATCACTCTCAAATATTTAACAAATATTGTCCTACCAAACGCTTAAATCCCCTACTAAATCAACCAACATCAAATAACTACCAAAATCTCATTGATGAAAATTTTTTAAACTCAAAGTTATCCATTTGATTTTGAATTAGATACTTCTATTACACTGAGTTTGACCAATTCCTCAAAATATAATCAGGTTATTCAGAACATATGCAGGCTTAAAATTTTTGTGTTTTCATATTTCTTCTTGATAGCTCTAAAAGAAATGTACTGAAGCACTAAATACGGCACCATACATTGTGTTCTCAGGTTTAACCAAAACATGTCAGTTTCTTTATTAAGCCCTGGAAAGACAAAAATTTGAAACCTTTCAAAATGAATACTTTGTCAAAATATGATGATAAATAGAATTTCCTGTTTTGATTGGTAATGCAATACAGATATAAGTGACCAAAAATGTCTCTTCATAAAAGGGACAAACATTTAGGAAATGTTGTCACTGATTCTATTTTCTGGAAGGGCATGTGGAGAGTTGGGGTCATTGTCTCCTTAAATGTTCAGTAAAGTTCACCAGGTAAATCATGCCCTAGTTCTTTATTTTGAAAGTCATTTTTTTACTGTGTAGGCGGAACATTGGCTTCCCCAAAAATGGCCACACTCTAATCCTGAGAACCTGTGAATATGTTAATATTATATCACAAAGGGTAATTAACTTTCAGATGAAATTCAAATTGCAAATTAGCAGAGTTATACTGGGGAGAGTGTCTTGAATTATATATTTATTTATTTATGAAAATAGAAGAAAAAAGTAGAATTAGAAATCAGGGCGATATGTTGTGAAAATAAGTCAATCCGTAAGTTCTGCCTTTGAACACTAAGTAAAGGGGCTATGAGATGAGGAATGTGAGCGGCCTAGAAACTGAACAAGACAAAAAAAATTCAAATAATTATTTATACCCTCCAGAAAGAAATACAGCACTGATGACACTTTGATTTTGCCAAATAAGACCAATTTGGACTTCCAACATATAGAACCATAAGATAATTGTTGCTTCAAGAGACTAAGTGTAAGGTAATTTGTTAAAGCAGCAATAGAAATTTAACAGATTGATTCAATTTCTTTAATAGATCATTTATCCTTCAGTCAGGCTGTCTCAAATTATTTTTATTGATATATAACATTTGTACATATTTATGAAGTGCATGTGATATTTTGATACATGCTTAGAATATGTAACGATCAAGTCATGATATTTAGGATATTCCTCACCTCAAACATTAAGCATTTCTTTGTGTTGGAAACATTCAAAGCTTCTCTTCTAGCCATTTTGAAATATACGATATATTGTTGTTAACTCTAGTCACTTTTCTATGCTATAAAACACTAGACCTTATTTCTTCTATCTAACTGTATATTTCCACCCATTAATCTACCTGTTGTCATCCCCAATCCCCACACATACACACATACCTTTCCCAGCTTCTAGTATTAATAACTATCATTCTACTCTCTACTTCCTTGAGATCAGCTTGTCAGGCTTTTGCCCTTTTGTTGCGATTGTAAATTGTGTTGTTTTAAATCTTTTGGTTTAGCTATTCATTCTTCTGTGAGCTTTGATAGTATCTTTTAAGAAATTTTTCCATATCCTCTAATTTAGCAATTTGGGGTGGGGGGGATGCATAAATTGTGTCATAATACTCCTTTATTATCCTTTTAATATCCATGGGGTAAGTGGTAATGACCTATTTTCATTTTTAATATGGTATCTTGTGTCGATTGCCTTTTTTCTTGAATATTCTCAGCAGAGACATCAATTTTATTGGTTTTTCAAAGGTCAGGCTTTTTGTTCTATTGATATTCTCTATCATTTTCTTCTTTTCAACTTCAGTGAATTTTGCTCTATCATAATTTTTATTATTTTCTTCTGCTTGCTTTAAGCTTGAATTGCTCTCCTTTCTCTGGTTTTTGAAGTGAGAGTTTGGATTACTGACTTTGGATTTTTATTCTATTCTAATATGTAAACTTAATTCTTTAAGTTTCTTCCTAAGCAATGTTTTCACTGTGTCGCACAAACTTTGATACATTATATCTCCATTTTGTCCAAAGCATTTTTAATTCTCTTGATTATTTGTACCATGAATTATTCAGAATTGTTTTAATTTATAAATATTTAATATTTAATATTAATATAAATATTAATTTATAAATATTTAATAATAATTTTTTAGCTATCTTCACCTAATTGCTTTCTAGTCTTCTTTCTGATGGAAATATATACTTTGTATGTTTTTAATTGTTTTATGTTAGTTGAGCTACGTTTTACAACTCAAACATGGTCTGTGTTGGGGACTGTTCCATGTGAACTTGAGAACAATGTGTGTTGTGTGGTTTTTGGTTGGAAATTCTATGAATGTCAATAAGACCACATGGATTGACAGTGATATTCAGATCAAATATATCTTTTCTCATTTTTTGCCTGCTAGATTTATCAACTACTGAGAGCTGTGTTGAAGTCTCTAATTATAATAGTGAATGTTTCTGCTTCTTTCTATTTTTGCTTCTGTCTCTTTCCTTTTTTTTTTCTTTGAAGCCCTGGTATTAAGTGCATACATGTTTAAGATTGTTATGTCTCCTTGGAGAAATTATCTGTTTTTCACCATGTAATATTCATCTTTATCCCAAATATTACATGTTCAGAAAAATGCTTTGTCTAAAATTAATATTTCTTCTACAGTTTTCTTTTGATTAATGTTAGCATGGCATATATTTTACTATTTCTTAATTTTTAACCCATATAAGTCTTTTCATTTAAAATGATTCCTTCATATACCACGTATATTTGGTTCTTCTTTTATATTTAATCTGACAATATATCTTTTAATTTGAATGTTTATACTATTCACATATATAGTAATCATTAATATATTATATCTACTTTGTTTGTAATTGTTTCTGCCTATTTTGTTGCAAAATGAGTATCTTAAATGATTCCATTTTATGTCCTTTATTTGCATGTCAAGTATACTTTTAAAAATATTTTTTATTGAATGACCTAAAATTCACAATATACATTTTAAGCACTCTAAGTCCATCTTCAGATAACACTATATCACTTTATAGATGGTGTGGGTACCTAATAATAAGATATCCCCATTTCTCCTGCCCATGTATTCTGACAATGCTGTTATACATTTCTCATGGATATACACTGTAATCATTCAACACATATTTATAATTATGACTTTAAATAGCTATCTTTTAGATCAATTACAAACAATAAAGTATCTTTCTTTACCTTGATTTATTCCTTCACTGACTCTGATTTTTTACACAGATCCAAGTATCTAACCTATAACATTTTTCTCCTGCCTGACATACTTCTTCATATATTTCATACAGCTACATTTTGCTGTTAGTAAATTTCCTCAGGTTTCTGTTTATCCGAAAAAAACTTTGTTCTTCCTTCACTTTAGAAGAATTATTTCACTGAATATAGAATTCTAGATTGATGATTATTTTCATTCAACATTTTAAATATTTCTCTTTTCTCTTATTGCTTGAATGGTTTCTAATAAGAACCTGCTATAATCTTTATTGTTGCTTTGCAGATATAATGCCTTTTCTGTTTCTCTCTCTCTCTGCTTTTCAGTGTTGAAAGTTTCTATTAACTTATCTTCAAGCTCGCTGATTCTTTTCTTAGCCATTTTCAATCTACTCATAAGCCCATCAAAGATAATCCTCATTTCTGTTAGAAATATTTTGATTTCTATCATTTCCTTTTTATTCTTTCTTAGAGATTTCGTCTGTTTTTATATTACAGATTTGTCCTTGAATGTTGTATGTTTTTTTCCACTAGAATTCTTAATGTATTAATAATAATAATTATTTTAGTTTCTGCTCCATAATTCAACATCTCCTATTTTAGAGTCTGGTGCTGGTGTTTATTTTGACTTTTCAGACTGTTTTTTCTTGCCTTATGGCATGTATGTTAATTTTTTTTTGAAAGCAAGACATGTTGTATTGATAATAGAAACTGAGGTAAATGTGCTTTTAGTGTTGATTTATGTTAATTTGAGTAGAATTTGGGTTCTGTTTAATGTTTGCTGTAGCTATAGGTGCCAGATGCATCAAATTCCTCCAGTGTCATTGTTCTTGTCACAACTCTTGACTTTGGGCTTCTCTAAGTATTTCTCATAGAGAGAGTCTGCCTTTTTCAGACTGTTTAGCTGTAAGCCACTGTTCTTATACTAGAGCCTCATTGGTGTAGTAGTAAGGTACAGGGGAAAGAGAGAGTATTCAATAATTGTACACCTGAATTTTAGTTTTTAGTGAGCTTGTCTCTTTGGGCTGTGGCCCTCAAAAGTGTTTCTCCAGTTGTACAGTGTTTCTCCCTCACCCCCACTGTCTCTGTCCCCTACTTGCTTCCATGACTACAGTATTCTGAATCTCTTTTCTTGAACTCTAACTCTTGTTGGTTATCTTGTTTCCCCAATTTTAGGTTGCAACAGGAAGGCTAGAAGAGGTTAGATTGGATAAAAATGCCTGTCCCCTAACTAAGGCTTTGGCAAAGTCTTTTCTCTTACAGAGTAATTCTTTTTATAAACATGATTCTGGACTTATTTTGCAAGGATTAATCTCCCCTTTCTACTGCCAGAACCATAAGGGCACCTTTCTCAGTCCTTCACCATGAGACTGCAGTGGACCTCCTGGAGGTAGGCCTGGGAAGGTGTGGAAGCTCTCCTACAGCTATGACCTCCAAGTGTTTCTCAATCTCATTCTAATTCACACTCAGCCTCCAGCAGTTGGTCCATTAAAATGACCATTTCAGTATGGCTATAGTATATGAGCACGCATACATTACTCCAGGTAGTTAGTTTGTCTCAGATGTAACTCTCTGGATTTACCTTTCAACATTTTGGGTTGGCAGTTTGCTCTGTAATCTTATTTATCTAATAGGTTGAAGAAAAGTCATGGCGTTTCAGTTTCTTGAGCTTTTTCTTATTATAAGAACAGATGTGCAAACTTCCAAGCTCTTTACCTGATGGAACTGAAATCTGACCTATCAATATTTAATTAATGAGGTAGCAAAACACATAGAAGATACCATGAAATTATTGATTCTATATATTATACATATTTTATATGAAAGCAAAACACTATAATCAATATCACTTCATATAAACTATTTGATAAATATTAGCTTATGTTCTTTTACTTTTTATTAAATAATGTAGTTATGAAAATATCCAGGCTTTTAAATTCAGCAACAAATCCATATTTGCCACGTCTTTTCCCTTCAGTAACTATGTACTATTCCCTTGCCTGTGACTTCCTTTCATTATCATATTCACCACTCGCCACAAAATTAATATAACTCTTCATAGAGAGTGCCAAATTGGCAGGGGGTGTCTACCAAAGCTATTCATCTATTTCTTTTTAAATTAATTTGTACATCAATTTAATAAGTCCTTAAACCTCTGCCATCTGCAATGTAATACTTTCCCTGGTTTTGGATGATGAGGTATATATTCTCATTTTATTACATTTAGACTTGTGGGCCCACTTCCAACACAGCAAGAAGAGAACGCAATCTTTGGTCTGGTACTTTAATCCACTTTGGCAAAGACAGAAACCATTTGGAACAGCAGATTGACAGACTTGCTACTAAGTAACCAGTCAGTGTACATGGAAGATAAAAATATACCTTGGGATATTATGTTTATAGATCACTTTTTGACTTTTAGGAGGATTGTTTTCCATCAAACTTTATGTAAATATATATTGGCATTACCATTCAGGACATAGGCATGGGCAAGGACTTCATGTCTAAAACACCAAAAGCCATGGCAACAAAAGACAAAATTGACAAATGGGATCTAATTAAACTAAAGAGCTTCTGCACAGCAAATAAAAACTACCATCAGAGTGAACAGGCAACCTACAAAATGGGAGAAAATTTTCGCAACCTACTCATCTGACAAAGGGCTAATATCCAGAATCTACAATGAACTCAAACAAATTTACAAGAAAAAAACAAACAACCCCATCAAAAAGTGGGCGAAGGACATGAACAGACACTTCTCAAAAGAAGACATTTATGCAGCCAAAAAACACATGAAAAAATGCTCATCATCACTGGCCATCAGAGAAATGCAAATCAAAACCACAATGAGATACCATCTCACACCAGTTAGAATGGCAATCATTAAAAAGTCAGGAAACAACAGGTGCTGGGGAGGATGTGGAGAAATAGGAACACTTTTACACTGTTGGTGGGACTGTAAACTAGTTCAACCATTGTGGAAGTCAGTGTGGCGATTCCTCAGGGATCTAGCACTGGAAATACCATTTGACCCAGCCATCCCATTACTGCGTATATACCCAAAGGACTATAAATCATGCTGCTATAAAGACACATGCACACGTATGCTTATTGCAGCATTATTCACAATAGCAAAGACTTGGAACCAACCCAAATGTCCAACAATGATAGACTGGATTAAGAAAATGTGGCACATATACACCATGGAATACTATGCAGCCATAAAAAATGATGAGTTCATGGCCTTTGTAGGGACATGGATGAAATTGGAAATCATCATTCTCAGTAAACTATCGCAAGAACAAAAAACCAAACACTGCATATTCTCACTCATAGGTGGGAATTGAACAATGAGATCACATGGACACAGGAAGGGGAATATCACACTCTGGGGACTGTTGTGGGGTGGGGGGAAGGGGGAGGGATAGCATCGGGAGATATACCTAATGCTAGATGATGAGTTAGTGGGTGCAGCGCACCAGCATGGCACATGTATACATATGTAACTAACCGCACAATGTGCACATGTACCCTAAAACTTAAAGCATAATAAAAAAAAAAAAAAAAAAAGAAACTGGAAAACATTATGGATGATGCCCAAAAGTACAGCCAAAAATGACTGTAGGCTTGAAAGGCCCAGCTGCTGGGTGTTAAAAGTCTCAAGTGTCCTATGACTGCAGGACATTTTGTTCTCCTGAACATTTTATATCTTTCAGAAGGGCAGAAGAAAAACTTATTTTAATTATATACTTTTGATTTCATTAAAAAATAGTATAGTGTTGACTTTTATGTTTCTTATTACCCTTCAATGTTATGGAATTCATCTCAGTTCATAAAATAAAATTCATAAGATTTAAAAATAGAAATTAGATGATAATTGATAAAGTCAAGCTTCTTAAAACTTTTTAATAGTTTATTTTATAAATATAAAATTATTAATGGGCTATAAAGTTAAGGGATTTAAAATTTAGCATTCATAAAGAAAAAATAAAAACGGATATTACAGAGAAATAAATAATTAAACTTCTGGGTGGACTTTCATAGTGAACTTGTTCCAAATTGCTTAGGCCATAGTTGAAGACAACAAGAACTAAAGAAGGGAATAATTCATTTTCTTTCTTTCTTTCTTTCTTTTTGAGATGGAGTCTGGCTCTGTTGCCCAGGATGGAGTGTAGGGGCGCGATCTCGGCTCACTGCAACCTCCGTCTCTCAGGTTGAAGCGATTCTCCCATCTCAGCTTCCCAAGTAGCTGGGATTACAGGTGCCTGCCATCATGCCTGGCTATTTTTTGTATTTTTAGTAGAGACAGGGTTTCACCATGTTGGCCAGTCTGGTCTTGAGCTCCTGACCTCAAGTGAACCGTCTGCTTCGGCCTCCCAAAGTGCTGGGATTACAGGCATAAGCCAACGCGCCCAGCCAATTTTTTTTTTTTTTTGTCACAGAAAATAAATTATGGTTTAATTATTCAAATCCCCATCTCTTGATTCTTAATATAGTATCCTTGTTGCCATCATATTATGGTACTTTTTAAACTGTCTTCAGCCATCTTCTTTTTATTTTTGCTTTTAATTGTCTCTCCTTCAACTGGAGCCCAGACCATTGACCATTATACATTGACCACTGTTTTTCCCTGTTCATTTTGCATTGGTGTATCTGAAATAAGCTCACTTGAACATTATGAACTGTAGTACTTTGTCCACGCTGACAAAATGTTTTTGCTAAATCTTTCCAAAGATCTTTCTCAAAACCCTACACTACCCAATGTAAGATAATAATTTAGATCGCTGAACCAACAACTTTTCAGAATAAGTTATTCATCTGTTCTCTAGGCTCTGCTGAGATTTCTCAGAGTCTCTCAAATCTGTGTATAGGAAGAGTCTCTACAGACCAGAGCATGCTTATGCAGAGCACTATGGATGGATGTCTTGGGCAAGGGGTGGAGGGGTACTGAAGTTCTGGTATTATTCCAGTATTAAATTAGCCAATCTCTTTGAAATTGAGTCCATGATATAATAAATAAAATGCACTTGAAATGTCACTGCCCTCGGCTAAGTGCTCACAATGCGAAATTCTAGCTTGGTACTGATTTTCAAAACCAAGTTTTTAACATAATGAAAACAGTTTGCGTTTAAAATTGTCACAATTATTTAATTTTTAAAAAATATATCAGGTGTCTGAATAATAAAGAAAAAATATATTTCCATAAATTATTCTTGTGGGGTTTTTGAGAGTAAGAAACTTTAGTGATTGTTTTCATATAATATAGTAGCTTTGGCTCATTTTCTTTAAAACATGTTATTCGATAGAAAAACTACTAAAATAAATGTGTTAACAGCATACTTATGTCCATTACACTTCAACAAGGATAATTCTTAGGAGCTGGATCTCTTCCTATCTACCTGTCACCCACACACAAAAATTCCATATATCTCTTCACTCATTTCTTATCACGCCTTTTAAAAAGAAATGGGGCTAACTGAATTATTTATGTACCATCCAAAAAGCTTCCTATATCTAATTGGTCCCTATATCTAAAAGGTTCCTACATCTAAGTGGCAGAAGTGTTAAACAGTAGAACTGCCACATAGATAACAGCACAATTAAATGGATTATTTTTAGCTCTCCTTCTCTATTCTCTGTTACAGCATATTCTAACCACAATAGCAAAGTCTCACAAAGTGAGGTATCCATTACTGTAAATTTCAGATTGCACACTGCTGGAGTTTCTGTATTCCAAAGTACTATGTAACCTATCTTAGGCAATCATTTGTATTTTCCCAGTCCATTTTGCTTTTTAATTTGGCCTGTTACCAAGTAAAGGAGCAAAGCACAATTGAAGCAGCATACCTCCATTACTGATCAAGAGGTTATAAGTTGGAATTTCCTGCAGCATCTAGCTATAAATCAGTGGCTTAAAATCCTGGCATGTAAATAACAGATCATGATCTCAGTGGAACAGAGATTGTTACTGAGGGGGAGAAAAGAAGTTGAGAGTCTAAAAGAAAGCATTTGATTCAGCAAAGGAATTGAACTTGGAAATAGCAAACAGATCCTAGTTTTGTTGCATATTTCAATACTATGTTAAGCATACTGGAAGAGAAATGCAGTGAGAAATAATTATAATTTTCATTTCCTCTTTGTTATTCTGCTGGTGAGGATGACTCCAATAAAACAGACACAAGAAATCAATCACATAATAGTGTTGAGTTAGGAAATCAAATGCACAAAGACTTGTGACAAACTGCTAAACTATAGGCATTATTAACCCTTATTCTTGTATGATTCCTTATATTTTTGGAGAATTTTTAGTTATTTTCATTCATCTGTGACTTGGTATCATTATGAAGGTAATATTATAATTCCTATGAGGAAAGAAAATCGGGTATTTGAATAAGTTCAGGAGATTACATAGCAAAAAATAAACCCTTGGGAATAGAAACTGAATGTCATGATTTCCCATTCATGTTTTCAGTCAGTTTTAAAGAAACTTGTGCTTTCTTTAACTTCTTTTTCATGTGAATTGTGAGAATGCAGGACTATGTGTGTGTGGGTATAAGTATGTGGTTTCGATATGTGTGCTAGCTAAGGGCTTATACATGTGCACAAGGATAGAACAAGATTGAAGGGAATTGAAATGTAAAGAGAAAGAGAGGGATTACAGAGCAAAGAGCAAAAGGTAAAGAGGAAAGACTGAAGAAATATAGCATCCTTTTTAACTGGTAAGATTTAGAAAGTAAAGGAAAAGTTACAGAGTTAATAGAAAACAAGACTTAGACTATCATATTGCTGCAGTCTTTCTGCTCCTTAGCCCAGCTAGATCTAAGTTCTTGTCTCACAACCAGGAAGAATTAGGCATGTGGACACCGGAGAGTCAATGGAGTAAAATTAATTAAGCAAAAGGAAAGCTCTTAGCAAAGAGGGGACATGGGTGGTGAGTTCCCTACCCTAAAGTGGGAAAGTCCCTCGTTTAGCTGGGTCCAGGGCCTTCTCAGAATGGGTAGTGCATGCTGATTGGTTTGTGAGTATGCAAAAAAGGTTAAATTGAAATCACCACTCAAAGGTGGGCATGACACGGTAGAAAAATAATTAGGAAATGGCAGGTATATGTATAATAGGTGAAGGGTGGGGATCAATCAGAGGAAAACGCACCAACAGGAAGACAAGTTCTTATTTTGGTCCAAGGATTTCACTTATAGTTTGGCTTTCAGGTTTTAAACTGTCTTTGGCTTGGAGGTGGGGTTTCACTGGGGACGTGCCTCTATCTGCGTAGGCACTTGGCAGCCTCCTGCCATTCTCAATATGACATTCAAGTCCTGATGTAAGCAACTGAAGGTCACTAGTAGAATTGTGCATATGTGGGTAGGGCATGGAACAAGACCCATGCATGCTGGATATTTTTAATGTGCTAACATTTTACTCAATGCAATTGTTTAATCAAAAATTGCTGAGACATTGAGACCCTGAGACATTGACAGTTTTGAGACTGTGTGACTCCTGTTGCATACTCAAGACCTTTGTTAGTAATTATCTTTAGTTTTTGCCTCCTCTTGCAATACTGCTATAAAATGCCCTAATCTCAATTGAATATTCACATCACTATCATTTTTTCAAGGCCCTGGCACTACATGGCTATAATTTCCAGATGCAGGCACTCCCTCCTCAGTGCTATCAATGCTTTCTTGATTGCTAGCCCTCAAAGAGGTACAATCTCCAGGAAATTCTATCTTGGCATAAGAAATACACATATATGGGTTCCTTTTTCCTTATTTTTGTAAATACTGAATATAAAACAAATATATCTTTTAATTTAGTTTGAGTATAAACTCTTCTAATTGTTTTCTTTACTTTCCAATTTCCTAGAGAAAGTCTTTGCTATAATCTCTTTAAGGAGTTGGCATTGCATGGGAGACACTTCGTTTCTAAGGAAACATCCAGTTTTGAAAGGTACATTGCACCAATGTTGCAAGACTAAACTCGGAGTAGTTTCCACAACTTGCTCTGATATTAACATGGGAGCCATGTCAGGTAAATATCCACTTTTTTGAAGTAATATGAATCCATCAGTTAGTTAGGCATCATGAAGCGGTACTACTAGATGAGTTTCAGAGTCCTGATTAAAGGAAAATGCAGTTGCGTGTTGCAAATTTACATATTCCCAAAAAGGACGTTAAATAGGAACCAAATTGCAAATTTGATATAGCTAGACACTGCCACGGTACCTTTTGCCAGTGCCATCAGCTGTGCAATCCAAAGCCTTTAGCCATTTCCTTTAATTTCCAAGGAACATAAACATTTTAAATCCTTTGCTCTCTTGTTCTTAGCCATAATGTGCTATATGTTATGATCACCCACTGCATGAAACTAAGCCCTTCCTTACATCAATTACTGTGATATTAATAAAATTTATTCAAAATATGTCAGAGTTGAGATCCTGGAATAAGGCTTTTTATATAAGGAGACAACCATTTACCATTGTGCCAGATTTATGTTTTTTCCCTCTCCTTATTCTCAGGCCTGCACTCCCATATTTTCCGAAGAAATACAGCAACCTCCCTGGCATAAGTTTCCCAAAAAAACTTTCTTCAGTCCTTTTATAAATCAACTGGTGATTATATATTGATTTGAGTAGGATGGGAAAACACAGAAGAGTGCTTAATTTAATGAAAAAAAAATAGATTTAAAAGTTTGGGTGAAGTATAAAAGTCAGAGACTTGGCATAGTTCTACATGACCTGGAAAAGCTTGCGATCTCATTGTTAGAAAGCCAATGAGGAATAAACCTATGGGCATCATGCTGATTCCAGTATAAAGACTATGATTTTCTAACATTTGTAAATTTCAGCCACTATCTTCCAAAAAAGAAAACATCTGATTGTCTCAGTTTGGATCACACTGGTTACATTCCCCATGTGATCTAAACATCCATGGCTGTGGTATACAGACTTGGCTATAAGGTTCACTTTTGTTGGTGAGTCCTGTTTTTTAGGTAAGAATGCCTGCTAATGGGAAAAATATTGCAAAAATAATCCTGGTATTATAAAGTCAAGGAAAAGCTTACAGCTACCCAATTCCAAGTGAAGTTGGATGGGTGAGGTAAGGTCGATGAAAAATAGAATGTCACTTTTTGGTATAAGTGCCTCAGAGAAGTGATTCAATAAGCAGCTTGTAGCATTTTGGGGTAAATTAAAACATGTTAAATTTGTAGTGACAGAGTAGAACTATATTAATTTATACTAGACTCTTGGGACAAATGCTACTGAAGATATTTTCCACTATCACAATTTTCCCCTAATTTATTCTCTTCATCAAAATCACCAGGGTAGTACATTTAACAATTACTGAATCTTGGACCCCGTCATTACTTGCTGAAGCTGAAGGGTATCATATGGTATGCTATATGATGTCTGACGTAATTAGAGACAACATTGTTCTTTTGTTGTTTTAAAAAAACTGTGGTAAAATATACATAAAATTCTTAAAGTACTTAAAGTACTTTGCAAACTTAAAGGTACTTTAAAAGCAAAATACTTAAGATTCACCATTTAAACCATGTTTAAGTGCACAGTTCAGTGGTAACAGGTACTTTTATACTACAACAGGTACATATACATATATATAGCACAACAGTATAAAAGTATATATACAAATAGTGTATTCATTCATGACTGTCCCATTTCACCTAGCATAATGTTTTCAAGATTCATCTTTGTTATCGCATGTTTTCAAATTTCCTTTCTTTTTAAGGCTGAATAACATTCTGTTGTATGAAAAAAAAAACACGTTTTCTTTATTAAAAATCTTGGAGTTATGTGTATCAATCATGCTGATGTCTGTCTTATGTATATGTGTTAATATTAATTCAGACATTTATGGTATTTTGCCATTGTTTTGTAAATGTTCTTTTTGGAAAGTATATTATATACTTTGTGGGAGGAATCTTCTACAACACATTCTTAAATAAATTAACGTAAATATAGGATATTTTTCTAAAGTCTAAAAATGGGAATATAGTTTTACTAAAGTACAAGAACAGGAGAAAGTTGTAATTGGAGATCTGTTGTTCTAGGCATCACGCTAGTCCCTTTTATACATACTGTTCTGCTTAATGATGATCTCAACTTTGAAAGGTGGATTTTTTGCTTTCATGTTTACACATGACAACATTGAGATCCAGAAAGCTCAGAGAGCTACGAACTCCCTCCACTGGTTGATAAACCTAGCTCTGTGTGATTCCAAATTTCATGAGGTTTCCATTGTGCCATACCACAACACATAGAAAAACTGTTTAATAGAAAATATTCCCATTTTAACAGTCATACTACTAACTAGTCTTAATGGTAAAGTATTAATGACCTGGTAATATCATTGTGTACTCCAAAAGATACACAACAAGCATCATAAAACCATAGTAAAAGCATGATTCCTGAAAGAAATATTATATTATAATGGGTTAATCACCATTATATTCTTTTTTACAATGCCCATGAAATGAATTTTTGACATTTGACTGAACCCCTCTAGTAGGTTCAAATATTAAAAAATAATTTAAGCAAATAAGTGATTCTGTTATTTTCCAACAAAAATTTGTATTTGATATACATGAAGCCATAGAGAAATGAAAAGGAAAATTTTGTTTGATAATCTATTAATTATCTATAATATGCACAGATTGTTGATATTTGTCGTTTCCTTTATATTTATAATCATAAATAGGTTATACCCAATAAAGCAAGTTAAAAACTAAAAAACAAGTTATATTATTTACAGTCTGAGTGTGTATTCTGTATATGCAATCTTACATGTTTTGAATCATTAGCATTACATGTTTTTCATCTTCAATGATGCAAGGTTTATCTCCTTCCTTTTGTTTCCCTCTTAATAAACAAATCTTTGTGTATAAATCTGTAATGAAGGCCAGTGTGGTGGCACAAGCCTGTAATCCCAGAACTTTGGGAGGCCGAGGTGGGCGGCTCGCCAAGTCAGGAGTTCGAGATCAGTCTGGCCAACATGGTGAAACCCCATCTTTAGCAAAAATACAAAAAAAATTAGCTGGGCATAGTGGTGTGCACCTGTAATCCCAGCGATTTGGGAGGCTGAGGAGGAGAATCACTGAACCCAGGAAGCAGAAGTTGCAGTGAGCCAAGATCAGGCCACTGCACTGCAGAGCCTGGGTGACAGAGCAAGACTCCATCTCAGAAAAAAAAAAAAAAATCTGTAATGAAACTAGACAGATATTTTCTACTTTTAAAGCTTTCATTTTAAATACCCTGGTATATAGTAATTTTTACAACTATTAGGTTAATATATAAGCAGAAACAATTTTTATATTCAATTTTTTGAATTAAAAAAAAATTGTATCTTGGAAAATTTGCAGCCAATAGAACTCAAATGTCTGCCCACACATCCTGAGAAATGCTGCCAAACATCAGAATGAGAGAAGTTACTCAAACCAACAGAAGAAATACTTCCAGGAATCCCACAGAGAAAGAGGGAGAAATATGGCCATAAGAGAGAAAACACCACCCTAATGACTTTAACAACCACAGATGCTAAGTATAAAACATTTCCAGACAGTATTCTTTAAGAATTCAAAGCCTCTTTTAAAATCTTCAAAAGACAAGGAACCATAGATAAAGCAGGAGTTCTATTATCTTTTAAAAGCATGTTTGAAAGATGAAAATGTCATGAAAATACATTTATTAATAGTAACCACAATTTACATGTTTCTATAATCACAAATATTTTGTAAGATTCCACTTCTTAGATATGAGGGTTTCTTATTTATATGTACACAATAAATGTAATAGAATCCAAGAAAGGATTTTCAAATTTGTAGTTTACCAATGAATATGGTGATGAATAGTCTCTGCCTATGTGAAAATAAGAAATGCTGCTACCCATGAAATATATATGGTAATTCCACAATATTAATTTCCAACTAAGCAGGAGGATACAGAAGCAATTTCAGTTTTTCAGGACTATCTGTCTTTAAAAATTGTACATTTTTACCTCATAAAAGCCTGAAGATTACAGGAATATTATCTCTCAAAGCCAGTGTTAAAAATATGCAGTAAAGACAATATTTTGGTAAAGAAATCTCTTAATCACAATGCAGTGTATAACCATTTTTAGCTCTTATTTTATATAAATTCTCAATAAGCAATTAATGCTTAAGTGTATCCAGAATGGAAGATAAAAGTCTAAGAAACAACGAAATAATAGATAAGTCTTAAACACTGAATATTAATATATTAGTCTGTTTTCACACTGCTGATAAAGACATACCCAAGACTGAGTAATTTACACAGGAAAAAGGGTTTAATAGACTTGCAGTTCCAAGTGGCTGGGGAGGCCTCATAATCAAGGTGGAAGGCAAGGAGGGGAAAGTCATGTCTTACACTAATGGCAGCAGGCAAAAACAGAGTTTGTGCAGGGAATCTTCTGTTTTTAAAACCAACAGATCTTGTGAGATTCATTCACTATCACAGAGCAGCACAGGAAAGACTTACCCATTTAATTCCATCACTTTCCACCAGGTTCCTTCCATGACATGTGGGAATTGCAGGAGTTATTCAAGATGAGATTTGGGTGGGGACACAGCCAAACCATATCATTCCACCCCTGGCCCCTCTCAAATCTCATGTTGTCACATTTCAAAACCAATCATGCCTTCTCAACAGTCCCCTAAAGTATTAACTCATTTTGGCATTAACTCGATAGTCCACAATCCAACATCTCATCTGAGACAAGACAAGTCCCTTCTGCCTATTAGCCTGTAAAATCAAAAGCAACTTATTTACTTCTTATATACAATGGAGGTTCAGGCATTGGGTAAATACACCTGTTCCAAATGGGAGATATTGCCAAAACAAAGGGGCTACAGGCCCCAGGCAAGTCCAAAATCCAGCAGGGCAGTCAAATCTTAAAGCTCTAAAATGATCTCCTTTGACTACATGTCTCACATCTGGGTCACACTGATCAAGAGGTGGGTTCCCACTGTCTTGGGCACCTCCGACCCTGTGGCTTTGCAGGCTACTTCCTTCCTCCAAGCTGCTTTCATGGTCTGGTGTTGAGTGTCTGCAACTTTTACAGGCACATGGTGCAAGCTGTTGGTGGATCTACCATTCTGGGGTCTGGAGGACAGTGGTCCTCTTCTCACAGCTCCAGTAGGCATTGCCCCAGTAGGGACTCTGTGGGTGCTCCAACCCAACATTTTCCTTCACTTAGCCGAGGTCCTCTATTGAAAGCCCCGTCCTTGCAGCAAACATCTGCCTGGACATCCAGGTATTTCCATACATCCTCTGAAATCTAGGTGGAGGTTCCTAAACCTCAATTCTTGACTTCTGTGTACCCAGAGGCTCAATATCATGTGGGAGTTGCCAAGGCTTGGGACTTGCACCCTCTGCAGCCATGGCCTGAGCTATACCTTGGCCCCTCTTAATCACAGCTAGAGCAACTGGGAAGTAGGGCACCATGACCCTAGACTGCACAAAGCATAGGAACCCTAGGCCTGGCCCATGAAACCATGTTTTTCTCCTAGGCCTCTGGGCCTGTGATGGGAGGTGCTGCTGTAAAGACCTCTGACATGCCCTGGAGACATTTCCCCATTGTTTTGAGGATTAACATTCAGCTCCTTGTTACTTATGTACGTTTTTGCAACTGGCTTGAATTTCTCCTCAGAAAATGGAATTCTTTTTTTTTTCACATTGTCAGGCTGCACATCTTCTGAACTTTTATGTTTCTTTCCTTTATAAAACTGAATGCCTTTAACAGCACCCAAGTCACATCTTGAATGCTCTGCTGCTTAGAATTTTTTTTTCACCAGATACCCTAATTCATCTATCTCAAGTTCATAGTTCCATAAATCGCTAGGGGAGAAGTAAAAATGCCACCAGTCTCTTTGCTAAAATATAACAAGAGTAACTTTTGCTCCACTTCCCAACAAGTTCCTCATTTCCATCTGAGACCACCTCAGTCTGGGCTTTATTGTTCATATCACTATCAGCATTTTGGGCAAAGCCATTCAACAAGTCTCTAGGAAGTTCCAAACTTTCCCACATTGTCCTGTCTTCTTCTGAGCCCTCCAAACTGTTCCAACATCTGCCTGTTACACAGTTCCAAAGTTGCTTCCACAGTTTCCAGTATCTTTTCAGCAATAACCCACTCCCAGTACCAATTTACTCTACTAGTCTGTTTTCACACTGCGATAAAGACATACCCAAGACTGGGTAAGTTATGCAGAAAAAAGGGTTTAGTGGACTTACAGCTCCACATGGCTGGAGAGGCCTCATAATCATGGTGGAAGGCATGGAGGAGCAAGTCACATCTTACGTGGACGGCGACAGGGAAAAAGAGGGCTTATGTAGGGAAACTCTGCATTTTAAAGCCATCAGATCTTGTAAGACTCCTTCACTATCATGGGAACAGTGCATGAAAGACCCACCCCCATAATTCAATCGCCCCCCACTGGGTTCCTCCCACAACACGTGGAAATTGTGAGAGTTACAATTCAAGATGAGATTTGGGTGGGGACACAGCCAAACCTTATCAATTAATCATTTTCTTTTTTTTTTTTTAAGTTTGAAAGCTGGGTCTCAAATTTGTTTCTGTCATAAAATGAGGTTTTTCTCCTTTTGTAAAACAGTATATTATTATCTTCTTTAGCATTAATATCACTATATTTAAAAATTATTTTTATTAGTACCCAGTGGTTCATAAATTGAAATTTTTTGGCAAAAGAATCCAGATTTTTTTTTTTTTTACTGTTTTTCAGTTTTTAGAATTAAAATGACATTTTGGAAATCCAGGAAGGCTGATGGTCCTGACAGATTTTATCACTACAGACCATTTAAAACCGAAGAAAGACACGGTGCCATGTAATACCTAAATCTAAACTTTACTATTTTTCTGAACATTTAATTTACTAAAAAAATTGAGTGAAATTTATGTAAAATATATTTAAATTTACACCTCAGTATTGACTTGTCTGAAACATATTTCTAATACAAGTTAATAACATTTTATTAATAAGATGTAATTTTCTAATAAAATAATCACCTAAAGATTTTAACATGAATAAAAGTTAATCTTCATTGAATATTAATATCTAATTATAACAGTATATGAAAATTCATTTATTTCATAATTCATATTAAAATTATTTACATTAAAAGCTAAAATCTAACAAAGCAGATTTATTCTTATTCATCTTATTTAATACTTAGCTCAGCCAGTCACAGTGGCTGGTGCCTATAGGCCCAGTGCTTTGGAAGCCTGAGGCAGGAGGATTGCTTCAGTCTAGGAGTTTCAGACCAGACTGGGCAACATAACGAGACCCCAGCTCTACAAACAAATTTTTTTTTAAAATTACCTGAGCGTGGTGGCATATACCTATAGTCCCAGCTACTCCAGAGGCTGAGGCAGGAGGATCACTGGAAGCTAGGAGTCTGAGGTTACCGTAAGCCATGATGGTGCCACTACACTCCAGTCTAGGTAACAACGTGAGGCCCTGTCTCTATAAAAAATAATAATAATGTCCAGCTTTTGTGAAACCCAAAGGTACATAACTTGAGTATTATTCAAGTTCTTATCCCTTTCTTTATCACCTACTCATATGCCATTTCTAAAGTAACTGTTTCAATTCTCACCTTATCTACTATTACATATTATAGAGTCATTTTTATTCTAAGTAAATGGTATCTTTATTAGACAACACAGATCTTGTGAAATGAGGACAATGAAAATATTTTCTTTAGTTCTAAAAATTAATTTCAATTAAATGGTACTTCATGATGAGAAAACCAATTTCCAAAGCTTTAAAAATCAGCTTAAATATAAAGCTCAATTACCAGAATTTGGAAGTATGGCACACATACATGTGCCTTCTCTCCCCACTTACACACACACACACACACACACACAAACACACACATGCCCACTCACACACTGTTTACCAAAAACATAATATTGTAATAAATCAGTATTTCTCTTTGCCCTATTAAATAAGCAGATTATAATAAAATCTGTTCACTATATTAAAAATAAAGTGTACTCTTTATTGATGATTCTGTGACTTGTGGCTTGTTAGAATATCCAAGTGATAGATGCTGGAGTAGGTTATCAAAACACTCCTCTCCCTTCCTTCCCCCATTATAGAGATGTGAACACGAAATAGATATTTAAGTCTCCAATCTTTCTGCTATTTTTGGCCTTGTGACATATTTCTCACAAGTCTGGAATAATTTTTCACTCTGATCACATGTAAATATTACCTCTTTGTGCAGTTTGCAGCATTTTAATTTCCTTAACATACTTACATGCCCATCAGTATGAAAAACAAAGAAACAAAAATAAATTGTATCTAAAGTTAGAAAGATTAAGGACTACTGATCATTTTAGGCAGTGATATATTGGTAATTTGAGAGGGCTGAAATGAGCTCAAACTATTTTCAAACTTCTTGACATGTGTTCTCTCAACTCACTTTTCTCTCATGAGTTTATTTTCACCAAGGTTTGTTCTTTCCCTTCTATATCTCCCTCCCAATGAAGAGTTGGCTCTCTTCTATTGTAAGGGTAACTATAAATACGTAAGTTTCATTCCCTCTTCTCCTGCCATCTGGGAGTTCTTAACTGGCTCATTACTTATCAGATTGTCTATCTGAAGCATCTCTCCATAGAGTTCATCACAATTTTTTTGTAATGTCTTATTAGTCCTATTAAAATGTGATTGTCTATTTTTTAACCTCTCTGTATCTCATCATTTGCTACCAAACTTTCTTAGAAAGTTGATATTACTAGTGGTTTTAAACATTGAATATATAACTCACTTGATGGCCCATTCAACATATGCTGATAGATTTTGATATACTTATTCTGAGGAGTACCCAGGAACCTCTATTTCTGATCCACGTGGGCTCTTGAATGAATTTTGGAAAACATTTTCTATCCCTAGAATATCATCCTCTTCCACAAACTCCATATCCACCCTCTTCAGTGGATACCAGTGATGCTCTAATTTGTAAACTAATTATTCTTGTCTTTGATTTCCCTGAAAATCTGTGATTTTCCTTCACTTCATTTGTACACTTTCCATTGGAATGCATGATATGCATCATCCCTTATTACACAAACTTTTAGGACACTTACTTGATTTTCACTAGCATATCTCCCTCTTGCTTAAGCCTTACTTTTGCTGTTTTTCTATATTGTTTCCTAGACTTTGCATTATTTCCTTCCTTCTATACTGGTTATCTTAATGATTTGACCTCCTATCATTTAAACTATAATCTTAAAGTAAATATATATCAAATATTTATTTTCTCTTTTCCTTTAAAAATATTATCCTACCTCTTATAACATAGAGACATAACTTTTTTAAACTTTGCTGGAATTTTGACCAATAACGTTCTCCAGAATATCAAAAGCATCTCACTATATCCTCCACCAAAACTGTTCTTATTGTAATTTTGTTTAATTTCACCATTTCCCAAGCTCCCCCATCTTCAAATCTATTCATTCTTTCTGTTCTTTAAACCCCAATATCCAATCCATTGTGAAGCTGTAATAATCATATCTTTGAATTTGTACTTGCATCCATTACTTGTATTAACATTCTCAAAATGTGGTGTCTTTCATCAGTGATAAGATATTGTCGATGTAATTTATATCACTATTACCTATTTTCTCTCTGTAGCATCTATGGATGCGCACTACTCAGATATCCCTTCAAGAGAAGCTGTTGTGAGAAGCATATTTGAATGGTGCCCATCAGCTGCCAGGCATTTGGATTTGCTCCAACAATCACACCAAGACTATGCTTCCCCCAGACTGCTCCAGGCTAAAATTGAGTCATTTTTGCCAAATGAAGGGCATCTCGAATATGAGATATTTGCTTGGGGACTACCCATTTTCCAGGATAAGATTTTTTTAAGAATTGTGCTGTATTCTAAGACTTCCTGACCAAGCCTCTTTTTTTTTTCTCCTCTCACAAATATTGGATATTTTTTGTTTTGTTTATAGAAGGTTCTACCTGCCTATGCCTATTCCCTCGTACTTGTCTTTTAACCTAGGCAAAAAGCACAAGAAACCCTCTTGTTCTTGAAAAAGTGGGGTTATTCTTCATGCCCATGAGATGAAATGTGCATCACAAGAAATCATTGAAAGTTTTAGCTTCAGAAAGTCAGAAAAAATAGAATTTTGTCTTCTGCTAAGTGATTTATGGGAGGATTTCAAAAAGCATACCTTAGCTCTGGATTGAATGCCATCAGAAAGTGAGTTTAACTTGTGACTGAGTATTTTAAGAAATTTTATTTATGAGGAGGCTAGACTAATGAAAGGATAAACCTATAATTGGTGATAAAGCCCCAGTCCCACAGGTTAGCTGAAAAAAGGGGATGTCTGATATTTTGTGGCTTGAATAATTTTTGTATTTTATGTGTACCTTTACCGAGGGATTTTTGGTTGGTTGTTTGTTTTGACTGATCATGGCTACAGAGTGGCTTTGACAGATATTGATGCTCTATGAAATGATACATTTAAATAGGACAATACCCAGCACCGTGAATGCTTGGCCAGTTCCTAACAGGGTGACCATATCAGGCCAGCTTCAGGGTATCAGAGGCTGTTCTTTCTCGTCTTTTACCCTTCAAAGATGTTTTTTTCCAAAAGAAAACAAAAAAACAAGTGGGACTAATCATGTCCTGGAATCTGTTTCTTCTTACAGGACCTGAACTAGATCAAGTGGTCTTGGTCTAGGTCCTGGTCCTGAGATAACAAGCTGGTAAGAGGTCACTTTAAGGCGAGTTCCCTTAAAGCCTACCAAGCAAAAATGACTCCATTCTGAGTGGAAATCAGTACTGATAGTGTGCAAGGTGGCAAGTTTATTTCCGAAAGATTTTATCAGGTGTAACCTGAGAAAATATTCCAGTAGTGGGGGTACCTCATCTGGTTAGATGAGATGATGTAGATATTTGAAAGATGTGGGGAAAATAATGCCTGCAAAGGCAGTATAATTGTCTGTTTATGTCTAAACTACATTAATGTCCTATAGTAGGATAAGAAATAACTGAGGGCAGTGAAACCGTTTAAGGATCAAGGTGAGAGCCATATGTTCAATTTGCGTGCATTCAAAGTGGCCTTTATCTCCTGTGGTGCAGTGCAACAATAAGTCAGATGAGTATAGAATCCAAGATCTGATAAGACCTGGTGATAGAGCTGCAGAGGTGTTTAAATGCTATCAAGGCAAGTGTGGCATCCTAAAGTCAGGCACAGTTTGGAAAATCTGAGACCCTCCAACATGGGATGGGATATCTCCATGGAGGCCTGTGAAAGTTTTTTATCTGAAGGCTGCTGAGAAATGGAAGAGGTCATCCACTTCTGTGTGGCATGAAGTAGCACTTCCACATGTAGGATGACACATAGGCCTTTTCCTCTACAGGGTAACAGGGAACCAGGGGACCTTCTCAAGAGCTACTGTCCTGACTGATAGGCCCTACATAAAGGTTATACCATCATAAGCCGTCTGGGGACATGTTGAATTTACTAGGTGTGGAAAGTAGTTTTATTTCAAGTAACTGAAAGATCCATGATATTGTTTAGATGTTTGTCCCTCCAAATCTCATGTTGAAATGTGATCCCAGTGTTGGAGGTGGGACCTGGGGAGAGGTGCTTGGGTCATGGTGCCTTCCCCATGACAAAGAGTTCACTTGAGATCCAGTTGTTGAAAAAAGCCTGGCACATTCCCCTCCCCCACTCCATCTGGTGCAATGTGACATGCTGGCTAGCTCCCTTTAATCTTCTGTCATGATTGTAAGCTTCCTAAGGCCTCACAAGGGACAGAAGTCAGCACTATGCTTCATGTACAGCCTGCAGAACCATAAGCCAAATAAAGCTTTTTTCTTTATAAATTACACAGCCTCAGATATTCCTTTATTTCAATGCTAAACAGGCTAACAATCTAGTCAACATATTCCACCATGAGCCAGAAGGTATCCCCGAAATTCAACGTGAGAGGGTGCTTGATCAAGGAGATTGTAACATAGTACTAGGTAAAAATTATGTTCATGAGATTTTTTTTTTTTTTTCAAAACAGGAATTCATAGCCTGGCAAGGACTTCCAGGGATAAGATACACCTTTTTCTAGGGTGGCTTTTTGCAGCCTGAGAAAAGTAATGATCCAAGTTAAGCAAAGTATAAATTTCTGAGTTGCTGTGACAGACATTAAGGATGATACCAAAAAGTTCAGGTGGACCTGCTGACTGGACATGTTATATTTGGCCATAAGATCTATCACATAATCATATTCACTAGGATTGCCAAAATGACTCACCATTTAACAATGCCATCAGGGATGAACTGGTGGGAGTGACACAAGGATCAAAAAAATACTTGGTGGTGATTATCCACTTGTGTCTGCCAGAAAAAATTTAGGACCCACTTAAACTTGAATTTCAAATAATCAATACATTTTATTGTATTTTCTTTTAACTTGTAAGTTTATGGGTACATGTGCAGGTTTGTTATATAGGTAAATTTGTGTCGTGGGTTTTTGTTGTACAGATTATTTCATCAACCAGGTATTAAGCCCAGGACTCATTAGTTATTTTTTCTAATCATCTCCCTCCTCCCGCTCTACACCCTCCAATAGGCTCCAGTGCCTGTTGTTCCCTCTCTATGTGTCCATGTGTTCTCATCAGTTAGCTCTCACTTATAAGTGAGAACATGCAGTATTTGGTTTTCTGTTACTGGGTTAGTTTGCAGAGGATAATGGCCAACAACACCATCTATATTTCTGCAAAAAAAAAAAAAAACACATGATCTCATTCTGTTTTATGGCTGCATAGTATTCAATGTTGTATATGTACCACATTTTCTTTATCCATTCTACTCTTGATGGGCATTTGGGCTGATTCCATGTCTTAGTTATCGTGAATAGTGCTGCAATGAACATACGTGTGCATGTGTCTTTATGATAGAACAATTTATATTCCTTTGGGTATATACCCAGTAATGGGATTGCTGGGCTGAATGGTATTTCTGTCTTCAGGTAATTGAGGAATCAATATACTGTTTTCCACAATGGTTGAACTAATTTTCACACACCAACAGTGTTTATGCATTCCTTTTTCTCCTCAACCTTGCCAGCACCTGTTATTTTTTGACTCTGTTTTATAACAGCCATTCTGTCTGATGTGAGATGGCATCACATTGTGGTTTTGATTTGCATTTCTCTCATGATCAGGAATAACTGAACTTGTTTTTACTTCATACGCTTGTTGGCCACGTGAATGTCTTCCTGAAAAGTGTCTGTTCATGTCATTTGCCACTTTTTAATGGGGTTGTTTTTTGCTTGTAAATTTATAAACAATAACTTTTAAGTATAAATATAACCTTAATTTAGCGTAATATATATTCTATGGATTTCCTACTACAGATCAGGGCTGATGAAGGCAGAAGTGGTCATTAAGCTGACCTTATTATTAGCCTTATGATGATAAGACACCAAAGTAAATCATGCCAAACTATGGCACTTAATCAATGGAGCCAGTGTGAAAAACATACCAAAATATCACGCCCAGTTAGAAGAGCTGGCAAGAGGGCTTGATTTGTTGGCCATTGTGAAGATGATTATAAACACTGCATTGTAACAGACAAGGAACAAACAAGGGTTCTGCTATGGAAGAATTATAGATGAAGGTGAAAATAAAGGAGAAGGAAACTAAGGGATGTCATAGAAAGAAAAGGTCATTACTGAGTTTTGAACCTATTTTCTGTTCTGGAATCCATTGATAAGAGAGGTGACCAGGACTTTAGTAGAAGAATCATGAAACTCCATGAAAAGTATATACCATATGGATTTTACCAGTCTTTCACAAGTCTATTCCCATCCTGCTCAGGTGACAATACACTGGGGAAAGGAGAATATATTCAGACATGTTGAAAACTATTGAACACAAGGTTTGACTTGACATTGATATCTGTTGAATCCTCTGTTATAACAGAATGGAGACTTACAGTTATCATATAATAAAAGATATCTGACTAATGATTTTTTTGTAGTGAGCCCATTGAGACCTGGAATCCCCCAGTGAGCATTTCCTGAGGCTATAATTTAGATTGACATATTTGAAAGTTGAAGTAACTCCCATATTTAAATATTGGCCTATGAGACAAGTACACTATCACAGTGTATAAAGCCCAAATGAGACCTTTAAATCTGTCCTTTAACATTGGCCAAGATTGTAAGTCAAAAACAACATTGCATACCAGGGAAATATCGTATTAGAAATCCCATTAAAGCCCTAAAGAAATAGTCTTCCTATCATAAATTCTGAAGAATTACTATTGACTGACTTTAGTTCAACAAAGTATTACCCTCATTGTAACTGCTGTGTAAGATATAGTATCAATGCTAAATGAACTAAATTCCAGAATGTGGCAAGACTTTCTCAGCAGAGGAGAGACCAATACTGCTGTCAACTTGGTGGACTGGCCGAAGGAGAAAGAATATCCCATAGAGAATGGAAAGGAAGAAACTGACAGATATATAAATATTGTTTGTCAGTCATGTTTTGGCCAGCATAACTTATGATGATTTTAAACTTAAGTCTTGAAATTTAAGGCACAACCAAAACACAAGCAAGTCCTCCTCTGCCCAACAACTCCTCTTTACAAATCTTCATCAAATGTGTGAAGGAAATACATAGAACGGTGAGAATGGGACAAGAGAACTGACGAGAACCAGGGATTCTCATGGATTCTGTGGTTTTACAAAACAGGAATGGCTTATGTGATTCCTCTGTAGAGCACCACACAGATTATAATTAAGGTTCCCCAGTTCTGGTATCTCATCCGAGTCTTGACAGAGAAATAATCTACATCCATGCTCCCTCCAGACATTGGCATATTTCATTTTCTTACACCTGTGAGATTAATAGGAGCTGTCTTTGGGAAGTGGTAGAGAAAGGGAGAAGGAGCAATTCGGAAAAAGAAGAAAGAGGATCTGACTCTAGACATAGGTGCTATATTCTTATGTAATCATGCATGCCTTGTCACATTGTACACATCCATTTATTAGAAGAAATTACAGTTCTTGAATCAAACAGAATTAGACAATTGTACAAATAGCAGGAGGTGAGAAGCATGAGAGACACTATTGAATCTTTCTGCCATACCAAGTAAAAGGTAGCAACATGTTGAAATCTACAGTCCAGGAAAAGTTAGAGAAACTCATTTAAGATTCTACAGGCTGAAGATTTGATGCTGAACAGGAGACTGGAAAAAGATTACCTAATAGCAAGGAGGCTAGGGTGAGAGGATTGAGGCTTGAGAGCAATGAGAACTATTAAGATACTTACAAGCTGGCAGCAGGAAGAACTGTAATATGATTTAGGAAACTGAAGGCTTTATTCTTACATAAAGTATAGAAAGATCAAAGGCTTTATGGTGCTCAGACCCTAAGCCCTGCTAAAAAGCAAGCCCAAATTCTGCCACCAAAATATCTGAAGTCAGTTAAACTGCCTCTAACTAAATTTGCAACAAAGTCCAGGCCCAAGACAACAATATATTACATTGACTCAGTTACCCTATGGCAGCCTGAAAGAAGAAAGGATGTGTCCTTTTCTGGGAAAAAACTATTATTTGCTTCAGCCTCTATTGAGCTTTTACAAGTTAAAAATAAAATAAAATTTTAAAAGTAATGAGATAGCAAAAAAATGTGACCTTAGGTCAAGAGAGGAAGTAGTCAATAAAAGCAGACCAAGATATGGTTCTCATAGCCTATTGACCAAATAAGAACTTTGAAAGAACTATGATAAATATGTTCAATGAGTAATTGTAAAAGGTTGAAAACACATAAAAACAAATAGAAAATTTCTACAGAGAAAAATGAATAAAAAATGGAAATTCTAGAAATGAAAATATATGTTATTAGAAATAAAGAATTTATTTGATACGATTAGCAACATCATGAAATCAACAGATGAAAGGATTAGTGAAGTTGAAGACAGATCAATAGAAAGTATCCAAACTTAATAGTAAAAATAGAAATTTGTAAAGGCCCTAAAAAAATGTCAGAGATGTGTGGAGCAAAATCAAATTGTCTAAAATAATGTGTAATTAGAGTCTGCAAAAAAGAGGAAAAAGAGTAGGACAGAAGAAATGTGTGAATATGTAATATGTGAGTATTTTCCAAAATTAGTGAAAAACTAACCACAAATTTAAGAATTGTAGTGAACATGAAGGCAGATAAAAGGAAAATATGGCTAGGCATATTGTAGATTAATTGTTAAGAATTCAAAGGAAAAATGTCATATTCTACAAACAGAAAAATGACACCAGTGACAGCTGACTTCTCTTGTCAGATTTAAAAATAAGTAGGAAGATATCTTTAAAATGCTAACAGAAAGTAAAATTCAAGCTAGAATTATATACAAAGTAAAATACCCTTCAAAAATGAATGTAAAATAAAACTATTTTCTGAAAAATGTTATCTGAGAAATTTCATTTCTCATGGATATGCACTTCAATAAACACTAAATTCCTCAGATTAATGGGAAGTGATAAATAAATGGAAGCCCACATTCACAAGAAGTAGGAGGGAAGAACAACACAAAAAGATGCATTAGTTATTTTCTATGCATTACAAATATATGTATACATAATTACATACAGTGCATAATACATAAATAGTAGTATACATAAGTAATATACAGAATTATGTACGTCATATATATAATTCACTTTCTTTTGTTTTATAACATTACCATCACTTTAAGCAACATAAATATATTATCTGATCATTGCTGTAGGTTAAAAGCCTGGCATGTAGTGGCTAAATCCTCTGCTCAGGGTCTCATTAGCATTAGGCTAAAATCAAGGTATCGGCCTGGGCTAAAGTTATCTTCTGTGCTTTGGATCCACTTCCAGGTTCCCTGAATGCTGCCAGAATTAATTTTCTCCTTGTGCTTTACACATGACCTCCTCTAGCTTTATTTCAACAATAGAAGGTCATATTGTTTTGTGCTTCTAATTCTGACTTCCTTTCCTGTCTTTTTCTGGTTTTATGTGATTATACCGAATCATTTGAATAACCCAGGATGATCTTTTTATTTTAAGGTTGAGTGATTTGCAACCTTATAACATCTGCAAAGACCCCTTTTTCATGTATGTAACATATCCTTGGGCGTGGCACCAGGGGGCAAAGGTCATGGAAACAAAATTCTGTTTTATTTTCAAAGGATATGCTACTGACAATTTTTAAAGCAAATGTATATATCCTATGCAGATTATAGTATATGTGAAAATAAAATCTATGGAAACAACAGAACTGTATTAGTCCATTTTCACACTGCTGATAAAAACATACCTGAGACTGGAAAGAAAAAGAGGTTTAATTGGACTTACAGTTCCACATGGCTGGGGAGGCCTCAGAATCATGGCAGGAGGTGAAAGGAACTTCTTACATGGTGGCAGCAAGAGAGAAAGAGGAAAAAGCAGAAGCAGAAACCCCTGATAAATCCATCAGATCTCGTGAGACTTACTCACTATCATGAGAATAGCATGGGAAAGACTGGCCCCATGATTCAATTACCTTCCCTGGGCCCCTCCCACAACACATGAGAATTCTAGGAGATACAATTCAAGTTGAGATTTGAATTGGGACACAGCCAAACCATATCAAGAACAAAGTATGGGAAAGAAATCAGTGGAACTATATTGTTATAAGTTTTCATATTGTTCATGAGGCAGTATACACATGGTGACAGACTTGTGATGTCAACTTACAATTTTTAGACTTTAAAACGGTGCAGAAACAATGTGAATTCAGTGGAAACCATACTTCAAGTGCCCATACAATCATTCTTTTTTTTACATTTCCAATATAATATTCAATCAATTACACTAGATATTCAACACCGCATTATAATATAATCTATGTTTTGGATAATTTTGCCCAACTGTAGGCTGATATAAGTGTTCTGAACACCTTCAAGGCAGGCTATGCTATGATGTTTGGTAGTTTAGGTGTATTAAATGCATTTTTGATTTATGATATTTTCAACTGACAATTGGTTTATTGGGACATGACTCCATCATAAGTCAGTAATGTTATTTGAAAAGATAAAATATGATAAGGCAAAATAGATATTATTTCTTCTAGAACAACCACTAGAAAGTAAGATAGAGGAATAAATCAAAGATATCTTAATGATGGAAGAGCCAGACAAAATAATTTGTTTTTCCTGTGGAGGGTATTTTTCCTCAAATATTTTGCCATTGTAGCAGGTCTGAGTCTTTATTTTCCACCCTCTGGAGTGCATGTCTGAACACACCAGTATACTAGTCACTTCTTGCTCATCCTATCATATTTGTTTGATATTATCAATTAAGTGTACCAGTGGTATATTATGGGATGTCCACTCTAGATATCTTTGGATGATATTGAAAAACTGTAACTGTGTACTATTATAACTTCCTAATGAATGTGAGCTAATTCTGATTATCTTTCCTAATAGAGATATAAACATATTAATTTGATAAATCTATAGCCACATACTATGTATCTGAGATCATGCTAATTATTATTATTTGTTTTTTGAGACAAGGTCTTGCTCTGTTGCCCAAGCTAGGGTGCAGTGGCGTGATCTCAGCTCACTGCAGCCTCCGCCTCCCAAGTTCAAGCAATTCTCCTGCTTCAGCCTCCTGCGTAGCTTGGATCACCATGCCCAGCTAATTTTTGTACTTTTAGTAGTGATAGGGTTTTGCCACGTTGGCCAGGCTGGTCACGAACTCCTGGCCTCGAGTGATCCCCTTGCCTCAGCCTTCCACAGTGCTGGGATTACAGGCGTGACCCACTGCATCCAGCCATATTTCTCTCTAGTACAGACACCATGTCTGGTAGAGTGTCTGAAATTGAAGTCACCACTTGCTTCAAATGATCATGTTCAATTATCATGCTCCAGATTCTGCTCGATTTTTGCAGGGTCTGGATTTATGAATTAAATCAAAATATCTTAAGTCTACCACTAATGTACCCTTTAGTTCTTTCAGGTACCATTAATTTTTGCCATTCCCTTAAAGATGTGGTTTTTCTTTTTCAAATTCAAATTTTGGCCGTGGGGAAGATAATTTAAGAGGCTATTACACATAGACTTTCAGACTACAACAGTTCCTACCACACAGGCCAAGGACCAAACATAGTGGTTATGTCTTATGCGTCCACTGGGTCTGAACTCAACTTATTACCTAGCCCCTTTATTTCCAGAGTTATGCAGCAGGTGTGAGGGCAGGGGATTATCAAGAATTAAGAAAAGTTGGCATTTTTCACTTGCAAGATAATAGGCAAACCTGTCACAAGTTCACAGATGCTAGCAGAAGGCATGTGATGCCTCAGTCAAAGACAGGATTTTGTTACTCAACACAAAGGAGGAATCTTGAGTTCCATGCCTGCATAAGTTTCCTCTATTCTCCACATGGCATGGTAGTCCATAAGAACAAGACCAGGTGGATAGTGCACAAGCAATGACTTTGCATCACAGCTGAGGGACCTCAGGTTTTAAAAAATAGCATACTCTGTGATAAAGGGGCTGGTAGAAATCTTGCTTGAATGTCTCCCTAGAGAGAGAGATTATTCTTATTATGGTGAGCAAACAAATATTACCTCTGCTCTGAAAAGAGATCCTATCTTCTAAGGTTGTTTTCTATATAAACATTATTTAAAACATATTCCCGAACAAAAGTTAATTTAAGATGTGTAGAAATTGAGAGGACCATGGAGAATCAAATACCAATAGTCATTAGAGACATTCATGGCAAATTGGACCTTGTCACTAGCAGTGCTTAAAATATTTAGGTATGCTCCTAATTTCCTTTTGTATCAGTGCAGCGTTGTTGGGGTAATTGTCTCTTAGTTCCTTTTGGGAATGACTGAGATAATCATTAATCTATATAATTTCAATGTAGAGTCCTTCATTTTGGGCGCTGGATATCTAGTTCAGTTAATCTGTTTTGAATCAAATAACTAACTTAGGTCTAGAAACTGAGCAAAACATCACGATGTTTTGTGGGATAACTGCCTTCATCCTCGTGGCCATTCATCCTTGACTTATTTTGATGGTGTAAAGTTAGAATTCATATCCCATAACATTCTTTGGGTCTTTCCTGTTATTCTGACATTGCTGTTTATTAGGATTGTTGAACATATCTGGCTTGTGATGACTAAGCATTGACACTTGGACTATCTAGTTTTAGGATCCTAATATTTCTATGGTTATTAGAGATCCCAAGTAAAAGAATCATCTATGGTCAGCTGTAGCTCTCTGAGAGAAGACACCACTGAGCTGCCATGATGCTAGTGCCCCACTCACCAGTGCATTCCTTATCACTTTGGTAAATTGAATAACCTCCAAGCTCTCCTCTGGTACATGAGCATTTCATGAGTTTTATAGAGTAGATAGTGTATTCATTCTATTATATCCACTACAGACATCTCTACCTCACTTAGTATAGGTTATTTTTATCATTTTAGGAGCCATTACTGCGATATAACTATAAAAGATTTACTAGTTATGTTAGTCTAAAAAGAACCAACTATATATGCTGTCTGTCTTGTCAGGAATCAAGATTTCTTTTCAGAAATCAAGAAAATAATCAAGAAAAGAAAAAATAAATCAATGATATCATCAATAAAAGAATGGATAATATTAATAGTCCAGATATTACAGCAGTTAAAATGATATATATTAGTTCATTCTCATACTGCTATAAGGAATGCCTGAGACTGGGTAACTTATCAAGGAGGGAAGTTTAATTGACTTGTGAGTCAGTTCTGCATGGCTAGAGAGGCCTCAGGAAACTTACAATCATGGTGGAAGGGGAAACAAATACATCCTTCTTCTTTTGGCAGCAGGAGAGTGAAGTGCAGAGTGAAGTTGGAGAAAAGCTCCTTATAAAACCATCGTATCTCGTGGGAATTCACTCACTATCACAAGGACAGCATGTGTCGGGGGGAACATCCCCATGATCTAATTACCTCCCATGAGGTCCCTCCCCCAACACATGGGGATTACAATTCAAGATGATTTTTGGGTGGGGACACAGAGCAAGACCATATCAAGATAATAAGAAAATACTTTAAGCCTAGATGGCTTCACTGATGAATTTTATGAAGCATTAATAAAAGATCTTACACAAATGTTTTCAGAAAATCCAACAGAATGGAACAATTCCCAAACCACCTTATGAGTCAATAAAACTGACATGAAAATATGGCAAGAACATTACAAAAAAAATAAAATCACAGAATAAACTTTCATCACCAGAGATGCAAAACTCCTTCACAAAATATTAGCAAATTGTATAGAGTGACAGACAAAAAGGTTAATATGTCACTACCAAATAAGTCATCTCAGTAATGAAAACCTTATTTTACATTTGGAAATCAATTTACTTAAATGCATTAAGAATATAAAGGAGAAGAGTATATTACCTCAATAGATACAGAAAAAATATAATATTCAGCATGGATTTATAATAAAAATCCTCAGCAATTTTGGATTAAGAGCATTCTTCACTCTAGAAAAAAATCTTTGACAGAGAAAAAATTTTACACATACAAAAGCATTAAATTTAACAAAAGCAATTAGACAAATTGTATCTACTCGTACTTTACTATTTTATTTGTATGAAACCCAAGAATAAGCAAAATAATCATGGCAACATAAATCAGAGAATGGTCTCCTCAAAGGCCTGAGAATGGGAGGAGTGAATGGAGACATGCAGAAAGACTGGGAATTGATTGGAAAAAAACTTAATGGTACTTTCCATGGTGATTTCTACATCTAATGTTGGATAGTGGCAAGTAATTGTACACAATTTCAAAACACATCAAAACAAAAAATATAAGAACTTTGCATTTTATTGTGTAAGAATTATATACATAAGCACTAAAGAAAGGTATTAGATTTTCTGGTAACATTTTATTTTTATGGCTGGGTTCTGAAGCAGCCAATTAAATGGGCTTATTCATTTTGGTTTTGCTGGCCTAGTGCAAACGTGACTCATGACACTGACTAATGATTTACTGTCTCGTTTGCACTGTGTGTGATGCATATTTAAGTAACCTTGTTAATAGTATAGAATCAGGCAAAATCTAAAAGTAACTTTTATTGATGTTTTATCCATTTAAAGAGTTTTCACAATCAAATTAAGTAATTTATCTGCAGCCAAGAGTTTTTGCCTAAAATGTTTAATACAACAAATATTTATTGAGTGCCTATTATGTGCCAAGCATATTTTTAGAATATCATGGTATATCAGTAAACCAAACAAAATTCTCTGTTCCTACAGAGCTCAGTCTTCCATTTTCTGTGCTTAGTCCAGTTAGTCTTCTTTATGGCACTGCCTTATCTTCTCAGACTCTAAGAGGTGAACTTACCCAGTGCTCTTTCTCAGATCTCTTTTATTTCTACATTAATTAACATAGTAATATTATTTATTCTTATGCTTTTACACAATATCCATTCACTGATTATTTCCAAATTATATCTCTATCTGACCTCCTCACAGAACGCTACACTTGCTTATACAACTCCCAACTTGACTTATACAATTGAATATCTAGTAAACATCTCAAGTATTTAAAATTGGGGTCACCAAGAACCCCAGTTTACCCAAGACAATCATTATTTACACTTACTGCCTTATTGTCTCTTCATAATTATTAAATATTGTTTCCATCAAACATCAAAGGGATCTTGACTTGGATGATAAACACAGACATTCTTTCCAAATTGTCCTATTGATTTCTCTCCTAAATTTATTTTTTTCCGTGGTCATAATGGCAAATCAACTTACTCTAACACTCAGGTCAAAATAACAGGTTTCATTTTTGACTACTCTTATTTTCTTGTATTCCATCTGCCAAAAAATTCTATCAACTCTGATTTCAAAATATGTACCAAATCTATTCAATGTATTATATGCAAAAAATCGTTTCAGTTTTATTATTACTATTATTGAGACAAAGTCGCACTCTGTTACCCAGGCTGGAGTGCAGTGGAACGATCTCGGCTCACTGCAATCTCCGCCTTCTGTGTTAAAGCGATTCTCTTGCCTCAGCCTCTTGAGTAGCTGGGACTGCAAGCGCATGCCACCATGTCTGGCTAATTTTTGTATTTTTAGTAGACAGAGGGTTTCACCATGTTGGCCAGGCTGGTCTCAAACTCCTGACCACAGGTGATCCACCTGCCTCAGCCTCCCAAAGTGCTGGGATTACAGGCATGAGCCACCGCGCCAGGCATAGGTTTCTAATACTGTCATATTCCTTAACTGGTCCTCTTTCTTCGAATTTTTCAACCACATGGTATCCAGGGTGCAGTTACTAAAATTTGAATTAAATTTTGTCATACCATTTCTCAAACCCTTGAGTAGCTTCACAATACACCCAGGATGAGGTTCAAATTGATACCTGTAATAAACATTCTATGTAATCTGGCCTACGCATGACTCTCTGACTTAACTTTCTGACACTATATCCTTTATTTACTCTGCTTTTGTGAAACATGCCATATTTGTTTATCTCAAATATGCCATGTATTGAAACTGAGAACTTTAAATTTTTGTCCTCACTTCCTGGAACACTCATTTTCAGATCTTCTAGTGCTAGCTTTCTCACGTTCATTGAAATCTATGCTTAGGAGTTCTCTTGGTTGGATAAAAAATAATCTATCTCAATGAATCTCTTACATGTCTTCATTCCTAGACATTCAAAGTGTATTTAATTTACTCAGATTTAGAAAGTGTACAGTTTTAAAGTATGTCTCCTTCCCCACATATATTCTAAGATGGCAAAGATGAAGCCCTCCTCCCTCCAGAGAAAATGTGCTTATATTCCAAAGTAATAAAGATAATATTTTTCTCTGGAAGGGAAGATGGGCAGTTTTTCTGGCCTATCAGATCTTATCTCTGAGCATGAATACGTTTTAAAATATCCGAGACTCAGATTTCTAATCTGTATAAAGTTCATATTATTTCCTGGTTCTAGCAGGTGCTATAATTACATAGTGAAGAAAACTAGAGCCTTGGGGTTTGAAAGAATTTGATGAGAGTCCTGCCTCCTTTATGTGAAAACGTCTCTGAGCATTGCTCTAACCTACAAGCCTAAAATAGAAATAACATCCATTTCATGTGGTTGTGATATATATTTAGTGCATCCAGAGTGAAAGGGGGACTTCCAGGCAGTGCTTGGATTGGGAGTTTCTTAAGCTCAGTATTCTCAGCTTTGACACAGACCATTGTGTAACATTCACTTAGGCCACCTTTGCATCACCCCCGTGAGACTTCACAGGCTAAAAGAAATGATCCAAACGAACTCCTGTTAGCTGCCGTACTATAATACACTTTGTACATCAACCTGGACTTATTAACTAAATCTGTGTAACATGAGCCATACTAGAAGTTGCCACCACACTGTTTTGGAACGTTTTGGGGGCCTAATAGTTTTCTCGGAGATTGGATGATTCCCTTTTCCAAGCCCTCAATCTCAGTAAAAAACAAATCAGATTGCATAAGGTCCCCCATGATTGGTCCCCACCTACATCTGAAATATGTTTGCCTCACCGTTTTATCTTTCCTATACTTCCATCCAAGTTCAGTTCAGATTTAGCCACTGCTATTCAGTCTAAGATAATTATCCTCTTTCTCAGTGTTTCATAGTCTCCATCACACTTCGTAGAATACATTTCTACCTTATCTATCAGGTAAAACATATTGATCTTTCAAAATTCAATTTGCCTCACCCATAAAAAAAATCCTTCCCTCATAAGAATTGGCTACTTCCTTCTTTTACGACCACTCTACGAAAATAAGTTTCTTATTATTCTGCATATGGTATTTTATTTCATTCATATTTGTATGCACAACTTTCCTTTCTAGACTCCCAGTTCTTTAGAAGCTACGATTTATTTAGTGCTTACTCTGTGCTCGGCAGTGCCCTTTTCAATCTAGATGCGCTAAATATATATCACAATCAAAGGAAGTAGATGTTATTTTTATTTTAGGCTTATAAATTGGAACACTTCTTAGAGACAAGCATTTGTTAAGTAGAAGAGGCAGGACTCTAACCAAAGTCTTTCAAACCCCAAGGCCCTAGTTAGCATCACTGGGTAATTATAGCACTTACTAGAACCAGGCGATATAGTGACCTTTATACTGATAAGATATCTGAGTCTCAGAAATTTTAAAACTTGTCCATGCTCATACATAAGATTTGTTTTTTTGAAAATTCCAGATCATTGCGCATATTTGCTACTCAATAAGAGATTTACATATAGATGAATGAATAAAGGTTTTCATGACCACATGAGATCATAGAGAAAGAAATAAAGAAGACTCAGAAATGAAGCTTAGGTATTGAGATTTCAGGTTCAGTAAATGACCAATAGAAGCAGACGTACTGAGTGGAGGGGACTATTGGGTTCCCTATGGTGGGTTTTGTTTTCATTATTCTAAGTGTGAAGTGATTATGAGGTTTTTAAGAAAGATTTTCAGCTGGCAATTTGGGCCAACTTCAGTATAAACTCCAAATCTGTTTGCAGCAAATGGCTACTGGGCTAACTTAATTTATAGAAAACCTGTTTTTAATTTTTCATATTCTGACCCACATCTGTCAACCAAACTAAATACTTTTTAACAAGAGTTACTGAAAAGTGAAGCAAAATCTTATTTATTGGGCATATTGGGAAGATAACAAGAGAGTAATGGCATTATTGCTTCAGTGATTTACTAAGTAATTATTGATTATCCAGGATGCGTAGGATACTGTGATAAGCCACTGTTACACATTGAAAAGGAAAATTTGCATTTTAGAGAAAGGAACATGCAGTAAATAACTATACAAGTAAATATGTTTATAAATAATATGTGGAATCCTGTGAAGGAAATGAACACAAGGTCATGATAAAATAATAGTAATGATAATAAAAATAATAATAATTCCTGCATATGTAATGGGTCACGGGATGGTTTTCGATCAGTTTTTCAGGAAATTTCTCTGAAGACATGACTGTTAAGTTGATTATAGAAGGCTGATTAAATATATATGTATTAATGAAAGAATCCAAGGAAGCATTTTCAAAATACAGACCAAAATGTGCAAACATGAGGCAGAAGAGCTTAGTATGTTCCATAACTGAGTGAAAGCCAGGATGGTAGAATGCTATTTTAAGCCTAATATGGCTCATACATATGTATGATGTTCTTTTTTTTTTTTTTTTTTTTTTTTGAGATGGAGTCTTGTTCTGTCACCCAGGCTGGAGTGCAGTGTGGTGATCTTAGTTCACTGAGACCTCTGCTTCCTGGGTTCAAGTGATTCTCCTACCTCAGCATCCTAAGTAGCTGGGACTACAGGCACCCGCCACCACACCCAGTTAATTTTTTGTATTTTTAGTAGAGACAGGGTTTCACCATGTTGGCCAGGTTGGTCTCAAACTCCCGACCTCGTGATCCGCCCGCCTCAGCCTCCCAAAGTTCTAGGATTACAGGCACCCGGCACATGATGTTCTTTTATAGATCAATCCTAAGAAACTGGTAGCCCAGTTTGTTGTCATGCTTTGTTCTAATATTGATGTGAGATTCAATTCAATCATCTCTTATTTTACAAAAGAGGAGACAGATTGAGTGGAGTCTCACATCATTATCCTGGCAATCAAAATGTGTCAACTGTTTATCCACCTTGCAACTGATACTCCCTGAGGCCTCAACCCACTGTTGTCCAGTTAGTAAACTTCAGAACAAGACCAATCTATGGGATTCTCTCACATAAAGCCATTATATCAAAACTGTACATATGGAAGTATTTCTCATTGGCTTAATTTCTTATTTTTGGCTTAATTTCTTGATAGTTTGTTGCTTATCAAAACAGATGTTGGGGTCAGGTAGAACTGGTAATGTGTTCAGGCTACATCTATTAACTGTGTTACATGTCCCAATTTCTTAACTTCACAATACCTCCAATTACTTGTAATCTAGAAAATAATGGATAATGAAATAAGGCCTGTAGCATTCTTGTGAGATTTTAATGAAATAATTCACATGAAGCCCTTAGCAAAATTGCTTAGTGTGTAGTAGGTTTCAATAAATGTTAACTATTATTGCTTAGTTTAAAAAGTGTTTGCTCTGCTGACAAGCAAAATTCTTCTCTAGCCATATTGCATTGACTTATACAAAATATCTACTCTTTCACAGTTAAACTAAAATATATTATGTCTGTTCATTGAACATGAAGCTAATTTGTATTTCATGTTTATAAAGGTGAGAATTGAAAACGTAGGTCCATATTGTATGGTAAATTTCCCCAAATCCAGATTTATATTTGCTTTACTTTTTTATTAATATCTCAACAATAATTGTATATAAACACAAACATAATTTGAAGACCTATTTTGTGTAATTATATATCTAGTTAATTGAGCTTTAATAAAGTAAAAACAAATTATGATAAGTGATACTACTGACTAGGAAAACAAAAGGAAATTGTTAGTAAAAACAAGTCAATATATATATAAAGAGGTGTGTATAGGTGTGTGTGAGCACACGTATGCATTGGTGTCAGAAAAGGCAAAGAGAATGAGGACTAAAAATTTTGTTTCTTTATTGGTAGAGAGATTATTTAGAAATAAAAACAAAATGTAGACGTTAATATAGGTTTATTTTGATAGAGAATTTAAAAAGGTGATTACATCCGAGCTTAAGACCAAACATTCATTAGTTTTCTAAATTACCATTAAGAGCTACTACAGATTTAGATATTCAAGATTACAAAGGACACTAAACTCTGGGTGGTAAATAGTAAAAGTAATATAAAATTCTCAGAGGCATGCCCACTCGGGTATCTAACAGGATACCTAATAGGTATCTCAACACATACAAATAAAATTCCTATCTTTCACATGCTTCTATTGCTATCTTACATTTATCTATTCTTTCATTTCCTTAGCACAAACTTTTCGATCACTTTTGACTAATCTCCTTTGTATTTCCTATCCAATCTATAAGCACATCCTGTGAAGTGTACTTTGAAAATAAATAAAAAATATAACTATTTTTCATAATCACTACCACAGCTATAACGGTCAAAGACACTGTCAACTCTCACCTAGAGGATGGCAATAGCTTCCGAACCAGTGTTCCTGCTCCCTCACTTGTTCCTGTTCTTCATCCAGCAACCAGAAGGATTAGATAATTACACATTTCTCTTTGAAACAATCAAGTTGCTTCTTGCTCACAGATATTAACTCACAGTTTTCAAATGACCTACAAAGTCACCAACTATGTCCTTGATAACATTTTCCCTTGCATCACATGGGATCCAACCAACTTTGTCCTATTTTTCTGTTATTACTACCCAATATATAGTAATGTATATGTTTTATAACTTGTAGTTTGTTCCAACTACATTGCAACTTTATCCAGGGAGATAGCTATGTTTACTGCTGTAATCTCGGTAACTCAAGAACTCTACATGGTATGTTGTAGGTACTTAGTAATTATTTTTTGAATCAAGAAAATGAATGAATATGAATGATTTATATAAAAATAGTAGATGAGTAGATAGATACAAATGATATGTTTTAAAAGTATGTCATAAATGAAGAATTCTAAGCATAATTTCCCCCCCCCAAAAAAGAGACATGCAAGTTATGTTGATTATTTCTTAAAAATCATTATCCTGAGATATTTTGCTTAGAAATAAATATAAATTCACACTAAAGAAGAAGAAGAGAAATAATATAAACTCTTTTCTGATACTTCATAAAATTATGTTGTTTCCTTACTAGGAACACAATTTGCAGTATTGAACTATGTACTTCATTCCTCATCAAAGATAGAAGTAAAGTATAGCAAATCCAAAAAAGGAAATAGTCATAGTATTTTCAAAGTAGTCTGGGTGCACAATTGGCATTAATATAATCAAGATTACTCACAAAAAGTCTAAACTCTAGCCCTAATCCAGACCTACTGACAAATTAATCTCTGAGAATGAGGTTCATAAATATTAACTTAAAAAAAAACAACAACATGTCAGATTTTACACATGTACCCTACATTTTGAGAAATATTGTGTTACATAAGCATCTGTCTTTGGGCTTGTGTTGGCAAAAGCCTACTTGATCAAATGAACCATGTGCCTGAGCCAATGTTCCAAGTCTTATGTTAACATATAAGATATAAATTAAGAGAAATAGTTATTACATTTGTTTTAAACCTTTTATGTAATATTATTGCATTCAATATTGTGAATAATACTGAATTTTTTAGTATTAGTAAAAGCACATTTTAAATTTTGGGTTTATATTTAAATCCAAAAATTGTAACAAAATCTACTAAGATAGATTTTACTTGTATATGATAATGAGTATTTCTATCTAATTCAGTAAGAAAGAAATGTGGATTTAGGTAAAACCTTATGAAATTAGTCTTAGGAATGTCAAAAATGTGTTTGTAAAATAAATCCCTAGAATTAAATTAAAAATCACTGAACCCTGATATATCTATGACTCTATAGCCTAAAATGGCCTAGCTACATAGTGGTTTCTTAGATAGAAATTCTAAATAAATTAGCATTGCAAGAAGTTTATTTTTAAATAAGATTTATCTTTAAATAAAATGCATACATGGTCTTATTTGGATGTTTTTATATCACGTCAAGCTGTGGTATCCCTGAACAAAACTGACCAATCAAGAAAACAAAAGGCTGATACATATTTTAAAAAGAGAAAAAGCAAAAGCAAACAATAGTATATATCTATATATTTCTATCTATCTATCTATCTATCTATCTATCTATCTATCTATCTATGTATCTATCCATCCATCCACCAATCTACGCCTGATACATGTCACAATGTGGGCATGATTGGGCAATATAATAATGAATAAAATAAGCAAAAAATAAGACTGTACATTTTTACACTGTACATTTTAATAGTTGCAAAAATAATAAATACTACATAATATAATGTTCGGTATATATAGAGAATGTAAAAAGATATAATGTAATAATAATGATTATTTAGGTGTTGAGGAGAAGCAAATGATAAGGTAGTAATAAGGATGTAGCCTCTAAATACAGATAAGCTTTTGTAGACTAGTTCTCAGGTTAGGAAACAGGTTCATGTGTTCTCACTAAAAATTTGACTTTTTGTCAAAATTTATATCTGATGACATTAAATAGTAATTCTCAAGACTATAAAATAGAAACCATTTTAGGATATTGAACGATAATTTATCTTGACAGTGACACAATACCTACTTTAGACACTGAAAACCATACACTGTCCAGCATTTTATTCAATAAGAAACACAATCACTTAAAAAAAAGAATGGTGGAAAACAACAGCTACAGCAAAAAACTACCAAACAGCAACAGCAAAATCCATTCAGCTGTATATGAAGAGATTCAGGTTTTATTTGCTATGTATCTAAATGACTTTTCTGAAAGGCTCCCACACCCAAGCAAAAACATGGTAAATTTTTTTACAATAATGTTCATCAATAATTAAATTAAATCTATAATGTAACATTCTTTTTTAAAAGCTCATCTTTCCTTTAGTTTCATTTTAACATCTTAGTTTATTATTCCTATTCACTTTTGAAATAGCTATATATTCTGAGAATAATGATCATACAATTTACAGTTCTATAAATAACTTTCTCATTAGTATGTTTTCACAGCCAAGAAAAAAGCAAGCATTCACCCAAAGGGGATTTATTCACATTAAAAAGAGACAGATGTGCCTTCTAACATAAAATATGGAAAGGTAAAAACTTGATACAAATAAACGTGTGCCTACAGATGAATATGAGTATGTTCTTCTAAGGGGAAAAGGAATGTCTCTTCCTTCTGTGATTCAGGGTAAAATTTTAGCTGTGACTTTGACTAAGTTCTACTGGTAGAAGTTTTGTTCAGATCTGATTTTCAATGTAGGTTACTTGTGTAATACGAAAAAGTACTCTTTGTAATACATTAACCAATTTGTCTGAAATCCTTGATGGCTCCAAATTATTTTCTTCCATATTATACTAGCCGGGTGGGAAGAAATAGACAACTAAAAATAGGCATGCTAATGACAATGTTTTATTGACTAATTTGAATATATTTTAAAAGCTTACATATATTGAGTTCCTGAAATGTACCAGGAACGGTTGTAAACAATATATGCATATTAACTCTTTTAATTAGCAACACCCTATGAGGTAACAACTGTTATCTCCATGAAAAGAAGGAGATAGTAAGTCACAGATAAGTAAACTGTCCAGGGTCACACAGCCAAAAACGGGTGGGGATCTGAAATCTGTAGCTATTTAGTTTAACTGCAGATCCCAAACTCTTAACTATTACACAATAATATCGAGGTTTGTTAAAAAATTATTCTCAACTGAAGAGTTCAATATCCTGAAAGGTTAGCACAAGTAAATATACAATGTAGGGAAGACACATTTGAAATGTTTAGAATACCAGTATACGTCGAAAGTTAAAGTCAACATAATTATTTCAAAATACATAACACGTTTACTTGTTAAGTCATGACATATTCTTTAAAAGTCTGCTTCATAGTTACAAAATATGGTAGAATTTAAAAATGTATAATCTTTGTAAACATAGAATCAATAATGTCCTATGTTTATTCTGACCTTGTGATAAATAATTAATGTTCCTTTGTGAAACCACTGAAATTGTAAAAACTGATTATCCTTAAACCTTGTGGATTAAGACAATACCAGTGAATTAACTGGACTTCTTATACTAAAGCTTCATAAAAATGTTGAGAAAAAGGAAAATTGAGTCATTTTGATTTTTGATTCTTTCTAGTACCCTGACAGAATAGAAATGGTGTCAAGATTTTTGTTTTTTCATATGTGCATAAAGTCATTCCACAAATTTCCTTTTGAGCCTATAAACCACAATAATAAGAGCAAACAAAAGAAAATTAATTACTCTGTGTCAAATAACAGGAACAGAAAGCTGAGGGAAAAAAATACACTGCTCCAGCCTTAGGAATTCAGAATCCAGAGAACTTGCTCTAAGCTTGTGTTTGTGCTGCTAATATACGTAAAATTTGAGAAAATAATTATGTAGGTTCTAGTTCTAGACAACAGGTCAACAAACTATGGCCCAAAGGTTGAATGTGGCCTGCCTGCTTTTGCAATGTTATGCCTGCTTGGTGATCTAAAAAACTGCTTTTCTTTTCATCCTTAATGATGAAAAAAAAAAAGAGAAGAAGAATATTTCATGACACATAGTAATTAAAGAAAATCAAAGTTTAGTGTTCATCAATAAGGCTTTTTTAACCACAGCCATGCTAATTCTTTTATATATTGTCTATGGCTGTTTTTTGAACTACAAGGACAGATTTGAGTAATTATGAAGGATGGTATGGACTGCAGAGCCTAAAATATTTACCATGTGTACCTTTACATAAAGATTTATTGCCTTTTATATGTATTATTGAAATATGAGACTAATTGATAACTTATCTCACTGTGTGAATCGAGTCACTTACATTGAAATAATCATTTTCTGAATAAGTTAGTGAACTCTTCTTAATTAGAAATTCAGATGCTGCCCATTTTAAGCAGTAGTGGCAGCTGGTAATTGCAATCTTCACTTAAAAATAAGGCAAATGTTGCATTTCTGTTTTCATATATACCATATATTATATTATTTATGTAATATTTCCTTCTTTAATTGTAATGTAATTTAAAAAATCTAATGTGTTGTTTTTACCCTCAAAATTTTAACATTTAAATAGGAAGAAATAATTACTTCTCAAAACACAGGCCATTATGTCTTTGGATCTAAGTTTTTTGTTTTTTTTTTTTTTGTAATCTCTAATGCTAAGATAGATTGAGGTTGGGAATAAGGTTAATGTTGGGTGGTTTAATTATACCTCAGATTCCCCAAGAGCAATTTTGTTTTGTTTTGTTTTAACCTGATTATATTCTCAGACTTTCTTGACTGGTTTTCTTAGAAGAGTTTAATTTTCCTCTAGCTGACAATACTAAAAATTAAATTCATATTGATAACCTAGAACAAAACAATAGTTTTACCCTAGCTAAACTATTGCTCTACAATTCAAATAATGTTAGAGTCTATGCTAGTAGACCAAAGCTCTCCCTCCAGACTTATTCCATTGGAAATATTCCTGGATTGACTCTGTGAAACCTTCACTAGTTGTAAAGTCAAGGTACACACCTAAGAAAGGGTAGTACGCTCTTCATGAATTAGTGTGAATGTTTTTAATTGATTCTAACTGTATGATGTAATTTCACTAGGAATATTACCACTGAGTTTTCTATTCAGTTTATAGTATTTTATAAGGTAGTTTTAATAATCTTTTCTCACTTTTTTTTTTACATTGCTAATGATTTCATATATAAACATGGCTTCCTTTTACATCTGGCTATACCAAATCTACACTGACAGCTCCAAATTCCCTCCTGATTGCCAAATCTGTGTCTCCAAGTGTCTGTTGAATATTGTCCCTATATATTTCATAGGCAACTTAATCTCATTATCTTCAAATCTGTATTCATCCATTTTCCTTCCGTTCTCCAAATTCATTTCATATTTAGTATTTTTAATATCAGTGAATGGCACCAGTGCCTTCTTAGTTTTCTAAATCCAAAGTATCAGCATGATTCTAGATATTTTCCTCACAATGTTAAGTGGCCACACAAAAGAATACAGACTACTGAAAGGAATTCGGAAGAGTCACAGTATCAGCTACAGTAAGGAACATCCACAAACCATGGGGAGATGGGATTATCTGATTTCCAGAGTCAACACATTACTATATTAATAGCCTTAAGTTTTCCAAAAATATGATTCTAGAAATAAACAACAAAGTATGGCCCATAAATGTGAAAAAAGCAATAAATAGAAACTGTCCCTGAAGAAAGCGCAAACATTGAAGTGCTAGACAGAGACAAATCTACTTGAATGATTCTGTCAGATTCTCCCGAAATCATTGTTTCCTTGCACTTCTTCTCACCTAGTCTGGGAGTTCATGGGGATTAGTGATAATGCATGTCAGCCTAATAACTAAGACTGTACCTGATGTACAAGTCCACCACAGTGGAAAAACTTAAAATGGAAATTTGCATTAGGTTGGTGCAGAGTAATGGCAAAACCCACAATTACTCTTGTACCAGCCTAATAGATGTTTAATAGGGAATTATCTGCAATCATAAAGCTAGTTCAAAATGAGGATGGTAATTTCCCTGAAAAGAAGGGTCAAGAAGGAATATAGTTGACAAGTAATGCTTCAGGTATTCACTTTTGGGGTAGCCAGAGAAAGTCTTACTCTGAGAAATTAAAGACCTTACTGTACCTCCAAGGAAACATGATCATCACAAGTAAAACAATTCAAGTACAATATGAGATTTTACAAATGGAATACAGAACATTAAATACTTTATTGGATAAAAAAAAGTCAAATGTAAGAGTGAATACTATAAAAAGAGCTAAATGGGAAGTGGTGAGTGGATCTGGGCCTGAATAACCATCACTAAACCTCTCTTGAGGAAGTGACTCATTCACTCCCCATCTGCACACCGAGTTCTGCCACATCCGATTGAGTTGTTATCAAAATAAACATGGTTAACAGATGTCCTCAAAGTCAAAGACAATTAATTGAATATGATGGAGCAAGAAGACATTTAAAAATTATCAGAAGTTTTCAGAATCCGGTGGCTGGAAAAATGGTAGTGTCTCTAATAGGATAAAAAAGATAAGAGGGACAGTTTATTGTGAATGAAAGAGGGACAGTTTATTGTGAATGAAAGATGATAACATTAGGACTGTACATGTTATGTTGGAAGAAGGAGTGAAATATAGATATAAAAATTCCAGAATACAGGAGTGAAGACTGTCCTTTCTTTATATGAACTTAGGGTTTTGCAAATAAAGTAGATGCTGTTAAATTCACTAGTGGATTTTCAGATAATGAGGTCAGGAGTTCGAGACCAGCCTGACCAACATGGTGAAACCCTGTCTCTACTAAAAAATACAAAAATTAGCCAGGCGTGGTGGCGGGCGTCTCTAATTCCATCTACTCAGGAGGCTGAGGCAGGAGAATTGCCTGAACCAGGGAGGCAGAGGTTGCAGTTAGCTGAGATCGTGACACTGCACTCCAGCCTGAGCGATAGAGTGAGACTGTCTCGAATATATATATTTATATTTATATGTACAAATATATATTTATAAAATATATATAAATATATATACATATATGTATGTGTGTGTATATATATATATCAAGGGCATAATATATACTAGGGAATAGATGCTGAGGATAGATACGTAAACACTATCTACAAAGTCCCTGCCTTATGGAGCATATATCATAGTAAAATTACATATATATGTCAGTCAAGTAATGATCTAAATTTTGACTTTAAAATATCAGTGTGTATGTGCTTTACAAACCAATAATCACATATTTTTCCCTTCAGTTTCTCAGCAGACTAATTCATTGTTATTATTAACTTCATAGTAAGTTCCATATGTTGCCACCAAGTGGAAGCACTTTTTTCTGAGATATTCATACTCCTTCCTTAGTTTTTAGTTAATTTATGCACCAAAGATGAGCGAATCACTGAGGCACAGCTAAAATGACAAGTATACCAAGATATATACAATGATATCCCTATGCCAGAAAGATTTTGCACTCAAGAGAATGAAGCAAAAATTGGTACAAGTATGCAAATACTAATTAGAGTATGAGATGAGATGTATGGACTGTCGTCTATATTTTAAACCTGTCAAACTTAATGTTTTAATTGGAGTTCTCCTATTAAATTAAAAGTTACATACCAGTGTCCCAGGATCACGATCAGTAGGAGAGTAGTCTAAGCGAAGCTTATAAACAGAATACAGGCAAGCTTGGAGGAGTTGTAAAATAATACGTATCTTATACTAAGTTACAGAGACCTTTTTACTAACCCCAAAAGAATTTAATTTACATGATCAAGATAAAATTACTCCAAGGATTTATTTTAAAATTTTAAGCAAAGACATTCTAGGGACAGGGGTTTTAACTCATATCATTTTAGAATGGACAGAAACTGGATATAAGAAGTGAAGGAGAGTGCATGCAGGGGAATGCATTGCAGTAGAAACGTTTTGAAAAAAAGATACAAAAGTGTAAGTGATGAATTTGGGAACTAGCATATAGTTACAGTTGGCTAAAATTTAGTGATTATGAAGGGTCTACTGAGAAAAGTTAATAGACAAAAATCTTTAGTTTTTGTATTTATTATGACTCAGTGGCAAGTCATATGTTTCTTATGCAACTATGAAATTCTAGGTGCAATAGATTAAAGGCTATTCAGATATGCCTTGAAAGCATAAATAGAACAATGTTTTCCATTTTTTTCACTCTTTCCTGATATCATGATGTCTGGCATTAAAAAAAAAAGCTTTAACAGAAAATGTATTTTTCTGGCCTTAAAGAGATTTTTCTGATTGACTCAGCTTCTTTCACATGTCTATCTTTATATCAATTTTTTCTGGCTCAGGGAATGGAGTTTCAATTGGTTTTACCTAGGTTATATAACCACCATCACTCCACTTTGCTATAAAAACTGTTCAAATGGCTTGCGTTTATTTTCTATTGCTGAAGAACAAGTTACTACACATGTAGCAGCTTAAAATACACACAGTTTATTTTCACAGTTTCCATGGTCAGAAGTACAGGCATAATTTACATAGGTCTTCACTCAGGGTCTCATAAAGCTGCAATCAAGGATTCAGCCAGCCTGCATTTTCATCTGAAAACTAGACTAGGGAATAATCCTCATCTTCCGAGTTCCATAAGTTGTTAGAAGAATTAATTCTTCTGTGATTACAGGACTGAGATCTTTGTTTTCTTCCTGTCAGTCAGCCATGGACCAGTCTCAGCACCTAGAGACTGACTAATTCCTAGGCATGTGGCTCTCTCACAACATGGCAGCATACTTCATTAAAGTCTGCAGGGGAGTTTATTTTTCTTCAGTTTTGTACTTGTTTTTAACCAAATTCCATTTCTTAAAGTTATGTAATAATTTCTCTTTTTACCATGCATTTAAAATCTTGGCTTTAAAAATGAAAAAATAGTCTCTGAGGTGTTCGTATACTTTTCACCCATATTGGCTTGTATTCTTTATTTTTCTTTGAATTACCACCTCAAAGCCCTTTCTTAATGATCATCTTTTTCTTGCATTCACACCTTTTCCAAAATCCATGCCTCATTTGTAAAAACAACCCTTTACAACCCTTTTCTATTGGGTTTGTCTGACAAGCAACAATTCATTGACAAGTGAGTTATGCAGAGGGGAATGGCATAAATAACTCTCTCAATCAGCCTAAGACAATCATTGAGGAAGTAAACACTTTTTCCGAAATTCTAAGTCAAGAATCTTATCTGTATTAAGTGTATTTTGGAGACTACAGTTAAAGTTTTAGATCTTTCTCTACAGCTATTGCTCCTTTTTTGGATTAACTTCAGTATTTTCGTGCCCCCTTAAATTGTACTTCCTAAAATTTTTGTACTGTTTCTGATATAATAAACGTTATAAATAATAAACCATGGCTATTTTTTTTTCATGTATAATAGTAAGGCCTAAATTCATGTAACTATTTTTAAATTCTGTATAACGCTGTAGAATATTGAGCTTGTGGTGAACCAAAATTTTCAAATACCCTAAGTAAAATTTTTGTTTAGCCAAGTCTCAATTACCCTCCACTTATAAAATTATTTTCTCACCAAATGCAGTGTCTAATATTCATCTTTCAAGTTTATTATTATAAGTGCAATTTCCTTCTAAAGTTTAATTTATAAACACAGTATTAACTAAAGTTAACATTTTGACTTGTCTACAAATATAAAGGGTATAATTTCTATATCTTGATTTCCAACTATTGGCTAAAATGTTGAAGAGCATAAGTTGGAAGTCACAGTCTTTGGCATGCTATTTCACTGGAGGCAGACATCAGTTTAACAAACTCTTTTAGAATATATTTTCCATTTTCAGTTATAACCATTTAACATATTAAACATCTAAATTTTCCAAGAGAATTTATTGCAATCATCACTAACATTGAGTTAAAGTATATGTATAAGGCTTTTGTAATATGCTTCTCCTAGATATCTGCATCAATTACTTAGGTCTATATCTGCATCAATGTTTAGTTCTTTGCTCAAATATCCTCTTCTCCGTAAGGGCTTCCGTGTTTATCCTATCTAATTTGCAACGTCCATCACCCCAGAAACTACTTAGTACCTTTCACTTTATTATTTTCTTTTCCTTTTTTAAAAAGTCTTACTATGCTACCCACACTGTGGAGTACAGTGGCTATTCACAGAAATGAAAATTTCACGCTACAGCTTTGAACTCCCGGGCTCAAGCGATCCTCTTGCCTCACCCACCCGAATAGATGGGTCTACAGATGTGCACCAAGCCCAGCTTTTTTCATTTTTACATGTTAAATATTTAGCTATTTGTTTCTCATTTTTTCTTGCTTCATAAAATATAAGACCATAAATACATGAATTTAATTTGCTGGGTTTTTTAAAAAATACTAGGTCCATAGCAGCTAAGGAAGAGCCTAGAAAATAATAGACACCCAAGAGCATTTGTAGATAAACTTATACGTTAATCTTATCAAGCATAATTTTTGAAAAAAATTGTGTCACAGTGCCATGTGTTTTTAATAAATTCCTGTTTTTCTAAAGTATAATAAAAAACCTTTCCAAGATGAGAAATATTTTTTAAAAAGATTTATTCTAGAACTTTTCTCAAACCTTAGAATCAGTTCAGTTTTTACAATTTCTATTCTCGGTCTCTCATTGTTTCCTTTCAGATATTTTCTTTTACCATGTCTTCATCAAATCTGCAATTGCATTACTATAAAGAATGATATAAAGTCTAAATAAAAATCTATTTTATTGTTTTTACTCATAACTGATTATAAATAATGAAAAAAATCTCAAAATACATTCTTATATTACTCAAAATGGATTTTCCAAAAGTATCCTATGTCATTTTACCTTGTCTATTATTTTTTTCAGTTTCTAATGTTTTTATAGGCATAGAATCTGACTTCTTTGCCTGCATACTAAACTTATGTTCAACATATATTAATAGGCAAAGAAACTATAACACATTCCTTTCAATTATCAAGAATAACACTAACATTCAACTGGTAAAATTCTGCACAAAAAAAGACCTGTTAAAATATTTAAAATGCTAGAAGAGGGCTTTCATTTACTATAAATGCATACTAAGAACCTTGCTGTATCACATTTTAGAAATTAAAGTTCAAGAGCCAGTGCAAATGAAAGTAAAAAGTAATCACTGTACAAAAGTCATTTGTATTTGGTGCCAAAAATTAACATAAGATAATTTCACATTTGATCTAAAGACCCTTATCTCTTGGCCTACATCTGCATGCTGCAAGTTTTGTGTGAAATTTAATAAATTGTCTTGTTTTAATATCAACTATTTTTTAAGTCTACTAAGAATAAGGTTTGCTCACAGGTTTTCTTATACCTGATAATTAAAAAATTCATTATTTTCTAATTATAAATTCTGTTTTCAAATTAATATGAAGACAGTCATTACTTACTTCAGGACTAATAATGTAACTAAGTTAAACCCTAATGGTACCTGTGTGTATATACTGACTGTGAAATAACGTGCATTCTCTTATCCGTTTGTTAAATACTGAATGCATGTTTCCCTCAAAATTCATATGTTGAAGCTCTAAATCCCTGTGTAACTATATTTGGAGTAAGAAAGGAATTAAGGTTGAATAAGATCATAAGGGTTAGGCCTTAATGCAGTAGGATTAGTGTCCTTATAAGGAGAGACATCATAGAACTCACTCTCACTTTGTGCATGAATAAAGAAGAGGTCATATGAACACAGGAAAATGGTAGCTGCCTGCAAGCCAAGGGAAGAGGACTCATGAGGAAACCTGTCTTGCTGGCACCTTGATCTTGGACATTCCACCCTCCAGAACTGTGAGAAATAAGTTTCTGTTGTTTAATCCACCCAGTCATTGGTATTTTGTTATAGCAGCCCAATCATACTAATATATTCTTAAGCTACCATTATACCCCAACATACTGCTAGTGTTCATCTACTAGGAAAGCAGCAATCAATAGAAGTATATATTCACAAAATGTATGGCTGTTGGCTTGCTTAGACCATGATATGACTCTGCTGAATATAACTGATTGACAGAACACTTCTGCTACTTTCATTACTGCTCTTAAAAGTGAAAGCATTTACCGTGGCACAGTTCTAAGCAGGGATCTTACTATTTTATTCTTCCTAATTTGAATATCTACCTGTGGATAAATCTCAAATTACATTTAATCTTCAATTCCTGATTCCCTCCTCTTTTTTTCTCCTTTATTCATCTGTTAAAAGTCTCCAGGATAGGTTCTTTTTTCTAAACTGGTTTTTGTAAGATGACAACTTGGTTTAGAATAGCTTAAAATAAAACTCCATTTCTGAAATTTGCTGATCTTTAAAAAGTAAATATCTAACTTGAATATGTTTATTATGAATTGCCACAAAAGGACACAGTATGCAGTGATCTAAATTATTGTAACAAATTTTTTGTGGTGTATATAAAACTTTATTACATTTGGTAGGACACAGTTTTAGAAATGGAAGAATAACCACTTTGACAGTTATGATTTCTATACTTTATTTTAACTTCAAATTTGATTTCTAAATAAATGAGGTCTAAATTCAGTCTTATAGAATGCCACTGATAACTACACCTTGGGTTAACCACAGTTCATTGACAAATTTCTTCACTGAATTTTTGAAAGACTATCCTTTGGGAGTTTCAATAAGATAGTCTATGTCACCTAGTTTTTCTAAATTACTAGGCTGATAGTTCCACCATATTTTGATAATTTCCCTTAGGTTACTAAATAAATTTCTTCCCTTAGGTCAATTCCTCTCTCTCTTTGTAATAGTAAGAATGTCAGAAATGATAAATTCCAGTTCACAGGTGTTTACATACACATCATCGCATTTCCATTTGATTCCACAAAATAACCATATGATTTAGAAAGAATTGTATAAGCCACATCTGATTGGCAAAAGAACTAAAGGTTAGTGAGAAGTGAAATGTCTAAGTTCCCACAACTTGTACATAGAAAAGCAAGAATTTATTTAGACCTCCTGATTTCAATTAACTATCTCTTCACTATCAATTTGTACAAATTCTATTAATAATTCTAATCTATATAGGGCCAAAATTCATTATCTTTTATGCATGATCCTATGCACACTTGGCTTCTTTACTTTATAAATAAAGTTGTGAGAAAAAACTGATTCCTTTTGAGTTCAACATTATTCAGCATCTCTTATATACTAGACAATATTCGGTACACATGGGATTCAAACAAAGGTATAAGATGGCTTGTTCTCTGAAGAGGCCAACAAATTAGAAAACTTAGATATATATATAAATATATAAAAATGAAATGCATACATACAAGATACAAAAAATATACAAGGTAAGGTGTAAGGTACAGAGGCTAAATAGAGTCAATGTCCTTGCTGAGGAAAATGGTAGTTGCTAGGAAGGGATTTATTGGGAGTTTGTAGTACAATGATACTCTTTAAGAAAAATGGAAATTTACCAGATATTTAAAAGTACAAGGAACTTTGACAAACTCAAAAGAGGAAAAAAGTCTCAACCAAGAAAGATATGAAAGTTCATGGATTTTCATAAAACTGGTATACTGTTAATGCTCAAGTAAAAAGCGAGTTGGGAATAAAAGGAGTAAGATATGATACTGAACAGATAGGTGGCTGGTAGAGAGGAAATGGCCTTAAATTTGAATCCACAAATTCCTGAATTTGCATTTTGATGCTATCATTTATTAAATGTGTTACCTTGGGAAAGTTACTCAATGCCTCTGAGCCTAATGTTCTTTTCTATAAAATTGGGATAAGAATGCCTCCTATTATGCATAATGTGTGTAATGAGCCTAGTATAAGATATGGCAATAAATAAATGCTGAATAAATGTGAGTTATTTGGTATATTAGAGTTTAGAATGGAAAAACCCAAATCTTAAACTTGTACTTTTGCTACAAATCATAAATTCTGTCTTGAATCACCATCAAATGATTTTAAATTTATAAAGTAAATTGTAGGGTACATACATTCTACACTGTCTAAACTCAGGGTCTTTTTTTTTAATAAAATGGCTGATTTTAGCTCTTGATCAAAGATCTATTTTCCAAATGTGTTACATTTGTCATTTGTTTTGTGTCATTTTTCTAGCCTGTGGCCTTATTTCCATTACATAATTTCAGTTGAACTAGTTGAGTAATTTTCCGTTCCATTTAATGTATGCATCTTATCATAAATAATTGTGATGGTGTCATATTCTTGTATTTGGAGAAAAGATCTAAAATACAATCCAATATTAAATTGCATAACTGAATAGTATGTGGTTTTTATAACAAAGCCATTTTCTTAATGTTTAATGTTTACTTCAGAGGAAAAATAAAGTCCTGATAGCCAAAGCATATTGCTTATAAATGTTTCAGAATGCACTAAATATGACAACTTATATATTTTAATTTTATAGAACACAGATCACAATACACATGAAGCTCAGGTTTTCTCCATGATTGAACTATTTACACAAGTATATATTTTTCATTGAAAGAGTGTTTCAGTTATATTTTAAGATAGTGGTAGTTTATGGCAGTTTCTTTAGCATACTATCTCTGAGTAGTATGTAACCAATTATTTCATTTGGCTTGCAGAAATCCTTAGACATTTAATTCTAATTGCATGAGAGATTATAAGTTTGAATATGCCTCTTTTCCACTGCAATTTCAAAACTATAGACAGAAAAGTTAAAAAAAAACTAAACATAAATCCAGCACTGAGTTTATAATAAATATATACATGAGGATATATATTTAAAAATTTATATTATACCGAAGTGTATTGCTTATATTTAAGCTCATGAAAATACAGTCACCTTCAGATTCTTGGATTGTTTCCAATAGTTTTCTCCATGAAATTAAAGGAAGTCTAAAATTTAATCCCAAGGAAGCAATTTTAATTATTGATCTATCATTTGTCTTTACAAAATTCTCCTGAAGTTTACTTATCTCTAGGCCTAGATGTCAGCTTTCTCTATAGTTATCTTGGGGGGTTCCTTTATTCTTTAAGGGTAGCTAAATGCCCTAAGTGAATTCCAAGTAGGAGTTCATGCATAGGAGTTTTCACTCCTACTCCAATTTAGTTACCTATTTTTACGGCCACATCTGGATCTTTTAATGACAGGACTCAAATAGATCCTGTAAATGTTACTTTTTTTAAAAAAAAAAAACCCTGTATTTTAAAATCTTTCATCCATTTTTAAATAGAAATTTCTCAGTGATCACCCTGTGCCATATGGATTTCATTTAGATACCCCCCTCCTTGTATTTCTAATTTGAAGCATCCGTAACTGTAATGTCAAGGTTCTATTTTTGAGATCCTCCAAATAGTTCTGAATTATTTTTCATTTAGAATTGGAGGCCATTGTATCACATCATAATTCTGAACTTGAAATATATATTTCCCAAATATAGAGTCAGTAAAGTAACTCATTCTGTCACTTGTTTAATTTTTCTTGTTAATCCATTTATTTGCTTTATTATTATTTAGGAAACACTGAATGCTTACCATACGCACCAGAAGCTGAATGATGTTATGGGTCTCGGTTACTATATAGTATCAAGTAAATAAACTATAAATGCCACTATAGTGTGATAAAGCCATGTTTAACAGTTTGCTTGGGTAGCTCAAAGGAGAACCAAATGTGCTATACACAGGGATCAAAAAGATTTACTGGAAGAGGTGATGTATAACCCAATCCTAAGCAGTAGCATGCCAGTTAGGGTAGTTGGGAGTACAAGGGTGCTACATTAGCAAGCAGGAGAGGCTTGACTGAGAAAAGCCTTGGAGTTACTTCTAGGGTCCTATATCATCCCTTTTTGGAAAGTTTCACATTTATTTCACCCAGCATTTCTGTGGATTCGAAGTCACAGGTTCTGGGACAGGTGCTTTGAAAACATTTGCTGTGCTTATTTTCCAATACTATATTTTCATTTTGGCTTTGTGTAATGGATTGGCAATTATAACCCGTATGCTAGATTCTCAGTTCAGTCAGTTAGCAAGATGTTCTTAGTATCACAGTAAGTACTGCCAAGAATGTCACTAAAACACTCAAACATGCTTGCCTTTCTATTCTGCTGCAAGGTCAAATTTGATCTATGTATCTTTCACTCCTTTTTCATGTATGCTCTCTGAAATCAAATTAAGCATCATAACAATATTAGTATTAAAATACCAGTATGGGCCAGGCGCAGTGGCTCAAGCCTGTAATCCCAGCACTTTGGGAGGTCAAGGTGGGCAGATCACCTGAGGTCAGGAGCTCAAGACCAGCCTGACCAACATGCAGAAACCCCATCTTCTACTAAAACTACAAAGTTATCCAGGCATGGTGGCACATGCCTGTAATCCCAGCTACTCGGGAGGCTGAGGCAGGAGAATCACTTGAACCTGGGAGGCGCCATTGCACTCCAGCCTGTGCAACAAGAGCAAAACTCCGCCTCAAAAAAATATATATATATGTATACACATATATAATATACATATACACGTATATATAATATAATATATATACATGTATATATGTATATATTATATATACATATATAATATCATATAATATATAATATATAATACGTATATATATCATGATATATATATTTTATATATGTATATATTTTATATATATGTATATATTATATTTTATATATACATATATAATTATATATAAATATATACATATATTATATATAAATATATGTATATATTAATTTAATATATATAATTAAAATATATATACGTATATATAATATATATACATATATATCATTATGATGTATCTTAAGCATTATAAAAATATTAACATTAAAATATCAATATGATATGCTTTAAACAACCCACCAAAACCCAGTTCAGTTAGTTTTTAAAGGTTTTCAAATTGTATTTAACAGGGAACTATTGGGGATAAGGAATAAGTTTGATATGGTTTTTATCCAGAGTCCCTTCATATATTTTAGCAAATCACTCTGTAAAATCTGAGTAAATCACTTGAATAAATTACTGTGGATTTCAGTTTGCCTATCAGTGAAAAGGTAATGATGGCAAAACCTGTTTAAATATATTTGTTCTAGAAACTGCTATAAAGACTATTATAAAGCAAGTTATGAGGCAATAGATTTTCAAAAAAAAATTTTTAATTATATATACATTTAGCTGTAAGTAAATTAGTTCATTGGTGTTTCCGAGCAGTCTCCGTTTCTCAAGATGTCAGAATCAGTGATATAGATGGTAGATATTGCACTTACTGAATGATGGCTGTGGAAATCAGTTTGATTTCTCTGTATTTCATGCTCAAGATCAGACTATGCCAAAAGTGCACTATATTATCTAAATCCCCCAAAAGAAGGTAAATTATGTATAAAATGTTGACTACATATCAGTTTACTGAAAATTGAAGACAAAAAATGTGTTTATCACATTGACCAATTTTTAGGATCAACTGAAATCAATCTTATTTTTAAATCGAATTTTTAAGAAAACAACTTTAGTTTCAAAAGGCAGTTTTTTGCACGAGTCAGATGAGTTCCATATAACATGACAATTTTAAAATATTACACACTGAGTCACTTCTTCCTTCATTTAATTTTCTGAAAATAATAAAACTTCAAGAAAGAGTGGCTGTTAAATTTAGCATAATAAATGAGCAGACATAATGCTAATTCAACATAGTAAGGATGCTAATTTCATTTAGCTGATGCTGTAGTGCAAATCTATCCATCATTTCTAACGGAGTCACCTATAGGTGTTTGGCATTTAATGTACCAAAATAGCTACAGCATTATAGTCGATGTTAGTTTTAATAATTCATTGTTGTACTAATACTTGGCAGAGTGGAAAATTGAAATAGTACACCAAATAGTATATGAGTAATATTAAATATCTACAGCTTTTAATCTTTAGTCAGATGCCTGCTGGGTATATAGCTAAGGAAAGTTTCGTTCTTATGTTTTTCATTAGTTTGTGTGAAGCAAAGAAAACCAATCTTATTGTTTTAAAAATATGTTTCTACTATATATAAGTCTTGAAACAATATCATTAACAGGGTGGAGAATGTGCACAGTGACATGCAGAGAACAGTTTAATTCATTTACACAAATAATATTTGAATACTTACAAAGTGTCAACTACTATAAGTGTTTACTAAGCAGGCATAATCCCTATTCTTAAACATTGTATAGTCTAGTTGAAGTTCAAAAATAATCCAGGATAAACAAATGCAAAATATAAAGGAAATGAAAAGGGTTATGTGGCAGAGCATAATAATCCATAAACTGTAACTAGGAGATAGTAAGTAACTAAAATTTTGAGAAATCGTAGATTAAAGCAATCACAAACCTGAAATTTTAAAAACAATCAAGTAAATAATGTTGCTTATCATTGACAGATCTTAATTACTTCACCACTACCCTGGTTCATCCTGCTTCAGTATTGGTCTTAATGGGAGGTATCTGGCTTAGCGGTTGCCTCTTTTCAATAACCTGTTTATAACTCACAGAACTCTTATTTCCTATGATCTAATCCAATTAAACCATGTATTGAACATCAAGAAGTATGTTTATAATATTTCATTGTGAATCTTCTTTCCAATCACAGTTGATTAGTTTCAGTATGGATATTTTAAGTAATCCAAGGATATGGTCTTAAGGAGACTTATTCTTTACTCCTTCTACCACTCTTCTACCAAATACTGCCTGTGCATTCTCTAGATTACAGTCCTAGAAGTGAGATATTCTCCATGCCTCCGCCATTACTTAGTACTCTATAAGAGTAACTGCTTTGAATAGTTACTTATAATGTAGCCCCTAAACTCCTCTGGGCTTACAACTGAATCTCATTTCTGTAACTGTAGAATATATAACATTCATTGAAAGATTTCTTTGATAATAACGACATAAACAACAAATGTATACTAGTATATAATTTACCAGTTAATTACATGTATATCAATTCATCTGACACATGGACCTAAATAAAACCCAAACACATCCAAACATAGATGATTGACATTGTTTAGACATCACAGTGATTACATGAACAATAATAACTTCAGATTAGGAAAAGTCTTAAATCGTGATTTTCTAAAGAGCACCTTGTCTCCCCTGCCATACTACTTCAAGATTATACAAAAAGTTGTTGTAAAAAAAAAGTACAAATAGAACAAACACATATAGTTACATGAAGTGAGCTAATATGTATTCTTATGCTTAAGTTATATAATATAATCTACATAAGAAAGTAATCAAGCATGACTTAAGAAACCAAAGTTAATATTTAGTATATCCTTGTCTAAACAAAAATTAATATACTACTGAAGAAAATATTGTGGAAAACAAATTACTGAGTTTAATCACAAGGCTGTTATAAATATGAATCATAAATATATCCAAATAAAAAGAAACTTTTTGTTAGAGTATCTTCAGCTGGCAGTCACAATACAGTCATGTGCTGCTTAATGACCGGATGTATATGTTCTGATGAATTGCATTGTAGGTGAGTTTACTGTGCAAACATCCTAAAGTTTTCTAACACAAACCCAGATGGTATAGCCTTTTGCTCCTAGACTACAAATCTCTGCTGAATACCGTAGGCAATTGTAACCCAATGGTAAGTATTTATAGATACAAACATATCCAAACATAGAATAGGTGCGTAAAAATACAGTACAGTACAATCTTATTGGACCGTCATTGTATATGTGTTCTCGGTGCAATTTTCAGGTGGGCATGTTAAAAACATTATTCTCCATTTATTGAAAATGAAGGAAAAAGTATAGTCAAGCCTGTCATATCATGAATCAAAGGGTCAAACATTAGCTGCATGTGAAAAATCATTTTCTCTTTATTGTTTGAAGCATTTAAATATATTTTAAAATATTAATCAGTTTTATGTGATGTAGATACTATTAAGTGTAAATATTTGAAAGCTATGCTAGTTTTGAAAAGATGTTATATCTGTTTAGGCAGAAGGTGTATATATGTAGAAATAAGATTTAGATAATGAATTTCTTCTTCCCAATATATTTAAGTTGTAGCAATGTAGAATAATTGTTTCTGAAGCATATATGATTATACATCTACATTATGTGAATTATTCTAAACTCATCTTTTTAAAGCAATGTAAAAAGCTATCCAGAGAATATAGAAATATTTTATTTTTGTATCAGGGTCCAGAGTTTCATAATTTATTTAAGTTACACTGAAATTATTGGATATAGGGATCTACAAAATATTCTGCTAGTCAGGTCTATGCTGGAGGTTATAAAGATTATTTCACGTCACTGATTGAATAATATAAATATATCTTCCAAACTATTAAAGATCACTGGAAAGAAAATAGTCCAAAATCAGCATGGTGGATCAGCAAAACATACAAGGAAGATGAAACTGTATTGACTTACTCAAAGTAACTACGTAAATAAGACAGAAATTGGGATAAATGAAAAGAAAATGAAACCATTGTAAAGAGTAATAATATGAACTCAGACAGAAATAGTAATTTCAAGCATATTAATAATCCACATAAATCAGATTGGGCTTGAATTAACAGAAGGATATAAAAATTGTTTAAAAATAGTCTTCTTATAAGAGATACACCTAAAATAAAATGGAGGCATGAAAACTGTATAGAAGATAAATGCTAACAAATGTAAATATAGTGATACTATTATTAAAGTAGAATTTTGTGTTGCATCATTAAATTAGGATGTGGCAGCCATAAGAATATGCCTTGTAGACATTCTGTAACAGAAAGTGTAAAAGACCAAAGGCAAGTTCAAGCTTTGAAACCCATCACACATTTTCACAGAGACTATATCCTACAGGAGTACTTCACAGATACCAAGACAGAAAAGTTCGTGGGAGAGACAGGACTCTCAGCTGCCTTTGCTCAAGGATTCCCTGATGGCTTTGCAGAATCTTCCCTACACTGTATGGAAATTTAGGATGCTTTTGTCAACAATCTCCCTCTATTCTTCATTCAAAATTAGAATCAAAACACAACCTGTCCTTCACCTACCCTTATCCAGCTCCTTCTCTATTTTACATAATGAACACATTTATCCTAACACAATCCTTGTACATTTAAATCTGTCTTGATGTTTGCTACCTAGAGGACCTAAAGAAGGACACAGAACAAAAATATTTTATATTCACACAAGTACATTCTACCAAGAATATAAAAGAGCTATGAAATTTTATGTACCTCTTTTTCTTTCTCTCTCTCTCTCCACACACACACAAACACACACACACATATAATGAAAAAGCTAATAGAAAGACAAAGAGAAATTAAAAACATATAACCATATTTGGAAAATGTAATTCAACATCTTGAAAAAACATGCCAAGATAAAGTGTAAATTAGCCAAGATTATTTGAATAACACAAATAACAGACTTGTAGGTATCCATTTATCCCTCTGTTGAAAGAACATGTTATACACATAAAGGGAAGTAATTTTTACATACATGGTTTAAAAATTAACTACATAAAACTAAAAAGCATTTCCCTATTAGCTAAAGAAAAAAAATCTCTTTTAAACCCACTGATCCCAATAAATAAAAGTAACCATGAAGGCTCAAATCAAATATAGAAAAAGTCAGATATTTCCATTTTAAATTCTCTTCTAAATAACTCTGATCAAGAATATAAAATTACTGATTAGAAATCAATAACAAAATCATATATAATACAAAGAACTACATATTCTACAATTTTAAGTTAATTTAACTTTTAAAAGAGACAGATTCATATTAATAAGTTTAATATTTAACACAAATACTGAGAGCAGAGATGATCAAACAAACTTTACAAACTTAGCTGCCAGAAATTCAATTTTGTTTGCTATTGCATATTGTAGTATTGAATTTTTTAAATATTTCTTAATTTAATGATCTACTTTTATATTGACAAACATTTAGTTTAATTCAAGTTTTGAGCTATTATAAATAGCACTGCATGAAGTTGCCTCTGTACTTTTTAAAAATTAAACAGGCACTTCTTTCCTTTGGGTACATACTGAAGAGTGGAATTTCTAGAATCAAGTGCAATCATATTTTAACTTCTGTAGAGACTGCCTAAGAGTATCTACCTAAGTGCTTGTACTTACCCATAGTTTCACTAACAGTGTCTGAATATTCTGGCTGCTTCAAAACTCATCCTCTTTGCTATTGTCAATTTTTAATTGTAGACATTCTGGTAGACATCTATTAGGGGCTCATTCTGATTTTAATATTTTTTCTAGTCCTCCAAGTTTATGTGGAGATGTTTTTCATATTAGTTATTTACTTATTTTCTTTCACAAAGTGTTTTCCATATATTTTTTCATTTCTTTAAAAGTGAGTTGTTCATGTTAGTGGTGAAAGTTATTACACATTGAGGACACAGATTCCTTGTCAGATACAGTACAGCAAAAATCTCCCAGACCATGACTTGCCTTTTTAGTTCCTTAATGGTATATGTGATGTCAATAATTTCTAAATTTTAATATAGTCTAATCCTTTCATTTGTGGTAATACTTTAAATGTTCTGTTTCAGAAAATGTTGCCTATCCAACAGATATAAAATTATTATTCTATATTTTCTCTCAAATATTTCATTGTTTTACCTTTAATTTTTATGCCTACAGCTCATCTCAAATTAATTTGTGTAAATAGTATGTGATAGGGTACAAGGTGTATTTTTTCTCTTATAATACCTAACTGATCCAGCATAATATATGGGTTCTCTTTTCTATTCCATTGATGTTTATATTTGTGTTTGTCATGATACCATCAGCAACTGCTATAAACTCATAGCTAATTTTTATACCTGGTAGTTAAGTCTTCCACTATTATTTTTATAACCCGATATTTTCTTGGCTATCTTAGACATTTTCACTTTCATAAAATTTTAGAATAGTCATGTTAGTTTAAGAAAAACTGATTCTAATTGGGACTGTACTGTAACTATAAATTTATTTGGGGAGAACTGGCATACATAACAAAATATTCTACCTTTCAATCTAAAACAAAGCTCATCCTTTCATTTTAGCCTGTATTTACATTAATTTGCCTCAGTAATATTTACAGTATCCAGTAAACATGACACCTATATTTCAAAAGATAGATTTATAAATATCTTATGTTTATGCATAGTTTAAGAAATAATAATTTCTTAAATTTTTATTTTATAATTATCTAGTTTGGGTATATACAAATAAAATTGTCTTGGCCAGGTGCGGTGTCTCACACTTGTAATCCCAGCACTTTGGGAAGCCAAGGCGGGTGGATCACAAGGTCAGGAGTTCGAGACCAACCTGGCCAATATAGTGAAACCCCATCTCTACTAAAAATACAAAAATTAGCCAGGTGTAGTGGCATGCACCTGTAGTCCCAGTTACTTGGGAGGCTGAGGCAGAAGAACTGCTTGAACCTGGAGGCGGAGGCTGCGTTGAGCCAAGATCATGCCACTGCACTTCAGCCTGGGCGATAGAGTGAGAGTCCATCTCAAAAAAATAAATAAATAAAAATAAAAACTAAAAATTTCTGATTATTCATTTATTTTCCCAGTAACATGATTAATTCGGATTTAAGATCCTAGTTCTCAGCACATTTTTTGGCTTTTATATGCACAAAAGTACAGTATCTATGCATAAAAGTTTCATTTTCCTCTGTTAAATCTACATAAACTTTATTCAATTTTATTTCTTTTTCTTTGCTTTTAGGGAGTCTAGTACAACAATAAATACAAGTAGTACTAGAGGCACACTCATTTTTGAGACATTTCGATCTGTAATTTTTCTTCTTTGTAATTCATGATCTAGAAGAAAGTTGTCAGTTGGACTTCATCAAAATTTAAAACTACTGCCCTTCAAAATATATTGTTAGGAAAATTAAAAGACAAGAGAGGTTACACACTGGGAGAAAATATTTGCCAGGCATATATCTGATAAAAGATGTGTATACAGAATTTGTAAAGAACTCTCAAAACTCAGTTATAAAAAACAAACAATCCAGTAAATGGGAAAAAGATTTAAACAGACACCTCACCAAAGAGATGTATCTGTGAATGAAAACATAAGCTCATGAGATAATATTCAATCTTATGTGACATTAGATAAATTCAAATTAAAAACACAATGAGATATGAGTACCCATTAGAATGTCTAAAATTAAAAAGAATAATTATATCCCATGTTGGAGGAGATAAGGAACAATTGTTGGTTGGAATGCAAAATGATATGACTACTGGGAAATAGTCTGTCAGTATCTGAAACACCTAAGTATACGCTTCCATATGACTCAACTATTCCATACCGAGGTATTTACCCCAGTGAAAAGAAACGACATGTCCATAGAGAAACTTATAGACATGATCATAGTGACTTTATTTGTAATATTCAAAAAACTAGAAACAACCCAAATGTTTAATAAGTGAGTGTTCAATAAGATAAAAGTTTAAAATGGAATATTAATATATATTACAAATATCAAATAATTTGAGAATTTTTAATGATTTTTAAATTTTGAATCTCAAAATAAATAAACTGAGTAAAATAATTCAGACTAAAAATGAGGATATGCTCTCTATGGTTCCATTTCTATAAAACCATATATAAAGTAGTAATCTATATTACCCAAAAGTAAGAATTTTTTTAGGGGGACTGAGGATTGGGAAAAGTAGTAAGTGGGAGGGATTACCATGTAAAAGTAAGAAATTTAGGGGGATGATGGACGTGTTCATTATCTTGATTGTATTGATAGTTTCAAAGTCTATCAAACTGCGGATACTTGAAGTGCAGTTTATTTTATATTAATTATACCTCAATACAATTTTTTTTTTTTAAAGAGAACAAATTGTCTAAGGTAGTGATTCTCAAAACAATGTAAAGAGTTTGTTAAGAGACAGATTACTGGTCGCCAATCCTTAAATTATCTGGTAGGCAGCCTGAGAATGTGAGTTTCTAAAAAGTTCTTAGGCATTGTTCATGTTTCTCATAAACAAATTATAGTTTGAGTCTTATTCCTTTAAGCTGCAGCTACTCAAAAGTGTTGTCCTCAGGCTAGCATGTTTAGCATCACCTGTGAGCTTGTTAGAAATGATCAACTCAGGCCACAGCCCAGATGTACTGAATCAAAATCTGCACCTTTTGTGTGTATGTGTGTGTGTGTGTGTGTGTGTGTGTGTGTGTATGTATTTGAGACAAGGTTTCACTTTGTCACCCAGGCTGGACTGCAGTGGTGTGAACACAGCTCACTGCAGCCTTGGCCTCCAGACACAAGCGATCCTCCCACCTCAGCCTCCCGAGTAGCTGGGAATACTGGTACACACCACCACACTCAGCTAATTTTTGTGTTTTTTGTAGAGATGGGGTTTCACCAAGTTGCTGAGGTTTGTCTCAAACTCCTGAGCTCAAGTGATCCACCTGCCTCAGCCCCCCAAAGTGCTGGAATTACAGGCATGAGCCACCATACTCAGCCCTAAATCTGCATGTTAACAAGACATATTATTAATACATATGCTATATGGGCAAAATGATATTTGAAATATGATATGTATCACTTGAATGATTTTTCTCAACCATGTTAGAAAATGTATTTGAGTCTCATTCACCGAAAAAGCCGGAGGATTTGGGCAATTTTTTTCTTCCCTGAATGGATATGTAGTGTTAAACTTACCCTCTTCATAGGTTATTATTTCAACTGAGTTAAAGGTCTTGAGTTGTGGATTCTGGATAATTTTTATAGATGTACTCATCCTAACAAAGCTAAAACCAAGAATTGTTTTTTCTTCTCTATCTCATTTCATCTAAGATAACTAAGTTTCTGCTATGGTCGTTGACTGGAAATATAAAGTGATCCTGAAGAGTGTGAGCACTGTTAAAAAGTTGGAAATTTTTATTTTCAAGACATTCTGCTTGAGGGCTAGTATATGATAACTTTTAATTGTCTAATAAATCCTTCAGGTTTTAAAACGTGAAGCATATTTGAAGTTTGGAGACAAAAACATCTTCAATGGTATTGCAAGATTATATTTATTAAAGTGACAGACTGAAGAACACCAGTACTACCTAAGTATCTCAGTAAGATTTTGGCTGAAATTAAACAAAATAAAAACTTTTAAAATTTATTTAGATACTTGTTTAACATATGGACTTCTACGGCTTTAACTTAAAAAAAAGACAACTTATATTTTGAACTCTAATATCTTCATGGAATCTGAATATTTTTAGAGGGAACTATTTCATCATTGTTTTACACTGCTGATTGTAAAATATTTACAAAATTTTGATGCTGCCATAATTTAGACTCATTGTGTAATCTCTGTTTGAGAATAATCTGAGATAGAAGACACAGTAGAGAATACATTTTTGCCCAGAGAGCAGAATATCTTTGATTCATGTCACAGCCTACCAAAGACAAAATTTTTAAACACTTCTTTCCAGTGGTTTCAAAATGATGCAAAAGTGAACAATTGTTGATCTTGGCAGAATAGAAATATAAAGATGGATGTAAAACTTCTGGTCCCTTCAGAAAACCAGCTATAGCAGTGGTTGATTGTAAACTTATCTGATAAGCCTAGCATGGTAAGCAAGACCTACTGGCATTTAGAATTACTTAATAAGCATTTACAACCTAGAGTTGGCTGAGAACCCTTCTCAGAGATTCTAATTTAACTGGTCAGTGATATGCCCAGTTTCTGGTATATTTACACTTGAAAGAATTCTAATGTACTGCTAGGCTTGAGAACTACTAAGGACAAAAACACACCTCTCTTTCATTTCTTTTAGTATACTTTCATTATTTTTGGACACTCTAATAGCATATTTTTCCTTTCTATGGAAAAGGTGTGACATACGATTAGGGAGCTAAAACAAAGAAATTTAAAAATCGTAATGCATTTATTTTCTCATCTTTTTAATAATCTGTCTTCAGAATTCACATGTGGTCTGATATTCTATGTGGAAACTTACCAAGGCAGGTCTTACTCCTGCAAGGTCTCTGTGAGAGGGAGAGAAGACAAACATAGAAGGTTATAGAACTGAGTATAAGGTATAAAGTTGTAGTGAACCATTTCGCCAAGGTTCTTATAGTAAATATTGTGGTACACCATTCAGAAACTCCCTTTAGGGATAAATGTGATGCCTAATGGTGGGTCACAGCTGAATCCTCTGAAAAAACTTTTCTTTGGAAAAGGAATTTATTTGATCAAAGTTACTCTTCTTCCCCAGGGATGGCTGGCTTCCAGTGACTATTTCTGCTAAGTACAATGTTTCCTCCTCCATCCTCCAGGCCCTAGTTCAATGGAGGATATCTTTGAAGAGCTACACCTGCTGCAGATCAACCCATGGGACTGGCTGAGTGTTTGTTTTTATAACAGCACTGCAGATCGACTTTCCCTCTGCCCAACTCTGCTTCTTTGACCCTCTTAAAGGTATGGTTCATTAAAGCATTCCCTAATAATCTTCAAACTCAGTCTTCTGCAGAACTAGGCTAATGACCGATGGTGTCAGGAAAGGGAAGCGGTCTCTAAAAATGGGATTTTTGAGATAAACTATTCATTGGCCAGTTGGCAATAAGAATCTCATTACTGGAGTAGAGGGAGTATTCACAGTCTCTGGCATGAGACATCAGTGTCGTTGTTACTACCTCATCAACGGTAAACTGAAATGATATACCAGTAAAATAAATGCACTGAAGTGTCAATATCTTAGGCATTTGAGAGTTTCCAGGGAGGTAGTATTTATAAGAAACATAATTGCTTGGATTGTGTCTCAGGGTGATTAATGAATCAAAGAAAGATAGCAAAAATCTAAATTAATTCATCACCAATTTAAGATGATGTTAAAAGCCATGGTGCCTTTTTGACAATCTAAATGGAGACTTTTATCTCCTGCAGCTGAGGCTCAAGGTCTGCAGTGCCAGAGACAGTTAACTCCTAGACCAAGAATCCCACTGTACCATGATCAGAGTTCTCATTGGGAAGGAGTGAGACCCTTACAGTTGGGAGGGGATGTGTGCGTCAATGCTCGTGAATACCTTGATTCTCCTGAACTCTGAGACTGCAGAGTCTCCTAAATCCTCTGAGACGAGGCTTTTCAGAATCCTCTGGAGGAAGGTCCATGTTAAAATCTTGCGTCCCATTTCTTTGAAGACAGTCTAACAGTTGCTACCTGAAAAGATGACCTGTGTGCCCCTCAGAATCTCCACCCCTCCTCCCATGTTGTCCATCAGAGTAATAAACAGTGCTAAGTGACAACATAACTCAGCTGAGATGGTACTTGATCCACTAAGGGAAGAAAAAGGACTCTAACCTGAAAGAGCTGCAGAGTCTGGTGAGCAGGTGCTAACATCAGCCAGGAGGCTATGATGTTAGAGACTTGGTGCAGAAAGTCTTATATCAAGGATGTCATAACATAAAACAGGAAAAGAGAGAGTTTATAATTTGGAAACTTCTCATATATGATGAGGTTTAAAATTCTGTCAGGGACACAGGAAACGGTGTTAATCTGGTAGAACAGCAATTAAAAGCCTGGAGAAGGCAATACCTCTCACTAAGTTAAAAATAAAAGCCATAGCTTGCTGCTAAAGCAAGCAATAGGAAAAGGAACTGAGAAGCTCGGTGAAATGGGATGTTGGAGTGGACATATACTTTTTAAGGCTGAAAACCACCAGTTATTTTAAGGGAGGCCTGAAGGGCACTCCATTTACACAGATGCTAACTCATTCATTGATGAGAAACTAAGCAATGGTTTCCCTGTAGACCCTATAAAACAGGTATGAGAGTTGCAGAAACTGTTACAAAATTGGGTTCCTAGATAGTAATGAAAATAGCAATGAAAATTTCCTAAAATGAAGAAGCCATTGCAATGGTTCTAAACTATCAATAACAAAGTGAATGTAATTATTGTATAAGCAACAATGTTAGTAAAACCAGGGTGGTGGCTGACACTGAACTACAGAGATTTTTAATAGGATATAGCATCCTTAGGGAAAAGATATATAAAGGGCAAGATAGATGGCTCAATCTGTATAACCAAGACGTACAATCGAGATATTGAGTATATATGATCCAGAAACTCAGAACAGCTTCCCCTAAAATGTCATGATGCTGTACTTACTTTCTAGTCCTGGGCCAGTTGTTAGGTTCAGAACTAATTGACTGAAGGTCTGCAAGTTCCTAGAAGGAAGGACCCCGAAAAACCACACTATGTGTAATTTGTAGTAATTCACCTAGCCTCTTCCCAAAAATATTCAGAACAATTTATTCAGGAAACAACACACTAGGAAAATGGGAATACATAAGTACTTGGTGAATCGTTGGACATAGAATCCTAGTTGATGTTGATCTATGGTACCTGAAGCATCATTGCCCTTATGCAGGGTGAAGTCTGGGTATTAAATAGAGAACTGGCTCAAGTATGGCTTATGGTGGGCCCACTAAGTTCACAGACTCACCACCACCTAGTCCTCATTTTCCCAATCTCTGAATGTTTAATTTAACTAAGCATATTTTTCAGTAAACCAATCCTCAAACTGCTTTCTTGGCCTGTTTGATAAGATCTAGTTTGTGAGTAAGGCCTGCAAAATTACCCATTTCCTTACCAAGTTATTAAATAAAGACAATATCACATACCACAGGAGATAGGAGAGGTTAGTACTACCATTAAATACATAGAAAATTAGAAAAGTGTGGTCTCCATTAATATTCTCATTTATTTATTGTGCCAGTCCTTAGAGGAACAAGATGGATTCTAGAGCATGACAACTAACTACTTCAAACTTAAGCAAGTAGTATCCAGATTTCTGCTCCAAAGAGGCTATCTCTGCAAGAGCATATTAACATGGCCTTGGACACTTAGTATGTATTCACTGACAGTCAATATATTCTTCTTAATCCTTACAGTTCACATTTACATGAGATACAGCAAGACTACATTAGCCCTTTCCTCTTCTCTCACAAAATACCCCCAAAGAATCTAGACAATCAAGACATTCAACAGATTATCAAATTGGTCTGCTCTATCAGTGAAATGATAATTAAATTAACTAAGCAAAAAGGGAAAGTATGTTTAAGGACTTGGCAAGATTCATATGCTCCCTTAGTGAACTAAAAATAGAACTGCCATTCAATTCAGCAATCCCACTACTGGGTATCTATCCAAAGAAAATGAAGTCATTATATGAAAAAGTCACATGTACACGCATGTTTATAGCAGCACAATTTGCAATAGCAAAAATATGGAACTAACCTATGTGCCCATCAACAAACAAGTGGATAAAGAAAATGTGGTATATATACACCATGGAATACTACTCATCCATAAAAAGGAACAAAATGCTTTCTTTTGCAGCAACTTGGATGGGGCTAGAGGCCATTATTCTAAGTGAAGTAACTCAGGAATGAAAAAACAAATATTGTATATTCTAAGCTATAAGGATGCAAAGGAATAAAAATAATTCAGTGGATTTTGGGGACTCAGGGGATTGAGAAATTTGGGGAGGGAAGTGAGGAATAAAAAAACTACATATTGGGTGCAGTGTACAGTGCTTGGGTGACAATAACATCTCAGAAATCATCACTAAAGAACTTATCCAAGAAACAAAACCCACCCGTACCCCCAAAAACTATTGAATTTTTTTTAAAAAACAGGAGACTTAAAAGCAAAAGAAAAATTCCTGTGCTTCAAAGCATAGGAAGTAAACACTCAAAAGCTTATGGGACTTATTTATATCGGTGAGGGTTTCAGAGATCCAATGCCCTTCCATACGCTTTTTTCAAAAGTAAAGCAAAGTATTTTGCATCTTGCACTACTCAAAACTACAAAGGAAGCACTGGAACCTACTAGACATTTTTGTATTCTAAATACAGCATATTTCATACCTGGTGTTACTGCTTTGACTCAGGTGAATTGATGGCTGACAGCTTTTAGTTGAACCCAGTGCAGAAAAGGAATCTGCAGCAGATAGAGACTATGATATACTTGGACTATCTGATCCTCCAGAAATCACACCACTTAGAATGTATGTCAAGCACCAGTATGGTCATAATAATGTAAACTTTTAATTTTCCATAGCAAAGCCACAATATCTGAAGCAGAGAATTACCCACCATGTGAAAACAGCACCTGGTATGCTACTTTGAACTATCTTGTACATGTCACCTGATTAAGAGATGTCAAGTGACTTTCAATTAATAATGTTCATCATGTATAGGTCTGTCAGAACTACCACGTCAAAAGGTTGGGTAGGCTGAACAGCAATGCATTGTAAGCCATACATGTTACATAATAAGTAGGTTACAGGTAGGTCCTGAGCACACAAAATAAACTGAATAAGTAAGTTCTCCAGATTTCTAATCTCCCCAATTTTGTCCCAACACATATCTGTCAGCTCACATCTATGTATGTAATATGGTTTGGCTGTGTCCCCACCCAAATCTCATCTTGAACTGTAGCTCCCATAATTTCCACGTGTTGTGGGAGGGATCCCATGGGTGATAAGTGAATCATGGGGGTGGTTTCCCCCATGCTGATCTTGGGATAGTGAATAAGTCTCACAAGATCTGATGGTTTCATAAGGGGTGTCCCTTTTCATTTGCTCTCATTTTCTCTCTTGTCTGCCACCATGTAAGATGCGCCTTTCAGCTCCCATCGTGATAATGAGGCCTCCCCAGCCACATGGAACTGTGAGTCCATTAAACCTATTTTTCTTTATAAATTACCCAGTCTTAGGTATGTCTTTATCAGCAGTGTGAAAACAGACTAATACAGGGTGTGATCATTTAAAGCAATGATCACACTGATGGGTGGGGGGTTAACTTAAAACAAATGACAGAAGAAGAGCAAGTCTGAGCTTGGTTCCCACATGGGTCAGCATATATTTAGATGCAAACTGAAAATGCAGTTGTCAAGTGCTACAACTACATTCAGATGGAATGGCCCCTTCTAATTAACAGAGCTTGAACTTGACAAATTCAGATCAATCAGCTTGTCTTCAGCAACCCCAGTGCTTGTTAAAATTGGCCCATAATGACAGCAATAGGTTGTGGACACTCATTAAAGCTAATCTAGCTACTGATGCTTCTTAATATCTAATAGAATCTAATATTAAGCATCTATCATAAAACCATATCTAGAAGATACCAATGAGCTACCTTGGTGGCAGATTGATATCATTAGACTTCTTTCACCATTGTACTCTTTATTTTCACCAGAACAAACTAATTGCAGACATAGATTTGTCTTTCTTAACCAGCATCGTTGTCTAAAGATTTATGTAGTGATCCACTGATGTAAGATCCCTCATTACATCACATTGGACCAAGCAGATGATGTGCATCAGTGAGCACATCAACATGACATTTATGAATTCCATCACAAACCACACACACAGCAACCTCTAACCTGAAAGGGAAATGAAACATACTCTTGAAGGTTCAACTAAGACTTCAACTTGGAGATGGCACCTTACAAGGATGGGCAGTCATTCCTTTGGATGCAGTATACAGTTTACACCAATGATAAGTATATAGTTCTAGGTATACGATATATAGAATAAATGGGTCAGGGAATCAAGGACTGTAAAAATGGTCTTGTTCACTATCACTGTTAGTGTCCCACTTGGAATTTTTGCTTTCTGCTTCCAGAAAGAAGGTATACAACTCCTAGTTAGCAGAAGTAGAATTTTACAAGAATCAACAACAAAAATAAACAAACAAAAAGTAAAAATCACAGCTGCCACTTGATAGTTTGCACATTGTGTTTCAAGAGAGGAGAAGAGGAGTTATCATACTGGCCTAACATTCAGAGGGAAGCAGACCTACTGTTACTCAATAGGACAGGAAAGAAAACATTTGTAGTGTAGGTAATCCTCTGGGATGTTTTCTGTTATTCACCTACTTAATTTAGATGATAAATGGGTAAAAGCAGCCACTACAGCCTAGGAAGTGTATGGTGACCAGACCCATGTAGGCAAGCAGAGGGGCAGGATAAAGGTGAAGAGTATCTAAGCTAGGTAATAGAGAAGCAAGGTAATATGAAAAAGTTGTAACCCTGAGACCAGTTACATGTCAGGGGCTGTAGTTCATCCTACTAACTATCTTTTTATAAGTTTTCTCAGAAAAAAGAAGTCCAATCTGAAGCCCAGAGAACCTATTCCCCAAAGAAATGAGCTTATTATACAAAGCCAATGGATTTATCTTACAAAAAGGGCTGTTTTCCCAGCAGCTGAAACTATCACTTGCTGGCAACATTTGGCCCTTGGCCAAACAAATCTAACTTGCTCAAGTCTGCAGCCTGTCCTCAGAAAGAATCCTGTACCCAGTGACTGGTCCAGCATAGGTTCAAAAGATTGACTCCTTGCATCAATATGGCACATCATTGAAATATTGTCTGAACTTCAGAGCTCCTCAAGGATGTTCATGAGACCTCTGTTACAACTGCTCCTTTTCCTGGTCATCATCTTTTCATCAGCCTCCCGGGTGAATTATCTGCAAGTAAATCTTCACCTGAGACTCATTTTCTTATTACCAGACCTACAACAGATCTCAGACATTATCTTTTTATTATTATAATTATTATTATCATACTTTAAGTTCTGGGGTACATGTGCAGAACTTGCAGGTTTGTTACATAGGAATACACGTGCTATGGTGGTTTGCTGCACCCATCAACTTGTCCTCTACATTAGGTATTTCTCCTAATGCTATCCCTCCCCTAGCCCCCATACCCTGACAGGCCCCGGTGTGTGATGTTCCCCTCCCTGTGTACATGTGTTCTCATTGTTCAACTCCCACTTATGAGTGAAAACATGCGGTGTTTGGTTTTATGTTCCTGTGTTAGTTTCATGTACAATCTTTAATCAGGGCTAAAAGTAATAAATTTGGTACTTTTACCCCAATTCCTTCACACCTGCTTCTTTTACTTGATTCTCAAACTTACAAGGGAAATAGTTGTAGATAATCACAACCCCTTATCCCACCAGAGATGCTCCTATTCAACAACTTTGGAAAGCTATAATAAGGCAGTCATCTTTCACACTTGCCTTCCCCCTTAATGGCCTCTGGAATATAAAGCAGAATAAAAGAGTTATGACACAGCTACAGAGAAAAGATGACTTGGCTCAAATCATGACTCTGCTGTTGGAGAGAAAAAGACTCCTTGTTTCAGGGATGGTCACAGCAGTGCCCTCTCTGCTCCCTTTGGTAGTTTGACAGAGATGTTGCTCTGAAGGAATGAATACACTTATTGAAAGAAAAATGTATCTAGCCGGTATCAACAGGATGATTTGAAAATTAGGTTAGATAAATTTTAGCCTAACAATGCTGTTTTCCTAGTTAGAAAGCTCCCCTTGTGACATGTCTCATTCCATATGTTCTGGCCTCCCCTTGTAAGTCCCTTATGGGATTGAGATTCCTTCCGAACCTTTTTACTCATTCAACTGTCATGTCTCTTCACAAGATGATGAAGGGTCTGGCAAGGATGGGGTTGTGAGACACAGATACACTTCTCCATAGATTTTTTTTCTTTATTTTATTTTGTTTTATTTTTATAAGATACAGGGTCTCGCTCTGTAACCCAGGCTAGAGTACAGTGGCAGAATTATAGTTCACTGCAGCCGTGGAATCCTGGGCTCTAGTGATTCTTCAGCCTTAGTCTCCTGGGTAGCTGGGACTATAGGCATGTGCCACCACACTCAGCTAATTTTGTGTGTTTGTTTTTGGTAGAGATGGGGTCTCACTGCATTGCCCACACTGGTCTCAAACTCCTGGCCTCAAGCAATCCTCACGCCTTGGCCTCCCAATGTGCTGTGATGACAGGTGTGAGCCACCATGCTGGCAATAAATTTTTCATAAAAAGAAGTTATACTTTCATCATATAATGCATGCACTTGTGTGTATGTATGCGTTTGTGTTCATGCCTCATGCACTGCATATCACAACCATTGTGAGACTTAGGCAATTCAGTGAAGCTTTCTTTGTCTCCATCTCCTGTTTTATATAGGATTATTGTAATCATCTCAAGGGAATGTTTTAAAGATAAACAGTTGTGCTCATTATAGCACAATGGCTTAAAAATGATAGCCATCCAATTGTGCTGCATAAATCCATATCTCACGAATGCTACCATCCTCACAAGATACTATTTCTTGTAAAACAGTTAAGATACCATCCAATCATATCCCTGCATTCCTATAATCCAGTCCTCCCCTGTTATTTATTCTCCACACCTTTTCCAGGGTGAGCGTTTCTAAATGCACATCTAATTGTATAATAACAGCATTAGAGGCTTTAGCTGACTTTCTTCATTATGAGAATAGGGGCCGATATTCTTATGATTTCCAATAAAAATTCTGTAAGTTCTGACATGAGTGTCTTTTCAGTCTGCTCTTGTAAAATAATATCCTCCCTCTTCATCCTCTGATCTAGCCACACTTCTCTCAGTTCTTTTAGGAGACAAAGTTCCATTCATCTCAGAGCTTCTACAGGCATTATTTTGAATGCCCAAAATCCTCTGTCTCCTTACAAGTTGACTCCTAATTATTCTTCAAATAACAATTAAAATGGTATGTCCACATGAAAATTCTCCCCACACCAGGTCAAATACTACTATTGTCATTTTCTCCTTGAATTCAAAAGTTTTCCTTCTTAGCATTTACCCCAGTTGGTCATTCAACTACTTTCACTATTATATGAATAGTTATTTGCCTGACTGCTACCAGACTATAAACCAACATATCCACATTGTTCAGCAGATTGCCAAGAATGACCATCTCTCATTTTTTTAATAAATAGGTAGATGGAAGAGTGGATTAATGAATGAAGCAAAAATAAGATCTTCCAATAATTACGTACAAGTGTAATTTCAGATGAGAATCACTGCTTTGATTCATTACTTCTAAAGATCTTACAAATTGAAATATTGCTAAGTTGATAATGGGCTATAAAATATCTCCTCACAATTCTGTATAGCATTTCTTCTCAATAAATCCTATGTATGGCCATTGAGAAAACACCAGAATAGGCAGCAGAAAAGATTCAGTTTCATGTACTTTGAAGTCTTGTAGAGATCATGGAGGAAAAACATAAAAACATAAAAATGTGCAAAGTGTTCAATCAAGGATTAAAACAGAGCAATATACTGAAGCATAACTGAGTAGCAAATTTTGATTGAGAGGATACATAGAAAGGTATTTCAAGGCAATTCTATATAGCATTTATTCCTAATGAAACCTATTCAATTTATTCAACTAATATTTTTTTAGTGCCAAATATGTACCAAACACTGTATGGTCACTGAGAAAACACTAGCATACACAGCATGTAAGATTCACAGTTTCGTGTACTTTGAAGTTCTGTGGAGATCGTGGCAAAAAAAAAATATGAAAATGTGCAAAGTGTTCTACCAAGGATTAAAATAGAGCAACATACTGAAGCATAAGTGAGTAGCAACATGTGATTGAGAGGATACGTATAAAGGTATTTCAAAGCAAGTGAATTTTAAATTGAATTTTAAAAGGCAGTATGTAATGTGGGAGGCCAACCTCTAAAATAGCCTCCAATAATTCCCAGCTGCTGGTATTCACACCCTCGTGTAATTACACCTTCCCGTGAGTGTGTTATTTGCTTCTAGTCAAGAGAATATGGCAAAGGTGATTGTGTGCCACTTCTGTGATTGAACTACAAAGACAGTGATTTCCAGCCAGCTAGAAGACTTTATTGCCTTCCTGGATTGTATGCTTTGATGAGGCAGACTGCCATGATGAAAAAGCCCATGTGGCAAGAAACTGAGGGCAGCCTGAACCAACGGCCCTTAAGTCCAACAGCCTGCAGAAACTGAATCCTGCCAACAAACAAGTGAGACTGGAAACAGATCCTTTCCCTAGTCAACCCTTTAGATGAGATTCCAGATCTGGATGTCATCTTGGCCATAGTCTTGTTAGAGAACCAGTCAAGCTGCGCCCAGATTTCTGACCCACAGAAACTGAGATGATCACTGTGTGTTATTTTATGCCACAGAGTTTTGGGATTAATTTTTATGAAGAAATAGATAACTAATATAGTTTTAGTTGCAAAATGTCTGGGAGAGAAAAAATTCTAGACAGACAATACAGCTATTGAAAATAACCCAATCGCTGATGAAAGCTGGCTGTTACAAGAGCCATTCAACAGCCAGGGTAGCTGATAAATAGTAAATGAGATGGAATATAGTAAATGATACATTCAGACAAATAGCCAGGAACAGATCAAGTATGATTCTGTAAGCCAATATAAGGAGTTGAGGTTTCACATTAAAGGCAATAAGAAACATTTAGAGGATTAAACAGATGAATGATGTATTCTAATTATTTTCCTTATAAAAAGATCACTTTGGCTACAATGTGGAAATGAATTATAGGAGAATGAAAGTACTAATATCATTTAAAATCCTATTGAAATAGTCCACAAAAGTTGTCTGCAACTTAGATTTGATGTTTGGAAAGTGTAAACATGTGCTTGAGATGGAATTCACAAGACTTACTGTTTAATTAAATCATGGTATGATTTGCTAAAATAAAGATCCTTAAAAATAAGCAGTCCAAGTAGATGAATAAGAAAACACTAGATAGCTTTTTACAATAACTATTTCTGACATAAAATTTATATTTCTTTATAATTTATTTTTTATTTGAAATTTATTTGATTTGCCTGATCGCAAAACTTTACAAATTTTATTCAAAATGCTTCATTAAAAAATTATTATTGAATGTAACAAGTTAGAATTAACTTGGCTTTTTTAACATCATAATCATGAATATCATTATCAAAAACAGGCCATAAATGTTGGTCATAGGGTTTTGGTAATATGATTAAGTTAGAAACTAGATCAATAAGCATTATTTTATTCAAAATTGGTTGATTTAAAGTGTGTAATGAAAAAAGGCAGTTTTTATATTTCTGAGTAGTGTGAAAACACACAAACAATAAAGCCAATTACTTGAAACCTTCATTTTATTAGAATCTTACTTGGCTAGATTATTTTCTTTATTTGCATCACAAATGATCTGATATAATGTACATAAAAATTTATGCAGGTGTCTAAATGTAGCAAGGGCCTGGTATCCTAGGAACACTGCAGGAATATGAAAACTAAGCTCCCAACTAGAAAACTAGTTGAGTCAATGTTCAATTTATGCTTAAGGTTTAAAAGTAAAGCAGAAATCTATATTTTACAAAAACGAAATCCTTCCAGATCCCTTGGTTTATTTAAATGTCATTGATGGATTAGCTCTGGCAATGTAATTACTAAAGCTGACCATTATTTCATATTTAGACCATGAGGATTAAAGTGAGATCAAGTCGGTACAAGGAGAAAATGATAACAATTAGTCACTCATGCTTATATTTATTTTAATTAACTCCTCTTTAGACTTTCTATCCTTTACAAATTTCCAAACAAATTTCACAACTGAGACTCTTATTTAAAAACGGAGTACGTTGATCTCTACTTCTTCTCCACTTTGATCTCTTCTTTCCTCCCTCATACATTTAACTGTCATCCTTTATGAATTATTAGATTTTCAAATATCACCCTGAAACTATGCCAGATATCTTTTAAGGTAAACTTGTTAATATAGCACATAAATATTAAGCAAATTTTGAGTTTTGCTAAACCTATCAAAATGTATGCTATCATCACCATCTATTAAAATAAAATTACATATTTCCTGTAGTCCTAAATAAGAGGAGAAAAGGAAGAGGGCATTAGAGTTGTATATGTGGCCATGCTGTCTGGTTGAGTTCTATGCGGGCTTTTTAATTGAAATCAGTGTCTTCATGTGTGATGCTATGTAAAAGGACCAAGTTGTCCCTACTAATTATTTGCCAAGTAAATCTGAATCTAATCAAATTTGAATGTCAGAAATGCTTACCAAAAAAGAAAAAAAAAGGAACAAGGGGTTTCAGACATCATTATTTGTAGAAGATGTATAATTTTCCACTGAGGCACTACAATTTTCTCCTTACAAAATTTATTTCTTGCCACAGAGTAAGACTCCATATTTCCTCACTCTAAGACTCCATATTTCCTCACTCTACCGATATGACATTCTATGTGATTGGCCTATTAGCTGCCTATTCTAGGGAATATGATTCAGAACACATACTGCATGAAAGTATGGACATCACATTGTTTAACTAAGAAAAGTAAGGTGAAGAAGGAAGGAGAGAAGAAGAGACAATATTTATGTATGGAAAATTGTAAGAATAAACTACCAATGAAAGGATTTTTACAGCAGGAGTTCTGCATTAAAATTAGCAACATAATAATTAATGTTCTACATAAATCAGTGTTTAATGAAAAAAGATCTTAATTAAAAAAATTCTGTTCAAATATTTTGAAGGTCAGAATTTTAATTTAAATTGCCTTGATGATTTGGAAAAAAATAACATGGAAACTATTTTAATATTGTGAAGGATGCCAGTTCGCCAAGATATTTAGGGAAGAAAAAAGAGCATGTAGGTATATGGGAGCAAAGAAAAACTCAAAACTTTGAATGCCAAAATTAAGCCAAAAGTTAAATATATTTGCATTATCAATGCAAGGTTAATTGAATTGTACAATGCAAGAAACACAAAAAATGTAAAGGGTTATGATAGGCATCAATGATATATTTAGTGAAGAAAGCATAAGATTTGAATCCAGTCCTACAAAGAGTAATAGTTCTTCCACTTCTTAATTATGTGCTCTTGGATGAGTTATTTATCCACCCCTGGAATGTCTTGAGAATTATGTAGAATAGGTAAAGAGAAAGCACTCTGCAATCTATAAGTGTTTAAGCAAGTTATGTTTACTAATTCTTTTTCTTCCTTTCTATAAATTGCATGTTTTTATTCCCTTTTTAAACATACAAGTTTTACCATTTAAACAAATAAAAAACATGGATAAGAACTGGAAATTATTCAAGGAAGAGTGACAAATGTTTAAGGAAAAAACTTTTAATAAATTATTTTGAATATATACTCCAGAAAAAAATTCTTATAAGTTATATCACACTTACATCTAAGAAAAAAAAATGTTTTTAGTGATTAAGGGAAAATTGTCTGTAAGTGATCCAGAATGAAATTTATTATCAAATTAAAACAATTGACATTTTAATATAAATATTTTAACTGTCAGGTATTAGATAAATGGATATCTTTCATCAGACAATAGAAATACATTTTTTTCCTAGAAATGCTAATAATATTTCTGTCGGGGGCGTGGAATGAACCAGTCCCAATATCTGGACTCTACTTCATAGTGTGATGCTATAAAGATTAATAATATCAAATTATTTCTTCCCATCCTACTCCCATTCTTAAAAAGTGACTATTTTGATAGTTTTTCATGTTCTTCAGTTGACAGAAATTTAACTAATTAATTCCAGTGTGTAGATCTGACTGGCTGAATTACTTTTGGCTTCATAATTACAAACATGTAATAAATCTGAACCAATAATTTCATCATCATAGATTGAAGCTGTCATGCCCACGGAAGTGGAGCTTAAAAGAAATTAGATGAACTTTTAAAAATAATCTAGTAAAATAATACAATAGAAATAGAAATAATATGTGGTATAATTATTGGTCCTATTCCAATTCCAACTAACGTTAGTATTCCCACAGAATCACTAAAAATACTGCACATTCTTTTTAAATATTAAAGAAGAGAGATGAAAATAATCTTGGGAGATTTTTTGATACAGATTTCAAGCTCCTAGATAGAAGAGAGTGTCCATGCTAATGGAGTTGCTTGCAAGAGGTGTTGTATGTAATTCTGTTTAATACTAATCTTTATTTAAAATTTACAGAGATAAAAACAAACATACTTATTTATATTTTTCAAAATTGGCTAAGTTATAATTTTTTCAACATAATTGTTCTAGCACCTTGACTGTTAGCCCAGGAAATATTATGATTTGAATAGAATTCAAATTCTCCATGGAACCAGTTTCCTATGGGTCAATACATGCAGCTTTTCTACTTTCTGAATTTAGAGAGCTCCTTTTGTTCATATAGTACTTAAAAACTATGTAAAGTCCTTTCTACAAAAATAATACAATTTTCTCAGAAAGAGATCTTATGTCAGAACTAAGATTAGCTCGCATTATTAAGTGTTACTGTGTACCAGAACCTTCACACACATTATTTTTAATTCTGAAAATGCTGTAAGGTACAGAGAGGAAAAATTAAAGACACAAAGATGTTAAGTAATATGCCTAAATTCACATAGCCATTAAGAAAAAAATCAGGATAAAAACTAAGGTTATATAATAGAAAAACCTTTAATCTATACCTATCACCTCCCAAAGACTTCAAGGTAGGAAATGTTATCTCTGAGTGGTGATTGCTCTCCCTTCTGTGTATGACTTTTTTGACCATTTAATCTTATAACCTTCTTGCAGGAGATTTTTCATTCTTAAAATTCATCTGTTAAACCTTTTCCTAAGCACCATGTACTGATTAGATTTCAACACATCTTGATGCATGCATGAAATTATTTTTTCAGCAAGAATTGTTATGTCCCAAGCACTGTACAATGTGCTATTGATTCTAATCTAAACAAGAAAATGCATCTACTTTCAGGGAATTCAGTTAGTAAGGACACAGGCCCTTACTAAACAAACAATTCAAATGTAAAATTTTGCCATAGCAAGAAAAAAGAAAGCAACAAATGAGTGCCTTTATTCTGACAGATTCTTCATATTCTTCATTGCCATTTAAGCCTTACAACAGCTCTACTGCATTATTTGCCAAGTAAGGATTAGTATCAATTTCCTTTTTGTGCCTATCAGAGGTCAAGTTATCTACCTAGTGTTACATGAATATGTAAGAGTTGAAACTTGAACCAACTGGGTGGATTCTAAATGTTAAGTATTTTCAACTCTACTACATATTAGATTATTATTAATAGCTTGCTATAACATTTATGTTCAAAATGGTTCCAGAGGAGACTTTCAGTTTTAGCCCATAGATGTTTGAGTTGGAAAGAGTTGCTTATATGCTGATAGCAGGAAAAAGGCTGGAAAACTACAAATTAGTCACTTTGCATTAGGACATTGAGTTTTCAGGGCAAACAACTGACCTAAAATCTGGAAGGAAACAGGTGACTAAAGGGAGAAAGAGGATTGAGGTATTTGGTTACTGGGAAATAAATTGAAAAGTGCTATGTAAGCCAGTAAAGTGATTCAACTTAGATATTTTTATCAAATTGCTAAGAGTAAATTAGGAGACTTGGAGGTATGTAGATTGATATCCTCTTATGGGCTTTTCTTGCTAAAATTCCAGAAGGCACTAACAAGAAGATCAAGAAAAACCCTGAGAAAGCTTCCCTGTGGCAGTGGTAGGGCAACAAGCAGCCATGCTAATACTTCACCCAGACTCATCATTCCCATTTTCCTTCTGTAACAAAAGCTTTAATCTGCAAGAGGAAGAGCTGAAAACCAAAACTGTAACCTAAGGGTATTGGTGGAAATCCACTGTTTCTGGAAGAGTACAAATAGAAAGGAAAACACTAAGAAAACCCTACAATTTAGGCATACATGCTAGCTTTAGTATTACATTTAGAAAGAGATAAGCCTTTTCAATGCCCAAGACTCAGTCAGGTTCACAGTGCATCAAAGACTGAGGCTCAATCAGTTTAATAAGATAATGCTCCCATTGCCCACCCTCCAAACACTATTATATTAACATGTATAAGTAAAAACAACAGTATTAAAAAAACTGGGAATGCTAAAAGAGAGACTTTTCTCTGGAGGTTAACACACACAAAAAAGACCCTAAGTCAAGCAAATAGATATTAAAGTAAAAGTCTGTGATATCGTTTGGCTGTGTCCCGACCCAAATCTCATCTTGAATCGTAACTCCCACAATTTCCATGTGTCATGGAAGGAATCCAGTAGGAGGTGACTGAATTATGGGGTCAGGTCTTTCCTGCACTGTACTTATGATTGTGAATAAAGATCATGAGATCTAATGGTTTTGAAAAACAGGAGTTTCCCTGCACAAGCTCTGTTCTCTTGTCTGCAGCCATGGGAGACATGCCTTACACCTGCTGCCATGATTGTGAGGCCTCCCCAGCTACATGAAACTGACTGTCCAATAAACGTCTATCTTTTTAAAATTGCCCAGTCTCAGGAATGCCTTTATCAGCAGCATGAAAATGAACTTATATAGTAAATTGGTATCAAGAGTGGGGTGCTGCTAAAAAGATGCCCAACAATGTGGAAGCAACTTTAGGAATGGCTAACAAGCAGAGGATGGAACAGTTCGGAGGACTCAGAAGAAGACAGAAAAATGTGGGAAAGGTTGGAACTCCCTAGAGACTTGTAGAGTGGCTTTGACCAAAATGCTGATAAAGATATGGACAATGTACAGGCTGAGGTGGTCTCAGATGGAAATGCGGAGCTTGTTAGGAACTGGAAAAAAGGTGACTCTTGTTATGTTTTAGCAAAGAGACTGGAGGCAATTTGTCTCCCTGCCCTAGAGATTTGAGGAACTTTGATCTTGAGGAAGATAATTTAGGGTATCTGGCAAAAGAAATTTCTAAGAAGCAAAGCATTGAAGAACTGACTTGGGTACTGTTAAGGTGTTCAATGTTATAAGGTAAACAGAGCACAAAAGTTAAAAAAAATTGCAGCCTGACAATACCATAGAAAAGAAAATCCCATTTTCTAAGGAGAAATTCAAGCCCCCTGCAGAAATTTACATAAGTAAAAAGGGGCCAAATGTTAATCCCCAAGACAATGGGGAAAATGTCTTCAGGGCATGTCAGGGGTCTACATGGCAGCCCCTCCCATCACAGGCCTGAAGGGCTAAGAGAAAAAAGCAGTTTCCTCAGCCAGGCCCGGAGTCCTTCTGCTGTGTGCAGCCTAGGGATTTAGTGCCCTGTTTCCCAGCTGCTCCAGCTCTGGCTGAAAGGGGACAAGGTACAGCTCACACCGTGGCTTCAGAGAGTGCAAGCTTTGAGGCTTGGCAGCTTCCATGTGGTGTTGAGCTTGTGAGTATACAAAAGTCAAGAATTTAGGTTTGGGAACCTCCACCTAGATTTCTGAGGATGTGTGGAAACTCCTGGATGCCCAGACAGAAGTTTGCTGAAGGAGTGGTGTGGGCTGTCATGGAGAACCTCTGCTAGGATGGTGTGGAAGAAAATGAGAGGTCAAAGCCCCCACACAGAGTCCCTACTGGGACATCACCTAGTGGAGCTTTGAGAAGAGGGCCACCATCCTCCAGAGCCCAGAATGGTAGATACACTGATAGCTTGCACCATGTGCCTGGAAAAGCCAACACACTCAACGCCAGCTGGCAAAAGCAGCTGGGAGGGAGACTGTACCCTGCAAACCATCAGGGTGGAGCTGCCCAAGACCATGAGATCCCACCTCTTGCATCAGTGTGATCTGAATATGAGATATGGAGTCAGAGATCATTTTGAAGCTTTAAGATTTGACTGCCCTGCTGGATTTCGGACTTGCATGGGCCTGTAGCCGCTATGTTTTGGCCAACTTCTCCCATTTGGAATAGCTGTATTTACCCAATACCTATACTCACATTGTATCTAGGAAGTAACTAGCTTGCTTTTGATTTTACAGGCTCATAGGCAGAAGGGACTTACCTTGTCTCAAATGAGATGTTGGACTGTGGACTTTTGAGTTAATACTGAAATAAGTTAAGACTTTGTGGTACCTGTTGGGAAGGCATGATTGGTTTTGAAATGTGAGGACATGAGATTTGGGAAGGGTCAGGGTGGAACGATATGATTGGGCTGTATCCCCACTCAAATCTCATCTTGAGTTATAACTCCCACAATTCCTACATGTCATGGGAGGAACCAAGTGGGATGTGATCGAATTCTGGAGGTAGGTCTTTCCTGAGCTCCTCTCATGATAGTGAATGAGTCTCATGAGATCTGATGGTTTTAAAAATGGGAGTTTCCCTGTACGAGCTTCTTTTCTTGTCTGCTGTCATGTGAGACCTGCCTTTCACCTTCCACCATGATTGTGAGGCCTCCCCAGCCATGTGGAACTGTAAGTCCGATAAACCTCTTTCTTTTGTAAATTGCCCAGTCTCGGGTATATCTTTATCAGCAGCATGAAAACACACTAATATAGTCAGATATTCAGGAAAACTCTCCAGTAAATTAGTTCCCTCATTAAATACAAGCTAAATCTCTGATACACTGAGGTTAACAATAGAAATAAGAATTTTAAAATCAGCTTAACACCTGACTAGATTAACATTAACCAACATATTAAAGACACCCGAGAATTTTAAAGAGCATTTGTCTCAGTATTATTGTTCTATTCAGGCTGTCCAACAATACAAATATGAAGCACAAAAATATTTCTTAAAAGTCTCTAGCGAGAAGCAGCCATGAGAATTAGCTTCAAATACTACAAAGATGTTGGAATTATCAGATAGCACATTTCATATAGCTATGCTTGATTATTAAGGGTTCTAATGGAAAAGATAGATAACATGAATGCTCAAATAGGTAATTTCTGCAGAAAGAGGAAAACTGTCAAGATAATAAAATGGGGATGCTAGAAATTAAAAAAAAAAACAGTAACAGAAATGGAAAAAATCACATAGTACAGTCAAGGAAATCAAAGAACTTTAAGAGAAGTCAATAGATATTACACAAACTGAGAGGTAAAGAAGAAAAAAATAACAAAGAAAAAAATGCATCATATCACAGAGTAGCTAAGAGCTGTGATGTAATACTAAAAGACACAATAGGGCAGAAGAAATATTTGAATAAGAATTTTAATTTTCCAAAATTTGTGACAGACATGAACCACAGATCCAAAATTGAAAAACACCAAACTTTAAAATGAACACACACACACACACCCCTTAAAACAGAACAAACAAACAAAAATCTAGGTATTTTATATTTTAATTGTTGAAAACTACAGGTGAAGATAAATATATTAAAAACTATGAGAGGAAAATTGATATGTAAAATTGATATATTCCCTAAAGAAAAATAATGATAAAGTCTATCAGAATTCTTATCAAAAACTAAGCAAATTTTAAAAAATAAAGTGACAATTTTGAAGTTCTGAAAGAAAAATGCTATCTTCCCTCAAGTCCATACCTAGAATAAAGATTAACCAAACATGAAGAATGCCAAATGAAGGACAAAACTCATATGTAAAAAAGGAATTACCCACCTGGGCATGGTGACTCACGCCTGTAATCCCAGCACTCTGAGAGGCCAAGGTGGGCGGATCACGAGGTCAGGAGATCGAGACCATCCTGGCTAACACGGTGAAACCTCATCTCTATTGAAAATACAAAAAAATTAGCCGGCCATGGTGGCGGGCACCTGTAGTCCCAGCTACTTCGAAGGCTGAGGCAGCAGAATGGCATCAACCCGGGAGGCGGAGCTTGCAGTGAGCCGAGACTGAGCCACTGTACTCTAGCCTAGGTGACAGAGAGAGACTCCGTTTCCAAAAAAAAAAAAGAATGAAAAAAGGAATTACCCATGAAAGACACTAATCTATCTATGAGTTAGCTTTGCCCAATCACTAAAAATTCTAAGACTGAATTAGTCTAAGCATTTAGATTTAACTATTTTTTCATGAAACATAGAAAACAAAGGAATACTTTAAATACCACATTAATACTAGAAACAACAGAAGAAAGTATGTGGGAAACTCTATAGAATAAAACTTTTTTTTTTAACAGAATAATTGCAAGTAAAGATTTTAAAAGGATGAAATGGAAAACTATAAATTTTTTTAAAAGACAAGAGTATAGTAATGTTTTTACCAAAAAAAAGCATGTCAAAAGTTATTCAGTTGTACACTTGAAATACACATAGTTTAATGTACCTAAATTGTACTTCAATAAATTCAGAAGAAGAAAAAACATTTAAAGAAAGAAAAGAAAGATACAAATGAAAAGTTAATTGCCGTTTTATCTACAAGAAGGCTTAATGTGAAGAAACATGATACAGGTCAAAATTCCAATCTACAGAAAGAAGTACAAAACACTGGAAATATAAAAAAGATGAATATAGTGTTACCTCAATTTCTCCCAAAATAACCACTAAATTATAAAATAATAATGTTTAAATGAATGACAATGATGGTAGCAGGGATTGGTAGGAGGAATGAGAAAAATAATATTAAGTGGTCCTTTGTTACACATGAAGTAGTATAACATTATTTAAAGGTATATTTGTTAGAGTAGTAGCTAGGAATACATGAGCAGGGCAAGAGAGGGACCCCTCTCAGGAACATCAGGTGAGTGAGTATCAGCTGATGGTCAGGCAGTTGTTAAACTGTCTCTCTAAATAACAGTTGGTCTCAGTTAGTGCCAGGGAAGAGCAATCGTCGGATAGATAGAAAACACCTGACACTGCTGCTGATGATCAGTAGCTTCCTAATAAGATTTCACAAGTTAGGTGAGTGGGCTCAAGCATGCGCACTAAGAGACAAAATGGCAGCGTTTAACTGGTATATGACCTTTCTCTAGCAATGCTTGACTGATAAGGGGAAAATGCCCCAGTGAGTATGTGCACAACTTCAATAAACATGCTGTGCATGTGGCCCCTCTCAGGTGCTGGCAGGCCACCACACATGCGGACACCCCACTCCAAGGGATGAATCAAGGGAGAAGAAACACAAACCCCAGAACCATGTCAATATATAAAACCCCCAAGTCAAAGGTCTGATGGAGCCTTGATCTCTCACATCACCTGCTTGGTCCTCTTCCAAGCGTACTTTGCTTTCTCTCACTCTTGCCGTAAAACTTTTCTTTTCTTTTTGAGATGGAGTCTCACTCTGTCGCCCAGGCTGGAGTGTAGTGGCACGATCTCGGCTCACTGCAAGCTCCACCTCCCAGGTTGGCTGTAAAACTTTTTAATAAGCTTTCACACCTACTCTAAAACTTGCCTCAGTCTCTCACCCTGTCTTATGCCTCTCAACAGAATTATTTTCTCTGAGAGGGCAAGAATCAAGTTGCTGCAAACCTGTGTGGATTCACTACTAGGAACATACTTTATTGCAGTGACTCAAATAGGTTCCCTAGTCGTAAGACACCTCTATGCCTGGCCTTCTTTAGCTGGAGGTGTTCAACCCCTGGACATGGTTTTCTTCTCCACTTTCATCTCCTGCTTGCTAACCCCCAGAACAATTCTCAGCCACAGTGGCTCTGCACCCACTGACTCATCTCTCAGATCACCCTGATGAGTGTGAAGGACCTTAGCATCGACACCGAGTAGACCTGACACAACAATAGCCCTCCTTGATTCACTGACAGTAACTGTATTTGTCTGTTTTCGGACCACTGCTAAAGACATATCCAAGACTGGGCAATTTACAGAAGAAAGAGGTTTAATGGACTTACAGTTCCACCTGGCTGGGGAAGCCTCACAATCATGGCGGAAGGCAAGGAGGAGCAAGTCACAACTTACGTGGATGGTGGCAGTCAAAGAGAGAGTTTGTGCAGGGAAACTCCCCCTTATAGAACTGTCAGATCTCATGGGACTTATTCGCTATCATGAGAACAGTACAGGAAAGATTCAATTACTTCCCACCAGGTCCCTCCCACCACACAAGAGAATTCAAGATGAGATTGGGTGGGGACACAGCCAAACATATCATTTGACTTGTGGCCCTTCCCAAATCTCATGTTCTCACATTTTAAAACCAGTCATGCCTTCCCAACAGTCCCCCAAAGTCTTAACTCATTTCAGCATAAGTCCCCTCTGCCTATGAGTCTGTAAAATCAAAGGCAAGTTAGTTATTTCCTAGATACAATGGGGGTACAGCCAATGGGTAAATATAGCCATTCCAAATAGGAGAAATGGCCAAAACAGAGGGGCTACAGGCCCTATGCAAGTCTGAAATCCAGTGTGGCAGTCAAATCTTAAGTCTGCCTCTCTCCAAAATGACTCCTTTGGATCCATGTCTCACATCCAGATCACACTGATGCCAAAGGTGGGTTCTCATGGTTTTGGGCAACTCTGCCCCTGTGGTTTTACAGGGTATATCCTCCCTCCCAGCTGCTTTCACCAGCTGGCATTGAGTGTCTATAGCTTTTCCAAGTGCACATGCAAGCTGTCAGTGGATCTACCATTCTGAGGTCTGGAGGACAGTGACCTTCTTCTCAGAGCTCCAGTAGGCATTGCTCCAGTAGGGATTCTGTTTGGAAGCTCCAAAGCCACATTTTCCTTCCACACTGCTCTAGCAGAGGTTCTCCATGAGGGCCCTTCCCCTGCAGTAAACTTCTGCCTGGGCATCCAGGCATTTCTGTATATCCTCTGAAATCCAGGCAGAGGTTCCCAAACCCAGTTCTTGACTTCTGTGGACTCGAAGGCTCAACACAGTGGCTGGAAGCAGGGCACCAAGTCCCTAGACTGCACATAGCATGGGGACCCTGGGCACAGCCCACAAAACCTTTTCTTTCTCCTAGGTCTCCAGGCCTGTGATGGGAGGGACTGCCACAAAAGTCTCTGACATGCCCTGGAGACATTTTCCCCATTTTCTTGGGGATTCACACTGGGCTCCTCATTACTTATGCAAATTTCTGCAGCTGGCTTGAATTTCTCCTCAGAAATTGGGATTTTCTTTTCTATTGCATTGTCAGGCTGCAAATTCTTTGAACTTTTATGCCCTGCTTCCCTTATAAAACTGAATACTTTTAACAGCACCCAAGTCACCTCTCGAATGCTTTGTTGCTTAGAAATTTCTTCCACCAGATACCCTAAATTGTCTTCCTCAAGATCAAAGTTCCTCAAATCTCTAGGGCAGGGGCAAAATGCCTCCAGTCTCTTTGCTAAAACATAACAAAAGTTACCCTTGTTCCAGTTCCCACCTCAGCCTGTATTTCATTGTCCATATCTTTATTAGCATTTTGGTCAAAGCCATTCAACAAATCTCCATGGAGTCCCAAGCTTTCCCACATTTTCCTTTCTTCTTCTGAGCACTCCAAACTGTTCCATCCTCTGCCTGTTACCCAGTTCAAATCACTTCCACATTTTCAGGTATCTTTTCAGCAGCACCTCACTCTTACTGGCACCAATATCTGTATTAGTCAGAGTTCTCTAGAGGAACAGAACTAATAGGACAGATGTGTATATAGACAGGAGTTTATTAAGGAGTATTAACTCACATGATTACAAGGTTCCACAATAAGCTGTCTGCAAGCTGAGGAGCAAGGAAGCCAGTCCAAGTCCCAAAGCCAAAGAACCTGGAGTCCAATGTTTGAGGGCAGGAGGCATCTGGCATGGGAGAAAGATGTAGGATGGGAGGCTAGGCCAGTCTCTACGTTTCTCTATGTTTCTCTCTACGTTTCTCTGCCTGTTTTCTATTCTGGCTGTGCTGGCAGATGATTAGAGACTGTCCACCTGGATTGAGGGTGGGTCTGCCTCTCCCAGTTAAGTGACTCAAATGTTAATCTCCTTTGGCAACACCCTCACAGACACACCCAGGAACAATACATTGCATCTTTCAGTCCAATCAAGTTGGCACTCAGTATTAACCATAACAGTAACATACTGAGATTATTTTCAAATGCACATTATTAGCCTTAGAGAAAACACTAAATAATTTTTAAAAAGTAAAAATAATTGACAGAAGAATTAAAACTGAATTATAAGACATACTCAATTTGACTTAAAGAGGCAAACAGAAAATAAAAAAGAAAAAATTGAATATAAAACAACTAGATAAACTATAGATGTCAATCCAACCACATCAATACTCACTTTAAATGTGAAAGGCTTAAACACAAGTTAAAAGACTGAGCAATGTAAGCAAAATGGTCAATAAGATAGAATCAATGTCTATCATCCCTTCACAGAAAGGTCAAAGAAACTAGCAGAACTTTCCAGAACTAACTTTGTCAGAACTCTGGAAAACAGTCAATGGTTTACGGCCACCAAGCTGATTAAAAAAATAGAGAGACAACTTTAAAATGGTAGGAAAATTTTGCGACATTTTACTTGCCCTCACCTTTCCAGGGCTTGGAAGCGTTCTTGAAGACAGCTTTCTATGGCCCCAGTGTATGACCCTGACAGCTAGTTCAAGAGGAAGTGGGGAAAACCTTATTCATAAACTACTGTGCTTGTTAGTTCTAAATTGTCTGGGATTTACCTGAAGAAAACTCTATGCAAGGTGCTCAGCTCTGTTTTGCCTCACTCAACTCACTCTGGATGGAAAAGTAGTAAGTACTGCTTTAATGCATGGTAACGTAAACAAAAATCTCAGTTACTCGGGACTAAAGATTCATTTGAGACATTTAAGAGATGTCCTGGGAAGAAAAGCTGGGGAAAGAGTTTATTTAGGGGATTAAGGAATTCATACATGAGAATTTAGATAGCTTAACACATCCAACACAAGGTGTTGGCAGGAAAAGACCTTGAGGCATCCTTAAACTTTCACCATTAGCTGATCTCTATGCTCAGTGCATGCAAGAAGTAAAGGCTAAAGCAGGGTTGTAAACACTTTGGCTAAATATTGCAGTAATTCCTCAGCAGAGAGCCAACCTGCCAAGATGGGAATATTTTATTTTTCACCAGTTTCTGGTGTTCAAGGGAAACCCTGTCAATAAAAACTAATAATAACTAAAAACTATCTAAATAAACAGAGAGTTTAGTGACAATGCATTACAAATACAATCTTTGCGAAATTAATTTGAGAAGTCAATAAACGAATGACTGCATATTTCAAAAACCAAGAACAGTGACCTTTGGGGAAGGGGAAAGAATCTTATTTACAGAGATATTATATAAGAATAATCAAATGTCTAATTTTTAACAGAAAGAGACATAGCATACAAAAAAAATCAGGGAAATATGGCCTATTTGATGAAAAAATTTAATCTACCAAAACTATCCCTGAGGAAGCTAAGACATTGCAGTTTTTAGACAAAGACTTTAAATCCACTGCCTTAAATATGCTCTAAAAGCTAATGAAAACCATTCATAAAGAAATAAAGTAAATAAAAAAATTGATGTATGAACAAATTGTGAATATCAGTAAAAAGGATCAAAATTATAAAAATAAATCAGATATAAATTCTGGAGCTGAAAAGTACACTAACTGAAATGAAAATTTTACAAGAGGGGTTCAACAACAGATATAAACTTGCAGAAGGATAATAAACAGACATGAAGATAAGGCAAGTAAAACTACCCACTATATAAGAAGAAGAACAAAGAAGAAAAATGAACAGATCCTAAGAGACCTGTAGAATACCACCAAGCAGACCACCACATGCATTTGAAGTTCTCAAAAAGGGTTGGGGGAGAGGGAAGGAGAGACACACACACACACACACATACACACACAGACACAAGGAGACACAGACATGCCAAGGCAGGCAGAGAGGTGTGCGGAGATGCACATAGAGGCCCATGGTAGATAACACAGCTGCATTCACAGAGATCCACATCAGATACACAGAGACATATACGTACAGGCACATAGAGGGGCAAAGAGACACATGGAAAAGAACATTTATAAAACAATGACTGTAACACATCCCAAATTTAATAAAATAAATAAATCTAAGAATCTAAAAATTCAACAAGTTCAATTAACTCCAAGTAGGAGAAACTCAAGAAAACCCATACTATATAATATCAACTTATTTTTAAACTTTTATAAACCAAGGACAGAAGGAGAATCTTGAAAGAAGAAACAGAGAAGTGACTAGTTACATACAAAGAACTCTCAATAAAATTAATGGCCAATTTATCATCAGAGGTCATGGAAGCCAGAAGGAGGTGGGATGACATATTTTATTACTAAAAGTAAAAAACAAATCTGTCAACCAAGAATCTATATCTGTCAAACAGCATTAAGACATAAAAAGAAACTGAGACATTTCCAAAAGAATAAAACAGAGGGAGTTCAATACCAGCACACCTGCCCTACAAGAAATACTAAAGGGAGTCCTTAGGTTGAAATGAAAGGACACTGGAAAGAAAATTGAAGAAATAACTATCTTGAATAAAGGTAATTGCATAGATGAATATAAAAGCCAGCATTGTATTATTTTTGATTTGTAAAGTCAGATTTTATTTCTTACATGATTTAAAATACAAATGCATAAATATGCTTATAATCTAGATGACTGGGCAAATCTGTATAAAGATATAATGATCTATGACAATAACAACAAAAGGAGGAGCAGAACCATAGAGGAGCATGTTTTTTGTATGCTATTGATGCTAAATTGCTACTAATTCAAATGAGGCTATTATATTTTTAGGTTGCCAATCATAGTATTCATTGTAACCTCTAAGAAAATATCTACAAGATATACATACAGGAAAATGGGAAAGGAAACATAATAGTACAAAAACACCAAACTCTAAAACGTTTTATCCATTAAGTAATTTTTCATCATCCATCCTCCTCCCACCCCTTTACACTTTCCAGACTCTAATGTCTATTATTCCACAATCTATGTTTATGTGTAGAGATTATTTAGCTCCCACTTATATGTGAGAACATGAAAGCATTCCCTTTAAAAACTGGAACAAGACAAGGATGCTCACTCTCGCCCTCCTATTTAACATATTACTGGAAGTCCTAGCCAAAACTATCAAGTGAGAGAACGAAATAAAAGGCATCCAAATTACAAAAGAGAAAGTCAAATTATTCCTGTTAGCTGATTATATCATCTTATATCTAGAGGAACCTAAACACTCCATGGAAATAATATTAAATTTGATAAATTAATTCAGTAGTTTCAGGATGCAATTATTAACATGCAAAAATTAGTAATGTTTCTATGCACCAATAACAATCAAATTGAAAACCATATCAAGAAGGCAATTCCATTTACAATAGATACAAAAATAAAATATCTAGAAATGTTAAACCAAGGAGATAAAAGAGATCTACAAGGAAAACTACAAAACACTCATGAAACAGATCATAGATTAAACAAACAAATGGAAAAACATCCCATGCGCATGGGTCAGAAGAATCAACATCATTAAAATGACCACAGTACCCAAAAAAATCTACAGATTTAATTCAATCCTTATTAAAATACTAATGTCATTTTTCACAGAATTAGAAAAAATATATAATTATATTTTGATAATGAAACACTGTTTTCTAAGTAATTAATAAAACAGTAGGAAAAAATTAGAAAATACACAGATAACTTGAAAAATGATATCAATCTACATAATGTAATTGACATGTATAGAACACTGCTCCTAGCAACATTAGAATAATCGTTTTTCTCAAACACACATGGAACATTCACCAGAATAGACCATAAGTATGAATATAAAGCACTATAAGAAATTTTGAAAAATTGAAATCATACAAAATTGGTTCTCAGACCATAATATGTCTAAACTGGAAATCAATAACAAAAGACAACTGCAAAATGTCAAAATATCAACATTTCTAAATAGCCCATGAGTCAAAAAGGTGGTGCCAAGGGAAAATATCAGCAATAAATACAGCAGGGGGAGGCAGAGCAAGATGGCCAAATAGAACCCTACAGTGACTGTCCCCCTACAGGAACACCAAATCAAAAACTATCCATCCAAGAAACCATCTTCACAAAAAACAAACAAACAAACAAAAAAAAAATCAGGTCAGATTTTATAGTACCTGATGTTAACATAATAATGAAGAAGATATATTGAATGAGGTAAGAAGACAGTTCTGCATTTTCTACATGGCTCTTGCCCAACCCCAGGCAGCACAGCACAGAGACAAAAAAAAATGCCTGCTTGAGGGAGGAAAAGGGAAGTTATTGTGGGGCTTTGCACTGCAACTGACTGCCAGCCACACCACAGTGGACAAGGCACAGGACAAAGCCCCCTCAGCTATTAATTCTGGATCAGTGCCCACAGAGGGAGCATTTAGACCTGTCCTAGGCCACAGCAGAATCCACCAGGAAAGGAGGAGGAGGAGGAGGAGGAGAAAGAGGAGGAGGAGGAGGGGGAGGAGGAGGGGGAGGAGGAGGGGGAGGAGGAGGGGGAGGAGGAGGGGGAGGAGGAGGGGGAGGAGGAGGGGGAGGAGGAGGGGGAGGAGGAGGGGGAGAGGGAGGGGAGGAGGAAGAAGAGGAAATTAAGAAAATGCCCAGGAAGTATAGCCTCACTGCTGAATTCTATCAAACATATAAACAGCTAATACTAATTTACTCAAACTATTCCAAAAATATTTAAAGAAGAGAGGATACTTCCAAACTCCTTTTATAAGGCCAGCATTAGAGTGAGAAAAAAATCACGAAGCACAAAAACAAAAGAAAATCAGAAGCCAAAAATCCTACTGAACAGAGATTTAAAAACTCTTAAAGAAAATATTAGCAAACCAAATCCAACAATACATCAAAAATATAATAATACATTGCAATCAAGTGAGATTTATCTCAGGGTTGCAAAGATGATTCAACATACGTAAATCAATAAACATGGTACATAACATCAACAGGACAAAAACCATATGATTTTAAACTCGATGCAGAAAAATCACGTGTTGAAATTTAACATCCTTTTGTGATAAAAGCTCTCAAATAGGCATATGAGAAAAAAAAACTCAAAACAATAAAGGACATGTGACGAACTCGTAGGTAACATCATACTGAATGGGGTGAAGTTGAAAGCCTTTCCTCTAAGAATCCGAACAAGACAAAGATGCTCACTTTCACTATTTCTATTTAAAAAAAGTACTTGAAGTTCTAGCCAGAACTATCAGGTAAGAGAAAGAAATAAAAGGCATCTAAATTGAAAAAGAGGGACTCTAATTGTCTCTCTTTGATGATGATACAATGATATATTTAGAAAAACCAAAGACTTTACTAAAAATCTCTTAAAACTAATTTTAAAATGTGATAAATTTGCAGGATACAAAACGAACATGCAAAAATCAGTAGCATTTCTATAAACCAATAACAAACTAGCTGAAAAAAAGTCAACCCATTTATAATAGCCACAAAATAAATAAAATACCTAGAAATGAATTTACCCAAGGAGGTGAAAGACCTCCACAGGAAAAACTACAAAACATTAATAAAATAATTTGAAGAAAATACAGAAAAATAGAAAGCCATCCATGCTCATGTATTGAAATAATTAATATCATTAAAATGACCATACTGCCAAAAGCAATCTACAGATTCACTGCAATCCCTATGAAAATTCCTATGTCATTTTTCACAGAAATAGTAAAAACACAATTCTAAAATTTGTATGGAAAGAAAAACAAACAAAACACCACAATAGCCAAAGCAATCTTAAGCAAAAATAGCAAGCCTAGGCAGGCATGGTACCACGCACCTGTAGTTCCAGCTACTCGGTAGGTTGAGGCAGGAGAATGGCTTGAATCCAGGAGGCAGAGGTTGCAGAGCCGAGATAGCGCCACTGCACTTCAGGCTGGGCGACAGAGCAAGACTCTATCACAAAAAAAAAAAAAAAAAAAAAGACTAAGGCATCACACTATTTTACTACAAACCATATTACAAAACTAAAGTAACAAAAACAGCATAATAGTGGTATAAAAACAGACATATAGACCAATTGAAAACAATGGAGAAGCTAGGAATACACCCTACTGATCTTTGATAAAGTCATCAATAAAATACACTCAGGAGAAGGCAGTTACAGCTAACTGATTTCTCACAAAGCCATCAAGAACATACACTGGGGAAAGGACATTCTCTTTAGTGAATAGTGCTTGGAAAACTGGATAACCATATGCAAAAGAATGAAACTGAACCCCTATCCAACACTATATACAAAAATCAACTCAAGATGAATTAAAGACTTAAACTTTAAACCCAAAACTATAAAACTACTAGAAGAAAACAGGAAAAAAATTTAGGACGTTTGTGTAGGCAAATATTTTATGACCATGACCTCAAAAGCATAGCTAACAGAAATAAAAATATCAAATGGGACTACATTAAACTAAAAAGATTCTGCATAGAAAAGTAAACGATCAACAGAGTTAAAAGATAACCTCTTGAATGGGAGAAAATATTTGCAAATTACTCATCCAACTGGGGAGTACTATCAAGAATATAAAAGAAACTCAAACAATGCAAGAGTAAACATTCAAATGATCTCATTTAAAAAATGGATGAAGGACGTGGATAGACATTTCTCAAAAGACGACACAGAAATGACCAACAGGTTATGAAAAAATGTTTGTTACTACTCATTAGGGAAATACAAATGAAAATCACAATGAGATATCACTTTGCCTCATTTAGGATGGCACTTACTAAAAAGGCAAAAAATAATAACAGAAAGTAAGGATGCAGACAAAAGGAAATTCATAGACTGTTGATGGGGATTAGAAATTAGCACAACCTCTACAAAATAAATTATAATGATTTGTCAAAAAAAACCTAAAAATATAACTAACATATGATCCAGCAATCCCACTACTCAGTATTTATCTGAAGGAAAATAAATCAATATGTCAAAGTTATACATGCACTCCCGTGTTTATTACAGCACTATTCTCAACAGCAAAGACATGCAATCAACCTAAGTGTCCATCAACGGATGAATGGCTAAGGAAAACGTGGTACGTATACACAATGTAATACTATTTTGCCATTAAAAAGGAATGAAATCATGTCATTTGCAGCAACACGGATGGAACTGGAGGTCACTATGTTAGTAGAAAGATACATTTTTCATGTTCTCACTCATATGTGGGAGTGAAAAATGCTGATCACATGGAGGTAGACAGTGGAATGATAGATACTACAGACTGGAAAGGGGATATGGGTGGGAGAAGGGGATAAAGAGAGCTTGGTTCCTGAGTAGAAACATATAATTCATAGAAGGAATAAATTATAATTTTTGTTACAAGAGTAGGGTGACTATAGTTAACAACAATGTATTGTACTTTTAAAATAAGAGAGGTTTGTTCCTGAGTAGAAACATATAATTCATAGAAGGAATAAATTATAATTTTTGTTAGAAGAGTAGGGTGACTATAGTTAACAACAATGTATTGTACTTTTAAAATAACTAGAAGAAAGGACTTGAAATGTGCCCAACACATAGTAATTATACATACTTGGATGATGAAGACCCTAAATACTCTGACTTGATCATTACACTTTCTATGCCTGTAACACAATTTCACATGTAACTCATAAATACATACAAATATAATGTATTAAAAATAAATAAATTTAATTTTTTTAATTCATGAAAAACAGTTGGGAATTCACTACTGCTCCCACAGGCATTAAATAATAGCTGGGAAGTATTATGAACAAATTACTTTCTCAAATTGAGCATCTTAAACTAAACATACCAGGAAACTCACTTAAGAAGAAACAGATATTCTAAATAGTTCTATCTATTAAAGTGGTTTGAGAATACACAAAAAAGTTTATTGCTGAAATCTTGTGGATTTTGAGGAACTGAAAATTAAGTGAATGTATGAAAATTTAGGAAAAACAGGTAATATCAAGACAGTTGAATTTAATTGTGTGTCTATTGTGAAAATACTAAATACTATTTATCAAGGGAGAGACATTATTAAACATGTAGTTCAGAAAGATACCCACACTTGTTCTATGCATGATTACTTTCACCAAAATAATGGATGACATTTTTCAATTTGTATATGTATTATAAAAGACATTTCCCTGGATATCTCAAAATGTGGTTGTTGCTTACTCTAGACTGTAGATTATATTGTGAGTGTACACTCCAAGTGTTTTAGTTCTAATCTACTTCTTTAAAAAAAAAACACCACCACACATCACTGTTGCCAGTGTACTACATTGAGATATCTGATTGGAAAATGGTAACCTAAAAGATATTGTTATCTCATCCCCCAAAAATCTTTCAAATCTATCCTTTATCTTCTTCTGACATATTTCTTTTAAAAAAAAAAACTGCTTCCCAACATTTGCCTTGCCTACAATTTAAACACAAACATCTCAGTTTGGATTTCAAATCTCTCCACTTTATGATTATTACCTACTATTCAAATTTTATATTCCATTATCCTTCTAAATCACCTACACTACAACGAAAAAGACAATTTATAGCTCCACAAAATGTTCAATGCATATCATTCTTATATTCTCTCATGGGTACACTCATCAAATATTTGACTTTAAGTCATGCATTAGGCACTATGCCTATACTATACTAGGGGGAATAAAATGATGAATAAAATTAGGCTTTTGCTCTTTAAAGAGCTTCTAATCTAGGCCAGGTGCGGTGGCTCATGCCTGTAATCCCAACACTTTGCGAGGCCGAGGCAGGTGGATCACCTGAGGTCAGGAGTTCAACACCAGCCTATCCAACATGGTGAAACCCCCGTCTCTGCTAAAAATACAAAAAATTAGCCGGGCATGATGATGTGAGCCTGTAATCCCAGCTACCTGGGAGGCTGAGGCAGGGGAATCGCTTGAACCCGGGAGGCGGAGGTTGCAGTGAGCCGAGATGGCATATTGCATTCCAGTCTGGGCAACAAGAGCAAAACTATGTCTTACAAAAAACAAAAAAGTTGTAATCTAGTAAATATACATATATATTCAAGTATACCTTCTGGAAAGTGAATCCAGCCAATCTAGAAAATGAACTTATTGGCAGGATATCACCACAAACTGAGACTTTAACACAAGGCTTGGGAAGCAAGCAATTGACTGATATCAACTTATTCTGACTAAATAAGCCAAGCAAGAGCTTACTCTATTGCCAATCTCTCTCTTCCCTTGGGACCACCATGGTCTGATTGCCAGAGCCACAGATATCACCTGTCCTCTCCTGTGCCTGCATTCTATCAGACCAAGCTCCATGTAAGCATCATTTGCTGTCAATCCTAGCATACATAGAATAGCCAATATTAACCTTCTGAACTACATTGATGATTCTCTCTCCAGTGCATTACATATTGCTTTAGTGTCTTCTGGAGCTTTCGAAAAGTATAGGTTAACTCTAGCTTCACGTAATAAACCCATTTTCTCAGGCCAAATGCTGTGACTGCTTCCTTAATACTAAGGAGTAGAGTATTAAAAATACAGGAGTAGAGTATTAAAGAATACTCTACCTTAGTAGAGTAAGGAGTAGAGTATTAAAAAAGCAGGCTGGGCTCGGTGGCTCACGCCTGTAATCCCAGCACGTTGGGAGGCCAAGGAGGGCAGATTGCCTGAGCTCAGGAGTTTGAGACCAGCTTGGGCAACACGGTGCAACCCCGTCTCTACTAAAATACAAACAAATTAGCCAGGCATAGTGGTGTGCACCTGTAGTCCCAGCTACTCGGGAAAGCTGAGGCAGGAGAATTGCTTGAACCTGGGAGGTGGAGGTTGCAGTGATCAGAGATTGTGCCACTGGACTCCAACTCCAGCCTGGGCGACAGAGTGAGACTCCATCTCAATAAATAAATAAATAAATAAATAAATAAATAAATAAATAAATAAATAAAGCAGTCACAGCACTGGGCTGAGAAAATGGGTTTAATACATTACATGGATTTATTGCATGTTCACATCACTTATTGCAGCTCACTACTGCATCTGAGCTTCAAGTAGTCCTCTCGGCATCATATTTCCAGGTGTTCACACAGAATATATTTTATGTCACTGAAAATGCATCCAGGTAAATAGTTAGTTCTCTAACCTTGTATTGTGTGTGTTTTCATGAAACACCAATATCCATTTATATACATCCTTCTGTTTCTGCTAGTACATATTACCTTAGTAGCCCCAGTTCTGAAACTTGTTTCATGAGATATCTCACCTGTAGAAGAGACCATATTTGTCTTCTTAGACTTTGCTAAGAGTTGATCATATTTATATATTTGAGTCAAATACTGAAGATGTGATTTATTTTAAAAGAGACAGATATCATACTGTAAGGCACTCACCTTAGATAATTTCTTTACGTTGTCCTCATACAAAGAGAAGTTGGTGTCTAGCAACAGTGGCAATGCTCCTTCTCAAAGTTCAAAAAGATCGGGAACGTCGGAAGTGCCATATTCTCAGGTCAATATTTCCAAGTGATTTATGCAACTTGTCAGGTTCCCACTCATTCAATAGCGTATCTCTAATGTCAGGGAACCTCCAAAAGCAGAGCCTTCATTATTGTTTGCATTTGCTTAAGTCCAGTGATTAAATCATAGGCCTTCTTCTTAGTGCTATCTTTCCTACAGTTACAGGTAACTAAAACTGCAAGAAAGACCTTCTTGACTTTCCGGCATGTCCTGAGCTAATAATAGTTGGCTGAACTGAGCCTGCCGTTCTTTTACTTTAAGACTTCTGGTATAGTTAAAACAGGTGAGCCACCTCCACACGCCTTATAAATACCTTGCCCCCATAGCTTTCAAGTGATAGAGCTATTACATAAATCTGTATTTCTTTACATCTGATTCTCATTTAACTTTCCACCGTTGTGTCTTTAAAAACGTGGAAGTAAAGCACACCGGGGATAATCAACACCTCATTTATTACCAGCAATGAAGTTCTTGTTGCCATTTGACCTATGAGAGAATTAATTTCAGAATCCCATCTTTAAGGGTAAACTTTCCATCACTACTTTCAGTATCAGCTATCTTGGTTTCAGTTCCTCCCTGAAAGCTGATACTGAAACAAGAACTTAGAATCACGTAGGTTTTTGGGGTGGAGTAATAAAATGGAAGAAGTGGGAAAATGAGACAAAGATAAAGTAAAAGCTAGTGACTGAGCACTAATGCACTGGTCACTGCTGTGAGCAATAGGACCTCAACCCACTCTCAGGGAATCAAACTATGTAGAGTGCATCTCACAATTATCCTTCCAGAGCATATGGGGAAGGAAACATCTAACCGCTTCTATCATTGGTTAAAACTCAGTCCCAATGCATTAAATTCCCCTCACTTCCTAATTCCTCTAATTTTAATCGAGTGGTGTTCCATATCAGAGAGACAGCAGAGTGAGTACTTGATGTAGGAAACCGGCAGAGGTGTATGATTATTCATCCCTGCTGCGGTGAAATCAGATGGGCTGAAAGGATGTGGCAAGGAGCCTAACATGCAAGTACCGTAACCGCACAGCACCTGTAGACAAACAGTAGAATTTTAATAATTTTTAATTTATCAAATGATTGATACATTAATATAGTTGAATTCTAATGAAACCATATGCTTAAAATATTAATTTAGCATAAGCTACAAAATTATTGAAAGAAATCCTTTACCTATTACTTCCAAGAATTGATAAAAAGCTTTTCTCCCTCAATCATTTCTTCAGCTGTAAAGCCTTAGCAGCCAAGAGCTATCTCTTTTAAACCATCAGTAAACACTTCTTTCTCCATGTTGCACTGTCTCATTCATTGGGTATGCTTTGAATCCTTTATTTGAGTAGCATGTTTGTCAGTAAAGAGAGTGACTGAATTCCGGTGTGCATTAATGTGAAATGTTCATGGTATTTTTATCCTTTTTGAGGCAAGTGCCTGTGATATATCATTTGACATTGACATTCTCATATAGCTAATTCATGTCAGATTTCTTTAATCCCATCTACCTTGGCTGGGAAATCATTTGAGGAAGGCAGGTGGAGGTGGGGAAATCATCTTTATGCTTGCTCATGCTATAATTATATCAGACGCTGAGGAAATTTAACAATGTGCTGCACTTTAAGCACTTTGTGATAGTCATCATCTTTGATCAATGTTTTACAGCTTCACTGCTGATAGAAATGATGAAAAGCAATTATACAGCATTACTGTTGAGCCGTTATTCAAGGTCCATCATGTTTTTCATTTCTCTTTCTCCCCTTCTGCTCTTAAGAGGAATATGTTTTATAACACTCTGACACAAGCTATCATATTTTACTTTGAGTGGTTGAAAACCTCCTTTCTTCCAATTAAAGCCATTGATAAAGCATCTACATCTTGAACTGAACTACTTATTCTAAATAGGTTGTTTTTATGCCGACTGTGATACTGTTATTTCTTTTTCTTTCTTTTTTTTTTTTTTTGCATGTGTGTGTTTGCTATTCCGTTTAGAACTGAGGTTCTAAAATCTAAACTATGATAAACAACCTCTGAAACTGCTTTGCCTTATATAAGCATTAATTAACTGAAATAGAGAAATGCATAAATTTGTGTTATACTAGAGTGATGATTCATTGGATATACTGACTGTTCATGTACTTTGAATTAAATAGAATTAAACATGCATTAAATACCAAATTTTCTAACTTGGACACATTATTTGACTGTCAGGTAATAATGAATATAATAGGATATTTTGATTAAGAACGTTAATCAAATGTTTGATTTTTAAGTTGAATTTAAACATAGTAATTTTTTAACTTTAATACCATACTTAGGTCAAGGACATCAATTTAGTTGTGATTACAGTAATTTTTCTATTAGTCATATATGCACAGTAAGCAACAAATACAGTATCCTGAATAATTAATAAATCTTTGGGCTAATAATCTTATTGCCAAATTTGTTAAATATTACTTCTAAAGAAAATGAATATTTTATGACACATTTTCAATGTTAAAAAGAATATAAAATGTATTTCAATGATTAACCAAATACTTGAGAAAGTAACAAGTTTTATGCTTTTAATCCTTTGTGTAGAAAATTGCCACATCATTCTGAGTTGTTTGTCTAGAAACATAGCATTTGTATTTGTTTGCATTTATTTTTATTCAGCTACTGAGTTCTAACCTTTCTAATTTCCTCCACAGTTATGGAAGAGACTGTTTTCCTAAGGCTTCTTGAGATCAATTAACACATTCTTATCTCTGTATTACCTGCACCTGGTACATACACTGTTCTCAATAAAGGTTAGTTAACCACTACAGGAAGGCATAGAAATACCATTTGTTACACAATTGCTAATTGTGGCACTTGGCATTTGTCACTCTAGAACTTATAACCATTCCTAGTCCTTTTTAAAAGCCATAGATATTTTCCAGTGTTGATTTAATTATCAATACTGATATCATTGTCATCCTCACCATGATCATTTTCATCATAGAGGCTAACCAAGGACCTTTCTGTATATGGTGCCTCTCTCCCTAGCTTTCTTCTTTACTTTATTACTTCCTTTCCTTCTACACAACCACGCAACAAACACATATTGAGCAGCCCATTTTCTATTATTGTCCTTGATGCCAGGAATGCACTTAAATAAAATGGGCAAGATCTCTACCATTTTGTAGCTCACTGTCTAGAGAAAGAGGCCAGGAATAAATATTTAAATAGTGTAATGTGGCAAACAGTGGGTGAGATAAGTGAGGAGTGGATGGTTATGGAAGGACTTTCTCAGAAGGTGAGCACTAGGCTAAGATCTAAATAACAATATACAAATTCACTAATCAGTTGTTGAGTAGAGTAATTAAACTTTTGGGAAATTGATAAATAATATTAGTGGTTAATTAATACTTACAAATGTAAAAATTTTGCCATATGCTTTGCTGAAATTCAGCTACACTTCGGATTTTATTTTTATTGACAAATTGAATAACTGCGTCTCAAAGAAAATGAGATAAATGTGGATTAATAATTCTCTATGAATTTATCCTGTGTCCCTTTCTTAAGTTACATATTTTTAATTATATAACCACAAAATATCCATGATAAGCACAAATATATATATATTTCACCTAGTATATAATATAAGAATAACCCACCTCCTCCTTTAAAAAAATCAGAGAAATATCTCTAATGCAGATTTTAGGATTTTACTTTTCTCTTTCACCAATGAACTTCAAAATAACTAGCTCCTCACTTACCAAGAGAATATTCTGGTATTAATGTATATTCTATCATATCTCAATCTAGACATCTTGTTAGTCAGAAGACAGGAACAACATTGAGTGTTATAGTTTTGTTTTCTATTATTTTTACAATACATATATATTACACATAATCAGACAATAATATAAAATTATTGGGTAACAGCAACTCAACAATGACAATGGCTTATGCAAATAAGGGATTGTGCCTTTGATGAATTACATGGTAGCTGTAGATCTGGTCATTTGACTCTCCTCTATTTGTCCTCATTTCAGGATCCAAACTGAAGGAAAAACCTCAATATATAGCAAAGTCCATAGCAGAGGTAAAAGAGCAAGAGAGCTGTTGAAACAAAGTGATGGCTCTTAGCGTTTCTGCTCAGAGTCACCATACCTTCACTTGTGATCATGTTCACTGGCCAAAGAAGTGTCACACTCCTACTGTTATCACAGAGGAGGGGAAGAAAATGCCTTTCACAGGAAGACACAGCAGGCCTCATCTAATGAATGGGAATATATAATGTTTTTAATCTCCTTACAGGAAGAGGAGAAATATATAGGACATTTCCCTCAGTTAGAAATAAATGAGACATTTTCCTACACATCTTAGGCTACTAGTGAATTCTTGTTGTATATATTTTTTATCAAAATGTTTTCTAAAGGAATTTGAGTTGTCTTCGGAAAAATTGCAAGCCTTATCTGCTTCTTTTTTAAATTTTATTATTATTATACTTTAAGTTTTAGGGTACATGTGCACAACGTGCAGGTTTGTTACATATGTATACATGTGCCATATTGTTGTGCTGCACCCATTAACTCGTCATTTAGTGTTAGGTATATCTCCTAATGCTATCCCTCCCCCCTCCCCCCACCCCACAACCGTCCCGGGTGTGTGATGTTCCCCTTCCTGTGTCCATGTGTTCTCATTGTTCAATTCCCACTTATGAGTGAGAACATGTGGTCTTCTTAGCTTTATTCTGAATAATGCTTATAAATATATCCCTGTCACTCTATCATATTGTTTCTGATTAAGTTCCTACCATCCATTCCTATTTACAAATGTATTTCAAACTCTATAATAATTAGAGGACATTGAATTAATCATTGGAGTTTCATTAGGTGTTCTGTAAGATTTACAACTCATTTTGTAAGTTTCTAAGAGTGCCTATTTGTCTGCTTTACAAATATAGATCATGTGAAATAATCTTTCACCTTCAGTTTATAGAAATTAATCTTTGTGCAATCTACTTCTGCTATCTAAGTAGAAATCATACTTTTATCCTGCCTTAGTAAATGTTTTCTGATACAATAGTTTTCTTTCAAGATCCCCATTATTTTACTAAAGAATCCATCTTTAGTTGTCCACACTAAATATATCTTTATTTGTCCAAACTAAATAATATTTATTCAATTTCTCATTGCTTTGATCATCACAAAAATGAAACTGCCAATAAAATATGAAACAAATTAATGTAATCTACTTTTTAGTTGAATGAACCACACCTTGACCCTATATTTTTGCAATCTGCTGTATGAATATGGTGAAAATATTCTCTCCCTAATGTTGTTTGGCATTTAATAACATATATAATACAGAAATATAACAAGATGTTTTCTACTGTTTTCACCCCTTTAAATTACATCTTATCATCACAATGTATTAATATCCACACATATAAAAGTCCTGTGCCTACCCTTCATAATTTTCTTTTTTTGAAATAATGTATATTTCTGAATTTTAGTCAAAAGTCCAAACTCACATAGATCAAATATAACTATGTGTGTACCAACATTTGTTATAGTTTTTTATCCCAACCATCTTCCTGTATATTATTTGTTTCTTTTTAATTACCCTGAAATCATTTCTGAGAAAAAAGAGGATAGAAGTATAAAATAAAAAACAGACATATCTATACTATTCTATTTATTTTTTCACCATAGTTTTAAAAATTCATTTATTTTTAGGAACTGTTACCTTAGAGTTGTTGTACAACAACCAAACTTGATTTATTTTTAAATGTATTTTTATTTTTTAAACTATTTAGGCATGATTGACCTTCAAATTCTGTGCATATTTACTACATACATATTGATGAGTTTAAGGATAAGTATATATCCATGGCCACGTATTTACCACCAAGGGCATAAGTGTATCCGTCACCTCCCAAAGTTTTCTTCTTCCACCTTTATAACTATTTGTGCATGTGTCTGTGTGTATGTTAAGAACACCCAACACAAGGTCTACCCTTTAGCAAATTTTGAGAATGCATACACTGTTCATAGTTTATATGCACTATGCTGTGTAAAAGATCTCCAGAATGTATTTATCTTGACTAACTAATTTGATATCTTAATTTAAAAAAAAAATGTAAGACATCATAAACAAACACAAAGAGATACGGTGATTTTGGTATGGTATTTGGGGAAAAGCAAAATTAAAAAAAGAAGTAATGCAATAGAAAACAAGTCCCTCAAGAAATGAGACATGCAAAAATTGTATTTGATAGCTCTGCAATAGAGAAATCATCTTCAGATACATATCAGTGGTATTCTGTTCATGAAAGATAAGAATTCATTCAGACACTAGAAAAAACATATTGAATAGGCTTTACCAAGAAGAAATAGACAGGACATTTTACAGAAGTCTCACCCTTTGCAAACAAAGATAACAATCAACAATCTTAGGTTATCAGTTTACCCAATTCAGATGAGGATTTTTAATAGATGAATATCCTGTCATCTACTGTAATATGTTTGTTGATTTCTTTATTTTTATTCATTTTCTATAATTGCCATAATCATAGCTAGTCATATTTTGGCTAGGTTTTACTTATAAATTTTATGTAAAAATTTTATATAATAAATAAGATTAAAAATAACAAACTAAATAGCCTGCTTTCTCCCATTAACCCATTCATCTAAATGCTATACATCATTTTCTAAATTATTTTATCATTGCTATATAGTAGAGGAAATTGAGAAATTTAGCACTGGAAAATCGTATTTTGTACCACCAGTTAAGAAGCTTGCAATATTTTTATATATTATGACCTTTGTAGTTAAAATTCTCAGCTGTTTTTCCTGAGAAGAGTGAGTTATATATACATACATTCAATTTTTATTTATTATTGCTTTTGTTCTCATACAAGTAATATTGGTTCAATACGTAACACTTAGAAAAAAGTAAAAACAATGAAATAGGCCGGGCGCAGTGGCTCACGCCTGTAATCCCAGCACTTTGGGAGGCGGAGGTGGGCGGATCACGAGGTCAGGAGATCGAGACCACGGCGAAACCCCGTCTCTACTAAAAATACAAAAAATTAGCCGGGCGCGGTGACGGGCGCCTGTAGTCCCAGCTACTCTGGAGGCTGAGGCAGGAGAATGGCGTGAACCCGGGAGGCGGAGCTTGCAGTGAGCCGAGATTGTGCCACTGCACTGCAGCCTGAGCGACAGAGCGAGACTCCATCTCAAAAAAAAAAAAAGAAAAGAAAAGAAAAAGAAATAAATAAAAAGAATTTTTAATTTCAGATACCCAAAAACTATAGATGGCCATTTTTAACTTATCTTACTCAAGTTATCTTTTCTTTTACATATTAGACTCTGTGTGTGTATGGATGTGATTAGTTTTATAGATGATAGGTGATAGATTGATAGATCCAGATGTCATTATGATAAAATTATTTGATCTGTGAAACCATAATTATTCTTTTTTTAATTTCCAACATTTATTTCAAATTCAGGGGTACAAGTGCAGGATGTGCAGGTTTGTTACACAGGTAAACATGTGCCATGGTGATTTGCTGCACAAATAATCCCATCACACAGATATTAAGCCCAGTATCCATTAGCTGTTCTTCCTGATGCTCTCCCTCCTTCCATCCCCCACCCTCTGACAGGCCCCAGTGTGTGTTGTGCCCCCACATGTATCCACGTTTTCATCATTTAGCTCCCACTTATAAGTGAGAACACATGGTATTTGGTTTTCTGTTCCTGTGTTAGTTTGCTAAGAAAAATGGTCTCCAGCTCCATCTATGTTTCTGCAAAGGACACAATCTCATTCTTTTTGATGGCTGAATAATATTTAATGGCATATATGTACAACGTTTTCTTGATTTAATCTATCATTGATGGGCATTTAGGTTGATTCCATGTCTTTGCTATTGTGAATAGTGCTGTAATGAACATACATGTGCATGAAGCTTTATAATAGAACAATTTATATTCCTTTAGGCATATACCCAGTAATGGGATTGCTGGGTCTAATGGCATTTCTGCCTTTTGGACTTTGAGGAATAGCCACACTGTCTTTCACAATCGTTGAGCTAATTTACAGACCCATCAACAGTGTAAAGGTATTCCTTTGCCTCCACAACCTCACCAGCATCTGTTTTTTGACTTTTTAGTAATAGCCATTCTGACTGGTATAAGATGGTATCTCGTTGCGGTTTTGATTTGCATTTCTCTAATGATCAGTGATGTTGAGCTTTTTTTAATGTTTGTTGACTGCATTATGTCTTCTTTTGAGAAGTGTCTGTTTCTGTCCTTTTCCCACTTTTTAATGTTTTTTTTTTATGTCTTGTGAATTTGTTTAATTTCCTTATACATATGCTGGATATTAAACCTTTGTCAGATGGATAGATTTTAAAACTCTTCTCCCATTCTGTAGGTTTTCTGTTTGCCCTGTTGATAGTTTCCTCTGCTATGCAGAAGCTCTTTAGTTTAATTAGATTCTATTTGTCAATTTTTGTTTTTGTTGTAATTGCTTTTGGCATCTTTGTCAAGAAATCTTTGCCCATGTTTATGTCCTAAATAATATTGCCTAGGTTTTCTTCTAGAGTTTTTATAGCTTTGGGTTTTACATTTAAGTCTTTAATCCGTCTTGTGTTAATTTTTATATATGGTGCAAGGAAGGGGTCCAGTTTGAATTTTCTGCGTATGGCTAGCTAGTTCTCCCAGCACCATTTTTTAAATAGAAAATACTTTCCTCATTGCTTGTTTATGTCAGGTTTGTTGAAGATCAGATGGTTGTAGGTGTGCGGTCTTATTTCTGGGCTCTGTATTCTGTTCCAACGGTCTACGTGTCTGTTCTTATACCAGTACCATGCTGTTTTGGTTATTGTAGCCCTGTAGTATAGTTTGAAGTTGGTTAGTGTGATGTCTCCAGCTTTGTTCTTTTTGCTTAGGCTTGCCTTGGCTATTCAGGCTCTTTTTTGTTTCATATGAATTTTAAAATAGGTTTCTTCTAATACTGTGAAGAATGTCAATGGTACTTTTGAAGCAGAATATTTCCCTGACCCATTCCGGGGACTTGTGACAGGGGTGCCTCATTTACTCAGCTCGCTGCTCCCAACTTCTTGTGCGAGGGAGCACACAAGAGAACAAGTGTGGGAACTGGAGTGAACAAGGGCTGGAACTGGCTGGCCACTTCAGTGTGGGGAGGATCAAATTCTACTCATTGGACCTCCCGTGTTCTACCCTTCACATGAGGGAGCATGCAGGTGAGTGGGTGCAGGAATTGGCTGGATGCTTTAGCACTGACAGGAGTGAATTCCATGCAGGCCCTGCAGCAGCAGCCAGGCAGGGGTACCAGTGACTTCCAAAGTGCCAGAGGGAGTGTTATGTGCCCTTTTAGCTCTGCCATTCATGGACAGTTTGAGTGTTAACAGCCCAGTGGGCACTTTGCCTTGTCACATAGGGTGGCTGCCCTCCACTAGCAAGGGCAAAGGGCCAGTGTGACAGCCTTTTGTATCTGCACTTGTGGCTCTTGAGCTCTTGTCTGGCATCCAGGAAAAATTAGGCAGCACAAAATATGGTAAATGCAGGGGATTTTATTGTTGATGAAAGTGGCTCTCAGTGGGAAGGTAAACTTAAAAGGGAATGGGGCAGGTAGGTAATCTTCCTTGAAGTCTGGCCACTTTCAGCTGGATTCTTCTCCGAAGTGACACTGTCAAGCTGTCCCTCTGAAGTCAGGCCACTTCTCTCCGATGTCCAGACATAGTTCCGTCTCTTGACTGAGTCTGGGGTTTTTATAGGCACAGGATGGGACAGGGAGGGACCATGGGTGGTTTAGGAAAAGGGAACATACAAGCGTGAAAACAGGGATACGAGTTCTCACTTTGGGCCACAGTTTCAGGCTTTCAGCTTGAAGGTTGGGTTTCACTGGGGACTTGCCTTTTTCTGCCTTTAATTTCTCTGCCCCCTGTCCCTGTCAATTTAATGGGAATAGCATTGAATCTATAAATTGCCTTAGGCAGTATGGTCATTTTCATGATGCTGATTCTTCCTATGCATGAGAATAGAATGTTTTTTCCATTTCTTTGTGTCATCTCTGATTTCTTTGAACAGTGGTTTGTAGTTCTTCTTGAAGAGGTCCTTTACTTCCCTGGTTAGCTGTATTTCTAGGTATTTTATTCTTTTTGTGGCAATTATGAATGGCAGTTCATTCATGATTTGGCTCTTGGCTTGCCTGTTCTTGGTGCATAGGAATGCCATTGATTTTGCACATTCATTCTGTATCCTAAGGCATTGCTGAAGTTGCTTATCAGGTTAAGAAGCTTTTGGGCTGAGAGGATGGGGTTTTCAAAACATAGGATTATGTCATCTGCAAACAAAGATATTTTTACTTTCTTTCTTTCTATTTGAATACACTGTATTTATTTCTCTTGCTTGACTGCCCTGGCCAGAATTTCCAATACTATGTTGAATAGAAGTGGTGAGAGATAGTAACCTCCTCTCATGCAGGTTTTCAACTGCTTCCAGTTTTTGACCATTCAATGTGTTAATGGCTGTGGGTTTGTCACATATGGCACTTATTATTTTGGCATATGTTTCCTTCAATACCTAGTTGTTTGAGAGTTTTAACATGAAAGGATGTTGAATTTTTGAAGGCCTTTTTGCATCTATTGAGATAATCATGTGGTTTATGTCTTCAGTTATCGTTATGTGATGAGTCAGATTTATTGATTTTCATATGTTGAACCAACCTCACATCATGGGGATGAAGCTTAATTATGGTGAATAAGCTTTTTGATGTGCTGCTGGAATCAGTTTGCCAGTATTTTGTTGAGAATTTTTGCATCAATTGAACTATCATTTTCTTTTTTTTTTTTTTTATTATACTCTAAGTTTTAGGGTACATGTGCACATTGTGCAGCTTAGTTACATATGTATACATGTGCCATGCTGGTGCGCTGCACCCACTAACGTGTCATCTAGCATTAGGTATATCTCCCAATGCTATCCCTCCCCCCTCCCCCCACCCCACCACAGTCCCCAGAGTGTGATATTCCCCTTCCTGTGTCCATGTGATCTCACTGTTCAATTCCCACCTATGAGTGAGAATATGCGGTGTTTGGTTTTTTGTTCTTGCGATAGTTTACTGAGAATGATGGTTTCCAATTTCATCCATGTCCCTACAAAGGACATGAACTCATCATTTTTTATGGCTGCATAGTATTCCATGGTGTATATGTGCCACATTTTCTTAATCCAGTCTATCATTGTTGGACATTTGGGTTGGTTCCAAGTCTTTGCTATTGTGAATAGTGCCGCAATAAACATACGTGTGCATGTGTCTTTATAGCAGCATGATTTATAGTCCTTTGGGTATATACCCAGTAATGGGATGGCTGGGTCAAATGGTATTTCTAGTTCTAGATCTCTGAGGAATCGCCACACTGACTTCCACAATGGTTGAACTAGTTTACAGTCCCACCAACAGTGTAAAAGTGTTCCTATTTCTCCACATCCTCTCCAGCACCTGTTGTTTCCTGACAGCCCTCAGAAATAATGCCGCATATCTACAACTATCTGATCTTTGACAAACCTGAGAAAAATAAGCAATGGGGAAAGGATTCCCTATTTAATAAATGGTGCTGGGAAAACTGGCTAGCCATATGTAGAAAGCTGAAACTGGATCCCTTCCTTACACCTTATACAAAAATCAATTCAAGATGGATTAAAGATTTAAACGTTAGACCTAAAACCATAAAAACCCTAGAAGAAAACCTAGGCATTACCATTCAGGACATAGGCGTGGGCAAGGACTTCATGTCCAAAACACCAAAAGCAATGGCAACCAAAGACAAAATTGACAAATGGGATCTAATTAAACTAAAGAGCTTCTGCACAGCAAAAGAAACTACCATCAGAGTGAACAGGCAACCTACAACATGGGAGAAAATGTTCGCAACCTACTCATCTGACAAAGGGCTAATATCCAGAATCTACAATGAACTCAAACAAATTTACAAGAAAAAAACAAACAACCCCATCAAAAAGTGGGCTAAGGACATGAACAGACACTTCTCAAAAGAAGACATTTATGCAGCCAAAAAACACATGAAGAAATGCTCATCATCACTGGCCATCAGAGAAATGCAAATCAAAACCACTATGAGATATCATCTCACACCAGTTAGAATGGCAATCATTGAACTATCATTTTCAATAGCTCAATACTATTCCATCACATTGGTGTCTCATAATTTATAAGGCATAATTTGATATTCCCCTAATGGGAGAATGCAGATTTTTTTAAATTTTTCTGCTACAGATATTCTTCTCATTTCAACAGATTTTATGCAAAATTTTGACTACAACTGTGATTATTTCTTCATAACACATTACTACTAATAAGTTCTAGAATTACTCAGTATGAAAGGTTTGTTTCTAAATCACTGATGCATACTTCCAAAACTGCTTTCTGGAAAGATCGTACAAGTGTACATTTTTATCTCTAATGAATGATATGACTATTTTACTACAGCTTAGCTGGCATCGAGTATAATCCATTTTTGGGCCTAATTTTACATATGAAAAACAATACCCTGTTATTTTTATATATAGTATTTGTTTTTGTTTTTAATTAATACTGAGCTCAGAGATCTAAAGCATAGCCACTAGCTTTTTAGGCCAGAACTATAGTTGTCCTCAGCACCAAGATGTCAGGGCCCTGAAAACTGTAGCCTTTTTGTGAACCATCCCTATTGCTTAGAAATAAAGTTAAGTCTATTCAGGAATTAATTGATTAAATAGTTAAGGACAAATGACAATGTGTCTCCTCTCTGATCCTTGATATTATTTGCATTGACAATATAAGTGGTAAACACTCCTTATCATATATTCTCTCCTTGTAAGCATTCCCACAATAATCTGTGCTTTATATTCCTCAACTCAACAATCTAGGTTCCCCATGATTCTGAACTCTTTCTGCTGTAATTAGAGCACAATAATAATTAACATGTTTAAGAAGTTTATGTTCTGAATACTTTCTATGTCATATCAGTAAACATACAATCAGAAGAACATCAACTACCCTGCTATTTTAACAGAAATAATTGAATATAAGTAATTTTTCAACCAACGTTGAAGAAATTAAAAGATCAAAAAGGAAATAAAGTGCAATAAAACAATGCATTTCTAAAACAAGATTTAGGGAAAGAAAGCAGAACTTTTGAAACTATTAAAATTTAAATCTTGGAGAAGGGAGTCAGAAAAGCAGAATCCAGACATCTGCAGAGAGGATACTGCTTGACTGGAGGCGTTGCCTTGGGATCTTGGAGATGATCATATAGAGATGGGTGTCCTAGTTCTAAGAAGCTCCAGCCAGCTGGTGCTGATATCTCTAATACTGTGCTATGAAGTTGATTATAAGAGTGATTATAAAGTGTTGATTATAGGAGTGCCAAGAAATCTGCAAACTGAAATTAATACCTACTATTGAAATCAACTGCTGCTGTACAGCATAGATGGGTGATTTTAAAGGTGAAGAGACAATAGATTAACAAGGCACATTCATGCATTAGCATATTTAATAATCAAGTATGAGCACTAATATGCCCTCATTTTATAGATGAATAATCTGAAAATTATAAAGGTAATTTAACTTGCTCAAGGTAACATGGGTAGCCAGGATTTGAACTCAGGCAGTTCGGCTTCCAAGACTGCACTTAAAAAAAAAAATAGTTTTACTGAGGTATAATTGATGAATAAAAATTATATATATGTGAGGCAAATAGTCTAATGCTTCGATATGCATGTATGTATTGTGAAATGATCACTGCCATCTAGGATATCCATTATCTACATATTTCCTTTTTAATCTCCTTTTTTATTTGACACTTAAGATATACCTTCGTAATATTTTTGAAATATACATCAAATTGTTGTTAACAATAGTTACATAGCTATATATTAGGTCTCCAGAACTTACTTAACTTGCATAACTAAAACTGTATAATCTTTCACCAATATCTACCCATTTCCCCGTCTGTCCACCCCTAGCAACCACTGTTCTACTGTCTGCTTGTACAAGTTTGACTATTTAGATTTAACATACAAATGAGATCATGTCTATTGGGCGTTTCTTCAAAGAAAACATATACATAGCCAACAGGTACATGAAATGTCACTCAACATCACTAATCATCAGGTAAATGCAAATCAACCACAAACCTCCTGTCTGGGGTCTGCTTCTTAGCCCATGGTGCCTATACAGACTAATTATCATCATTATTTAAATAGGCTGATGTTTACTTCCCTGGGGGAATAAAAAAGCCTTTCCATTAAATTATATGTTTCTCTACTATTACCTTGGCTTTTTTGCCTCTCTTGGCTGCCAAATTTGTCAAATTATATGTCTATATTGATATTCTTTTTTTATTTCCCTCTTTCACATCAACCTATTCTAGTCTGGCTTCCAACTTGACAACTGAACTAAAATAATTCTTTAAACATCAAAAATAACCTCCTAGTTTTAGTTCTGGAAATTACAGAGTAAGTAGATTCACCGTATTCCTCTTACTAAATAAAAAGTCTTGGAGAAAATTCAATAAGCAATTGACTAATGGCTTTGAAAGATGAAGGAAGGAGGGTGGAGATGCTAAGAACTACAGGACTTAAGAAGTGACCCAGAAGTAAATTCTAAGATTTTCTTCTTTTTTTGTTACTTTATAAATATTCCAGTTTGGGTCCTGGGAAGTCTACTACTAACAAACATCAATAGGGTCAGACAAAACACACAAACGAGGACAGAAATATTTTGACCATCTTGCTCTGGGTGAAGATTAAAACAAACAAACAAAAACCAGCTGTATTGCTCTCCTTTCTTATCGAGTGCAGAGACTGAGAGCAGAGCTCTGTCTTCTATCTTTGTCCTACAACAGTGAAGTGATGTTCTCTATTTCGACCACAAGGATTATAAATGGAGACTCAGCTTTCATCCATGCCCTGCAATAGGATGGCAGCATCACAATTCACAGCATGGTGACTAGGCAAATAGGCCACTGTTCACACCGTACACATAGCATTCTTGTCTCTTCCATCAGACATTGCAGCCATGGAGATGGTGATCAGAGTTCTGTCCACCATTCTCTCCTTAAAAAAAATATACATATATATATATATATATATATATATATATATATATATATATAGAGAGAGAGAGAGAGAGAGAGAGAGAGAGAGAGAGAGAGAGAGAGGGGCCAGGCACAGTGACTAACGCCTGTAGTCCCATCACTTTGGGAGGCCAATGCAGGTAGTTCAGAAGGTCAGGACTTCAAGACCAGCCAGACCAACATGGTGACACCCATCTCTACTAAAAATACAAAAATTAGCCAGGCGTAGTGGCAGGTGCCTGTAATCCCAGCTACTCGGGAGGCTGAGGCAGAATTGCTTGAACCCAGGAGGCGGAGGTTGCAGTGAGCCAAGGTCACACCATTGCACTCCCGCCTGGGTGACAGAGCAAGACTCCGTCACAAAAAAAAAAAAAAAAAAAAAAGACAATGCACCTTTTTCTCACAACAAAATTGTAGAAGGAATTCAGAGGGGATAGAATTAGAGACAAGGATGTTTTAAATTTGTTTATGAAGTGCTGAGAAGACTTCAGAGCAGTCTATATATTAAACCAACCATATACAAAACAGAAAAAACATTTGATAACTGAATTGTCATGTGGAAAACCATGCAGGTTTCAGATGGGTGTCTGAGTAGCATGCAAGTAGGGCAGACCAGAATAGTATTGCAAAGGCTGTGAAAATTTAGTTGACATTAACCACAAAGTGGACCAGGATGTTTGTTCTGAACCAGAACATATTGAATGCCTGAAATAAAAGGAAGACTTAAATAGTAACCAGACACTTATAGTACTCAAAATGTCCAGGATACAGTCCAAAATTACTCATCATTGCAAGTAAGGACACTCTCAACTCTCAAGGAAAAAAAGGCAATCAACAGGTGGCAATACTGAGATCACACAAATGTTGAGATTATTTGACAAAATCTCAAAGTTTCTATCATGAAAATGTTCTAACAAGTAGTTACAAACACTCTTGAAAAAAGTTAAAAGAAACAACAAAAAAGTAATAGGAGATAAAAGAATCAGGAAAATTTAGAACTGAAAAAAAATACAATAATCAAAATTTTAAAACACAGTGGATGGAGCCAATAGCAGAATGGATATGACAGAGGAAAAAATCAGTTTACTTAAAAATAGATCAATAGGTATTATCAAGTCTGAGAAACAGAAGGGTAATGAAGAGTACCTCAAAAAACCTTTTAGGACAGTTAAAAAGGACACTTTATTGCTTTTATTTGAATTCCCTTTTCCCCTTGCCTGTTATAGCTCCTCAAGTTCTCAGCTTTTGACATAATCATTAAAGGAGTAGATCTTCTTTTTTATTTTTTATTTTTACATATTGTCTAAAATAGTCTCCCCCTTGTTCCATGTTTATTTGTTAGTTTTAAAATCCCTTAGAAATCAATAGCTTCACTTCACTTATGCTTTAATGTTGAAGCAAAAATTGACTGATATTCTCAAAATTTAAGCATAATAATTAATGCAACTATATCATAGATGAAGAAGATAAAAGGACTAAAATACCGTAACATGGGTACGAGATATGCACTTTCTATTTGAAGTGGTCCATATTGACACTAGCATTCTGTAATAAATTGCATATGTAGATTGTACTCCCTAGAAGATAGTGGTTGGCAAATTACTGCCCATGGGCTAAAATCTATTATTCACCTGTTTTTGTAAGTAAAGTTTAAATTTTACATATCCATACCCATTTATTTATTCATTGTCTGTGGCTGGTTTTTTGTTTTCTTTTGTTTTGTTTTTTTGCTATGCTTGCACAATTTAGTAGGTGCAACAGAGAATGTATGATCTACAAAGCTTAAACTATTTACTATCTGATCCTTTACAGAAAACACATTGATTACAGAGCATCTGCTAAAAACCTATAAAAAAGAGATAAAATGTTTACTAAAAGATGTTTCAAATAACCCCCTGGGGAACAGAAAAGGAAAAACAGTGGAAGAAAAATCAAAAGGAACAAACAGAAAATAATATCATGACAGACAAATGTTTTATTTTGTTTAAACAAATCTTTCTAATTCTCTATTTCACTTTTTAAATTTTGTTAGAAACTATTTAGAATGTATTTATATTTTTTCTATTCTTAAAATTACTTTTTCTGTGACTAGTATTTGGAAACCAATGACATTCAAATTTTATTTCAATTTTATTTGAAATAAGTTTAACAAATATTTATTGAACACTACTATCTGGTGGATATTTTACTAGTCTCAGTAAGGTATAATGAAACATCTCAAGATGATTACAGCTCAGGTTTTAAGTGAATAACTTAATTCCAACCACATTCTTATCCTGGGGTCTTTAGTAAAAGAAGGATGAATAGCAAAGCAAAGGCTTTAATATCAATGACTATTTAGATATCTACTTATTCTTTACTTAAAAACTAGTAATTAATTAATATTAAAATGTTAAACATTATTTAGAATGCCTTCCATTATAGAAGACACATACAATTTAGCCATTTGGTGATACTTAAGATCAAATAGTTAATTTTGATTAGTGGAAATAGGAACGCTTATGAGAAATAACAATTTTATGTAAGAGAAGAGAGAGGAGAACACATTTAACATTATGAGAGCAAATGAAACATGAATACATTCAACTTACTCTATTAGAAATTATATTTATGTACAACATACAAACTTAGAAAAAACTAGATACAGTTAATCATGGAAAATGCAATAGTGGAATAGACCTTTGAAGCAGTATTTTAAATGTATAAATGAAAGAGCCTGTAAAATAAGAGGAGAAAGAATCCCAAAAATATATTAACATGGTCAGAAGGAGAATTCAGTGACTTGGAGTCATAATATGGGGATAAGAGCAAGTAACTGGGAAGGCGAGTTCAGGGAATGGTCAAGCAGAATGGCAAAAAAAAAGTATATAGTGTAATAAATTTGAAAATTTAGAAGATGTTCTTCTAACCTGGAGTACATGAAATACCATGTAGTGTAAAACCCAGGTTTTCTTGTAATCTTTATGCCATGATTTGAGTAAAATAATGAAAAATCATTAAGAAAAATATGTCACAGAAAAAGTTTTACTTTTTCTTTTCATAAATTTTAGGCCAGTTAGTTAAAACCAAGACAAAGAAAATGAAGCTGAAGTAAGAAAGATATTTTTAATACTCAAAATATGTCAAGGTCAAAGTATTGATTTCTAAAAGGCATTTTTAAAGTATGAGAATCAATAAGTGGGAAGATTATTTTAGACAATAAAAAAGATCTAATGTCTTCCGTGATTATGTTAAAAGCAGAAACCATGAGGAGCCCTAGAAGGTAGAGAAAAAAAAAGAAATTCAAATAAAAGCATAAAATAAAGTAACTTTGGTGCTTATCCATGCATAATATCTATGAGTAGTTTTGAAAATAAGAATGCATTTTACTCTAAAATGAATGAGACATTGTAAGGAGATCTCATAGAATAACAATAATTTGATCATGTTTCTGAATTCAAGAAAGAAGATACATAGATGATTAAAGCAATCCACGTTTTTAAAGACTGAGAAACATGGAAGCACTTAGGAAGCAAAAAAATGAAAAGACCAAAAAGGAGACAAAAAAACTTCTGTGTAGATTAAAGTATAAGCTGTATTCTATTATCCTGAAAACTAACTTTTAAAATCCAGAAGGGAAAAAACAGAAAATTGCCCTGGAAATATCTTTTTTTTTTTTTTTTTTTTTTTTTTTTTTGGTAACTACATGTATTTGTCATGAGTCAATTGGTCAACATTAAATATTAAGTTTATTAATCATTCACTTATTCATGTAGTCTTGCACTGTTTATAATAGATTTATATGCCAATCTGGGTATTATAAATATCCATATATCTCTCATATATCATACTTCAAGGTACAATAATTTCCTTCATTCTTTCTGAATCTGTTGACACATCATTTCATCATTAAATAAACATTCTCCTTTTGTTCTATTATGTCCCACTGTATTTATGGAATAAGTTTAAGAAGTATAAACTCGAGAGTTTACATTTGAATAGACCCCCCACATGTTGAATAACCTTACTTCTATAGATAGTACAAAGTAATGGTCCTCTACATTTCTGGGGACATTGGTTTATGACTAATTTTGAATTTCACTCAGTAAGATAATTTTGACAAAAAACTTAGAGTAGGTGTTGATTGAACATGATTAAATTTTCAGATAACATACAGCTTTGAAGAATAGAAGACAAAAATCTAAATACAAAATATAACAACAGGATGATTGCTGGTGCTGACTTTTAAAAAGATGAAACAATAGGAATATAGATACATTCTGCCATTAGTTTTAAAAACCTCATTGAACAAATTGTATGCAGAGAAATTATGGCTTTGCAGCAGCAAATTTTGAGTTGACCTTTAAATTAATATATAACAATGTAGCAGCCAAAATAACAATGTCAAATTAAAATGCTTAACAATTACATAATAAATAATTACTGCATAATATTCTATCATATGAACACTCTATAACATTGACATTTAGGATTCCTATGCTAAATAATTTCTAATTTTCTCAGAATATAATTGTGAGTTATCTTTTTATACATTTCAGTTAATTTACTTTGGTTTTATTACCAGAAACTGTCAAAGGTTTCAAGTGGTTCTAATCTTTATGTATGTTTTCTATATTTCATAATGGCTTTAGAAGGAAAAACATTGTATTGATCTGCTATTTCAATTGTAAGTAGGAAAAATATCTTTCTTACTCTGCTCTAGTTTGTGTTATACAGAAACAGGCACTGAAATGGAGGGTGCAAGATCTTTGTTGGGAATCAACACCTTTGAACAAAAGAAGGCAAATCGAGTAAAGGAAAAAAATTAACTGTAATACAGGACTGGCAGTGCATATCCATGTCTACTACATCTTGGCCTCTTGGCCAGGTTCTCTTAATTTAACTCTTTACACTTGAGTTAAGTTCTAGGCTGCCCCTGAGAGAGAGGGCAGGTAGGAGCTGGTTAGTGAGATAGATAAAGAGGGTCTCAGAAGAGGGACAATGTCTTAGGGACTACACCGGCACCACCACTGTTATGTAGCTAGCAGGAGGAAATGTGGTTAAGAACTTCCTCTTGATGTGGAGAAATAGGAACGCTTTTACTTTGTTGGTGGGAGTGTAAATTAGTTCAACCAATGTGGAAGACAGTGTGGTGATTCCTCAAGGATGTAGATCCAGAAATACCATTTGGCCCAGCAATCCCATTACTGGGTATATATCCAAAGGATTATAAATCATTCTACTATAAACACACATGCACGTGTATGTTTATTGCAGCACTATTCACAATAGCAAAGACTTGGAACCAACCCAAATGCCCATTAATGATAGACTGGATAAAGCAAATGTGGCACATATAAACCATGGAATCCTATGCAGACATAAAAAAAGGATGAGTTCATGTACTTTGCAGATATATGGATGAAGCCGGAAACCATCTTTCTCAGCAAACTAACACAGGAACACTGCAAGTTCTCACTCATAAGTGGGAGCTGAACAATGAGAGCACATGGATACAGGGAGGGGAACATCACACACCGGGGCTGGTTGGGGGGTGGGGAGCTAGGGGAGAGATAGCATTAGGAGAAATACCTAATGTAGAAGATGGGTTGATGGGTGCAGCAAACCACCATGGCACATGTATACCTATGTAACAAACTTGCATGTTCTGCACATGTATCCCAGAACTTAAAGCATAATAATAAAAAAAGAACTTCCTCTTATACCAAGATGCTTGTTCAGAATGGACTTTACCCCACCCACGCAGGTGCAGAAAAGGACTGAAGACTTCCAAAAATGATCTTAACCAATTACAATGCCATTAGGATTGTGGTTTTAGACCCCTGAAGTTTTTGTTTAAGAATTCATGCATAATAATCAAGATGGAGTCCCTATGGCCAAGCCCAGGCATACACAGATGCAACACCCCCAAGGGGGAACTTTACCCTTCCCACTAAGTCAGTTCCTACAGTAGATTTCCTTGTTTCTGTCACATAAAAACCCAGAACTCAGCCCCATTTTTGGCAGCCCTCTTCAAGTCCCCTGTCGTTACTGAGAGCTTTTCTGTTGCTTAATAAAGCCTACTCTGCATTACTCACTCTCTGGTGTCCACGTGCCTTATTCTTCTTGGTTGTGGGACAAGAACTCGAACCTTGTTAAACTAAGGAGTAAGGAGACTGCAACAACCCGACCACCCCACTGGCATACCTTATTCTAATCTTAGTATGTTTATCTTGCATCAAATTTTAGAATCTTCACACATAGCTACCTTATTTGATATAGTTACTCACATCCGTAGCAAGAAAATCCCAAATGTGTGTCCACACTTAAAATATAGAGCCAGAGCAAAAGATAGCTAAGATAATCAGCATATTGTCAATTCATAAATAAATTATGGGACACTATACATGAATCTGATCATTTTCTTCCATGTTAAAAATTTGGAAGAGACATTGTTGCCTGATCTACAAAATTACCTTGCACTATTATTTTTGTTCAATATAATATGTAGAAATCAACTACCTTAAACTGACTTACTGAGATTTCTTTTGCCTATATATTAATAGCTTTTTATTAATATGTAAATTTTAATTTAAAATATTTCTAAAACATTAATATGAATTTTAAAATTAATTTATATTTATTTATAAATAAATTAAAATTATTAAATTTAATTAAATTTTAATTAATTTTGAAATTAATATTTAACAAATATTAATATGTAACATTCACAGAAGTGCTTAAAGGTAAAGATAATAAAAATAACAATATTTATTAACATTTAATATGGGGCAGTTACAATGTGAAGTGCTATATATAATATCTGATTTCATATTCCTGGCAATTTTTGTGCTAGGTATTATTAATATTGCAGTATTGCATCCATTTTACAGCTGAAAATGTTAAAGCCCCAAGGGGAGTATCTTGCACTTAACAAGTAGTAGATGCATTACTCAGGCACTAAGCCTTTAAACACTACACTCAGCTGTCTGGGGAAGACTGTATGAAAGTATAATCCTCACTTACCAGATTAGAAACCTAAATTCTTTAGAGAAGAGTCTTAAACCATTTGACTAGAATATGGTCTGTAGAAGTCAGATTTCTCCATAGTTGACAGCAGAAGAAAGAGTAGAGTTATTAACATAATTACTATGATTATTATTAATGTAAAAATAATATTAAAAGTTAATTTTATTTTTTTGATGGTAAATATGATAGAAAATAAAATAAGTTAAAATCATTAAAAGCATAAATACATATTCTATGCAAATTATTTAGAGTATACTACATCCTTCAAATTTTGTTCAAATTTTTTTCCACTGAAAGCAGCATAAATAATGTTATAGGTTTAATATAATATAAGTATAGTATATAACATATATTATATATTATAAGTTTGTGGTTTTTTTACATTTTCAAATGATATATTTCTTTTTATGATCCATGTAAGTTAGTGGCAAGGCTTATAAATTATTATAAGTTATTAATTAACTTTCTGTGCCTGAAAAATATATATATATATTCAATTTAAATCTAGCCAGTGCCAAATTTGATCCTCAGAAAATACTATAAAATCCAATGAGAAAAAATGTTTAATGTGATTTCTCATTTTGAAATAAAAGGCCTTTCTCTGTTTGGCAGGGTTGTCTTTCATTGTGGAAATGCTCAGAGAGAATGAGCTTACCATTTTCGGAAGTGATTCTTTGAGTCTTTTCTGTGAAAGGTGACATGCTTTGCCACTATATAGAGTTTTGAAACAAGGGATTTCTCTTTGTATGACCCTTAGAAAGGAACTGAGCACCTCTCAGGATGAGACTGCCATGCTTCCATATCTGTGATCAATGATGTAATGCATCCTAATTTATTCATATCTCACTGAGTGCTTATCTTTTTAATTTATTCATAAACATGAACATATACCATTTTTGAACATAGTTCATATTTTAAAATCTGAATAATTATCATTTTTGAATAGATGATCAAATAGGCATAAAAATCAAAATGTACTACTAGATATAATTCTTTTGTTACTTATAAACTTTATAAAGTATATGACATTATGAATTAACTTTACCATTAAAGAAAATATGAAATAAGTACAATTAAATGAAAATATAAGGAAATTATAAGTTTGTGTGTTTGTTTTTACATTTTCAAATGATTTTTTTTATGATCTATGTAAGTTAGTGACAAGGCTTATAAGTTATTAATTAAGTTTCTGGGCCTGAAATATATTTATAGTTGTTTCCATTAAAATTATGTTTCATTTAATATCATGCAGTACACCCAAATTGACTTCTAATGTCTAAGAGGGTACTTATACCAAAATATTAATATAGATTTATCCATAATGGAAACATGGTATGGTAGTAAAATTGAATTGAAATGACATAAATATTCCTTTTCATTCCAACTAGAGTTCTAGGTATTAGAAAAGGTAGAGAATGAAGTAAAAACCGTATATAAGGAAATAAGCAGCATGGATTATTACATAAAATTCAAATGAAACTATATTTAAAAAGTTATATATATGATCTACTACCTCCACCTAAAATCCTTGATGGATCTTATATTCAAAATATTCTGGATTGTTACCATTACACCATTACATAGATATTAAGATATTTTGAGTTACCCTGGGGTTATTACCTTATAACCTTATTTTTTTTCTCTAAGGTATATGTTTATCTTACTATAATTCTTATGCTTTGGTTATGTCTGAAAAGAAATTGATAGAACACCATCCACCTATTTTATAAATTTAGCCATAAATTAGCTACCACATATTCTTTCTGGGGCACTGAGATCCATTTAAAGTCTTTGATACGTATTGCTGTGATAGCTGTGTGTACCCACAGAGTCTCATGCAGCCAAAGCTTCCCCATATCTCAAGGGCCTTGACATCCTAAAATAGTATTTTCTTCTTTTTTCCCCCTAAAAGAAAAGAAGGCTATTAATAGTATAGCAATTGAAATCACTGCGGTACCTGTTTTCATTTTTTCTCCTAAGAAAGTCCATATAAAGAGACAATTGAGGAAAAGGAAAAATAAATTAGTTAGGCTCCTGATTCTTTTCTCTAACAAATCCTACAGATTTGTTCATTTAACAAAAAATAAAACAGTTAAGCTAGAATTTTGACGTCAATAAAAATTGTTTCTCGTGTGTTATGACTCTGATAGCCTGGCATCCATAGAAGGAAAGAAGACAAGCATAGAGCTCAAGTAATTTTTCATACATGCTATGCTTTTAAGTACACCTTGAACCAGAAAAGTATACATTATCAAAAGATCTTTAAACTCCTTTTGTCTGATGGTAAGAGATTTTGTAAATTAGCTAAAAATTTGTACTGACCCTGCAATATATTATTTTTCAAGGAAAACTTTGAAGTTTTGGGTTCAGAAAGATTTTTCTCATGCTTTGTGGTTTATAGTTTAAAGTTTTACTTTATTCTTTTTCTCTGATTTCTGCTGATAGCCAGGACTACAACTACCTTAAGATGAATAACCAGTTTAGAAACTTGAGCAGACAGTCTGCAGCAAAGAAGCAAATATTTATTAAGCACCTCTCATACAGGATGTCTCAGACACACTGCTGCCCTTGTTTGGGTTCGCCCAACAAAGTAGGGTTTGGGGTGAGGACTCATGCAGGTGTTTATTTTGAGAAGTGACATGAAGGAACCAAAATGGGAAGAATGTAAGAAGTGAAACAAAAAAAGAGAAAAAGTTGTCTTGAAGAGCATTATTGAAAAGTTTCCACTCTGGGCCATTGGGGCTCAATTCCCCTACAAACTCTATGAGAATCTCTATAAAATACATATCAGCCTGAGACATGAAAGAGGGTAACATCTGTTTACCCAGGAACTGTCAACCTCCCCACAGTTAAACATAGACACATGCATCAGCTTGACTGAGTAGGCATCAACAGTCATCTAATGCAGCTATAGCAGACGAGCTCCATTCAGAAAGAAAGAGGTGTGTTAAATACCCATAGCAATGTGCCATGATGCTGGAGAAAAAAACTATGGTAAAGTTTGTGATAGAAGGGTCGATGAAGGCCATCGCTCCTTGAACCACTTACGATCTCTTGTGTCCTATATTAAGTACAATGTCCCACAGAGTTAGTGATTGCTTCACATTCTATAAGAAACTTAATATAAGAGTGGCAATTGATCAAGTTAAAATACTCAAGAGTTGCAGCTGCTCCCTAGGCCTTAACCAATATTGTCATCTCGTTTTTTTTTTTTTCACCATAAACGGTATTCCAAATTATTCTCACCCTCAGCAATAATTCAGCTGGTCTCAGTTACTTGACTGATAAAATTACCCAGACCTTAATCCCTGAGAAAAAAGAGCTTTTAGCAGCTGCCGTTGTCAGGTAATAATTGTCATAAGTGTGCATAGAGCTATCGCTGGTCTTAGATCAAGAATTGCCTCAGTTAATTTCCTGGGCTCCAGATATATTTCTCTCTGATGTATTGTGTTGCTGAAACTCTAGCAAAATCCAAAAATCTATTCACTCCTTTCCCTGGCTGTTGAACAACCAAAATGATAAGCCCAAATGATCAGGTGAAAAGCATAGCTTCAGGTTCAATGGAAGCCTCTTTCACCATAAAATACATTATTTGATCTGAGTCTATAATATGTGGGATCTTATGGGGATGTTGTCCTGGTAGAGAAACTGCTCTTGGAAAAGTAAACCTTGGTGTCAAGAACAATAAAAGAATAACTGTTTTCCCCTCTGGGATAGAAGTGATTCAATAAAATCAATGTTTCGTTAAGTGCCTGGTTATCTTTTTGAAGGATAGTATCATATTAAAAACTGGATGTTGGTCTTGCTTAACACACATTTATTATCTCACAGTTCTGTAGATCATAAGTCCAGGCATGGTCTGGACTTGGTCTGGCTTGGTTTCTGCTTAGGGTCTTATTATTCTGTTCTCACATTGCTATGAAGAACTACCTGAGACTGGGTAGTTTAGGAAAAAAAAGAGGATTAACAATTCCACAGGCTATACAGGAAGCAAGGCTGGGAAAGCCTCAGAAAACTTACAATTGTGTCAGAAAGCAAAGAGGAAGGAGGCACATGTTCACATGGCCAGAGCACGAGGAAGAGAGTGAAGGGAGAGAGGCTACACAGTTTTAAACAACTAGATCTTGTGAGAACTCACTATTGCCAGAACAGCAAGGGGGAAATCCACCCCCATGACCTGCCCACGTTCCACACAGTCCCTCCTCCAACACTGGGGACTATAATTTGAAGTGCGATTTAGGTGGAGACACAAATCCAAACTATGTCAGGGTCTAAGGATGAAATAAATGTGTGCAAGCTCATTCTGATTGCTGACAGAACCCAATTCGTTGTGGTTGTAGGAAGAAGACCTCATTCCTTCATGCTTGTCATCCTGGGGTTGTTCTTAGCTCCTATTTAGAGGTGAAGCCAGCTGGGCTTCTGGGTCGGGTGGGGACTTGGAGAAATTTTCTTTCTAGCTAAAGGATTGTAAACGCACCAATCAGCGCTCTGTGTCTAGCTAAAGGTTTATAAATGCACCAATCAGCACTCTGTGTCTAGCTAATGGAGTAGGGGACTTGGAGAACTTTTCTGACTAGCCGAAGGATTGTAAATGCAACAATCAGCACTCTGTGTCTAGCTAAAGGTTTGTAAAGGCACCAATCAGCATTCTGTAAAACGGACCAATCGTCACTCCGTAAAATGGACCAATCAGCAGGATGCGGGTGGGGCCAAATAAGGGAATAAAAGCTGGCCACCCAAGCCAGCGTGGCAACCTGCTCATGTCTGCTTTTGAGTGCTGTGGAGGCTTTGTTCTTTTGCTCTTCACAATAAATCTTGCTGCTGCTCACTCTTTGGATCCGCACTACCTTTAAGAGCTGTAACACTCACTCTGAAGGTCTGCGGCTTCACTCCTGAAGTCAGCAAGACCGTGAACCCACCAGGAAGAACGAATGACTCGGAATGTGCCAGCTTTAAGAGCTGTAACACTAACTATGAAGGTCTGTGGCTTCACTCCTGAAGTCAGCAAGACCATGAAGCCACCGGAAGGAAGAAATTCTGGATACATCTAAACATCGGAAAGAGCGAACTCGAGACACACCATCTTTAAGAACTGTAACACTCCCTGCCACGGTCCGCGGCTTCATTCTTGAAGTCAGTGAGACCAAGAACCCACCGGAAGGAACCAATTCCAGACACACTATCTTAGCTCTTTGCTTGCTATCTAGTACGCTCCATCTTCAAAGACAATTACACAGTATCTCCCTCTTGTTGAATTTCTCTCACATTTTAAAACTTTCTCCTGAAACAATCTCATTCCTTTTAAAGTGTCACCTGAGTAGCTCTGACTCACCAAAAATAATCTTCTTATCTTAAGGTAAACTGATTTGGGTTTGGAACCTAATCACTTCAGCAAAACACCTTTTCACATATAATTTAACATCATCACAGCAGCGATTGTTCATCATACTCACAGGTTCCACCCACACTCGAGTGGAGGAGCTTTGACAAGACTGAAGGCCACTGAGTTTCTTTTGAAATTCTACCTACCATGCTCTCCTATTGTGGCTTTCCAGAGACTTCTTTCTGATCCACAGAGGCTCCCTAAATTGTTCCTTGGAACATTCCAAGTTGTTCCCTTAGTAGTAGGTCATGAAAAGGCAGCAGTCTGGCCCTGCCTTTAAAGATGACATTTCAGTATACTCATACCACTGGTGATTTGAAAACTTCATTAATATTGCAGGCCCCTGAAAACTTTATGAAGTTCATCTCTCTTGTTTTAGCATATGTAAAGCTCATTTACATATCCAGAGTACTTACCATTTCTGTTCACTAGCTTAAATTAGCATGATGCCGTTAACATAGCATGATGTTCTATGAAACACCAATGTTAATATCGCTGTGGACTGTACCATGAGAGTAGGAACACAAAATATAAATGTGACATAAGATTAAATGTGAACTGTTGTCCATCTCACATAAAAGATAAATATTTTTGGTCGATTTTCTCAAAACAAATTTAGAAGACATGTGTTAGACCACAAGCTACGTACTAAGTTTCCTGAGCCTCCTGGTGGTCCTTTCAGACAACTCTGCTCTTCTTCAGTTCAATCCCTTGATTCAGGAGCATATCAGATGTATCTGAGAGAGAAATAAAAGAGGGGTTATTTGTTCTTCTACCTGACCCAAATAATCATCTGTCCTTTGGAGTGTCATGTCTATATCTAGTCAACTGTGGTTCAATTCATTTTCCCTCAGAAGTGAATCAGATAGATAATCTGTCACATTACTATTGTTTTTCCACGGAGACCCAGAAATTATTTTCTCTTGGTATAAAGGCCTATTTATCTGCGAAAATTGAAATGGAAAAATGGAAGAAGTTCACTGTGGCTCCTCATTCCTACAATACCTTATTCCTGAAAGTCTGGTGTCCTTGCTAAAGGCTGTGGTGATTACGTAGATTCACCTGTCCCATCAGCATGCCATCCTGCAACAAGCCCTGATTTGATCCATCCATCACTGTAAAAGCCATCAGCAGGTTTTGCAGTGAGTAAGCCAAACTGCCCTGGCTTCATTTAGCTGTTGCTAAAAGAATAGCAGTTTCATCAGGTGAGCCTAAATTCAGTTTCCAGGGCTCCAGTGTCCACTTGACTTGGAAATGTTAGGGGTTCCCTCCCCTTTCAGCGTAGCAACTGTCTAGGGAGGCATTGTTGGCCTCTAAGATTAGTTCTTCTCTGGTCTGAACAGGCTAGGTAAAGTTCAATGGCGGGGTGGCAATCAAAGTAGTGGAAATATTATTTTTAAGTAATTTTGAGACAAGATAGGCAATCCTTCACTGTATGTGTTTGAGAACTAGTAGGCTGTGTGCTCTGGGGTAAGAATGAATAGCGTACATCTCTAAAGACTATTATAGCCCCCTGACACAGGAATTCCTCATACAATGTCTTCCTAATGACCTTTCCCCTCCTTCTTTATCTTCCAGATGTTTCTTTCCCTAGAATTGTTTTAGCTTTCCTGTCACTATCCCAGTTGGTCCAGTCCTGACAGTTTTCTCCCCATAAGTCCTTTCATATTCAGTCTGTCTTTGTATCAACCCAGAGCTTCAGCACCTGGCAAATGTCCCAGGACCCTGGACCCATGCCAACCAATATTAATCTCTGGGACATCCCTGTAATTCAGAACGGGAACTTTTCTAATACAGCAGGCTCTTTCCCAATGGAATAAGAGTATAAGGAAGTCTTTTTTTCTCCCTGAATTCAGTGGCTCTCCTGTCTCTTTCTGATGGGTAAGACCAGTGTTTTAGTTAGAAGTGGGCTCCCATGTAAACCCTATCCTACTCTCTGCAAGCATTCACAGGTTAAAATTAACATTTAAGGCTTTAGCAATTCCTCCAGCCTTGGAATCACTGGCTTCTGAGGGGCATCAGTACCTTTGCAGATATTGTCACATATATGAGATTTTCCCTAAAGATCCTGAATGGTTTCTGGAATATTAAGATGCTTTAGCTTCCCACTGTAGGCGGTAGGTTCTTTTATCTGTTTTTGTTTTGTTTTGTTTTCCTTGTCCTCAGCCATATAGTTCAAAAAAAAAATTCCTAAAAGCCTATGAAGAGAGAGTCAGTGAAATTTTATGCAAGCTTGTCTCTCTGTAAACAAATAAAGGTGCCTGGTTACTGGTTACTAGCGGTTTTGTTCCAGCCTCTCATTTCAAGTGGAATCTGTGACATGAGAATTCCCTTCTTCTGGGCACTTCAACCATTCAACATAGGTTATAACTTACAGGCAAACAACCTAATACCTGTACAACTAGCCTTTTTATTGCCTAGAGTCTTGACTCCCAGAGGCCCTGGTGACTGTTAGGCAGGAATATAACTGTTTAAAAAAACCTATGCCTGTCCTTACACCCTAAGGATATGTCACCCATGTCCAAGGTGTGCCTTCTGACCATGATCCCTGGCCTTCTAGATGACTTAATTTCAACATAGCCCCAGGGTATAACAGATGAACCCATCTACTATATTCAAAAGACCATTGTTGTCACATGGAGAATTGGTCTTTTGTGAGGATGCAACAATTGTAATTTTTTTTTTTTTTGAGATGGAGTCTTGCTCTGTCACCCAGGCTGGAGTGCAGTGGCGCAACTTCAGCTCACTGCAGCCTCCGCCTCCCTGGTTCAAGCAATTCTCCTGCCTCAGCCTCCCAAGTAGCTAGGACTACAGGCGCACACCACCACACCTGGCTAATTTTTGTATTTTTAGTAGAGACGGGGTTTCACCATGTTGTCTAGGGTGGTCTTGATCTCCTGATCTCATGATCCACCCGTCTCGACCTCTCAAAGTGCTGGGATTACAGGAGTGAGTCACCACACCCAGCCAACAATTATAATTTTTACCATTAATCATTAACACCACTTTGCAAAGTTCTAGCTTGCACAGTCATTTTAACTATCTCAGCATCATAAAGAGCAAGAATTACACACACAATATGCATTTGTATTTCCAATACATATAACACATTATTTGAGAACTTGTATCCTGAAAACTATTAAATATTATTAAAGAAAATAAAGAAGACCTAAGTAAACGGAGAGAGATACAATACTCATGGAAGAGAAGTTATAGTTTTTTTTTTTTATGATGTCAGGTCTCCACAAAGTAATCTATTAGTTTAATATACTTATCTAACCAACATTCCACATTATTTTAGAAATTCACATGTTGATCCCTGAACTTATACAGAAAAATAAAGGACCTGGAAAAGACAAATTTTGAATGAAAAGAAGGAGAATATACACTACTTGATTTCAAGGCTTACCCTAAAGGAATAATAACTAAGACAATTTGTTAATAAAGAAACTACAGTCAGTCAAGTCCTCCATATCTGTGAGTTCCCCATCTGAGGATTCAACCAACCACTGCTCAAAAATACTGAAAAATAATAACAATATAACAACAGAAAATAATACAAATTTTAAAACAATACAGTATAACAACTATTTACATTGCATTTGCATTGTATTGGAGGTTGTATTTAATCCAGAGATTATCTAAAGTATATGGGAGTATATGCATAGGTTATATGTAAATACTACCACCATTTCATTTATATATATGTATATGAACTGAGCATCTGTGAATTTTGGGATCTACAAGGGTCCTGGAACCAATACCACGTGAATATTGATGGGCAGCTGTATAGAAATATAGATCAATAGAACAAATTAGAGGATGTAGAAATAAACCCATCATATATGTAGAATCAATGTTTAATAAAACACCCAAGATAATTCAAATGGAAAAGAATGATCTTCACAACAAATTGGGCTATAACAAATGAACATTTCAATGTAAAATAAATTTTGTCCCTTTCCCCACATCACATACAAATTAAAGCACAATGGACTGTAGACTTAAGTTTAGTAATTAAAAAAAGTTAGAAGTAAGATAAGATATGTTTTGGACAGAATTCCATTGCTTTTGCTCTATCTGCAAGTTGACTAACATTTTGTTCTGTGGTATCAAATATTTTTAAATGTCATTCAGTGTATTTTTATCTCTAGAGGTATGATTTGTATCTTTTTGTATAGTTAATATACCTCCCTATTATGCTCAGGCTTTCCTCTTCTGTAATTCCATAAATATATAAAATATATTTATAAAACATGGTGCAATGACATTGTCTGCTATTTTCATCATCTCTGTCATTTCTGGATCTAACATTATTGATTATCTTTTGTTCTTATTATAGACTATATTTTCCTGCTTATTGTTATGCCTGAAATTTTTTGATGAAAAGCTACTTATTGTTATTTGAGAATTTATGTTGAGAATCCTTTTTGGTTTTGTTTTGGGTTTTGTATTTTGTTAAATATAGTTGGCCTTGGCTGGTACTAGGGTGCACTAAGTATTTTGAAAACAATTTTATATTTTCCCAGCTTGATTTTAAGCTTTCTTAGCCAGGACCAGAGAATAATCATTAGTGTATGCTAATTTGGCCCCGTTACTGGGGTTATTTCTTTTGAAAAATCTGCTAGCTGTTCCATTTGTTGAGGAGGCATTTCTGCTTTAGCTAATGGAAACATAAAACCATACTTGGCCCTCTGGGGTGTCTGATAATTTTACTGTCTGCTCTCTCCCGGTCCTTCTTTTCCAGGTCTCAGGTAGTTTTGTTACATGCAGCCTTAATCAATATTTAGGTGTATTCTCGAGAGAAATACTCTGCTGATAGCCAGGTGTCTTCTTTCCATTCTGCCCTGTGAATTATAGATGCCTTGGCTATGTCAAATTGTAAATTCTTATCATGAACTCAGAGAGGCACCCAAGCTCCAGCTGGGTTCCAGTTCTTATTTCCTTACTTCTCTCATTGATCACTGTCTGTGCTGCTTTTGGTTCAAGTCTGAAAATTATGCTTTTATATCCTTTTCCAGATATTAATTTTTAAGGTAAATGGACAAGTGTGTCACTCCATCATATCTGGATGTAAAAGTACCAATTCAATAAGATGTTTACAGTATACATTGCCATATAACAATTACCTAAAATAAGACAAAGACTAGCAAGAAACAACAAATCAACATTTTAAAGTGAGTCTTTCTTTATGGTGGATTTATGGGTGTTTTTTGTTTTCTTTTTATCTATGTATCACATTTTTTCTTTAATGATTCTATTAATTTTTTACTATGAGGAAATATTTAACAATGCAATTATAAAATAAAAAAATATATGTTTCACAGTTTCAGTGCTCTTTTATCTTGTTAAAAATGTATTGCACAAGGTATTTTCTATGTGGTTTATCAATGAAGCCTGTTTAAACATTAAAATATGCTTAAAATGATTTGAGTTTCCAGTTGGGTAGGATTTTACAGACATTCTTTGTCATAGACATTCTTTGTCTATGACATTCTTTGTCAGAATTAAATTTTTATTAGTCCATTAAGATTTCATGTGATTTTTATTTAATGTGTGTAATGTTATTGTTTAAATAATCAAAACATCTTGTAATCTTTCTGCAGTCATTATTTTGCATGATTGCTAAAATTTTAAAGCAGGGATTTTATGAAATGGAAAGATTTTCCTTCATGGTATTGTTTTTAATTGAAAGAAACTGATAATGGGCAAACATCCTTGTTTAAGAGAATGTAAGCAATAATAAGAATACAAAAAAACTATCACTATAAAAATGTGGTAATTGCAAACATCTTAGTGATTATACTAATGATTTCCTGCTTGAGATTTAGTGGCTTCGCAGAACTTCTCAGACAAACAAAAAAGAGCTTGAATATGAGTTTCACTTCTCTAACAGCATTGACTTGAGATTTACTTTGCAAAATAACATAAATCTTTCTTATATTAAGAATTGGATCCCTCAAATGTTTCAAGTTGTGACAATCAATTGAATTATAAATCAATCAATTTTTTGGTCCAATTTAAATTTTACGTTTGAAAATCCTGCTATCAAAAAAGAAGAGGTCACTAATTTATAAATATATAAATGCATACACACACACATTCAAATACACACACTATTAATCAAACTAAGAAGTTTTCTTTTAACTGGACCAAACAATTTTTCAAATTTTTGTTCTGCTTGGCTGCCTATGGAAGAATACATATAAAGCCTGGAAAAGATGTGACACTATTACAAGATAATCTGAATTTTACTTTGTAGCCCGAAGCACAATGATGAAATAAAATGATACTGATTATATTTGTCAAGTAAGTGCAAACATTTTAATGGTTTTTTAAATATCGATAGAGATTTTAGATATTTAGTATGTGTTAAGTTTGCATATCCACTAGTTACACAGGCTACAGAGTCTACATTTTTATTGTGTATTATATTTTGAAGTGGCTGTGATATGTACATAATAGTTATAAAACTTCAGTTAACTGTGAACTTGCCTACTTGATGTTAAAAGAGAAGGTAAATATACTTTATATATTACATTATTACTTACATCAGGTAAACTTTCCAAAAGTTGTGTTTGGAAACATACTTTTCTCAGCAAGCAACAAAACAGAATAGAAGAATTCCTATATTAATTCTCATTCATGTAGTTGAAAGAAATCCCAAAGATTTAAAATTCTGATCCAAAGAATAATAATAGAAACATATTTTCAGAATTACCTACCATTTTTGTAGTAATGTATTATTATCAGTCATCCCCCCATACTCCTGCTTTCTAAAAGGATTTTTAGTAATATTGGCACAGGAGAATTCCCTGGACCCCTTCTTGGGAGGGACTTGCAATAGGGGTTTGGCTGCCTTGCTCAAATCCCTTGCAGGAGTGGGAGGGAGTATGCAGGCGAGACGGTGCCAGGGCCAGGGTGAGCGCTTTTGGGCTCTGGCCCCACAGTAGTGTCTAGGGGTGTGTTACAATTAATGCTTTTTTAGCAGTTGCTGTCTGTGGACAGCTAAGTGTGAACCAGCTCAGTGGAGAGTCAGGGTGACAGCCTTTTACAACTTGCCCTCTGGTATCCGGGTCCTTGCCTGGCATCCAGGAAGAATCAGGTCACAAAACTTGAAGAATTGTGAATATGGAGGATTTATTAAGCAGTGGAAGTAGCTCCCAGTGGAAGGGGAGCTGGAAAGGGTATGGTACGGGAAGGTGATCTTTCCCTGAAGCCTGGCCCTCTACAGCTGGACTCCTTTCTGAAGTTGTGCTCTCTGAAGTTAAGCCACATCTATCCATAGTCTCCAACGTTCAGTTGCTGCTTCTCCTCTTGATGTTCAGCTGTTTGTCCTTCTGCCAGCTGAGGTCTGGGGTTTATATGGGTACAGGATAGTGGGAAGAGGTGGGTCAAAAAACAACATTCAGGCAGGAAAACAGGAGTGCCTGTTCTCATTTAGGGCTGCAGGTCCAAGCTTGAGGGTGTAGCTCTCACCAGGGACCCCCGCCCTCCTACCTCCTGTCTGTATCGATATTCTTTATTCCTATTGCAAAGTAAATAGCAATGAAGACACACCCAGCGCACATTTCTTTAATCACACAATCAGATATTTCTGATTCTCCCATAAACTGTTAAGACACTTTTTATACTGCTGGAACACTACTGGATACTAGAATTTTTAGCAGTGCTCTTGAAGAGTTTCCAGTGATTATTATTACATTGTTTCCTTGTTCACTGTTTCAGCATATGTAACTGACTAAATAAGACTGTTTGCTAACTTGATGTGTTCTTTCATAATAAAAAAGCAAAGTACTTTCAATATTTCAGTATACACAGGATTACCTTTAGCATAGGATTATATTTATGCCTAATATATTTATGTCTTAGTGCATTCAGACTGCTATAACAAAATACATTAAACTGGGTAGCTTATATATAACAGAAATCTATTTCTTACAGATTTAGAAGTTGGGAAGTACAAGATTAAGATGCCAGCAGATTTGGTGTCTGGTGAGGGTTTGCTGTCTGCTTCACAAATGGCACCTTTCCCATGCACCCTCACAAGGTGGAAGGGGAAATGGATGGGGCAATGGAAGGGGCACACAAGCTCTGTTAGGCCTCATTTATAAGGGTACCAAGCCCATTCATGAGTGGTCTGCCCTCGACACCCAATCACTTCCCAAAGATTTCACCTAATAATACTATTGCATTAAGGATAAAGTTTCAATATGTAAATTTTGGGGGGACACAAATTTCAGACCATAGCAATTTACTAGTAATTGTATCCTGTCAAATACCATGTTGCATGCCAAACTGCACTTAACCTTTCATTTGATGGTAATAGCTGATTCTCCTAGTTGTGTCAAAATAGATTTTATATTTATTTGCATCAAATTTGACCAAATAATATTATTCCTTGCTACTGTGTTATTGCATTAGTTGAGAAACACATTCCTATAATAAATGGAGCTTAGATTCAAATATCAGTAATAGCGATGCATAAAATCTTGGTTTTCTATGAAATAAAGATTTTTAATGAAATTTAATTATGTATTTTTAAGAAAAATCAATCTGATATAAAAGTAATTAAAACTCATAAAAAGTAAAAAAGTGATATTTATTAACATGTTTTATAAATTAAAATTATAAAAAGTAAAATATAAAATAAAAATCTTTATAATTTTTGAAAATATAATTCATAGCATTGGTGGAATATTTTTCTAATAAGTAAGAGGCTCTAAAATATCTCTGCATTTTTTATGTCACCTTTGAAAAATAATAGGGTGTGATGTAGGCCAAACATATAGAAAATAAATAAAAAACAAGACAAAACAATAAACAATATTAAAACCAGGTTTTTCCATTCTAGTTCCAGAGAAGATTGAAAAAAGTATGCTCTACTCTGTCTTTCCCATTAAATGCAGCTACCAACGTGATCAGCTTAAGTGTCCCATAGAACTGATATTTACAGTCTTTCAGAATAAACACAGAAACTGACCCTCCAGGTCTTAAAGTTTGAAGCTTGCATTTGTCTTATCTGAGTTCCTTCCTCAGGAAACCGACCCTCAGGCCTCCCAGATAGTATTGAGAAACTTAAATTCACCAGGTCACCACATCCAGACAATGGGAAGCCAGATCCCTTGAATTAGGCCATTCTTGCATTGCTATAAAGAAATACCTGAGGCTGAGTAATTTATAAAGAAAAGAGGTTTAATTGGCTCACAGTTCTGCAAGCTTTATAGGAACCACTATGCTGGCATCTGCTCGGCTTTTGGGGACACCTCAGGGAATTTTTATTCCTTGTAGAAGGCAAAGTGGGAGCAGGCACATCACAGGGCAAGAGTGGGAGCAAGATGGGGAAAGGTGTCACACACTTTTAAACAACCAGATATCACATGAACTCACTCATCACCAAGGGGATGTCACTAAGCCATTGATCCACCCCAATGATTCAAACACCTTCTATCATGCCCCACCTCCAACAATGGGGATTACATTTCAACATGAAATTTGAAGGGGAAAAATATCCACACTGTATCAACCCTCATCCCTCATGATTTTCTAGCCATCCCTAATTTCTCTTTAGCCACATGTAGATACATTATTTCCCCACTGTATAAACCCTCAATTTTATTAGGCCAGAGATAAATTTAAGACTGATCTTCCATCTGCTCAGGTGCAACACCCAAATAAAACCTTCTTTCCTGGAAGTACTCATTGTCTCAGTGACTGGCTTTCTGTGCAGCAATCAGCAGGATCTAGACCAAACCCCTGGTGCTTCAGTAACACCAAACCTGGACCAAATCATGGAACACTTCTCTGAGAACTCTGAAAATTAAAATGTAATTTATAATTTAACCAATTAATTCAGCAGAGAAAAGAACTGGGAATATGAGGATATGATAAATAAAAGTAGGAAGACAATTTTGCTCATAAGCATATGAAACTATGTATAGTAAAACTGGAATTAGGAAAATAAAAATCACAGTAAAATGATCTATTAATTCTTCAGCATCTGATTAGTCATAGCTTTAAAGTTTGGTTAATATCAAATATTGCCAAGAATGTGGAAAATCAAAAACTCTCATTTACTGTAGTGGAATATATGTATTAGTATACACTTTGGGGTGGGCAATTACATAGAAAGTGCCCAATCTTATTATGTGCTTATTCAGCAGTTCTCCTCTTATGAAAAATATCCACATATCTGCATAATGTTTATGTACAAAGCTAAATATTTAAATAGTAGCCATATTTTATAAACTTTATTGAGCACCAACTAAACAAATTTAATAAGTTCAATTTATTAATTCATTTACTACTTGAAAATGAACCTACGAAGTAAGGCCATTCATTATCTATATTTTAAAGATAAAGTTAGTTGAGAGCATACAAGCAATAAATGTTGAAACTACAATCCAAAGTAGACCTTCAGACATTTATACCACGAGAATATGGAGAATATAGAAAATTGTGCCTGGATTATATGAGAACTAATATATATAAGCTCTAAAATGTGTTGTTAAAGGGGAAAAACAATTTGTTGGGGGAAATATACATGAAGTGTTATTTCATTAGGATATTAACTATTTATGGAAAAAGAGAGAGAGAGAGCGAGAGAGGATGTGAAAGAAATACATGCCTAGACAAAAACTGAAACGTGTATTTATTTTTGTCTTTCTTTTTATTCTCTTTATTATTATTATTGTTTAATGAGACAGGGTCTTAGGCTCTGGCAATCCTCCCACCTCAGCCTCCTGAGTTGCTGGGACTACAAGCACGTGCTACTATGTCCAACTAATTTTTGATATTTTGTAGAGACAAGGTCTCACTATTTTGTCCAGCCTGGTCACTAACTCCAGGCATCAACTGATCCTCCTGCTTCAGCCTCCCAAAGTGCCAGGATTACAGGTGTGAGCCACTATACCCAGCCTATTTTAAACTATTAATTTTGGTTATCTCTGAGGGTACTCATTACAACGGCAAGCTAGGTTAATGTCTGCTTTGACTTTATACTCTCCATATTTCTACAAATTTTTATTATTAGAATTTATACAAACACAACTTATGCAAAACAAGTCATATTAAAATATGAAAATTAAAAATAAACTTAATGAATTGCATTTTTGTAATAAAATCCTGAATATAATGCCCTTATGTTTAAAGACAAACTCTCATTCTATATTGTGAACTAGATGTGTAGTTCAAATTGCTACTCCATTACACTATCTCCTGTACCAGGTGGACAAAGTCCTAAATGCAGCAATAATTAATTAATAAAATAAATAATAAGGGTTAAAACACCTAAAATAAAATGCCACAAGAAGAAAAGAAAAGCAAAATAATATACTAAATATGGTATACATTGTTTGGCTTCCAATAAAGCCTTTGGAAAGGATTTTTAGCTTATTCCTTAGCCTCCCCTCCCTCAGTGATACCTGAAGATTTTATCTTCTTGGACAGTTTTCCTAGAAACATTTACTCAGGAAATTTACAGGAGGATATGTATTTAGACTTAGGATGTGGACTGCAGTGGACCAAGCCCCTCACTGTTGAGATCAAGTTGTGAGTGATCAGATAACACAGCTTCAATGGGGTATGGGCTAGTTAGGCACAGCTGAAGAAGCTGTGGAACTCATGACCACATGCCCTGTATAGACCATGTATAAATCTGTAAGTTACCCCAGAACTTAGGGCTTTCCCTTGCTGAGGTTCTCCCTTGCTGAGATTTTCCATGAACTTTCAGCCGTAGTACTTGTGACCCTGAACCTCCTAAGTCGGACAATAGAAACTGCCTGGAAGTAACTACACCTTCACTGTGTGATTGTTTTTGCATGCTTTGCTATTTTTGGCTTCTTTCTTAAAGCAAAATTAATTTTGATGTTGGGTGAGATTATCAATTCTTTCCCAAGACTACTGTGGATAAAAGTCCACAGCGGATATTTCAATTATGTAAAATAAACTAACAAAAACAAATATGAAGGCAAAAATGTGATAACTAAAAAAAAAGTTAAATACTGAAGAATCCCTTTAGTTATGACAGTGTTGAACTTTACTTGAACCTACATAAAAAATTGCACTGGACAAGTTAAACAGTCAAGGAAGACTTTATTCAATACTATTGCAGTAGGAGTGAAGACTACTGCAATAAACAAAAGAGATAAAACTCAACTCCACTGAAGCAAACTGCAAAGGAATTTTTTAATGCTGGATGAGCTCATGAAAAGTACTAGAGTACATTAAGTGGAAGGTTGGTCAATATGATTAAGTCATCTGTGTTTATTAATTGGCTTATATTGAACTTAGGCTCCTACCCTCCTACAAAGACTAGAAGAGAGAAGCTCTATTTTTCTTAATAATTTTATTTCAAATGGATGGCTGTGTAGGGTCCTTGAGAAAGAAATTCCTGGGTTGTAAAACTGGCAAGTGGCTGGGTAAAGATTTACATCTCATAGAGGCAGAGAAAAAATTTACAATAGTAAATTTTCTGAAGAAATTTTCTAAGAAGAGGAAGGTCAGCTGCCCAGAGTCATAAGAAGCTTGCTAAAGTTGAGTCAAGCTGAGGAGAATATTATGACTGTCTTGGTCACTTGTGATCCTGGAAAACAGCAAAGATTAAGAAATTCCTCTAACATTTTGTGTTCCCTAAAAGGACTTACTGCAAAGAACAACCCTTCTTATATGCCTTAGAGAAGATTCATGGATGCTGTCTTTTTTTTCACCTGTGACAAGGCCAAAAGCAGACTCTCCAAATTGCCATTCTTTGCCTCATATATGATTAGCTGCACTACTTGTCCTCATTGTTTAATCAGAACAAAATACTTGTCAATGAAACTTTGGTTAAGTATCTTCTTTTCCCCTAGGTCCTTGCATTTTGGTCTTCACCCTGCTAGAGACAAAATACATCCCCTCCTTAGCAGTCCCTCCCAAGAATAGGCTGGCTTCATGATCATTCTCTGATCTGCTAGTACAGCAAGACATCTGATTTTTTTCTTTGTTCACTCCTCCCTATAGTACAGAAATCTTTTTTGCCTAATCCTTGCAGATATTTTGATCTGGAGTATTCTCCCTATTGTGATATTTCCTTTCCCACATTGGAATAATTCTTCTCCCTCCTCTTGCAATGATTCAGGTGAATAAAGTCTCTCCTTAGTAAGTCTGGATTTATTTCTTATTTAATGCAGTATGTTTAGAATTCCAATTTCAACATTTTTTTTCTATTTTCCCAGCCTTTCCAGAAATCTCCTTTGCCTCTCTCTATTGGTGCAGATATGGTTTCTGAGACCCACAGACTATCCTAGAACACTTGCTCTTTATTATAATGAGACCACAAGATTGGGAAAATACTTTTTATTAAATTAAGGGTGTTTTCCATAAATAATCAATATATGTCAAACAGTATTAAAAAGAAACAGACTTCTCTTTGAAACACAGCAATACAATTTTAAAATATAAGAATTATTGCAATGAAATACATAAAAGAGTTTACTTTGACAGATGTATTTGTGATTAAAACCAGTGAGCTACGAAAGTGTCCAAAAATCATAAAAACCTTGAGAATTTTTTTTTAAACTCCACCAAATAATTTTTTACTACATTTTAAATTGGCTTTTCAGTTTTCCTAGTGTTGCATTTTCCTCTTGGTCAATCACTGTTACATATGATAAGCTGTGTATTTGCCCTGCTCACACTGCCAAAGGGACCCAAGAGCTGGTACCGACACAAAGGAGCTGACATCACTGAATTTGTGTACTTCAATGTTGTAAGCTCCCTAATATTCTTACATTAAATGTTTTCACTGCTTAAAATAATCACAGGCTCCTGTCTTCTTTCCTCTTGTCTTTCCTTCCCTCTCTATTATTTTGCAAACAAGGATTTTAGTAATACCTGTTCATAGCAAAATAATTTGATCATAAGCTTTTATAACAAGGCAATGATTTTAGAGATGGAAAATGATAGTAAATGTCACATGGTCTCCTCATGCAAACACAGGGAAGATAAAGTATTCCCCATGTCCTTCACTATAAAACCCAGTATCATTGTCTTCAAGAGGAAGGATGTAATCATGAGTCCAGCTGACACAATGAATGTAATTCTGCTCCTTAGACAAAATGAAAAACAATGCCCTTTTGTCAGAATCCATGTAGGCCAACAGTAAACATTGAATTCTTTTTCCCAGTGGGTCTCAAGGAAGGAATAAAAAAAAAAAGATTAAAATGTCCTTGAGAGAGGGATGCTGAACAATTTTGCTAGTAGCTATTGAAACCCATGTAAATACTTTTATGCTATTTCCTCAATTACTTAACTAGTAAAATATAACTGACAAACATACAGAGTGATGGCAAAATAGAACAGTCAAAACCTTTCTTTAAATCCTGCGGGTAAAGCAAAGGTGAGAAAATTCATCTCTAAGTAAGGACGAAAGTAAAATGAGTTACTAGTGAAAGAGATAAAAAATATGAGGGGAAGTATTTTTTAAATCACTCTTGGGGGAAATATTGAGAAGAAACTGGAGAGCGGTATAAAGTTAAGATTTAAATTTTTTTCTAAATGAAAATGCATTGCATAATGAAGACAAGGAGAAGATTAAAGACAGGCTAAAATATTTTAAAGTCACAATTACAATATATAAAGATATTAGAATTCTACTTATATGAACATTGAGATTGTATAAAGTAATGACATCCATGGGAACAAAAAGAGGAAAAATTGAGTTCACATAAAATAGTTATGCATTAGGAAAGCATTTAAAATATGAGTAAAATGCATGCTTATGCTGATATGTTGAAAAATAACAGCAAGAATGCACATTCCAAGAGTAAAAATAGTTATTTTTTCATATTCATATTTACATATTGATATAGTTTGATCTGTATCTCTGGCCTTTATTTCTTACTTAAGTAAAGTAACAAATAAGAAAGATTTTTAAAAGTTTTTAATCTTCACACCTGTGGTAGCATTGCCTTCAATATATAACAAAGTAAAAATCGACTATTGTAGCCAGAGGAGACTAAGTTCTCTCATCCTTTGGAGACAGGTGCTATTGGGATATGAACCAAATCCAATGCTTGACCTTACAATGTGAACAAAAGCTACTGGGGTTGGCTCCCTCTTTGAAAGGAACAGTAGATAGTAGATAGATAAGAATATTCCCACTCAATAGTAGCAATACCTTTTATTGTACAACATGAATCTTTATAATTTTTAAAAACCCACAAATAATATACTACAATAAATAAAACAAAACAAAGATGTAGAAACTCAACGTTCCAGTCTTTTAGGTTATCGAGAAACATTAAATAATAAAAGAGTGGCTCCATATTCAAAAATTGAGAGGACATTTCAGTCAAAGCAGCCCTGCCATGCATTGTATACTCTCCCTATTCAAGTGGCATTGTAAAATCAAGATCGCTAAAACCTCTATGAAGAATTATCAAATAAAAAGAAAACCAGAGCATCACAGCCACATCCTCACTGTTTTCTTACCCACTTATCAAAATACAAGACTCTGGGCAGGGCTGAAAGCTGATATTAGTAGAATAAGAAAAATTTCCTATCTAGGTATATTAAAGTTAAGATGAAATTAAGACATCCTAGTGAAGATATTGACTATGCTGTTGAATACATACATCTGGAATTCAAAAGAGTCATGGAGTCGTGATCATATAAGTTCTGTGTAAATGCTGAAAAGACCACAGAAACAGTAGGCATAGAAATATCAAAAAAATCCGAGGTCTAATCTGGAGATTTCAACATTTAGAGGTCTAAAAGAGATGTAAACATGGGGGTTAAATTAGGAAGACTTAGGACTGGTCACACAATAAGCTAAGGAATACTTGAGTACCTTTGTTTGTACAGTTTGGATTATTTATAGATGAATGTGATTGTTATTCATTGTCTCAAACACAAATATTATTTATGCCTACTATACGAAGGTTTTTTTTATCCCTAATCGTCTTTTGTTTTTCCATTTTGCCTGAGGCTGGCCTTCATATAATGATGAATTTATGGATTTCAGATGTAACAATAATTTTTTATTGCTTTTATGTCCTAGAGATAATCTTTTCTCTTTTGGATCCTAGTGAGTGTGCAAGTTTGCAGACTAAAGGAAAATAAGTAAATAAACCAGAATAAACTTGTGTTCTTCTTGGTTTTGTTGGATGTTTTTAAACATAATATGTTAGATAATTTATACTGTTTTTTACATTTTGGTGGTATTGTTAATATTTACTAGATTGAATATCATTGGTTAACCATGAAACATTTGAGCAAGAAATTTTTCTGCTCTCTAAATTTTTAAACATTATGATTAACACCACCTTGGGTTTTAGTCATAATATAATCACTCTAGGGGACAGGTGAGTAACTTTTAGTATTTTAATGCTATTGCTTAGTGTTGCTGTTGTTTTTATAATTAAACACAGTATGGAAATAAAGGAATTTAACTATGAAGACAATTATTTCTATATTCCTTTAGCCAGAAAAAGCTTAAATTGGGATTAATGAGTGGCTGGAGGTGCTTTTAAGAAAACATTTTGTTGAGGTAAACTTGATGTATTAAAAAATTGTACAGATTTTGAGTAAACAATATAATAAGTTTTGACAAATAAAAATATCTGAGAAACTTTCACCATACCAAGATAGTGAACATCCCCAAAGGCTTCCTGTAACCCATTTTTCCCCTCAACACCATCCATGGACCCATTCTGTAACCCATTTTTCCCCTCATCACCATACATAGACAACCATTGAACTTCTATCTCTTATTATAGATTGGATTGCATATTTTGGAAATGTAAATGCAGTACATATTCTTCATCCCCTAGCTGCTTTAACTCAGCATAAGGATTCTGAAAATCATCTATGTTTTTGTTTTATTTCAATTATGTAATTGCATGTATAAATATTTGCTTTTTTATTGCCAAGTAGCATAATATTACAGGGATATACTACAATTTACCCATTCATTCACCATTTAGGGGCATTTGGATGTTACCAGATTTGAACTATTAGAAATAAAGCTCTATTAGTTACGTACAAGTCTTGGTACAGATAGTCACTTTCATTTATTGGGAATTACCTAACAGTGGAAGGTTAGATGTCCTACTTTGAGCTGCTATAACAAAATACCTTAGATGGGGTAATTTATAAATAATAGAAATTTATTTCTTACAATTCTGGGGTCTGAGAAGGGTCACTCTGCTTCATAGCTGGTGCCTGTTGCTGCATGCTCACATAGCAGAAGGGTAGAAAGGCAAATGGAGCTAAGACACTTCCCCAAGCGCCCCCTTTTTTGTATTTATTATTATTTTTAACTGACACATAATAATTGTACATATAAGGACACTAATCCCATCCATGAATGAGGAGTCCTCATGGCTTAATCAACTCCCAAAGGCCCAATCAACTCCCAAAGGTCCCTTTTCTTAACACTATGATCTTGTGGTTTAAGTTCCAATATATGAATTTGGAAGGACACACACATTGGAACTATAGGACTGGGTTATATGCAGGTGAATATCTAACCCTTTAATAAACTGCCAACTGTTTTACAGTCCCACAAGCAGTGTAGGAGAGTATGAATTTCTCTTGACTTTCACCAACACTTGGAATAGTCAGTTTTTGCTTTCATTGTTGCTTTTTGTTGTTTCCGTATATTACTAATAACTTTATTACCATTATTATTTTACTCATCACTAGGTGTGTGTCATCATATCTTACAATGGTTTTAATTTGCTTTTTGTGATAATTAATGATATTTAGCTTTTCATGTGGTTGTCATAACTAACCTTCTTATGCCTTCTTTTACGAAGTGTCAATTTACTTTTATCCATTTTTATTTCAACTGTTTGCCTAATTATAGAGGTTTTAAAATTCTTTATTCTGATTGCAAGTCTTCTATGTGATGTATGTATTTCAAATTTCAAATAAATTCTTCTAGTATATGGTTGGCTTATTTTTAAGGATGCCATTTGTGCACCACATTTTTTAAAGTAACTTTAATGAAGTATAATTAATTCATTTTTAAAAGATGGTTCGTGTGTTTTGTATTGTGTCTAAGAAAGCTTTGCCTATGCCAATGTGGCAAAAATACATCTCCCACTCTTCTAAAAATGCTATACTTGTAGCTTTTATATTTAAGCCTATGATCCCTATTAAGTTAATGCTTTGTGTATGATGTGAGGTAAGGGTCTGTATTCATGTTAGCCCAGCACCATTTTTTGAATAGACATTATTTTCCCCTTTGAAATACCTTTGCACCTTTGTCAAAATTAATTGGCAATATAATGTGTGAATCTAATTCTGGACTGTCTTTTTGGTGCTACTTATGTATTATGAATACCATCTCACCAAGTAACGAACTGTCTTGATAACTGTACTTTATGTGATGTCTTGAATTCAAGCAAGGTAAGGCCTCCAAATTTGTTCTTGATTTTAAAAATCTCTTCGATTTTTTTGGTAGCATGCATTTCCTTGTAAATTTAGAACCCTGTTGCAAATTTCCACACACATACACACACAAAAAAAAAACCTCAGCAAAATTTTTAATTGGAATTATACTGAATTTGTAGATAGATCACTTTGCAAAAAGTTATCATCTCAACACCGGGGCCTGTTGTGGGGTTGGGGGCTGGGGGAGGGATAGCATTAGGAGATATACCTAATGTAAATGACGAGTTAATGGGTGCAGCAAACCAACATGGCACATGTATACATATGTAACAAACCTGCACATTGTGCACATGTACCTTAGAACTTAAAGTATAATAAAAAAAATTAATTCCTCCCATCAGAGAATATAGTATGTATTTCCATTTATTTAGGTCTTCTTTAACTTCTCTCAGAAAATCGTTAACAGTTCTTAGTTTAGAGGTCTTAGATGTCTTCATTAGATTCATTCTTAAGCACTTTGTATTCTTGGCTCTGACACAAAGATAGACATACAGATAGATATATTTTATTTTCCAATAGTTTTTTGCTAATATATAATTGATTTTTTAAAATAGTTTTACCTTTTATGTTGTTACTTTGCTAAGTTCATCTTAGTTCTAGAAGTTTTGTTGATATTCTCATTTGTACATAAGGACATCTGTACTTATTCCATTCTGATGTTTATTAATTTTATTATTATTATTTGTTCAAATGTGATTACTAAGACTTCCAATAAAATGTTTAAAACAGGAGCTATTATATTCTTTCTGGTCTTAGGAAACAACTCAGTGTTTCACCAGGTAAGAATAACATTAACTGAATTTCTTTCAGAAAATGGCCTATGTCAGCCTGAGGAAGTACTACCTACAGTGTTTTGAGTTTTATGTTTAATAGCAGTAAACTGATTTTTATGCATTTGTTTAAATGATCTTTTATTTCGTATAATTTTCCCCTTTATTTTGGTAATATCATTAATTACATTGACTAATTTCAAATTTTAAAACCTGGTGAATTGCTTGGATTAATCCCACTTTGTCATATCTATTTTATTTTATGTATTGTTAAAATCAATTTGGTAAGATTTAATTAAGATATATTGCATCTATATCCATGCGAAATATCAATCTATAATGTTCTCCTCTTCCTTCTCTTATTTCTCTTCTTTTGCCTCTTCTTGCTCTTCTTCTCTGTCTCCTTTTTCTTTTCCTTCCTTTTCTCTTTTTTGTTCTGTTCTTTTTGTTAAAATCTTGTCAGTCTTTGTATTAAAGTTATATTGGCCTACCAAAATAAGTTGGATTGTGTTTAATCCACTTTCTTTTATGCAGTTTTTTTTTAAATTGCTATTATTTTTTACTTGAATGTTTGATGGAATTCATTAGTGTAATCATTAAGGCCTGGAATTTACTTTGGGGAAAATTTTTATTAACCAATTCAATTCCTTTAATTTATATATGGCAACTCAAATGTGTGTGTGTGTGTGTGTGTGTGTGTGTTTTCTTTTGTTCTCATACAATTAGAGTGTCCTCTTGTTCAGTTATTTCCTTTCTTTTTCCAGATTCCTCCGTAACAACCTTAGCCACCCCTGCCTGTGTTAGTCCGTGACTGTGGAGAACGCTTGGAAAAGTTGAAAGAAAAAGTGAGAAACTCAAATAATGGAGGAGTCATTTTATCGGATGTTGCCTCTCTACCACAATCTTACTATGATTATTTAAGTATCAGAGCCTACTTTTTCTTTTTTCTCTTTTCCTCTTTTCTTTTTTTAATATATTGTCCAGAGTTTAAATCAGCAGACTGAATGGGCTGTAGGGGACCTATATCACCATAACAGCACTGGAACTCTTCAAAGTTATTCAAAAGTACCAAGACTGTATTCACAACTTAATTTAGATGCCTTCCACATCATTTCTTCAAATGCAACTATGATGAAATTTATGTGCACAGTTGGGGGATGTGGATAAAAATAGTGTTAATTTTCTGATTATCTCTAGAACTTTCTATTATTTAATTGTAACTTTTTGACTATCCTTATGTTTCATGATGACTCGGAAACAAGAGATCTTTTTATCCAGTTGTTTCTTCCTTTTAACCTGGTTTCTCTACCATCTTGGAGTCTCAGTAATTTTCTCTATATTGTAATTCCGAGTTCTTCATAAGCAATTTCTTTGATATTATTTTGTGTCATCTCTGAGTGGAAGTCTATTTTCTTCCTAGAATATGAGCAACTTGGATCCTCCTTCTTGAATTCAGTTCAGAAAATAAATCTACTGTGTTACATCCTAACTCTATCAGGGCAGAGTTATTGTGTGTTATTATTACTATGATTATCCATGTTTATTTTAACACAACTAAGATTGAGAATCAGTATTCCAGGTTAACTGTCTGGTTGCAATGATGAGAAAACCAGAGTCTATTCATTTTAGCATGGATAAGGAAAAGAAAAGTGCAACATACTGCTACTCCTTTAGCTTTAATTTTTTCCAGTATATTTTATTGTAATATTTCTCAATGGAATTAATCTAGGTGACTCTATTGCCTCTAAAACATTCATTTCTCCCTGAAATTATTTCCAAAAAACTCAGACTATGTCTATATCATCTTTCTGAAGCAAAGTAGTGTTTCCTCAAAAACCCAGCACAATTTATTTGTCTCATTGTATATCCAGGGTTCCTGTATTTACTATTGGGTTAAAAATTGTTGTCTTAATTCATGTTTACAAGGACTTGATATTTATATGTAGATTTCATGTCCCTTGATAGACTTTGCTGATTCCAGCTCATAAAATTTGAGTTATTTTAATCCCATCTCATTAGTCAGTCTACTCACTGAATCTCTCATGTTGTTGCTTTGTTGAGCCCCTGTTTTTTATCTATATCTACAGATTGGAATTTCTATAACTGAATGTATTCTAAGAGGTGAATTTCACAACAAATAAGGTAAAGGCAAATCATTATTTTCATGCTTCTCTAAAAGTGTTTTTTCTTGCTTTCAACAAAAGCTGCAGAAATAAAAAATCTCACCTATATTAATTATTCTTCAACATTTTACAATGATGATGAATTATATAGAATGCTATACTTACACAACACCAAATTTTATCTTTTGTATATATATTTCCATACTGTTGTCTGTTTGGTTAACTTCTCAGCATTGCTTTGAGTCCTCCAATACATACTTCTGAGATTAAGTCAGATGCCTAAATTTTAAAATAGCTATTGCTTCAAAACTTTATTAAAAGTTTCACCTCCCTCTTTCTAGTATCAATAGTAGGTACTTCACTGTTTATATATATAGTTTTAAAGTCACAAAGAAATAGAAGTAGCAACTACTGTAAAAATCAATTGTAACAGTTGTGAGGAAGTTACAGAATGGATGAAAACAATGTGGGATAAATTCCTTTTTAAAAAAAATGAGAATTCTTTTTCTGGGTGAAATTTATTTTCTAAAAAAAGTTACCTTATAAAAATAAATTAATTTAAAATAGGCCAAATCTTAAATATATAATAATGGCATTGAGGTTTTAACTTTCTTTTTTTATGTGTGTGGAAAATTATTCATGTAAATCTTTTTAAAAGTTTAATACATAGGTCATGACAAAGGATAAATGACATTTGGGTTTAATATCAGAGCATGCTTCAGGGCTCCTTTATGTTAAGTTGATATCAATTAAAAATAATTCTGCCAGTTGAGATCAGGACCATCTCAGACATTCCATTTAGTATATAGGTCTGATCAGTTTATTTCAAATATGTTGTTAAATTGGTAGTTGATGGATATTTACAGCCCTGCAAACCAATTAAAGCTTTTATTTGAAAAGAAAAAGTTCACCTCTATTAACATGTCAAACATTTTATGTTACCAGCCAAAACAGAAAAACAATTCTAAGAGAAAACAAAAACTATGTTCTATATAGATTGGGTCTATAAAAATTAGGTCTCAAAATCAAACATTAATGAAATGAAGGTACTTAGGAAAAATCAGAAATCTTCACATGAAGAAAGCACTTTATACTTATGACTCTGGGAAAGGTGCATAGAGAGGTTGGGTTTGGTGAGGAATTAACAAATGAAAAGAGAAATCATCTCCAGGTCATTTCGCCTATCCAGACCTAACATCATTACGAAGGATATTCAAGGCCAGTCAGAAGTACACCTTGGGAGGCCCAAAGCAGGCAGATCATTTGAGGTCAGGAGTTCGAGACTAGCCTGACTGACATGGTGAAACCCCGTCTCCATTAAAAAGACCAAAAAAAAAAAAAAATTAGCCAGGCATGGTGGTGCATGCCTGTAATCCCAACTACTTGGGAGGTTGAGACAGAAGATTCGCTTGAATCCAGGAGGCCAAGATTGCAGTGAGCCAAGATCGTGCCATTGCACTCCAGCCTGGACAACAAGAGTAAAACTCCTGTCAAAAAATAAAAATAAAAATAAAAAAAATAAGAAGTACACATGGGGAAATTCTGAGTTACACAATTTTTATTTTTCATTGCAATCTCTCATATCACACTATATCACACACACACTATATAGAGAGAGATTTTTATATAGCATGATTTTATATATATATACACATTATATATATATTTATATAAAATATGTGTATACACACACACACACACACACACACACATATACACATCAACTAAGCCATAAACTAAGACTGAGAGATAACCTAATACTAGAATCTAATAATAAAAGACAGATGTATCTGAAATGAGAAAAACATTTTCTGGCTCTTCCATATGGAATCCTAAAGCTCTGTCTCATGAAATTGGCTGTGTAAAAGAAGTTAATTTCATATCACCCCTTGTAGATACAGCCATATTCAGAGTCCTGTAGGAAACAAACACATTTCTAAAACCTCTAGGATGTGTGGGGCTTTTCTTTAAAAAAATTAAAGGATCAAGAAGACTGAAGAAAATCAGGATTTTGGCAATGTTGGGACTCTTATTTCAGAAACCCACAATGCTTCAATTCTCCCAGCAGTAAATTAAATGTCCCTGTGTCCTGAGAATTTTCCATGGCCCCCGAAAATCACTGATGCTTTCATCTAATAAATTTACACATCCTATTATAATACGGTTATACTGTTAAAACTGTGGCTAACCATTTACAATTACATGAAAATCAATGATTAACAATACACTTCCCAACAATACACTTACAGGGAATGGCTAAAAATTTGCTTCACAGTTCAAATGCTCAAAAAACTTTTGCATTCTTCAGAGCGACACTACTGTTTACTGCTGTTTATAGTGCAATGTCATTCTCCACCTTGCAGTTCCCTTAGATATTACTGTAATTATCAACAGTTAAGGGATATTCACAATATGCAGAAAAACTCAACATTTCTCAGAATACTTAAGAAATTTTATCTGACTTAGTATATTGCAAACTCAGATGGTAATATAATAATCTCAGATAATGATCTCTATTTTTCTCTTATTTTTTGTCTCCATCAAAAGCATACTGATATCTCACTGCATCTAATTTGCCATTTCCTGTTTGTAACATTATACTCTAACCTGGCTAGAATTTACAGAACATCTATTCTGTCTTCTCTATGACTCGAAGTTATAATATGCCATTTCTCTCAATAAAATGTATATTTTCCATTTTCACTGTGCTCTAAAATCAAAGTTTTGTCCTTACGTAAAAAGTAATATACAAAAAGTTATGTCCAAGATTGCTTAAGGCATACACACATTGATGTCAGCGGTGGGCCGTCCAAAGTGGCCATTGCCATTGCTCCGGCTGCAGTGGGGAGGAGTGAGCAGTTGTGGCAGGAGCAGCAGTGGCGGCCGTGGGACCCCTGTGCCCCACGTCCTGTGTGTCCCACGTCCTCAAGGCAGATGATTGCATTGCCCTCACCCTCACGTGTTCCTGGGGTATCTGCCCAGAGCCTCCACTGCTCCAGACCCTGGCCCCATGTCACTGCTCTCACCTGCCCCCACTGTGGGGAGAGCAAGGGAAGGAGATGGACAGTCCCCGGCACTTCCCTCTGGGAGTCCCCCAGATCCTGCCACCCTGGGGGTCAGCTGTGATGGAGCCTGGCCGAGTGGCCCACCAGAAGGGGAGCAGCACCATTGGGCAGAAAGGGGCCCCGAGTTGGAGCTGGGCCTGAGGTGTTGCTTCACTTGCACACTGAGGCCCAGGGGATGGAGCTGGGGCCATGCCTAGGGGCCCTGGGGTGGGCAGTGGAAGTGGAGCCCACTTCAGGGACCCAGCCAGCAGCGCAGCCACCACACCCACCCCACTGAGGGTGCCAGGTTCCTGTGCCTTGGGAGAAGGCTCTGCGTAGTGACTTCTGGAGCCACGTCCCCAGAGTCCTCTCTGCATTGAGGTAATTACTGAGCCTGACACTCCTGAAGGCCAAGCTCAGGCCCCTATTGGCTCCTGAAGGTTCTTGCCCCACTCTGGGCAGGGCCATGAGCCAGGTGATGGGGAACCCTGGGCCTTCCTTGAGGCTGTGGCCACAGGGCTGGGGGCAGCTTATGGCAACATTGCCCTCCCCAGGAGGCCAGCCGGGGTCCAGGGAGGACCTGGAGCCCATGCCCCAGTCTGCAAGGAGACGTGGCCAGGACTGCATTCTCCACGAAGCTGGCAGGAGCTGGGGACAAGCAGAAATCCTGCTCCATCTGTGTTGGCTGGATGGAAGTTCCTTGGGTGCAGCTGCAGCACCCTGCCAGGGCTCCACATCTGGGCATCTCTGTGCTCTTGGGGGCCTCAGAATGCTCCCTGGCCCTTGTAGGCTCATAGATGCCTGCTCCCACTGTAAGGCTTCTGCCCACTGATGGCACCTACTCTGATCTCAGAGCAGGTCTGGGCCACCCCGGGCACTGTCACGCCTGGCTGGGTGTGCACATGCTCAGGGCAGCGCTGACACACCAGCCCCCTGCCGCCTCAGCCACCTCTGGATTTTGGGTGCTGATAAGCAGGAGAGGGAGGCCAAGGTGGGGATGCGGACAGCTTGGCACTGGCCTGCAGGTGCCCCTTGGCATGAACAGCCATGAACAGCAGAAGAAGGCAGACAGGCTCCTGGGCAGAAGGGGGCAGGTCCCTGATAAGCTACACTTTCAAGCTAAAGAGGGCCTGAAGCCTGGGGCCTGGGCTGCCACTCACACAGACCAGATGGGAACTTGTACTTTTCCCTGGGCCCGCCCATGGCTGCCCATGGTTACCCATGGACCAATCAACATGCACTTCCTCCTCTGTGAGGCCCATAAAAATCTTGGACTCAGGCCCATAAAAACCTCTGCCTCAGCCAGATGGGAAGAGAGGATGGAGAGGGTAGAGAGAGGATGGAGAGATAATGGGGAGACAATGGGATGACCAGCTGCAGAGAGGAACTACCCTCTTCGGAGATCTGGACATTTGTTGGGATGACTTGCCTAGCAGAGAGGAGATATCCTACTCTCTGCTGAGAGCTAAAGAGACAATGGTATCACTAGCTGCAGAGAGTAGCTACCCTCTCTGCCAAGAGCTGAACAGTCTTTGGGACACCCTGACTATTGAGAGGAGGTGCCCACTGTGGGTCTCCTCTGAGCTGTTCTATTGCTCAATAAAGCTCCAGTTTATCTTGCTCACCCTCCACTTCTCTGGTTACCTCATCATTCCTGGATGCAGGACAAGGACCGAGGACCTGCCAAATGGCTGGGCTAAAAGAGCTGAAATACAAACAGGGCTGAAATACACCTTTTGCTTGCCAGGCTGCAGACAACATGGAGGAGAGAAGAGAGAAGAAAAGAAGGAGAGAAGAAAGAAGAAAAGAAGGAGAGAAGAGAGAAGAAAAGAAGGAGAGAAGAGAGAAGAAAAGAAGGAGAGAAGAGAGAAGAAAAGAAGGAGAGAAGAGCTATGGCCCTTTGAGGAGCTCAGACCTGGGAGCTCCTGGAGTCAAGGCTGGGACTCCCCCTTTTGGGCCCTTCATTCCTGGAGTCTCCAAGATTTCAGGCACCACTGCATTTCCTGGTGCCAGCTGTGGAAGCTGCTTGCAGTGCGCCTGGTCCAACCGTAGCCTCACAGTGAGCTGGTACCTATGCCTGCACATGGAGCTGCCTGCCCCACTGCAGCAGCTGGTGTGCCTTACTGTGCACAGTGGCTGGACCCCACACTTGCTTGCTCATATACCCCTCGGCACTCTGTCCCAGTGTCTTCAGAGGTGTGGGATACAGGCCAGTAGTATGAGCTGAGCTCAGCCTGCCAGGCCAAGTGGGCCCAGTGGGCCTGAGCAAAACTTGGGCAAAAGTGCCCCCAGCCACAGAAGTTTCCGGCCAGAAAAGCAATACCATCAATGATACCATAATAATATTTTACAATAAATGATAACATTTTTTAAAATTCCAAATATTTCTGTTATGAACCACTGAATAAGTTCAGTTGTTGTGAACTGTTTTTCCTTTCCATCCCTTCTCTGTCTTTTCTTTAGCCTAACATTCTCTATAATCCTTTCTCTAACTCCCTCTTTCTCTTTCCTTCTCTTTTTATCTCCATCTTCCATCTCTCCTTCACACCCTTTCCCTCTCACTCTCCTCTTTCCTCCCCTCCCTCACATCCTTTGTTCTTCTTCCTCCTTCCCTTTTCTTACCTCCTCCTTCCCACTCCCCAACTTTATTCCTCCTTCATTTCTTTTTTTTTTCTTCATTGTTTTCTCTCTTCCTCTCTTCCTTTCTTTTTTTTCAATTGTTGATTTCCATAGGCTTTTGAGGAACAGGTGGTATTTGGTTACATGAGTAAGTTCCTTAGTGGTTATTTGTGAGATTTTGGTGCACCCATCACCCAAGCAGTATACACTGAACCCAATTCGTAGTCTTTTATCCCTCACCCCCTCCCACCCTTTCCTCCTGAGTCCTCAAAGTCCATTGTATCATTCTTATGCCTTTGCATCCTCATAGCTTAGCTCCCAATCATGAGTGATAACAAACAATGTTTGGTTTTCCTTTCCTGAGTTACTCACTTAGAATCGTCTCCAGTTCCATCCAGGATGCCATTAATTCATTCATTTTTGTGGCTGAGTAGTATTCATATATGATACATGACACATATATCACAATTTCTTTATCCATTCGTTGATTGATGGGCATTTGGACTGGTTCCATATTTTTGAATTTGTGAATTGTGCTGCTATAAGCATGGGTGTGCAAAGTATTTTCTTCACATAATGACTTCTTTTCCTCTGGCTAGATAACCAGTAATGGACTGCTGGATCAAATGGTAGGAGCCGAGTAGTGGGATTACTGGATCAAATGGTAGTTCTACTTTTAGTTCTTTAAGGAATCTCCGCGCTGTTTTCCACAGTGGCTGTACTAGTTTACATTCCCACCAGCAGTGTAGAAGTGTTCTCTTTTCACTGCATCCACACCAGCATCCATTATTTTTTGAATTTTTTATTATAGCCATTCTTGCAGGAGTAAGATGATCGCACTGTGGTTTTGATTTGCATTTTCCTGATCATTAGTGATGCTGAGCATTTTGATGGAATTATTTGTTTTTTTTTCTTGCTAATTTGAGTTCCTTGTAGATTCTGGATATTAGTTCTTTGTCAGATATATAGACTGTGAATATTTTCTCCCACTCTGTGGGTTGTTGTTTACTTTGCTGACTGATACTTTTGCTGTGCAGAGCTCTTTAGTTTAATTCTCAGCTATTTATCTTTGTTTTGGTTGCATTTATTTTTGAGTTTTTGGTCATAAAATCTTTGCCTAAGCCATGTCTACAAGGGTTTTTCTGAAGTTGTCTTCTAGAATTTATATAGTTTCGGGTCTTAAATTTAAGTATTTGACCCATCTTAAGTTGATTTTTGTATAAGGTGAGAGATGAGGATCCAGTTTCATTTTTCTACCTGTGGCTTGCCAATTATCCCAGCATCATTTGATAAATAGGGTGTCCTTTCTTCATTTTATGTTTTTGCTTGCTTTGTCAAAGATCAGTTGGCTGTACGTTTTTGGGTTTATTTCTGGGTTCTCTATTCTGTTCTATTAGTCTATATGCCTATTTTTATACCACCACCATGCTGTTTTGGTGACTATGGGCTTATAGCACAGTTTGAAGTCAGGTAATGTCATGCCTCCAGATTTGATTTGTTCTTTCTGCTTAGTCTTGCTTTGGCTATGCAAGCTCCTTTTTGGTTACATATTTTAGGATTGTTTTTTCTAGTTCTGTGAAGAATGATAGTGGCATTTTGAATTGCACTGAATTTGTAGATTGCTTTTGGCAGTTCAGTTGTTTTCACAGTATTGATTCTACCCATCTATGAGCATGAGATGTGTTTCCATTTGTTTCTGTCATCTATGATTTCTTCTAGCAGTGTTTTGTAGTTTTCCTTGTAGAGGTCTTTCATGTCCTTGGTTAGGTGTATTCTTAAGTATTTCATTTTTTGTAGCTATTGTAAAAGGTTTTGAATTATTTATTTGATTCTCAGCTTGGCTGCTGTTGGTATACGAGAGCTACTGCTTTGTGTACATTAATTTTGTATCCTGAAACTTTGCTAAATTCATTTATCAGTTCTAGGAGCTTTATGGAGGAGTCTTTAGGATTTCCTAGGTTTACAATCATAACATTAGCAAACAGTGACAGTTTGACTTCCTCTTTACCAATTTGGATGACCTTTACGTTTTTCTCTTGTCTGATTGCTCTGGTTAGGACTTCCAGTACTATGTTGAATAGAAATGGTGACATTGAGCATCCTCGTCTTGTTCTAGTTCTCAGAAGGAATGCTTTCAACTTTTCCTGGTTCAGTATTATGTTGGCTATGGGTTTGTCATAGATGACTTTTGTTACTTGGAGGTATGTCCTTCATATGCCAATTTTGATGAGGGTTTTAATCATAAAGGGATGCTAAATTTGGTCAAATACTTTTTTCCATGTCTACTGAGATAATCATGCAGGAGATAATCATGTGATTTTTGTTTTTAATTCTGTTTATGTGGTGTAGCACATTTATTGACTTGCATATGTTAAACCATCCCTGCATCTCTGATATGAAACCCACTTGATCATGGTGGATTATGTTTTGATATGCTGTTTAATTTGGTTAGCTAGTATTTTGTTAAAGAATTTTTGCACCTGTGTTCATCAGGGATATTAGTCTGTAGTTTTGTTGTTGTTGTTGTTGTTATGTTCTTTCCTGGTGTTTGGTTTTAGGGTGATATTAGCTTCATGGAATTATTTAAGGAAGATTTCCTCTTTCTCTATCTTGTGGAACAGTGTCAATAGGATTGATACTAGTTCTTCCTTGAATGTCTGATAGAATTCAGCTGTGAATCCGTCTGGTCCTGGACATTTTTTGTTGGTATTCTTTTATTATAATTTCAATGTTGCTGCTTGTTATTGGTCAATTTAAGGTTTCTAATTATTTCTGATTTAAGATAGGAGGGTTGTGTATTTCCAGGGATTTATGCATCTTCTTTAGGTTTTATAGTTTATGAGTATAAAGGTGTTCATAGCAGCCTTGAAAGATCTTTTGTATTTCTGTGGTATCAGTTGTAATATCTCCCATTTCATTTCTAATTGAGCTTATTTGGATCTTCTCTCTTCTTTTCTTGGCTAATCTTGCTAATGATCTATTGATTTTATTTATCTTTTTCAAAGAACCAGCTTTTTGTTTTAATTATCTTTTGTATTGTCTTTTTGTGTTTCAATTTCATTTAGTTCTGCTCTGCTCTTGATTATTTCTTTTCTTCTGCTGGGTTTGGGTTTGGTTTGTTCTTGTTTCTCTAGTACCTTGAGGTGTGACCTTAGATTGTCTTTTGTGCTCTTTGAGACTTTTTGATGTAGGCATTTAGTGTATGAACTTTCCTCTTAGCAGTAACTTTGCTGTGTCCCAGAGGTTTTGATAGGTTGTGTCACTATTATCTTTCAGTTCAAAGAATTTTTAATATCCATCTTGATTTCATTGTTGACCCAATGATCATTCAGGAGCAGGTTATTTAATTTGCATAATTTTGAAAGTTCGTTTGAGTTAATTTTCAATTTTATTCTACTTGATCTGAGAGAGTACTTGATATAATTTCAATTTTCTTAAATTTATTGAGACTTGTTTTGTGGCCTATGATGTGGTCTATCATGGAGAAAGTTCCATGCACTGATGAATAGAATGTGTATTCTGTGGTTGTTAGGTAGAATGTTCTGTAAATATCTTTTAAGTCTATTTGTTCTTGTGTATAGTTTAAATCCATTGTTTCTTTGTTGACTTTCTGTCTTGATGACCTGTCTAGTGCTGTTAGTGGAGCATTGAAGTCCTTCACTATTATCGTGATGTTGTTTATCAAATTTCTTAGGTCTAGTAGTAATTGTTTTATAAACTTGGGAGCTCCAGTGTTAGGTGCATATATATTTAGGATTGTGATATTTTCCTGTTGGACAAGGCCTTTTATCATTATGTAATTAATGTCCCTCTTTGTCTTTTTTAACTGCTGTTGCTTTAAAGTTTGTTTTGTTTGATGTAAGAATAGCTACTCCTGCTCACTTTTGGTGTCCATTTACATGGAATGTCTTTTTCCACCCCTTTACCTGACTGTATGTGAGTCCTTTTGTCTTAGGTGAGTCTCTTGAAGCAAATACTTAGTGAATTATTATCCATTTTGTAATTCTGTATCTTTTAAGTGGAGCATTTAGGTCATTTACATTCAATGTTAATATTAAGATGTAAGGTACTAGTCCATTCATTGTGCTGTTTGTTGCCTGAACACCTTGGTTTTTTTAATTGTATTTTTGTTTTATAGGTCCTGTGAAATTCATGCTTTAAAGAGGTCTTGTTTTGATGTGTTTCTGGGATTTGTTTCAAGATTTAGAGCTCCTTTTAGCAGTTACTGTGGTGCTGGCTTGGTAGTCGTGAATTCTCTCAGCATTTGTTTGTCTGAAAAAGACTGTATCTTCCCTACATTTATGAAACTTAGTTTTGCTGGATACAAAATTCTCAGCTGAAAATTGTTTTGTTTAAGGAGGCTGAAGATAGGGCCCCAATCTCTTCTAGCTTACAGGGTTTCTGCTGACAATCTGCTGTTAATCTGATAGGTTTTTCTTTTTAGGTTATCTGGTACTTTTGCTTCACAGCTCTTAAGATTCTGTCCTTTGTCTTAACTTTTTATAACCTGATGACTATATGCCTCGGCAATGATCTTTTTGCAACAAATTCCCCAGGTATTCTTTGAGCTTCCTGTATTTGGATGTCTAGATCTCTAGCAAGACCAGAAAAGTTTTCCTCGATTATTCCCCCAAATATGTTTTCCAAACTTCCAGATTTCTCTTCTTCCACAGGAACACCAATTATTAGCTTTGGTCATCTAACATATTCCCACACTTCTTAGAGGCTTTGTTCATTTTTTGTTTCTTTGTTTATTCTTTTTTCTTTGTCTTTATTGGATTGAGTTATTTCAAAACCTTGTCTTCAAGCTCTGAAATTCTTTCTTCTGTAAGAAGAATTGTTCAATTCTGTTGTGGAGCCTTTCCAGTGCATTTTCCATTACTCTAAGAGTGTCCTTTGTTTCCTGAAGTTGTGATTGTTTTTTATTTATGCTACTGTTTCACTAAAGATTTATCCCCTCACATCTTGTGTATTTTTTGATTTCCTTAAGTTGTACTTCACCATTCTTTAGTGTCTCCTTGATGAACTTAATAATTGACCTTCTGAATTATTTTTCTGGCAATTCAGGGATTTCTTCTTGGTTTGGGTCCATTGCTGGTAAGCTGCTGTGATTTTTGGGGGGTGTTAAAGAACCCTGTTTTGTCATATTACCAGAATTGTTTTTTTGTTTGTTTGTTTCCTTCTCATTTGAGTAGGCTGTCAGAGGGAAGATACAGGGCTCAAGGCTGCTGTAAAGATTCTTTTTTCCCACGGGGTACTCCCTTGATGTTGTACTCTCCCCTTTTTCCTAGGGATGTGGCTAACTGAGAGCCAAACTGTAGTGATTGTTATTTTTCTTCTGGATCTAGCCACCCAGCAGGACTACCAGGCTCCAGGCTGATACTGGGAGGTGTCTGCACAGAGTCCTGTGATGTGAACCATCTTCAGGTCTCTCAGCCATAAATACCAGAACCTGCTCTGATGGAGGTGGCAGGGGAGTAAAATGGATTTTGTGAGGGTCCTTAGTTTTAGTTGTTGAATGCACTAGTTTTGTGCTGGTTGGCCTCCTGCCAGGAGGTGATGCTTTCAAGAGAGCATCAGCTGTGGAAGTATAGGCAAGGCCCTAGGGCTGCCAAGAGAATATGACCTTTGTCTTCCTCTACCAGGGTCAGTAGGGCAGCACTATCAGGTGGTGGCAGAGATATGCATGTCTGAGCTCAGACTCTTCTTAGGTAGGGCTTGCTGTGGCTGCTATGGGGGATGAAGGTGTGGTTCCCAGGTCAATGGAATTATATTCCCAGAAGGATTATGGCTGCCTTGCTGTGTCATGCAGGTTGTCAGGGAAGTGGGAGAAAGCAGCAGTTACAGGCCTCACCCAGTTCCCACGCAACCCCAAAGGCCAGCCTCACTCACACTGTGGCCACCTCAACAGCATCGAGTTTGTTTCCAGGCAGTGGGCAAGCAGGGCTGAGAACTTGCCCCAGGCTACTAGCCCCTAGGCTGAGAAAGCAAACAGGGATTTTGCGCCTCCCTACCTGTTGAGTCTGTACACGAGATTCATGCCCTCTCGAGTTCTGGCCAGGAATCTTTGCATTCAATTGGAATTGTTACAAAGTTCAGCTGGAGGTTTCCTTCTTTCTGTGGTCTTTTCCCAGTTCCTCTGCAGCCCTCCCCAAGGACCCCTGAGACAAGTCAGAAATGGCTTCCCTGGGAACCCAGAGAGCCCACAGGGCTTTTCCTGTTGCTTCTTCTACCCCTGTATTTCACTTGGCTCTCTAAATTGTCTCAGCTCCAGGTAAGGTCAAATTCTCCTCCTGTGATCTGGACCTTCAGGTTCCCCAGGGAAGATGTGTGTCTGAGGGTGGATGATCCCCACTTCCCACTTTCACAGTTTGGGCACACAGTATTTGGACCGTCTCCCAGGTCCTACAGGAGAAATTCACTTCCTTCAAAGGGTCTGTGGATTCTCTTGGCTTTCCTGGTATATTCCTACAGTCTATCTTGGAGCAAAAGTTCACGATGCAAGTCTCCACATGCTGCTCTTTCCATCCAAATTCTCTCTTCCTTTCTTTTCCATTATCTCTTCTCTTTTTTAAATTGCAAGTATAGAAGAATTCTATATTTGTGAGGCTCTTCAGAGATATTAATTTCAGACATTACATTTGCTTCTTTATTTGGGTGATGACGTGTGTGTGTTTGTATGTGCAGTTTTTTCCCAATTAGAAAAAAATATCCACAGGAAGTGACTGCCTTAGTTATTTGAGGTTTATTAGTAATACCTTTTAAAAAACTGGATGGCAGTGTATTGCTTATGCAAAGTATCTTACTGATAGTCAAATATCTAGTTCAATGAGGTACATCTGTTTGAAAATAAGTTTATGAATTTACACAGCATTTGAAATTTAATTTAAATGCAGTTTTGTTCTCAGAAGAATTTTGACTAGTTTTAGAATTTCAGTAAATACAACAGATGTACTTTAGAAGCAGGAGATAAATCTACATAAATGCAAAAAAGCAAAGTCCTTTGAAATTCCATTGGTTTTTTGTTGTTGTTGTTTTCCCCTTTTGTCAGCATTTTGCCGGCGCTGTACAGAAATATATGTGAATACACAGATGTTGAAACTGCGCATAAGTCCTAATATTTAAGGAACAGATGGCTGAGGAAATGTGATCATTTGCAATATATATATATGTTTTTATCCATATAAACTAGCTTATCTGTAAACTCACATTTACTCAGCAGCATATATATTGCATTAGTAGCTTTTTTATCATATTAAAATTTACCAGAATGTTCATAGATTACCTCAAGATCTCTCATCTCAATCGTGACATAGTAATGCCAACAATGATGCCTGAGAGAGACAAACAGAAATAGATTTGGGGATTATTAAAATGGGATCTTCTAAAAGTAATGGAAAAATTATTTGTGCTATCATCATTTTTTCCCTCAGTTTCTTCCAACAAACTTTCATTCACCCTCCACTAACCCCCTCAAACTGGAGTGATGCAAAACTGAAAGATGCAAAAAGGAATTTGGGAATAACTAGAGAAGCTGAACTAGAAGCTGAATGGAGTAATTTTTGTCTTTGTATTTAGTTACATCTTAACTAATACACTAATGTATACCTAATAATATAACATAATCTTATGTTTAGTTACATGCTTAAGTCTGATTTATAAAGTTGGAAGAAAACATAAGAATATTACTTGCCACCAATTCCCATTGAAGGAATTAGACAGGTTCTCTCCAAAGTCATCCATGTCTTTCTTTTGCAGCTATTTCTATTATTGTCCTCTCAACTCATATTTCTCTAGGATGTTTAGCTCTTTTATTTTGTTCACTCTCCCAAAGGAGATTTGCAAACATTCGACATCATACATGGGCAGTACGATTCACAGATTTTCTTTAATGCATTGATCTAATAAAAATCATATTTATTTTATTAACATGTGAAGTACTATTCAGCACACTGATTCTTTCCTAAAAACAATTTTACAATGTGCTGCTGAAACAAAAAAAAATGCTTATACCTAAAAGCAGTTAACTGATATAATTATGCTAAGGTTAGGAAATTATTAACATAGAATGGAATGATAGAAATATTTGGGGGAATTTAAGTGAATTAAATCCTAAAGGTTTTTCAGGACATCTTATTTATCTTAAATTGCCAATGCTAACTAAATGCTTTATAACATAGAACATATTTCATATACTTTTTTTAAGTAAAAATTGCTAAAACTCAATATCTACTATTATAAAATAAATTGTCACAGAAATTTTGAGTAAATAATATGATTTGACTATTTCTGCATTTAAATACTGTTTGGTTAATTATAAAAATACGTACCCAAATTGTCTATTTACATTTTATTGATTGGTTAATTTTTAGAGCATTAGGATATATTTTTTCACATAAAAATTATATATATGTATATATGTATATGTGTACATTTTTATTACATTGTATTATTTTACTCCTTCAGGATCTTCAAATTCTGAAATATTTGTCTGTTGCCAGTGTCTACCACTGTCCTTTTATTTGCTCTTTTCATTTCTATCACTGTGCTCCTTACTGTGCTTTTTTCATGTATATTTTACATCGAACATTTTACAATTTATCTTTAATTCTGAGATCACTTCGTCATTTCTTCAATTTCTTTTTCAAATTTAGTGTTCAAATGACATTTTTCTTCATTTATATTCTGATTTTGAATTTCTTGTTCTCTTTAATGTAAGCAATTTCTCAATTACAGTTTAGATTACATTTATATTATACACATAGTATAAATGCTATAGTCAAATGCCTCCATTTTGAGCTTCTTGGAAGGAAGTATTTTCATCTGTTGGAAAGTTTCAATTTATTTTTGTTGTTGTTGTTTGTTGTCTTACTATATTAACTTTCTATACTCAGTTTTTTTCTCTGTGTTACATTTATGCGCTTTAAGCAAGAGATAAACCTAAAATAAATTGATTTAGAGAGGCTGAAATAAAATGATCAACAAAACATATCCCAAATGCAAACACAAAGAAAAAAAAGGTTTATCTGGCAATGTAGAATTTATCCTCCAAAGCATTAAATGAGACAGATTTACAGTGTTAAAGGTTAGGAATCACAATGATTGTGTACCAGTTCTAAATATCTATCCAACAAATTACATAGCAGTGAAGTTTCTGAAGTAGAAACTACAAGAAGCAAAGGAAACGATAGAAAATCAGACAATACCTACTCAAAATAAAAGACTTTAACTTATTACTCTAAGTTGAAGACATTTCAAATGAAAAATAATTACAGAGAAGACCTAAACAAAGTAATTATTATAATAAGATACACATTATAAAATATAGACCTCAACTTTTACTCATTGGTAATATAGAAAAAAAGGCTTTTAGTTGCAAAAGAAAAATTTTAAAAGAAAAAATAGTATGCACAGAGCAGAAATAATATAAAAGTCAATATTTGATTATAGAACACTATGTTTCTGGGTATGGCTTATCAATACATTAAATATATTGGTAATTTATGTATATAAAAATAGATTAATAATTTCCCTTATTATAATATGAATCAACGTTCTCACAAGATTATGTAAAATGGTGATTTTTATAACAATTTTTAAGAAATATCCTTTTCTGTTTTAGTTAGAAAAGGTTTTTTAATGTGTTATTTGGTTTTATGTTGGGAACATTCACTAGTAGATGTAATTGAGATAGAAATTTCCTGTGTAGAAAATACATTTAATTTCTTAATAAATAGTGGACTACTTAAATTTTCTATTTTTTCTTATGTTAGATAAGATGTAATCATTTTTTCAAGAAATGTGTGCATTTTCTTCACATTAAAAAATATATTGGTGTATAGTTTTTCACAATGTCATCTTATTTTTTGTTAGTAGAACTCTTCACAATATTTTCCTTATGTTTTATTTTTTACATAAATTATATTAATCTTTAAAATAATCAGCTTTTGGATTTGTTAATTTTCTCTATTGTTTGTCTATTTCATTTATTTGTCTTATCTTCCATTATTTTCTGCCTTCTTGTGGGGAAAGGTGGAAAGAGGGCGAGATTTGCTATTTGTTTCTTTGCTTTGTGAGTTGGAAGTGTTGAGGCTAGCTAATTTCAAATTTTATTTCTTTAATATAAGCATTCAAGTTATGACTATCTCTTGGAGAACTTTAATTACAACCTACAAGTGTGCATTTCCATATCATCATTATTCATCAGTTTAAAATATAGTTGACCTGGATTACTGATCTCAACCTATTTTCGAATTTGTGAAGTCTCTTATCAATGGGAATAAAGTTCTGTCATGCAACTCTGCTAAAAAAGTTGAATTGTACTTTTCAGAATGGTATCCTTACATTGTTTTTATCTTGCTTTTCCTGTCATATAAAGTGGTATGTTAAGGTCATCAATATGATTTTGAATTTTTCTGTTTCTCCTTTTGTTCTGTTAATTTTATACAAACACTTGACATAAAATTTACGTACCTTAAAATTCACTATTTAAAATGTTAAATTCAGTGATCCTTTGTATATTCACAAGACGCTGCAACCATCAGTCCTACTAATTCCAGAATACGTTTATCATGTCAAAAAGAAGTGCTGTAAAGGTTTCCATTTCTACAATGACAGTGCAAGGAGTTTCACAGACCTACTCCCCAGCAACACAAGCAAAACTAATGAGGTATAAAAAACTAAGCACTTAAAGTCTCTAGAGATTTTCCTAATAAATCAGCTAATGAATAAAACAAATGGTTTCCTATTCCCTAATGACTAATGCTGTTGGGCACTTACTCATGTGCTTACTCATGTGCTTATTAGCTATTTTTATATCTTCTTTGGAGAAGCGTCTTTTTTATTTTTAATTAGGTTGTCTTTTTATTATTGGGTGATAACCATTCTTTACCTATTGTGGATCCAAGTCTCTTATAAGATAGCTTGCAAAATTTTTCTCCCATTCTGAAGGTTGTCTTTTCACATTCATGATGACTTCCTTTGAAACCCATAACTTTTAAATTTAGTGATGTCTGGTATTTCTGTTTTGTTCTTTTTTTCCCTCCTACTTTTGATGTTATATTTAAAAAGCTCCTAATCCATGACCATAAAGATTTACTCTTAAGTTTCTTCTAAGAGTTTTATAGATTAAGTTCTTACATTCAGGTAATTGAAGCACTTTGAGTTAATTTTTGTACATGTTTGAGGTAGGGGTCCAATTTCACTCATTTGAATGTAGATATCCAGTTGTCTCAGTACTTTTAGTTGAAAAGATTATTCTTTCCCCAATGAATAATCTTCTCACCTTTGTTGAAAAAAAGTTACTCATAGATGTATGGATTTATTTTTTAACTCTCAAGTCTATTCATTAATCTAAATGATTATGTGTATGCTGGTACCACATTGTTCATAACTTTGTATTAAGTTCTGGAATTTGGAAACCTAAGTCCTTTAAATTTGTTCTTTTTTTCAATATCATTTTGACGTTTTGGGGTCTGTTGAATTTTATATACATTTTAAGATCAGCTTGTCAATTTATGCAAACAAATCATCTGGGATTTTAATAAGGGCTTCATTGAATCTGTAGATAGATTTAGGTTATATTTTCATCTAAACAATATTGAATTATCCAATCTACGAGTACAAAACATCTTTTGATTTACTTAATTACTCTTTATTTCAGCACTATTTTGTAGTTTTCAGACTAAATTGTGGATTTTGATGGATTAATTAATTACTTTATTTTAGATTTGTGGTTCCACTATGTTGCCCAGGTTGGTCTCAAACTCCTGACCTCAAATGATGCTTCTGCCTCAGGAGTAGCTGGGACTACAGGTCTGTGCCATTGAGCCCTGCTAAGATTTATTTTAAATATGTTTTTTAAGGTATTATAAATGGAAATGTTTACATAATTTCTTTTTACATTTGCTCGTAGCTTCAGTATATATAGTACAAGTGAGGCTTTGTATTGGTCTTGTGTACTGAAAACTTGCCAATCTCATTTTTTAGTTTTCATTTTTTTAGTTACTGTCTTAAGATTTTATATATACAAGATCATGATCTACAAGTAGAAATAACTTTACTTTTTCTTATTCAATCTGGATGCCTTTTATTTTATTTTCTTGTCTAATTGTGCTAGGTAAAGTCTCCAAAACAATGTTGAACAGAGTTGAGAGAGGGGTTATCCTTGTTTTGTTCCTGATCATAGTGGCCTAATATTCAGTCTTTCGCCATTTAGTATGATGTTAGCTGTAGGTTTTTTGTAGATGCTTTATATCAGCTTGGAGATGTTCTCTTCTACTCCTAGTTTTGTGTGTGCTTTTACCATGAAAGGGCTTTGGATTTTGTGAAATGCTTTTTCTGCTTCTATTGAGATAATGATATAGTTTTCATCTTTTATTCTGTTGATATCCGTTATTACCATGATTTTTATATGGTGAAACTATCTTGCATTCCTGTGATAAATTCCACTTGATTATGATATATAATCATTTTTATATGCTTCATGACTTGGATTGTATTACATTGTTGAGGAATTTGTTTGTAAGAGATATTGGGTTTGTAATTTTCCTTGGGTGTGATCCCTTTGCCTGATTTTGATATCAAGGCAATTCAAGTTGGCCTCATGGAAAATATTAGGAAGCACACCCTCCTCTTTCATTTTCAAGAGTTTGTGGAGGATAAGTGTTAACTCTTTAAACCTTTAGTAGAATTCAATTCATAAAGGAAGTCATATGGTTATGGGCTTTTCGTTTAATAAAATTTGTTGATTACTAAATCTACTTAGAATTCTGATTTAATCATTAGTCTGTTTTGGTGATTTATGCCTTTCTAGAATCTATTTCATTTTGTGTAGTTTATCAAATATTTGCCCTGTAATTTTTCATAGTATTATTTTGTAATCCATTTTTATTTCTATAAGTCCAACAATAACCTTTTCTCTTTGATCCCTGATTTTAATAATTTTGGTCTATTACTAAATTTCCATATGCATTTTAGAAAGTTTTGGCTTATTTAGTCTTCACTTTCTGCTTGTATAGAACATCGATATAAGTCAGAAATGACAGTTTAGGGGCTTTTCAGATCTTCCTGAGCATCTGCCAAGTACTATACCTGTGCATGGCCTTCTAAATTCCTAACTATGTGGGAGATTTTCAAAGCCCTATGAACATCTCATTACTCAGCCGTAACTTTTAAGTTGTTTGCTTAGTCTGTTGTTTGCCCCAAATGTTATCCATCCCTCAGGCAGTCATAATGTTAAAGAATTCAATAAGCTATCTCTAATCTCTGAAGAAATGCTTTCAGCACTGCATGAGTTTGAGAGAAATCAGATAAAGACATGTCTTTCAGGTGTCTTTTGGGGTGCCACCAGACAGGTGAAATAATGATTGTTCTTTGGAATGAGGCTTTGAAATAGATTCAGCTCTGCCCTGCTCCCTCCTGTACAAGGAGTGCAATATGTTATTTTTTAAGGCTACTGTTGAGCTAAGGAGTAGGAAATGAGGTAAGTTAAAACACCACAAAGCTCTCTGTTCTTATAAGGATTAAACCATTTTTTTCTTGACTAAATGCTCCTTAGGTTGTGTAAGCCTTTGGTTAAACTTCCAGCATTCTGAAAACGTTGATTCTGACTTTTTTTTTTTCAGGTTTGAAAATTTGCTTTTATGCAATGGTAAGCTCAGTGGTTTCTATCCACCCTTTTCACTTGCCATATGTATATTTAAAGATGTGTTATTGAGTGCATATATATTTAGAATTGTGACAATTTCCTATTGGAGTGAACTCTTTATTTTTTAATAAATTAGCATTCTTTATCCTTAGTAATGTTTTTCTTTAAAGTTTATTTTGATTTATATTTGCATAGCTACATCACTTTTTTCTTTTTTTTTTTTCTTTTAGACAGAGTCTTGCTGTGTCACCAGGCTGGAGTGCAGTGGCGCGATCTCAGCTCACTGCAACCTCCGCCTCTTGGGTTCAAGCGATTCTCCTGCCTCAACCTCCTGCGTAGCTGGGACCACAGCCATGCGCCACCACGACAAGCTAATTTTTGTATTTTTGGTAGAGATAGAGTTTCACCATGTTGGCCAGGATGGTCTTGATCTCCTGACTTCATGATACGCCCACCTCGGCGGATCCCAAAGTACATCAGTTTTTTTCAGTTTGTTGTTTTCATGTTGTATTTTATGTCTTTCAATTTTCTGTTTTAAGAGTGTCACCTATAAAGCACGTTTTTTTGTTTGTTTGTTTGCTTTTTACTGAGTTTGACAATCTTAGTGACAACTGAAGTATTTAGTCTATGGTGAATCATAATAATTACTAAAATAGTGGGGTTTTAATTAGCCATATAACTATGTTTTTAGTTCACCTATTCCTTGTTTTCTTTTTTAATTTTTATCTCTTCAACAGCTTTTGAATTAATAATTTTTTTCTTTATTTGGTTTCTTAGTTACATTCTTTCAATATTCTTTTACTGGTTCTACTAAATATTATGAGACATTACATTTTCTGTGTTTTATTTATTATATTGAATACAAATTATTTTCTCTACCAGTTCATCCAGTAATGTTAGAATTAGAGAACATTCAAAATGTGTTTACTCCATTTCAGATTTTGTGTCATTGTTAAATTCATCTTACTTCTACATATATTTAAACTACACAAGACATTGTGCTGTTTTCTATTGTCAGCATTCATTTATAACTTAACTGTTCATCATTTCAGGTGATTTTATTTTTCCATTGTAGTTTGCCTCAGATGAAATAATTCAATATGCAGGTGTCCACTGGAAAAAGAAGAAAAAATTTAAATAAACACTTAGAAGTAAAAAAATTCAGACTTAAAATATCTTTTAAGAAACCTGTCCTCCCAGGCCTATAATTTGTGTCCATAAATAAACTACTGTCAATGGCTTAAAGCATACTTTTATTCTCAAGAATGGGGAGAAACTAAAAAGCCAAAAACAGAAATGGTTAATAAAACTCATCTATCATTTTGTGTTATATCTTAAACATTCTTACTGAATGTAGCAAATAAGCAAAATAAAGAAAAAATTATTATTAATTTAAAAAGTGTAAAAGGGACAAAATTTTTTAAAAATAAAAAATAATAGGGAACAGATGAGCTTAACTAAAAACATAGATGGAAAACTAAAACACATCTGTTTTATTAATTATTACAAATGACAATAAACATATACTTCCGTTTTGACTAAGATTGTGAAACTCATTATTGAATCTAATTGTCTCGCTGAGTCACAGTAAAAGACAAACAAAAGATACAATTAATGCTTAGTTTCCCTGCGTCAGTTGAGGTTATTTGTAAACCATCACCTTAACACTTCAAAAATTTCTCATAATCCTATTTTCATAGTAAGGAGAAATATTATATAATTTTTAATTCCATGCAATCATTCTCCAACTCCAAAAAAATAAATAATTATAATGATAATTCCTGAAAAATACAAATAATTGACTATTTCTAGATATTGTGTGTCTGAGATTGTGTTGTATAGCAGGATAATTTGGAAGGTGTGAGTTTAGGGCGGGTGTTGTGGAGGTAAGTGGGAAATGAAACAGGGAAATATTTAAAGCGGCACGATAATTTATTTCCCTGTTGGCACCTGCTTTGTTAAGTGTCCAGGAAAAAACTCATTCAAGTTTTTTGGCAGGTGTGCTTACTCAGCATGAAGAACTGAAGGACTAGAAGGAAACTGCATGTCTGGCTGTCTCCTATCTGCCATTTCTGTTTGGTTAACTTTCAATCCATGGTGAACAAATTCCCCTGCACCTTCACATTTCAACATTCAGACTGTCTGCCATTGTTCAGGAAGCCACGTTCCACATTTCATGGCATAGTACTTCGTCTAATAGGAAAGTTGAGAAAAAGAAAGAGGTAGTCAAAAGATACTGTGAAGTACAAGGTTTCTTTCTAAGTATTCTGAGGTAGGTAATTCATATCCATTATGAATTTAAGTCTCACAAACACCCTATAGAGTAGGCAATGAATTTTATCCAATTTTACAAATGTGTAAATGATATTTTTCAAGGTCATATAGCTTAAAGTGTTATAAGGCATAATTGAGATTCAGTATGTCTGCCTCCATTGCCCACAGTCATAGCTTGTGGACCATATGCACTCACAGAGTTGATATTAAAATATGATGTTTTAATTAAACAAAATAATGCTTTTTTAATCAAATTATTTTATAATGCTATACAGGCAGCCTGTCATTAAGTGGAACACCTTATCTGAGTTGTTATTTTTTCATTTTGAAATAATTGAGTAACTTTTTAATAAAGTATTGTCCTTGTGGAACTTGAATATATAATAGGAAATTCATTGGTTTTAATATGGGATTAGATAAATGAAAATTATAGTTAACTTCACAAGGAATCCTATTTAATTACCTAGAAAAGTACAAACATAAATAATCATTGAGGCTCAATACTTTTCTGCCTAATAAAGATTATTGTTTACTTAAGGAGGGGGACATAATAAATGCTTGATGCTGAGTCAGTTTTTCCTCTGCGTTTCACAGCTATAACCAGCTTCTCTAAGATTTTTTAACATAGATGAAGCACACACTTAACTCCAAGGCTGAATTATGATCCAGTAGCCTCTGAATGCAACCGCACTGTGTTGTATGAGACAACAGATAATTAGAAGGCATTTCTCAGTGTTCTGTATGTTCTTACTTTCTATGTGCCAATAAATTTAAATGAATTTAGACAACCTCTCCAAATGACACTGCAAGTTGTACCCACAGCTTAGGCATTTTTATACAATACAAGGTTATGATTTTACTTTTTTTTGTTAAGCCAAATATTTTACTTCTAAGATGTTAATTAAAATCAAATCTCTTGACCTAAGTAACTATAATAGCAAGAATTGAAAGAAGACAACATTTCAATAATGACTTTTGTTTGTGCAAATAAGTCAGTGTTTGGAATATTTATAACTAAATGAAGGTTTACGTATAGAACTTCGAGTATACTACAATGGCCAGTCTTGCCAATAAGATATCAATAATTAAAACAATGAGTATACAGACAAGGTATTTAATTACAAAGATGTTCCTTCATGCCGATGGTATTTCACCTGCTTTCATTGGCTCTGTATCTTCATTTTTTTGAAATGTTTAAAGATTTACTCTTACACAAAACAACTCTTTTACACAAATTTTAGATTTACCTATAATCTTGTGTTGTACACACACTTGGAATCATCTAAGGGTTATGGAGGATATAACAAGTGAAAATAGAAACTGAACTTAGTAGCTTTACCTTCCTTGACTTTCAGATTGGTGATAATCAATGTGAATTATTTTGCCATAATTATCCATTTAAATGGTATGTTTAAAACATTAATAAGTCTACTTCTTAAAAGCCATATAACTGTAAAAATGTAGTTAGGTGAACTAAGGAGTTAAAATTATCTCTCAGTAAGCTAAATTGGATTGTCTCCTACTATTTCAAGAGAATGTATTATAAAAAGAAGCTATTCCTGCTTACTGTGAATTCTTGTATTTTGCTAAGTTCTAAGTACCAGATAAGCTTTACCAGTTATATCCTGCTGTTCAGCACTTAAAATACAATGAGTCAGCTCTAAAACAGACCAAACAGCAGCTATATAAAGTTTGACTGATTGTATGCTTATCATCAAATGAAATAGATATTATGTCTAATTAAATGTTTCCATGATACTGTATAGTGTGTAAACTTCTTTATTAAATCTTTAAAAATTTTTCCTACATGTATTGACATTTTCCCCTAAATATAGGCTATGAGAAAATGTCTGATTCTGATGGCCTAAATTGAAGAAGGAAGAACTTGTCATCTGTCTATCTCATGAAACTCAAAGTGCAATGTAATATTTTTTTTCTAGAAAAATAAAGTTCCTCCATAAATAGTGGATATAAGTAAGGTATTTGAAATCAAATTGAGTGCATTTGAGTGAATTTCAGTTTTCTCATTTACAAAATGATAAGAATAACTTTAAAGAATATACTGCTTGTAGTAAATTGTTGAATACTTACTGTTTGTCAAATTTATTCAATTATGTTATTATATACTACTAAAATTTGACATGGAATGCAGAAAAAAACATACATACAGAATAAAGTACAGAAAAAAAAACAAAGCAAAAGAAAATGAAACATCGGTAAGCAGAAATTCAGAGAAAATGGACTCACAATTCAATTAGTTGTTACCATAAAAAGTGAATTTAAAGATACATTGGTCTAACATTTAAGTCTTTAATCCATCTTGAATTGATTTTTGTATAAGGTGTAAGGAAGGGATCCAGTTTCAGCTTTCTACATATGGCCAGCCAGTTTTCCCAGCACCATTTATTAAATAGGGAATCCTTTCCCCATTGCTTGTTTTTCTCAGGTTTGTCAAAGATCAGATAGTTGTAGATAAGTGGCATTATTTCTGAGGGCTCTGTTCTGTTCCATTGATCTATATCTCTGTTTTGGTACCAGTACCATGCTGTTTTGGTTACTGCAGCCTTGTAGTATAGTTTGAAGTCAGGTAGTGTGATGCCTCCAGCTTCGTTCTTTTGGCTTAGGATTGCCTTGGTGATGTGGGCTCTTTTTTGGTTCCATATGAATTTTAAAGTAGTTTTTTCCAATTCTGTGAAGAAAGTCATTGGTAGCTTTATGGGGATGGCATTGAATCTGTAAATTACCTTGGGTAGTATGGCCATTTTCACGATATTGATTCTTCCTACCCATGAGCATGGAATGTTCTTCCATTTGTTTGTATCCTCTTTTATTTCATTGAGCAGTGGTTTGTAGTTCTCCTTGAAGAGGTCCTTCACATCCCTTGTAAGTTGGATTCCTAGGTATTTTATTCTCTTTGAAGCAATTGTGAATGGGAATTCACTCATGATTTGGCTCTTTGTTTGTCTGTTGTTGGTGTATAAGAATGCTTGTGATTTTTGTACATTGGTTTTGTATCCTGAGACTTTGCTGAAGTTGCTTATCAGCTTAAGATTTTGGGCTGAGACAATGGGGTTTTCTAGATATACAATCATGTCCTCTGCAAACAGGGACAATTTGACTTCCTCTTTTCCTAATTGAATACCCTTTATTTCCTTCTCCTGCCTAATTGCCCTGGCCAGAACTTCCAACACTATGTTGAATAGGAGTGGTGAGAGAGGGCATCCCTGTCTTGTGCCAGTTTTTCAAAGGGAATGCTTCCAGTTTTTGCCCATTTAGTATGATATTGGCTGTGGGTTTGTCATAGATAGCTCTTATTATTTTGAAATACGTCCCATCAATACCTAATTTATTGAGAGTTTTTAGCATGAAGGGTTGTTGAATTTTGTCAAAGGCCTTTTCTGCATCTATTGAGATAATCATGTGGTTTTTGTCTTTGGCTCTGTTTATATGCTGGATTACATTTATTGATTTGCATATATTGAACCAGCCTTGCATCCCAGGGATGAAGCCCACTTGATCATGGTGGATAAGCTTTTTGATGTGCTGCTGGATTCATTTTGCCAGTATTTTATTGAGGATTTTTGCATCAATGTTCATCAAGGATATTGGTCTAAAATTTTCTTTTTGGGTTGTGTCTCTGCCCGGCTTCGGTATCAGAATGATGCTAGCCTCATAAAATGAGTTAGGGAGGATTCCCTCTTTTTCGATTGATTGGAATAGTTTCAGAAGGAATGGTACCAGTTCCTCCTTGTACCTCTGGTAGAATTCGGCTGTGAATCCATCTGGTCCTGGACTCTTTTTGGTTGGTAAACTATTGATTATTGCCACAATTTCAGCTCCTGTTATTGGTCTATTCAGAGATTCAACTTCTTCCTGGTTTAGTCTTGGGAGAGTGTATGTGTCGAGGAATTTATCCATTTCTTCTAGATTTTCTAGTTTATTTGCGTAGAGGTGTTTGTAGTATTCTCTGATGGTAGTTTGTATTTCTGTGGGATCGGTGGTGATATCCCCTTTATCATTTTTTATTGTGTCTATTTGATTCTTCTCTCTTTTTTTCTTTATTAGTCTTGCTAGCAGTCTATCAATTTTGTGGATCCTTTCAAAAAACCAGCTCCTGGATTCATTAATTTTTTGAAGGGTTTTTTGTGTCTCTATTTCCTTCAGTTCTGCTCTGATTTTAGTTATTTCTTGCCTTCTGCTAGCTTTTGAATGTGTTTGCTCTTGCTTTTCTAGTTCTTTTAATTGTGATGTTAGGGTGTCAATTTTGGATCTTTCCTGCTTTCTCTTGTGGGCATTTAGTGCTATAAATTTCCCTCTACACACTGCTTTGAATGCATCCCAGAGATTCTGGTATGCTGTATCTTTGTTCTCGTTGGTTTCAAAGAACATCTTTATTTCTGCCTTCATTTTGTTATGTATCCAGTAGTCATTCAGGAGCAGGTTGTTCAGTTTCCATGTAGTTGAGCGGTTTTGAGTGAGATTCTTAATCCTGAGTTCTAGTTTGATTGCACTGTGGTCTGAGAGATAGATTGTTATAATCTCTTTTCTTTTACATTTGCTGAGGAGAGTTTTACTTCCACGTATGTGGTCAATTTTGGAATAGGTGTGGTGTGGTGCTGAAAAAAATGTATATTCTGTTGATTTGGGGTGGAGAGTTCTGTAGATGTCTATTAGGTCTGCTTGGTGCAGGGCTGAGTTCAATTCCTGGGTATCCTTGTTGACTTTCTGTCTCGTTGATCTGTCTAATGTTGACAGTGGGGTGTTACCATTCAGGACATAGGCATGGGCAAGGACTTCATGTCCAAAACACCAAAAGCAATGGCAACAAAAGACAAAATTGAAAAATGGGATCTAATTAAACTAAAGAGCTTCTGCACAGCAAAAGAAACTACCATCAGAGTGAACAGGCAACCTACAAAATGGGAGAAAATTTTCGCAACCTACTCATCTGACAAAGGGCTAATATCCAGAATCTATAATGAACTCAAGCAAATTTACAAGAAAGAAACAAACAACCCCATCAAAAAGTGGGCGAAGGACATGAACAGACACTTCTCAAAAGAAGACATTTATGCAGCCAAAAAACACATGAAAAAATGCTCATCATCACTGGCCATCAGAGAAATGCAAATCAAAACCACAATGAGATACCATCTCACACCAGTTAGAATGGCAATCATTAAAAAGTCAGGAAACAACAGGTGCTAGAGAGGATGTGGAGAAATAGGAACACTCTTACACTGTTGGTGGGACTGTAAACTAGTTCAACCATTGTGGAAGTCAGTGTGGCGATTCCTCAGGGATCTAGAACTAGAAATACCATTTGACCCAGCCATCCCATTACTGGGTATATACCCAAAGGACTATAAATCATGCTGCTATAAAGACACATGCACACGTATGTTTATTGCGGCATTATTCACAATAGCAAAGACTTGGAACCAACCCAAATGTCCAACAATGATAGACTGGATTAAGAAAATGTGGCACATATACACCATGGAATACTATGCAGCCATAAAAAATGATAAGTTCATGTCCTTTGTAGGGACATGGATGAAATTGGAAATCATCATTCTCAGTAAACTATCGCAAGAACAAAAAACCAAACACCTCATATTCTCACTCATAGGTGGGAATTGAACAATGAGATCACATGGACACAGGAAGGGGAATATCACACTCTGGGGACTGTTGTGGGGTGGGGGGAGGGGGGAGGGATAGCATTGGGAGATATACCTAATGCTAGATGGCGAGTTAGTGGGTGCAGCGCACCAGCATGGCACACGTATACATATGTAACTAACCTGCACAATGTGCACATGTACCCTAAAACTTAAAGTATAATAAAAAAAAAAAGATACATTGAAGATAATTCCATGGTTTCAAATGTGAGTCATTCGGAAATTATTCAAAATATTTACCCAAATCAAAATAAAAATTATTAAGAAACTCAAACAATTTATTTTTGAATGTTAATTGGATTAAGCTTAATTGCAAGTACAAGTATATGAGTAATTTTAAATATGGTCCCACAGATTGGGAGAGAAGGTAGAATGGGGGTTAGATTTTAGAGAGATTAAAAAAAGTTCAAAATCTGAACTTATTTTCAAGTAATTAGTGTTTCTTGTTTTTGTGGTAAATTAGAAGGCAAAATTTTATGTTGCCACTGACAAATTTTAATTAACAACAACAATGTCATTAAAGATAGCTCACAATTATGATTAATGCTAGGTTATTCTGAAATAAATTAACCTCACAAAAGCATAGTACAGAACTGAAAGCCAAGATTTTAGCCCTCAACTGTACTCATCTCTGCAAATGGAAATACTTATTGATAACTACCAGTTACCACAAGGATAAGAGAACAAATCCAACCGTTGGGCCTCGATTGCATCAGAAATTAGTGGACAAAAAAAAGTGGTTTAATAGTTGAAACTTTAGCCACCAGAAACAGATTTTCATTCTAATCCTCACCCTTAGCAGCTCAGTGCAAACTTAACTCTGCCTTTAACCAGTTAAGAGGGAGTAACCTTGTCATTGGCTAGTGTCTCAAGCCAGTGACTCTGTCTACAGTATATTCAAAATATTCTCTGTATTAAAAAAATCATTTGCATCAATCAAGAGGATCACAAAATATGGAAATAACCCTTTCATTGCTTGTCATTACTATAGAGGTTATAATTAGTAATATGCAATATGGACAACATCCTCAGCTAATAGTTTGAACTTCAGAACAATAGGTACCATATATCCAAGTAACTTATTGCTTTATTTATTCTAAATATTCCTTTACTTATTGCATGCCAATCGCTGTTCTAGGTTCCAAGGACACTGGGATGAGTAAAAAGACAAGATCACTACTTCCATGTAACTTACCTCCTAGTAAGGAAAGATGAAAAAAAAATCAAGATTGATTAATAATGGTAAATTACATAATAAAAAGAAAATATGTTAATTGAGATAAAGCATGGATGGTCACATTCAGTTGAATTCCCAGGGAAAGCCTCACTGGGGTAATGTTCAATATGATACTTGAATGATAAGAAGTAGCCAGACATGCCAAAATCTGGGAAATAAATAGACCAGAAAGAGGAATTAGGTTATGTACAAACCTGGAGGAATGAAATTGCATAGTTGTAGAACTGGAAAGAGACCAATGTGATCACACTTTGGTGAAGACATTGGAGGATTTTAGAAAATGAAATCAGACAACAGGGCCTTAATTAATGTTGGACTTTGTAGACTATTACATGAAGTTTGGATTTCATTCTAAGGTTAATGGGAAACCATTGGTGGTTTAAACAACGTTTCCCCAGCATTTAATAATCTGTCTGTGGAAAGATCATTCTTTTTGCAGTACAGGAAATGAATGAACTGAGTTATGGGGAATAAATTAAAAAGGGTGAATTTTGAGGAAGGAAGCTGGGATAAAATGCTAGTCTATTAATCCCTGAAAGGAACTGATTACAGTGTCAGGAACAGAGGAAAAAGGAGTATGGGATTTGTTTTGTAAATAAAGTCACCATGTCTCTGGGTACTCAGAATCATGTCTGGTACGTGAAAGTCATTCCATTATATTTATTAAATGATTGAATAAAAGGTTGAATGCTACCCAGTGTGTTTAAACAGTATATCCCTCAAATTGAAAATTTCCTTACTTTTCTTCACAACACTTTAAGCAAGTTTAAATGATCTGAATACAGAATTAGCCTTATGGGTCAGACTGACAGATAGTGCATTGTTTATGGCACCACGCAAATCTTTGGAGCTGTGTAAATCAGAAAACATTTTCAGCAGGTGGATACATTCAAGACTGACCAACTAGGTGAACTAGGACAACGAGAGAATCCAGGGTATAAAAAGTTTTACAGACACATTGAGAAACAGATAGGCTCAATTATGCTCTGAAGAGCTACTAATAGAAAACACTTCAAGCAAAATTCAAGATGAAATAAGACATTTTGAGAAACGTAATTATGAGTTTAAGAGGCAGAATGGTAAACAGTGATTACAAATACCCATCAAAAGAAAGATTGTTATGTGAAGACTTTCTTGTAAAGGCTACTAATTGCAACAGGTTTTTTTAGTCATGTTCATTCACATTCAATAACAACACTATAATAAGCATCAACTTCAAACATAAAAGGCATGCATTATGAAAAATCGGTTCTTTCCCTTAGCATAAGTAAGATTAATTACAAGTTCCCAGTAATAGTTCATAGATTTTACTTTAAGAGAACTAGAGATTTTCCATGAATAGTTTTTTTTTTTAAACATCTTTCCAGACTTTAAAGAGCAACTAGTCAATTGGAAACTTTCAAAGATGAATCAAGCTTACTAGATTGATTAACCTTGCTATTTCTCCTAAGGTATGTTTTCTATTGCTTATATGTAACAAAATTATTTTGTATGTATTGATACAATTTCAACAAGCTCTGCTTCCTAGAGGGCTTGCATAGCAAACAACTATTTAATTTTTAGAGGCAGAGTATTAAGTTTTAAATGGAATAATAAGTTGCTATGATTCTGTGTAGGGCAGTAGAGGAGAAGTAGAAAAGGCCAGTTTGGTTTGATGAAAGGGGATAGATAATCATTTTCATCTAAAGTTCTATCTAAAGTTAAATTTAGTTATTTCTTAGCGAACAGTTCCTGACTTTCTAGAGTATAATCACACCTGATCACCACGATGAGAGTCATCATAACTGCTTTTTAATTTACAAAATCCACAAATGCTCTTTGAAAATTGTTAAACATGAGTTCATAATAATAAAAAAAAGAAAACATGAAAATTTTCATCCTACTTCACTCCTCTCCCAATTTCTACTCTTCTAGTGTAACTAGTGTTAAAATTTTAAAGTATGTTTTTCCAGGCTATTTTTGTGTGTGTATGTAACCACAGAGAATAACACTGTTCTCTATTATTTTAATACAAATACAACAAACATGAATCAAGTACTCGCTATGTAGCCTGTACTGTCTAAATTGTTTAAATGCATTATCTCATTGAATATGCTAATTCAGTATGTTAATATTTGTGTACTTGTTCAATATATACACATATATGCAGTATTTATAATCTAGTGGGAGTTGTTTCTGATGGAATAATTAAAGGTATATTGCTGGATCAAACTGTGGGGCTAATTTACATTTGATAGTTAGTGGAAAAAATTTCCCCTAAGAAAAACTGAAACTAATTTCACTTTCATCATCTTCTGATCATACATGTAAAAGTACTTTATCTCCTATCTTCAGCAATGCTGGACACGGACACTATCAATCTTTCGTTATACTTTCCAACATGATGGTTTTAAATATGACATTTATTTTTATGCTTTTTTGTAGTTATTTGTCCACTTAGATATTGGAAATATTAACTCTTAGTTATATATGTCATAAATATTTCTTGTCAGCCTATTTTGTGTTTATTCTTGGATTACTTCACACTGCCACAAAAATGAATACAAACTCCTATATTTGATGCCAAATTTGTTTTGACCTCTTTAGGAGCCTTTGAAATGGTCATGGCTCAGACCTATACTGTTTTGTTCTGAGAGACACAGAAATTCTCTTTGAGTCCTATTGTCTAAGATGGTCCTATAATAACCCAAGAAGATAAAAATTTTACCAAGAAGATAAAAATCTTATATCTGAGAATGTACCTCCTTAGCCCTGACTGTGAAAACTTCTAATTACAATAACTTTTTAAATATAATATAAACTTAGTGGATTTTAATCATTTCAACCACAGAAATCCAAGAAATAAAATATGCACCTGAAAATCTTGATACAGAGGATGAAAATCATGCTTTCTGACCTGATTGTAGTATTTTCCAAACTATATGAAATGACAGTACTTGTTAAGTCATGTCAACAATATAAAATATGTATGTGCAGTATTCATATACCAAGTAAGCACTGCCATAAATAAATCAAAAGTTTTAAAATTACCTGCATAATAAATGCAGTGTTTATAAACGTATAGTCATTTTACAGGTACAGAGATGCCTCTGATGTTTGACCATCTGGCAGTTTGGACAGACGATGTCCTTGAGACAGATGCACCTGTAAAATACTAAAAGTCTCTTTGCAAGTGTTAGTGAAATAACTGGGTTTAGATGCACACCTGTGAACATGCTTAAATGTTTGGTCTTATTCCTAGAAATGCTAAATCTGCATTACTAAAAAGTAATAGCTATCTATTTCTATGCTCCACTGACTTAATGGTTTCCTTCCAAAATCTTTAGGGGAAAGAACAGCATTATAACATTCTTAGCTGATTGCCTATAATAGAGAATGATATTTCAGATTGGGAATAATTGCACTGATATTGACTCTTAAATATAGAAGGAAAGAAAGCTGGGGGAGGAATATAAAATTTACTTCATTTTATAAAAGAGGAAATGGACACTTTGACACAGAGTTCACAATAATCGCACAACATAGTAATGTGAACCATTGTTTTTAAATACCAACTCTATTGTTATTCCCACTAGAGCATAAAATTCCAGGTAAGTTAGAAACACAAAAATTGAAAAATCCAATATTTATAAAAAACACTAACAGGTAAAAACTCAACTTACATAATACTTACATAGATTTATATTAAGACTGGATTTTAAAATAAAAATTAATTGTAATAATTATATTTTAAATGAATAATACATGTCATAGTGTTATGTGGGATAGGAAAGGTAGAAAAAGTGCCCAGGAGAATCATAATTATTCATTTTCTTTTTTGAAAGAAAATATATAGTTTCATTTATATACTGCTCCCTATATTTATACTGAAGAAAAAATAACTGAATATAAACCCCTCCCAAAAGCTCTTTACATTTTGGTTAAACCCTTTTAAAATACAGGTAGGAATAATCAACTTACAAACCAAGATTCCCGAGCAAAAATTTGAAACCTGTAAAATATGTTACAACTCATATTCGTTCTTTTGCTAACAGGCAAGAAAACATTTGAAGCCCTGGAGGTTTTGACTCAGCTTTCTTGTTTTGACTAAGTTTTATTTCTCCTAAGGCTGAGTTTGAGAAATATTACTTCCTTTATGCTCTCCACTTTACTCCTTTTCTCTTATTAATTCCCACTGCTTTTTTCCTAATACAAACACACATCTGCTACAGACAGGCAAATCTTGCCTAGGGATGCCTCTATTGATGGTGAGTTCTCAAGAGAATAACTCTTAACAAAGTTAATCTATCTATTATGAATTACATTTTAATGTAATTTAAAATAGATGTAATTTAACATTTTCCTTGATGTTATATTAGTTTTTGTTCCTTTTTTGTCTTTCCTCCAACATGAAGCTACATTCATTTGCTCTGACTTTTGCTGCTGACTGGTGACTGTTTGATTAGCCACATAAAAAATATGTTTTCAGCATCATTGCTATTAAAATTCACTTTTTAATAGCAATGTGTAACATCAAATATCTATAAGGTGCATTAATAAAGAGTGGAGGTCTCAATATGAACCTCCTGCTATTCTCATATGTGACATTTAACAAAAGGGTCATAGAAAGCACCACATTGAGACCTAAATGACAGAGGACTCTGGGAGATCATGGTTGACTTTTTTATTTGGTAGCTGACCCAGGAAAGCTCTGACTGATACTTAGAAGGAATGCCTGCTGAAAAAAAAAGAACGACTCAGCTGGGCAGAACATGTGCTGAGACTAAATGGCAGCAGGGAATCCAAACACCTGCTGTCTGGTGAACCGAAATAGGCAACTGTAAACTAGTAAAACAGATTTAAAAAATAGACACCCAAACCCACATGTTCAAGAAATTCTGTACTTGTTTACATATTAGGCAGTGCCTAATACCGAAAGATCATATTCCAAAGATCTGTTTAGAGCACAGAGCAAACAGATCTCTGGAGAATCAAATATAGAAATTTTGGACATAGCAGGCTGTTTGATTCCTATAATATAGCTGTATACCAAAGCACTGCCATTTACAATAGTCAAGGTCTCCCTCCAGCTGTGAGTTGCATTAGGCTTCTCTCCTGGGGTACATGAGAATGGAAGCTAAGGCAGTAGCAGGAGGTGGGGATTATCAAGAATCTAAGAGGATAATAAAGAAGGGAGAACAAAGGTGTGTCTTCTTCTCCACCTTTTTAATAGTGAATAAGAACTATTCCAAAGCCAATTCTGAACTAGGCCATGAGGCGTTCTGTTATTTTCAAGCCAAGTGAACATGAAACTCTGCTCTTGTGAAGTAGATATGGGTCTTATAAAGTGGTGGGGGGTCCAAAAATGCAGGGAAGTTACAGAAAAGATACCATCACAAAACTTTACACTGACATCAGGAAACACAAGAACAGAACCAATGTATTCAAAAACAGCTCCCCAAAACTAGTTGATAGTAAGCCTTAATCACACTGCTAAGGCACCTGTCAGGATTCTGCTTTGAGTTCAAGTACAGAGACACTTTAAATATTCAAAGAATCAAGGAAGAAGAAAAGCAAGAAGCAATCCACCCTACTCATGAAAGTGTATGGATAAGCTGCTCCTTGATAGTTCTACAAAAATATGTGTATTTGATCTTCAGTGAAAGATAGATGAGACACAGTCTGAATGTCAGTTGTCTTAAAAGGAAAAACCTGCATTGTTCTTGTGGCAAATTCCAATAATGACTATTCATCCTGATGTGGTTTGGGAACAGGATCTACCTTTTCTTCATTAAATATTACAGCCAGACTAAGACAAGGTGCTTTCTCGTTGACTACTTTGAGGATCAGGTTGACCAGAGGGCTTAGTATAAGTGGTGGGGTAAAGGATGAACTTGCTTGTGACACCGTGAAGATAGGCTACAACTCTCCACATTTGCTAGGTCTACTAAGAGTCTATACAAACAAGCTTATGGAAGTGCAAATTGTGTGATGAGTGTGGCTCACAGGCAAACCCATATATGCAGAGAGCAGAAGGTCAGACGTTTTAAGGGTGGTAGCATCAGCTCAAAAGCCACTGTGGTTTTGACAATAATTAATAGGGTTAAAGTCCTCAAAGGAGGAGTGCAGGAATACTCATGTGTAACAAGGCCTTCTTTAAACATTCAGCCTGAAAGGGGACTGTAGGTGAATTCAAAATGGCAGTAACTTTTAGTGCTGCCTTTCTCACTGCTGTAACAGTTCCCTCATTCTTGACTTTAGCTCTAGGAAGATTCCTGGGGCATTTAAGAATGAATATCACTATACCCATCAGTAGCATCAATCTCTCTACTTTCTACATACTACCTCTGAGTCTGCATCTGGGTTCACTATCTACAGTAGTTTTCATTGCTATTGTTATTGTTCCTGCCCTGGCACATAATCTAGCCCCTGCATCACCCTTCAGGATCTCATTGTAGCGAAAACAGCCTGGCAATTTATGGGGAACGTTTATTTCTCCAACAGTTCTGGGCTGTGCACTGAGCCAATATCCCTCAGACAGCCTCCTGGGTCAGAGGCCAGAACAAAGCCAACCTTGTTTGCTTCTCCACTTCTGCCAACACATCCCTTTCTCCATCACTGTTCTTGTCAACACGGCACTTTTTGTGCTAGTCTTTCCTAGGCAGTAGGTTCCCATAGCTTCTGTAAAGATGCCAATTCCCTTCCCCAAAGCCAGGTGCTGAAAATGAGAATAATCATCTCTCTATTGCTCTGTAAATCCCAGCGGCCACTCTGCAGCCAAAAAGCCTCACTTATTTCTGACCTACTGCACCAAGGTGTTCCATCCTTTCCTGGTTCTTCCCACCTTTTGGCTCCATCCTCACCAGGAAGCAGTTCTGCTTTGACAATTGTGGCCACAATCCAAATGTAATGTGAATAAAGCAAGATAGAAGTTAAATGGATAATATCAATATACACTGTTAAAAATATGCCTCAAGATGATTAAGAATCTCTATATTTTTCTCTTTTCTTCTTATTTCAAACAATTTATCATCAGGTAAATAAACCTTGAATTTCTCTACTATAAGACACGAAGCAGCCTCTCAATCAAGATGGAATGTACCTATCAAAAAGACACTCAATAACCAATGGTGAATGTGTGCATTAATGAATGAATAAAGGGAGACCTAACTGTTTATATCAGAAACACGTAGCATGCAATGCCATTAAACTACTTTTCTTTTCTTTTCTTTTTTTTTTTTTTTGTGATGGAGTCTCCCTCTGTCACCAGGCTGGAGTGCAGTGGCACAATCTCGGCTCACTGCAACCTCTGCCTCCTGGGTTCAAGCAATTCTCCTGCCTCAGTCTCCTGAGTAACTGGGACTACAGGCGCACACCACCACACCCAGCTAATTTTTTTGTTTTTAGTAGAGATGGGGTTTCACTATGTTGGCCAGGATGGTCTCGATCTCTTGACCTCGTGATCTGCCTGCCTCAGCCTCCCAAAGTGCTGGGATTACAAACATAAGCCACTGTGCTTAGTCGCCATTAAAGTTTCTAAACGCTTTTTAAAACACTCCGTATTCTCCCTAAAAGATTTTCACTTATCTTGCGTACTTGTATTTTCTTTAATAAACTTGAAATTTAAACATGTAGGTTTAGATGCTTATTTTTGTTCTAATAAAGGACATTTCTAAATATCATAAAGTATGTTTTCCTTGTATTACTACATGCGTCTTTATATGTAAGTACTCTTTCCCCTTCACATTGAATGTTAATTATAGAAAAAATCTGATCAAAGATTTGTCACCTAGAAAAAAGAAACATGATTTTTAGAGGTAAAATAGACAATAATGGATGCAAAGTCAGGCTTTAATGTCCTTCTTGATGAATGCACATGAAAATGATCAATCAGGCCTATGATTCAACTGCTATGATATAGATCATTGCTGCTATATGATGACAGCTCAAATATGGTCTTTATCATTCTGTTCTTTTTCCAGCATGCCAGCCAGATTTTGTGTAATGTTGAGAATATGCTGAACAGTGCTGAGATTTAAGAATTTCACATTATTTTATTGGTTCCAACATTAAAAAATACTGACTCAGCTTTGCCCCATGAAAGAGGATGGGGAAGTGCTTCTGCATCATGTGGAGTAGGAGTAGGAGTGGTCCTTCTTGCTTCCTAAGGTCATAGAAGAATTTTTAGGGTGCAGTGCTCTATGAGATTCCTGGAAAACAGAGAAGAGGCTTTTAGTCTGCAGTACATGAGGGGTAGTCACTGGGATTTGATTCCAAGCATGTGTGGTCATTTGTATATGACAGTTCCAGTTTCTCCATGCTAAGCGTTGTCAAAGAGCAGCTGCTGTTAGGGTTCAGCCTGCAGGAATCCACTGCCATCACATCAGAGGTCCTGCATCTCAGGATGCAGGTCACAGGACTCATGCCACTCACAGTATCCGCCACTGTTGCCTGCTTCCGAGTCACTCTCTTTTTTGTTATCTTCTTAGGCAGTGTAAACCTACCTCTTCTAGGTTTATCACTAGCCTCATTTAGTCTGCCTGCATATTGTTAAAATGAATGCCTAGATTGAAAATTTATTTCATTGTATTAAAATGGAGTCTCCACAACACAAGACCCCTTTTTAGACTGAGGGGATCAGTCTCTATTGAAACAATCAGAAATCCTTTTGAAACAGAGGAGAGAAAAATCCTGCCTAATGATGAACTATATTAGTGAGAACAGTATTAATTAATATATTGATACATTATTCTACCACAGAGCAACCTCTTTTATTCATTATTCAGCAAACATTTATATTGCAAAATCTTAAAACATAGTACATTCATGTAGCTATCATTGGAAAAAGGTAAGGCAGGCAAAAGCTCATCTTACCATCACTGGAACATATTGTCAATATTTTCTGCCTTTAAAGAGAATATAAACAAAAATAAATGAGACACAAGTTAAACTATATGAAAAAATAGAGACCTTAAGACAGCTTGTTTATAATATGAACTTTATCAAGGAACATTCTTACTGATTAGTCTGGCAGCCCAGGGAAATATGAATAGTTGTCAGGACATTTTATTTTCAAAAATACTTACTATTGGTTACATGTGAAGAAAGAGATATCTGCACATACCTGCATCTCCCTATATGTAAAAACTTTCCACAATTTTTATGTCTTTAACATGTACCATCCAAAATGTTTTCTTGTTAAAAATAATTACGAGTCAATAAAAGAAAAAGAAAGCTCACCATAACACATCAAAATTATGTGCTAATCAGTTTAAGTGATTTTTAAATTAATATGAAGTAATCAAAATGCCAGCACCTGACTAAGGTTCAAAAGCTATGGCTTTTGAGAGAATCTGAGATTAACACTTATTTCCTTATGAAAGATTCACTCTATAGAAGAGTCAAATGAAACATCTGTTTCCTGTTACTCTCTTGAAGAAAATAAAAATTGTGAAATGTTCTAAACTAAGCCGAACAGTCATCAAACAGCTGGGTTTTTTTGGCAAAAAAAAAAGTAAAAGGGATTCTGGGCTAATTGTTTTCCTCTAGGAGACCTGTGGAAGAGATTCTTTTGTCATTAGCATCCAGGAAATGTGATGACTACACTTACCTTTTAATTGCATGCAATTTTATTGAAGATACTTACATGCTAAAAAATTCAATGTATCATTGGTATCTAAAATAGTGCAAAATTACGAAATTTGTGTAAGGAAAACATATAAGACATTTCAGTCCTACTAGACATTCACAAAACTTCCAGTAGCTTTGACCACCGTATGTTGATTATTTTTTGCAACATAGTCCTGAGGAAAAAAAAAAACTGTATTATTGATCTACTTGCATCTCTCAAACATACACACATACACACACACACACACACACACACACACACACACACAGAGATAGAGAGAGAGAGAAAGAGAGAAATACACACACATACACATGTCTCACTCAACCGTCTGAGATACATATACATATATTTTTAAAAGGTAACTAGCAAGTAATGTATGTAAAATATAAATGAGGGTCAACCGTCCATGCCTACTTTGGATTATTATAAATCATAAATCACCTCAAATTTAAAAAGTTAATATTCCATTAGACAAGAGCACTTATGAATTTTATTATTCACTAAGAGTAATTTGGTGTAAAATGCCCCAAAGTTCTAATTTTGCTAGATATAAATATAGTTTATCAAATTTGGTGGAAGGTATATTAGATTTTAAAAATTAACTTCTGCTACAAAAAGTAAAATTATTTCTAAAATTATTTATTTAAATTTTTTGATGTGAGAATTAAGTGGTGTTAATTTATTTGGAGGATTCACCCAAGCCTAAGAGATGACTATTTCCTTACCCTGTCCCCTTGGGTAAATGGAAATCACCATTCTCAATTGGAGAATGAAAATGATCTCTAAATTATCTGCAGTATACTTTAAAAGATATGGAAACCATGGGAACATTGTCATGAAGGCAACAACCATGTTCAAACCATATATGACTTTATCCTCAGTACCTAGCATGGTGTCTAGCTTATAGTGTAGACTCCCAATAAATATTCCATCATTGAATGGAAAAAAGTGTTTCCTTTCCTTTGGAAATTATCAAATATCTTAATACTTTTGCATGCCTGATAACTACTCACCGAAGCTTCTTACATACTTGTACACGTGTGTGTGTGTGGAGGGGGTTATATCTCTTTATCACCCTTAAGTGAACAGAACTAGAGCAGTAATAATCTTAGTATTCTATTAATGTTTTTTTATCATTAATATGCACATTTTATTTCTCTAACTTTTTAATTTTCTTTCTTACTTCTTCCTTCCCTCTCACCTTCCCTCCCTCCCTCCTTTCTTTCCTTCTTTTTTTCCTTCCATCTTCACAACAAAGCAATATGTTCCATGAAACCACCACATGCTCCAGAGGACAAGATCTTGACAACAACTTTTATCTACCATGTGGTCCTTCCCCATCACATGCTTCTGCCTCCTCTCACCCAAATTATCCACCTCCATCAATTTTCTATTCATTATTTTCCTACTTTCCTTTTCATATTTTTAAAAATCTCAGCTCTAAGTATCTCTTAAGACGTATATACAGGTAAATTGACCTACAGATTTAATTTTGATTGTTGTAATTTTGTTAGAATGACATCTTTAATGTGTAATTTGGTGGAACTTAATTTTATTAATTGTGCTTTTGAGTTTCAGGCATTGGTAAACAACATTACAGTTCATTAATTTATACTATTGTGTTAATCTATTAGCATCCCAATTTATCTTCTCTTTTATTATAGAGTATTTGAATTATTTCCTCATTTTTTACTTTTTTTTGTATGGCATCCTTATGATGTTCTGACATGCATCTCATAAAGAGAAAATGCAAAAGTTTATCTTAGTTATATACCTAGGTTGGTAACTACTGAGTTATAGGATATATGAACGTTCAACTTTATGATGCAGTGACAGGCCAATGAGTATCAAAAAGTATTTCTTTCTTGTCTTGATTTGCGTTTTCCTGATTACTAATTAAGTTGTCTTTTGAAGAACAAAATATCTTAATTTTAACATTATCACATTTATTAATTTTAATTAGCAATCCTGTTTATTGCTTAAGAAATATATTTTAATCCTTAGAATGGAGAAGGATTTCTTTAACAATACGCAATCATATTAATTGGGGGTGGTACTGGAATTCCTCAGCCTCGTTGCTTTTCTTGCCCTTCGCCTCTCCCACATAAACTTTAGAATAAACAAGTTTCATAAAACCAATTGAAATTCTAATTGAAATTTCATTGATTCCTCATATCCGCTTAGAAAGACTAGATAGAACTTTTTATAAAATTTAGCCAATCACTTTACTCCTTTAATTTTCTTTAATTCACATAACAGTGTTTTATTCTTTTCCTGTAAAGACCTTATCCATCTGTTAAATTGATTGTGAGGTCTTGAATACTATTGCAAATTGTTTTTTCTCTTCAAATATCCATTCTACATGTTTGTTGTTGGTATAAGCAAATATAACTGATTTTTTCACATTAATTATATTCATTTGTATGTCTAAATTGTTCCATATTTTCTAATAATTTGGTTTTCTATGTAAAAGTTTACATAGAAACATACATCATCTGCAAAACGATAACTATTTTTTCCTTTTTACAATTTCTATGTCTCTAATTTATTTTCTTACCATACTGGCTGGCTACAACCCCAAATAGATGTTAAATGAAAGTAGCAATGGCAGGGTTCTTGTATTAGCTCTGATTTTGAAATAAAAATAAATTTCAAATATTTCCTGTGTAGAATGCTGCTTGTCATAAATATTGTTGATAAATATTTTAAATGGTTAAAAAGGTCTCTTCTTATCCTAACATATTAAGAATTGTAACATGCATTTATGTCAAATTTTATCAATGTTTTAAATATATATTGAAATGTTTACATACATTTTCTTGTCAACCAGTAGTATGTTTTACCAAGCCAAATTTAATAATTTAGTTTGTATTGTTCGTATGGCTTCCCAAAGAGCTAGGAATTTCATTTTTTCTCTTCAATATTCATTTACGCATTCCTATTAAGGCAAATTTGTGAGGGCCAAGATTTAATGGATAACATTGGTATGTTTTTTGTTTATCCATAATAATTTTAAACATTTCATCCTGTTGTAATATTACTATTTTGATGATTTATATATTTTTCCCATATTGGGGTAAATATCTTGGCAAATAACTCCCACGTTTTAATTGAAAATAAAATGTAATGTATTGAGTGAATAATTGTCCATTTGAAATAGTACAAAAATGTTTTAGAGTTAGAAAAGAATAACATGAATCCTTGTTACAGTATGTAGGAGCTTTGTAACATTCTGAAATATATAACCTTTGTTCATATGACTTTATTTATCTGTAATCATGTTAACTTTTTGCTTTGTGAGAATTAAAAACCTGATCTGTATGAAGTAGACAAGATATAAGGTACTTACATTGCTATTATACTTACTATTAGTGATTGTGACCTCTAACAAACATTAAATATGAATGAAAAGACATAAATAAAAGTTAGGTCTTATGAGAAAACTTGGTATAATCTTACATTACACATATAAACTTCAAACTTTCAAATAATCTCAGATTGGTAAATGTGAGTATTCATAATGTAATATCTCCCATTTCTTAAAAATATAATTAAACCTTGGAATGTCCAAATGAAATTCATTTTCTACCATTCTCCATAAATGGAGAACTGGCCATTTACATAATCACATTATGAAAGTCAGTAAGTCAGTGTGTATGTGCAACATCAGGCTTACCTTTGGGCTAATTCTGGATAGATAATTGTGAACCTCATTTTCTATTCTGAGTACTAATAAATGGTTGTTTCCATAGATACACGATGACTTAATTAGAATAATGAGAGTTCAAAATTCATTTGTCTCATGACTTTTAAATATTGAACTCACTCAGCATGCATTAAATGTATTTCTTATATCTCTTTTAAAAACAATAATTAACTTATTATGCTTTTAATATTTGTAGGGGTTAATACATCGAGATAAGATATTATGAGATTTATATTTTCAGTGATTATATAAAATTAACTTGATGGACTGATTGCATACTCTTTGAGGTAGTATTTTGAATGGTCTGGTTATACAAATACATGTTATGGAGTTGGACCTTATGTGCACTCATAACTTATAAGTAAAACTATTAAAGGTTTAATCTATTTTTTCCGACAGCCCCTGTATATCCTCCAAAGCTTTGGGTAATATAAAATAAATTTATTTCCATAATAAAAACTATGTTGTTAAAATCCTCTGTATAGGCTGGGTGCAGTGGTTCATGTCTGTAATCTCAGAACTTTGGGTGGCTGAGGCGGGTGGATCCCCTGAGGCTAGGAGTTTGAGGCAAGCAAGGCCAACATGGCAAAACTCTGTCTCTACTAAAAATACAAAAGTTAGCCAGGTGTGGTGGTGTGGGCCTGTAGTCCCAGCTACTCGGGAGTCTGAGGCAGGAGAATAGTTTGAAGCCAAGAGGTGGAGGTTGCAGTGAGCTGAGATCGCGCCACTGCACTCTAGCCTGGGTGACACAGCAAGACTCAGTCTCAAAAGAAAAAAGAAAAATCGTCTATATAATTACTTTTTTGCATGAGTTAAAACATGTTTTACTTTGAAGTAAAAAAAAAATTATATTACCTTCTATGTAATATTTGAGATTTCAAATATATACATAATAGTAAAGTATAATTAATAAATAATAAGTACCTGTCAGGGAAAATTAATAACTGGACGTCAACTTTTGTAGGATATGAGTATTTATATAAACCATAGAGTGGTTTCATTAGAACATACTTTTAGATTTAACTCTGAGTCCCGGAAGTTAAAAAAGAAAGAAAGAAAGAAAGCCAAAGTAGATGGCTACAAAAGAGAGGATATACTTAGATGAAACACATTACTTCATCAAGCAAAATTTTACCTTATTTCTATTTGGGAACAATTTTACTAACATTTCTGGATTTTTCTACTGTGGATACACTATGCCTTACATTATAGCAGATAATATCTTGTTTATCATGGTTCTGTGGATATAGAGTTAAATGCAAACAAGACTTTCCCATTATTTTTTTCCTCCCAGGTAGTAGTGCTAATCAATGAAAATGTTTGTGACTAAAAACTTCAGAGCAAGCATTCTATGAAAGGCAGAATAGTGTGCAGTTATTATAGTCTAGTGTGGTTACTGTATTGTAATACAATATGATTGTATTTTGGCAGTCTTCATCTGAAAATACATATAAGAGCGTCTCAGGAAATGAATGATTTTTCAAAGAAACTTTTTTGAAACAACTGTTCACAAATACTAGTACTCCATACTGGATGTTTAAGTAAGAGTTAGCTAAGAGACAATAATGAGTCCAGTTCTAGGCTGAAATCCTATGTGTTATCTTTCAGGACCAAACATAGGCAATTACAAGTCTTTGCCTTCCAATCCTTATGGGGGAAACTGTACTCCACACATGAGATTTGGTATATAGTCAGCACATTGGAGCTTTCTAGAGAGAGTTGCAATAAAAATGTTGCCTTCTGAGCCAGCCAAGTTCATACACATATTTGCATTCCCCGTCTAGGCACCTCTATTCAGAAGCCTCCTAATCAAGGGAGTAAGCTGATGCACTCATCTCCACTCCGACTTTGTACTTTTCCACTTCTAGCCCATTCTCTTCCTTTCTTCTACCTCCAGGGTTCATAAAAAGTCAGGAGCTTTTGTTCAGGGTCTTCAGAGGTGAGATAATTGACTTCTCTCTACTGTATCATTTGTCCACACCTGGTGCCATTCCATGGAGGCAAAGAGAACACTGGTGAGCCAGTGCCTTTCTTATTGACCTCTTGCTTTCACTGTTGTGGTAAGTGAATAAAAGCTTGATTGTTACTTTCAGTTTGGATCTTTACCCTAATTGACCACCATAACACCCAGAAGCTCAATAGACAATTTGATGTTATTTTTCTCTGGCTGCAGTATGAACTATAGAATCAATTGAATTGTTGATTTAAAACAGAACATACTTGAGTTCAGTATTTTGAATAGCAGTGAGTCAGCAGCAAAGGACCTTTTGTGAACTGACTTATAGTGATGAGGACTGAAACTAGTTGAGGCTATAACACTATCATGAAGCTGAAGGTAAACAGAATGTGATGGAAATGTAATCAAACTGACAGTATAATACCATATAAGAAATTTACTTGATCTCATGCTGAAGGAAAAGTTTGGAAGCTAAATAGACAGGCAATGGGGAAACAGAAGTCAAAATTGGAAGCAGGGCAAATGAGAAACACTGGAAACCCAGTCTGGAGTCAAAAAACAAAGAAGTCCCAGATATCATTAGAGCAGATCATTCCAGGGAGCATATTCAAAAAAAGCACTGAGATATTCAAATTTCAAAGAAAGAAAGTAAGTTTTAGGTCATAAATTGGGCAGACAATTTAGACACAAACAAAGCAAATTAGGAACAGAAAAGATAGAAAGATATTTGGACAATTTTGGTGGTGGGAGGGCATACAAGAAAAGCAGAATTTAAAATGGGAAGAAGGGAATTTGGAGTTAATGTAGAGCATCAGCAACAGACAGCCTGAAACTCTCAGTGTCAGGTAGTAGACAGAATATAGAGTTAGTGGTCAGATACACTGGGTTTGGGAAAGACTTCCACATTTACTATTTGTCTCAATCTGGTCCAACCTTGTTAAAATGATACAAAATTGAGCTCAAAGTGGCTTAAAAATGTAGGAAGTTTATTCCCTCACAGAACTGAATAGGGTTTGGTGAGGTTGACTTAAATACACTTAATTAAGGAGTCAAATAATTTCACAAGGCCTTCACCAGGGCCTTTAGCTCTTCTTGTCTCATACTACCTTCCTGTATACTGATTGTGGTATCTAACATAACCCCTCATGGGGCATAGTTGCTACAGCACTAACAATCTTTCTGTTCACATCTCCAGGTGCAATAGGAAGAGAATGCTCCTTTACTTGAAGCCTCAGCAATAGTTGTTATAAGAATCCTTATAATTAGACTGCTGGGTAGCATGCTAACTCCTGAAGAATCACTGTACCTAGAGGAGTACGAAATAGTGTGATGGAGGATCTACTCAAGAGTTAAAGGGGGGTTATAAGATATAATATATGCATATAGCCCAGGTCCTAATCTAATGTAACTACCTAGCATATGTAGCTTTTTAATTATCTTGCCTTCATAAATATGGATAATTTTTAAAAATACTTATCTGCTTTGTACCATGGAAGTGTCAGTCCCAAGGCAGTTTTCAGAGGAGAGCAAGTTCAATGCAGTACAACATGCAGCAGATGATTAACCTGGATATGTTACGTGTTCAAATTTAAGGGCAGGATTTTAACAAAAACAGAAAAGAGGAGTATATATCCTCCTTGTCTTATGATGGGATGACATACCAATAAGCCTATCATGAGTTTAAAATGTCGTAAGTTGAAAGGCATTTAATAAACCTCATCTATCCAACATCATAGCCTAGCTTAACGTACTTTATACATGCTCACACTATTTAAATTAGCCTACAAGTTAGGCAAATTCATATAAAACAAAGCCTATTTCATTAAAATGTGTCGACTGTCTCATGTAATTTATTGAATACTTACTGAAAATGAAAAATAGAATGGTTGTATGCGTACTCAAAGTACAGTTTATACTGAATGCATATCTCTTTGCCATCGTTGTAAAACTGAAAAATCATTAAGTTGAACTATCATCAGGGACCACTGCACTAGGTATCTAGATACATAGAGAAAAAGAGCCGGAAACTACGGCTGTAGGTTAAATTTGTAACCAGTATTTCGCAGTGTTGCCCTGGTTTTCATCGTTCTCATCTTATCAGATAAGCTATTGTATTCTGAGCTCACAAAATTTATACAGGGAAACTAGGAATTAAGAATCCAATTAAAAAGTCAAAAATAAATCATTTTTCTCTACCCAAAGAGTGGAAGACTTTGCCTTGCAGTACTCAAAATTATGTGTCTATATTAATATACTAAAGCTAATATGAACCTAACATATAACTATTGGAGAGTATTATTTATTTATTTATTTAATCTTTCTCATTAATTATTAATTTATGATTCAATCAAAATTTAGTCAGAATCCAATGCGTGCTAAGCATTCCGTTAGTTGTTGTGAAACAACAAAATTTCTGTTTTTCAGATGCTCCCAATTCATACAGTAATTAAAATGAAAACAAAATTTTTAATGTAAGGGCTTTTGCATGTGTTTATACATTATGCACAATTATTAAATTTCAATCCTAAACATTGAAATTTACTGAAAAAGTAATAACTTTGTCTAAGATCTGGTCCTCATCTAAACTCTGCCTCTAGTACATAGTCATCCTTAAGATTTAAGTCGGCTGTGTGCGGTGGCTCACGCTTGTGATCCCAGCACTTTGGGAGGCCAAAGCAGGAGGATCATCTGAGGTCGTGAGTTTGAGACCAGCCTGACCAACATGGAAAAACCCCGTCTCTACTAAAAATACAAAAATTAGCCGGGCGTGGTGGCACATGCCTGTAATCCCAGCTACTTGGGAGGCTGAGGCAGGAAAATCGCCTGAACCCGGGAAAGAGAAGTTGCAGTGAGCAGAGATCACGCCATTGCACTCCAGCCTGGGCAACAAGAGTGAAACTACATCTCAAAATATATATATGTATATGTACGTATATATGTACATATATATGTGTACACATATATGTATACGTACATATACGTACACATATACGTATATGTGTACACATATATGTATATGTACATATACGTACACATATACGTATGTGTACACATATACGTATATGTACATATACGTACACATATGCGTATGTGTACACATATACGTATATGTACATATACGTACACATATACGTATATGTGCACACATATATGTATATGTACATATATATGTACACATATACGTATGTGTGCACGTATATGCACACATATATGCACACATATATACGCGCATTTATGCACACATATGCGCACACATATGCACACACGCACATGTGTACACATGTGTATGTACGCATATGTGTGCGCATATATGTACACATATGTGTGCGCATGTGTGTACACATATGTGTACATATATACAGATGTATATGTATATGTGTACGTATATATATATTTTTAAGTCAACTCCTCACTCTCCCATGAACTATTCCCAACCATCTACCATCTTTTCTGGCCTCCCCAATAACACTGTAACTTTCTCTAAAGTCCCAAGGTTATGGAATATGCATATTTTATATTTCTTCAATAACTACAGTAAATACTGAGCAATACATAAATAATTAAAATGTTTGTGAGATTAAGTAACTCATGAAAAGTCAATAGATATATTTTCTAGTGTATGCAGAAGATGCTATCCTTAGTTAAGACTCTAAGGAACTAACCCAAGGTATATAAAATGTTTAAGTGAGCTCTGAAATTATATAAGAAATAAATTTTATCACTTTTTTAAGTAACTGAAAGTTTTGGACGACCCTCCAAATAACATGAAGGTAGAAGTCATTTTATATCCTTTGATTAGAATATTAAAAATATACAAATAAGTTTATAAAATACATATATATATAAAGGGAAAGAAGTAACATTACATCCAAAAGCAGATAGCAAATGACTGCATAGTTATAATCAGTGCTTTTAAATAGCATTGACTTATCCTAATGAAAGGTTCTGTCAAAATCTATTTCACATGCTAGTGAAAAAATCGATAAAAGTGATATTTGGGTATAATAAACTTCAAGTATAGTGATAAGACTAAATGTTAAAATGTCAAGATAAATACACTTCAAAATTATTCTTGCCATATTAAAATGTAAAGTTTGCAATTCAAGCAAATAAATTTTAAGTAGCCATGTAGTATCTGGTTAATGTTTAATCACTTCAGAAAATTCTGATCTAATATTTTGGTTAGTAGATATGGCACCATAGAAAAATTATTTTAAATAACTTTTAACTTCAGGGATACATGTGCAGGATGTGCAAGTTTGTTACATAGGTAAATGTGTATCATGGGGATTTGCTACACGATAATTTGTTAACTAATTATTTAACTAATAATTAACTAATGTTAATCACCCAGGTATTAATCCTAGTACCCCTTATTTTTCCCTTATCCTCTCCTTTCTCCCCATCTCAACCCTCCAATAGGCCCCAGTGTGTGTTGTTTCCCTCTATGTGTCCATGTGTTCTCATCATGTAACTCCCACTTGTGAGAACATGCAGTATTTGCTTTTCTGTCCGTGTGTTACCACTTAGCTCCCACTTAGAACATGCGGTATTTGGTTTTCTCTTCCTATGTTAGTTTGCAAAGGATAATGGCCTCCAGCTCCATCCATGCCCCTGCAAAGGATGTGATCTCATTCTGTCTTATGGCTGCCTAGTATTCCATGGTATATATGTACCACATTTTCTTTACCCAGTCTATCATTGATGGGCATTTAGGTTGATTCCAAATCTTTGCTATTGTGAACAGTGCTACAATGAACATACGTGTGCATGTATCTTCATAACAGAATGATTTACATCCCTTTGGGTATATACCCAGAAGTGGGATCGCTGGGTCAAATGATGTTTCTGTCATCAGGTCTCTGAGGAATAGCCACACAAAATGTTATAAACCTACTTACATTTCTCCTCCTGTCAAAAACCAATGGGGGAAGCAATCTGTTCATCACATCACTTTGCACACTGTGATTTGCCCCCGAACTTCACAACGTTGTTAGTAACAATAATACTGTATTCTACCATCTATCAAATAAAGGTCTTATTTTGACTCCTTTTAATTTGTCATAATCTATGACTTTTCTACATCTTTGATAGTTATCTTTCCTTTTCTAGGTTTCTGTTATAATTCTTCTAGAATAATTCATGAGGTTAGGTGTTGTGGTCTTAAATATATCTGAATTGCTTGACATGCATTTACCAAGATATTTATAATGTCTTAAAAATGAGTAGAAGTGAAGAAATATATCACTTTAGATACAAAGCCAAACCATGAAAAACGTGAGAAATTTGTAGCCACTTGTAATTCTGATTAGTTTCACTACATCCTTTGGATTTATAGATTTGATTTGGCATGGTACATCTTTTATGAATGTTAACATACCCAAACAAGAATAATAATAAAGCTGAAATTAATTTAAATTAACACTAATACATTCATGTTGTAACTCATCCATTTCTAAAGCTGAAAATGTTATTATAATGTCTCTAAGGAATTCTTAGGATCTTACATAGTTTTCCACATTTTTAGATTTCTGCAATTGGATGAGACGGTTGTTTAGAACCATTATAATTGTTACTGAGAAATTGTAAATCACAAACCTTTATAATTACTGAAAGATATATAGAGGGACACTTCCTGAATGGAGAGCCCTCCTTTCATATATTCACATGGCTCACTCCCCCAGTTCACTCAATTATGCTCCAATGTCCTTCCTGTAAGGGGATGTCCCTGAGTTGCCTCCTACTACCAGTTAACAAAATATCATCTTATTTTTTTTGTAGCCCACAATCATGACTTCCTGCTTTATTTTTTAAAATATTTGTGTTCTTGCCAACTGAACTCTTTTTGAAGACAAAAATGTTCTATATCCAATTTCTCTAATAGGATCCTCAATAGTCCTCTGTAAGTACTGAGCATTTGAAATGTGACCAGCATGACAGAGGAACTGGATTTATAATTTTACTTGAATTTTGTGAATTTGTACCATATGGTACAGTGAAACCTGATAACATTTGTCGCTGCTCAACTTCATTTCTTTCTTTTCCATTCTCTGCACTAGAATGGAAGTTTTATGAGAGTAGGAATTTTGTGTTGTTTAGTGCCATATTCTCAGAACAGTCACTGGCATACATTAAAAATTCAGTAAATTTTTGTTGGACAAATAGATGCACCAGAAATACAGTATTGTAATCAAATACTTATAACACAGCCCTCATAGATTCCTTGGAAAGAGTTTAAACATTTTAAAAAATCAATCATATTTTGCAGTTTATATACACTTTTATGCCTATTGTGAATAAATACACTTATAAACTATAAAATTAATAATTAAGGCTCAAAATACCAAAAACAAAAATGTAATTTTTGAATTATGTCTACAAAACACCCAACATCTGGTAAATTTGAAGATAATGTTAGCTGTTTGTGCTTCATGACAAAGGACTTCCCAGACTGACTGAAATTAGAGTCACTAAAGGTTTCTAACTCTCTCGCTGTCAGAAGATTTTGGCGCAAAGAAGTGGAGAGGAGTTTGAGAATATTAAATATCTTAGAGAAGGCCAGGCACTGTGGCTCACACCTCTAATTCCAGGACTTTGGGAGGCCATGGCGGGTAGATGACCTGAGACCAGGAGTTGGAGACCAGCCTGGGTACCATGGCAAAACTCCGTCTCTATAGAAAATACAAAAAATTGGCACAGTGGTGCATGCCAGCTACTCAGGAGGCTGAGGTGGGAGGATCAACTGAGCCCTGGAGGTCAAGGCTGCAGTTAGCCATGATCAGGCCACTGCATTCCAGCTAGGGCGATAGAGCGAGATTCTGTTTCAGGAAAAAAAAAAAAATCTTGAAGGAAATAGTCTGATTTTATATAGTCTTTAAATTTCACTAAGTTCTTTTGATGTCATTTAGCAGAATCTCAAAATATTTAATGTTTCCAGCTAAAATCAAAGCATGTGCTTTTCAGATTTTAAAGGTTAAATCTGTATGTTATGGATTACATCAGAAATCTGGGGATTATTTCTAAAAATAATAAAAATCTACGTGATTTTATTATCTCGTAATAAAAAAAATCTATATATGTCAAACCACATTGAGTAGCCGGAAACTATGAATAGGAAGAAGAATAGAGAATGTTCATCTTTAACTTCATTTGATGATGACAATTCATTGTTGCTTTTATTAATGAGCATTTTTGTATACTATTTATAGTTAATGGTATTATTTATTGAAAGTTACTATTTCTTCAGATAATATATTGATATAGTTTGGATATTTGTCCCCACTCGAATCTCATGTTGAATTGTAATCCCCAATTCTGGAGGTGGGTCCTCATGGGAGGCATTCGGATCTCCGGGGCAGATCCCTCATGGCTTTGTGCTGTCTTCACGATAGTGAGTTCTCCAAAGATCTGGTTATTTAAAAGTGTGTGGAACCTCCTCCTTATTCTCTCTCACTCCTACTGTGCCATGTGAGACACCTGCTTCCCCTGCCCCTTCTGCCATGATTGTAAGCTCCCTGAGGTCTCCCCAGAAGCGAAGCAAATGCCTGTGCTGTGTTTCCCATATGCACTGCAGAACAGTGAGCCAATTAAACTTCCTTCCTCATTAATTACCTAGTCTCAAGTATTTCATTCTTACCACAATGCGAAAACAGCTTAATACAATATTCTAAACAAATTTATTACTCCAGACATACTACTAGGTATTTTTTCTTTGTTTGTTTGCCTTTTATACAGAATGACATAGCTATTAATAAATAATAAGTAAAATTTAGAATTAACTCAGTGAAGTGTTATTTTTTCTGATCATAATTCAATTTTATATGCCTTAACTTTGTTTTTGGTATAGGCAATGAATTCTTCACACATATTTTATGTTTATGAATACAAAAATGATAATATTTATAAATGCTGTAGATGTGCTTACATGAAAGAGAATGATTTTTAGACAAAATAAAATTGAGTTTAGTATTAAGATGGCTTGGGTTTCTTTGATTTCATGCTTTAGCAGTATCTGTTAGTGAATAAGAATTACAAGAGCATTTAACAAATTGTGTTCAAAGAAACACTAATTCTGAAAGTTGTCAATAGGTCGTTTATAAAATTAAAGTGTTCTGTAGTCATAAAAATTTCCCCTCACATACAGAATAACTATTAATACATCATGAGTGCCATTTGCTACACATAGATATGGGAAAACTAGCTTAAAAGTGCATATGTATTGAAAAAATAAGTATAACTTGGAGGAACTTCTTTGTTTTACATGTCTATTTTTCACATTTATAACATAACTCTATATGAAAAAGAGTGGGATTATGTTAATTAAACTAACGTTTTAAGCAGGCAGTTATTTTGCATTTATTCTGGTGGATACTGTTAAGCAAATTGAACTTGGCTTAACCCTAGATTTAGTAAAATGAATTGCAATACGATCGCATGGATATTTCGTAATAGGAGTTACTGTTTATTTCTCTGAAATTTCAACTTTGTATATGAACTGAGCAGATTAATGTGAGTATTGTAGCTTCTCTAAAATAGTTACATCAATTGTTGTCAAGCTGAGCTTTTAATAATTTCTTAGATTACAAGTTGTGGTATCTCTACACATGTGGAAGTCTCCAGTAGCATTTTCTGATTAAATAAGCTGCATAGTTATTATTTCCTGGGGAAAAAGAAATAAAATACTTTGAGGGTAAGGCATTATCATTGCATTTTACCAAAATTAAAAGGGACAATGATAATAGAAATGTTCTTAATAATATGTAGGCATAAAGTTCTTACTAACAAGATCAATAAAACGCAGAAATCTGTAAATGACCCATTCTACAGTGAAGAGATTATGCCAGTATTCTACAAATGGATTATACTTAATAGAAATACAATAACGTTGATTTCTTTAAAAAAAAATGGAAGAGTTGAAAAAATCAACTATTCAAATCTCATTGGAATTTCAGGAAGTTGACAGCTCATATTACTAATAAAAAAAGGAAATCTAGAATATTCAAAAGTTGTACATCATACTGATAACCATGATGTTAAGGTGCTTCCAAACATATCAGTAGAATTCAGAGAACTCTCCGATGATTACAGAGAAAATATAGAAGTCAAATCATAAGAGATACATGTATACAGTATTTACTATCTATCAGGCACTTTTCTAAGAGCTTTTGGCATAATAACTTTTCTAATGTTTACAAAGATTCTGAGCAACAATGACTATTATTTCCATCTTATGGATAAAGTAACCATTGAAATTACATAACTTACCCAAGGTCACAGATCTAGAAAGTGGCAAAACTGGTTCCAGTTTGAGAGATAGTTCACACACTATACTACCTTGTCTGTGGTGTGGATATTTTTATATGTACTATACTACATGCCCCTAAATATACTTATTTTTTAAATATCCATGTGTTTTTAAGCTAGTTTTCCCAGATCTATGTGTAAAAAATGGCACCCTTGATGTGTTAGTAGTTATTCTGTGTGAAGGGAAGGTTTTACAACTATAGAATACTTGAATTTTATTAACTACGTATTGAACCTTTCAGAATTAGTGTTCCACAGAATACAGAAATAAATTATTTCATAAGATTTTTGTGTATCCAAGGGTCTAGTCAAGTTTTCTGGAAGATGGGGAGAAATTAGTACATTTTTCAAGTTGGATTTGTATGCTTTGTGTTGATATTGCTTGAGTTTTTGTCATGAATATTCAATATCCCTCGGAAATTTTTATACACCATTAATTAAGTATATATGATTGATTTTAAATTTTTTTTCTTTAACTGAGTTATAACTTTAAGTTATAGTAAGCATGACAATGTTTCTAACAAGTTAAAATTAATGTTAAAATGAAACTTACAAATGTGCTATTCAAGTGCTGAAGATAATGCAAGCTTAAAGTGTGCTACAATTTGTATTTTGTAAACTGCCAATAGCTACTCAAAATCCCTTTTCTTCAAGTTTTAACAACAAATACAAAATGTATTATACCAATAGTTTTTCAATATTTATTCCATTTTTGATAGAGCAACTCCAAGATAATTTCTGATCTATTTTAAAACTATAACTCAAGTAAATGATATTATAAATAATTTTTGAGTGTTTATCAACAAAATGTATTTTTTCCTTATATAATTTAAGGTACCATGTTTCTCACTTGTTAAATGGAAAACAAGCTAATACATTTCTAGTGCATAAGTTGGAAATGTTTTGACTGCAGGTAACAGAACACACAACTTATTCTGATATTTGTTGCATAATTCATAAAGGCTAGAAGCAGACATTTCTCTGTTTCTTGGCCTCAATATAATGTAGCAACTAAAGCATTAACCCCTTACAACACACTATCCACAGAAAAAGACAGAGTTCTTAATCCCCTTTCTCTTATCAGATAATAACATTTTGCCCATAAGCATTAAACAGATATTTCTATGTATATTTGGCCAGAACTATATCATATACCACCTGAGAACTGTCATTGGAAAAAGAGAATGAGAATATCATTAAAGAATTTAACTCAAATTAATTCAAGCCCTTGGTCTGGGTACTTTACTCTACAAACACTATTGGAGACCTATTAGCAAGTAAAGAAAGAGAAGAATGGCTCTGTGAAAACAACCAAATATTTTTAGCATGAATATAAAATATAATTAAATATTATAATAAAAGGAAATGTATATTGTAATATTTATAACAAATCGTAACATGTTATTTCTGACATAAAACCTGTTTTATTATATACCATGCAATAAAGAACAGTTGTTTGTTTATTGATTGTTTTAATTACCAATGGGATATCAATAAGATATATTTTTAAAGTACTTTCCAATTCAAAGAGCATGGGGATCATGTGCAATACATGGAAGCAGATAAAATATTTCAAGAGTAAAATAGCCCAAGTTTCCATTTTGTATTATCCTCACATGGCCTGTCTGCAGCATTTATGGCTTGCAAAAAATACAAGTGTCTGCTTGACACTTTATAATGGAAATTGGAAATCAAATGTGCTCTCAAAATTTCAACTGAAAAAGAGCATTGGCTTAGAATCTAGCATAATTGGATTCTTAGCTCAGTAGATACTTATAATCCTACTTGATCAAGAGTTCTGTGAAAACACAGACCTTGTTACATTCAGATTTCAGTTTCAATAATGCTCATCTACGATGTTCTTAGCACACAATTATTACAATGTGTGATACCTATAGTAAAAAAAAACTTCATCTCTTGGCCTAATAAGTTAACACTTCTAAAAAGCTGTTTTCCTTCTTATTTTTAAAGAAAATTTAAAAATAAATATTAATGCATACATACACGAGGGAGACATAGTATTACACCATGTTGCACAAACCTGGCATTAAAGAAAATTTTTCAAGTTTGCAATTCTTGGCACAGATAATTTTTGTTTTCTTTTCAATAGAGAGCATATGCCTATTTCTGGATATGCAGCATCCATTTCTAATATCACCCAAATTACCTGTTTAGAGAAACTACGTTTTCCCTATTGGGCAAGTAAAGAAACAGGTATATAATGTGACCTAGGCAAAATCCTCCCTTACAGTTCAAATCTTGAGCTTCAAAATGGTTGCAGAGGCAGGGAGTGGTGGCTCACACGTACAATCCCAACATTTTTTGAGGAGAGCAGATCACTTGAGGTCAGGAGTTCGAAGCCAGCCTGGCCAACGTATTGAAACCCCATCTCTACTAAAAATACAAAAATTAGCCAGGCGTGGTGGCATGCACCTGTAATTCCAGCTACTAGGGAGGCTGAGACAGGAGAATTGCATGAACCTCAGAGGTGGAGGTTTCATTGAGCCAAGATTGTGCCACTGCACCCCCAGCCTGGGTGACAGAGCAAGACTCCATCTCAAAAAAAAAAAAAAAAAAAAAAAAAAGGTGGGGATCCTATTGATGACATTATCACCAGATGTTCTTGTTTAAAAACTTTATGATGATTCCAATTTCTTTTTCATGTGCTGCCTCTTCGATGTTAGTGTTGGGTTTTAGCCTGCATTTCCAGCCTACACTAAGTTCTACAAACTTTTGTTACCTTTTATTTAAAAGTTTTTCTTTTCAGTAATGGAATAAAGATTCATTTTTTGTTGTTTTTGACCTCAAAAATTGTCTAATGTTTTGCCAAAATATTATTCTTAAGCTTTTAATTCTGAAGCCTGCTTATAGGAATTATGCAAATACATGCTTACCATGGTATAATTTTAGTTATTTTGTTAGAATATAGTCCAATCCCAAGCTTTTATAATGCAGATTTTAACATTAAGAAAATGCAATAGTCATGTTTGAAAATCAGCTTGTAAAAAAGTTAAAAGTAAACTGCTAGAATATGAAATTCGAACACCTTTTTTCAGAAGCAAATTTTTAGTATGAAAGGACACAGTTTTAGTGGAATACACTAAATTTCAATGTCTTGGATTTCTTCTATCAGTGTACATTTCAAGGGTACCCGACTTTTGTAGAAAATTCTTTTTCACACAAACCTCCCAAGCTTTTTTTTCAAATAACATTATAACTAATACCAATGTCTTCTTTTCTTCCTTACTTTTGGCTTAGTATTTCTATTGTTTAAAGTATCATATTCATGATTTCAGCTCCCACAAGGGCTTGTTGTTTTTATATAGTGAAAAAAAATTATGTGACTGTCCTTTTCAAAAGTATGAAAAGGACATACTTTTGTAAAGGACAATCACATAATCTTTATTATGTGACTTAGTGAAAATGTTACATGTCCTGTCAGCCTATACAAATTCAGAGCTCCTGGGATCATGAGTCAAAAGTTTAAGGTTTGTTTCACTAGAGAGTATCCTTGCATTTTTGCTAGCATAGCCTAAAAACTTACATAGTTTGAAGAATGAGAAATTTTATAAATCTTAGAAAATGACAACTTTGCTTAAACTTATTTGGGGCAATAACCACATAACTACCAATCCAATATAAAGATCCTGTCTATGATTTGTAGATACCTAGCCCAAATTATATGTTTCCTACATTTATTAATTGTTGATTTTCAATCAAATATTGAAGTTCTAGTGTGACTCCATTTTTTCCAGTAATAATTATGAAAAAAAAACCTTTTAATATTATCTGGTTATTTTTAGAACTATTAGTTTGTCAGTGAATTTGCCACTAGGTCATTGGCTCTCAAACATGGCTCTTTGTTGGAATCACTTGGGTTCATTTTAAAATTCTGAAGCCTTAAGGTCCAAGTTTCACTATCAAAGATTCTCACTTAATAGGTTTGATTGGGGACTTAGCAATGGTGTTTTAAAAAGTTCTCCAGGTGATTTTAATGTACATCCAGGGATACATTACAATGTATACCTTTTCCATAAAGGCTTGATGATTACTAATAAAAAATGCAGCCCATGGAAAAAATTGAGCCTCAAGTATCCCAATTTTTAACTTCTATATTGGTAGAACTTAATACTTATCTAATTAGTGACTATTTTACTATTACAGAGCAAAATCCTCTATTGAATTTTTATTTCTCAGTATTCACTCAATCTGACCCTTAAGATGGGTAAAGATATTATTTCATTCTTATTTTCTACCTGATCAAAATAATTATTTACATGTATTATTCAGAGAGTATGCCAGTGTTGTGAAAGCCTAAGAACACTAGTATAATATACCTACCACTAAAACTTATTTAATATGGACTCTATATTTAATCTTTTTCTTCTCAGGTCTTCTAGTTCTAATGTTATTATACTGGCCTAGTATTCTGTACTGACTGAACAGTTTTTAAGAAGAAATAGCTTTTAGTGGGATAATTTTTGGAGAATAACTTTAGAACATTAACTTGATCATACTATTACACAGTTTAAAATAAGAAGAACCCAAATTTACTTTACTTATTTTATTTTATTTAACACAGTTAAGGAAGAATGTAATATGGATAATAATTGTAACAATGGTCATGCTTAAGATGTACCCATCCCTATTCTGTGTATTTAATATAATCTTTAATCAATGAAATAATAAAAAGGAAGGCCTAATAATATCCACTTCATAAGTAAAATAACAAAATGTTGTATAGGTTAGATTCATACAGCTAGAAACTACCAGATTCCGATAGTTTTTAAAAAGTGGTAGGGTAAGTTTAGCCTTACTCTAAAACTAATAATTCATTCATTATACCATAATCAATCAATATTTTTGGAAAAATAAAAGGAGGCTATTAGGTCCTTAAAAATAATCAGTAGCACCAACTTGTAAATAGAAAAATATAGTATCTCATCTAGGAAAAAATACAAAGAAAATGTGTATAGTTAATATGATGTTCTTAAACTAGGTAAATCTTATATTTATTGGAGTTTAAAAATTTCTCAGATGCTCTTGCTGTCTTCCTCTTCCTCATTCCCCCAGTTCCTAAACTCCCCTCACACACAAACACCCCAGTGAAGAAAAGGGCTAGCAACTTACCTATAATCCAAACTCTTTCCCCAGAGGAGAAAAAGAAATAGCATTCAATTTCTTCCTGATGATAATTACTAATGAAAGATAAAATGAAGTTCTTATTTATGAATTACTTTTAGCATGATTTTCTTAGTGTCCATGTTTTTTTTTTGTAGACAAACTGAGAATTTATTGATTTACAAGGGATGAAACTCTGGAAAATGTCCCTTAATATATAAATCAGTGTAGTATAAAATGTTGATCTTCATTACCTAAATTGCTTCCATGAGCTAAATGATACACCACGTGCACCACCTAAAAATGTACATGATAAATCTGGACCAACATGCTGCTTTAATGAAACAAGGGTGTATTTGTGAAAATGGTTGATATTACTTCAGGTTCACCTATCTTTCAATTATCCATAACCTATCATTGGTAACATACGAATTAGCAAAGTAGAGTGCTGTGTAAGATTTCTGATTCTTATGAGACTGATTTGACAAGCACCTTAAAAATGAAATAATTAGTCAGGGCACCGTGACTCATGCCTGTAATCCCAGCACTTTGGGAGGCCGAGGCGGGTGGATCACGAGGTCAGGAGATTGAGACCATCCTGGCTAACACAATGAAACCCCATCTCTACTAAAAATACGAAAATTAGCTGGGCATGGTGGCGGGCACCTGTAATCCCAGCTACTCAGGAGCCTGAGGCAGGAGAATGGCATGAACCCAGGAGGCCGAGCTTGTGGTGAGCAGAGACTGCGCCACTGCACTCCAGCCTGGGCGACAGAGCCAGACTCCTTCTCAAAAAAAAAAAAAAAAAAAAGAAATAATTAGGTATAAATCGAACAAAATATGTATGGTATCAAATGGATAAAACTATAAAATTAAGATAAAAGAAATCAAAGAAGATATAAATAAATGGACAGATATTCCATGTTCATGGATAGAAAGATTCAATATTGTTAAAATATCAATTATTCTCACATGATCTACAGATTTAATGCAATCCCAGTAAAATCCCAGCAAGTTATTTTGATGACAAAAACAATCTCTTTTAATCATTATTCAACGAATATTTATATTGCAAAATCTTAAAACATAGTACAATCAAGTAGTTATCATTGGAAAAATAATTATATGAAAAGTCTAAAGCCCATAACATTAAATATATAACTGAAGCAGAAGAACAAATTTACAGGACTGACACTATGAAATTTAAGACTTACGGACAAACCAGTTAATGAAACAAAACAGAGAACCCCAAAATACACCTACTGTATTTGTCTGTTCTCACATCACTATAAAGAACTACCTGAGACTGGGTAGTTTACAAAGAAAAGAGGTTTAATTGACTCACAGTTCCACAGGCAGTACAGGAAGCATGGCTAGGGAGGCCTCAGCAAACTTACAAGATGAAGGGGAAGGAGGCACATCTTACATGACTGGAGCAGGAGAAAGAGAGAGTGAAGGGGGAAATGCTACACATTTTTAAAACAACCAGATCTTGTGATAATTAACTCACTATCACGAGAACATCAAGTGGGAAATCCACCCCCATGATCCAATCACCTTCCACAAAGCCCCTCCTCCAACGATGGGAATTACAATTTGACATGAGATTTGGGCAGAGACACAAATACAAACCATATCTCTCACTTACAAAATATAATCAACTGATTTAGACTTTAATAGTCCATTCTCATGCTGCTATAAAGACCGAGTAATTTATAAAGGAAAGAGGTTTAATTGACTCACAGTTCCACAGGGCTGGAGGGGAAACTTACAATCATAGCTAAAGGGAAAGCAAATTATGTCCTTTTTCACATGGTGGCAGGAAGAAGGAAGAAGAAGTGCTGAGCAAAGGGGGAAAAGCCCCTTATAAAACCATCAGAGCTCATGAAAATTCACTCACTATCATGAGAACATGATGGTAACTGACCCCATGATTCAATTGCCTCCCACAGGGTCCCTCTCATGACACATACAGATTATCAGAACTAAACTTCAAAATGATATTTGAGCCAAACCATATCATTGACCAAGGAACAAAAGCAATTAAATGCAGAAAAGATAGTCTTTCCAGCAAATAGTGCTGGAAAAACTAGCCATTCATATTTAAAATCAAATATAAAAATTAAGAATCTAACTACAGATCTTATACTTTGCACCAAAATTAACCCAAAGTACATTAAAGACAAAAATTCAAAATTCAAAATTATAAAACTTTTAGGAGATAACATAGGAGAAAGTCTAGGAGACCATAGAAATCAGTATGTTGAAGAAATGTCTGCACTCCCCTGTTTATTTGCATCATTAGTCACAATTGCCAAGATGTGAAATCAAACTATGTCCGCCAACAGATGAATAGTTGAGAAACATATATATATATAATGGAATACTATTTAGTTTTTAATAAAGAAAACTTGCCATTTGTGACAACATATGTGAACCTGGAAGACATTTTGCTAAGTGAAATAAGCCAGGCACAGAAAGATAAGTATATAATCTTACTTATATGTGAAATTTAATACAATGGAACCTATAGAAGTAGAGAACATTATGGTGGTTGCCAGTGGCTAGGGGTGGAAGGGAAGCAAAAAATGAAGAAATAGAATGCCAAGTTTCAGTTAGATAGGAATAAGGAAGGATAAATTTCAAGATCTAGTACATAGCATGGGGACAATAACTAATAATTATGTATTGCATATTTCAAAATTGCTAAGAGAGTACATTTTAATATTCTCAGTAAAAAAAAAGTATGTGAGGTGATAAATATGCTAATTAGATTGGTATAATTTTTGATATAATTTTTTTGTCTTGGATTTACTCACACTATTTTATTTTATGGAGGAAACTGAGGCTTGAGGCCGGAAGCTAAAGTCAAAACAACAACATGCAAAGAGTGGTGGTTAGGAACGCAGGCTTGTGGGGTGCAGGTGTGCCTTCTAGGTCCACCACCCATTTGCTGTGTGTGAGCTGGGTCAGTCTCCCCGGCCTCCACGCCTCCAAGTGAAAAGACCTGCCCGGGCAGGTTTAGACATAGAAAATAATCCAAAACAAAGCAGGTAATTTGTAAAGATTTTAAAAATATATATTTTTGAAAATAATTAAGATCATTGACTGGGAAGGGAAAAAAATCAACACAATGAAATTTAGGAACAGAAATGCAATAGAAGCTGCTTAATCCTGCCCCTTCCACCCCAAGAGGCACAGCACAGAGATGAAGTTTATTTTATGATCCCAAGTACAGGCTTCTGGTCAACAGAGAATCACTTCAAGTCTTTGGCCAAAAGGCCCTGTCCAAAATCAGGATTCAAAATAGTCAGCTCATTGAGCTTAGCTTGTTTTCATGAGGGAGACATCTGGTTACTCACAGGTGTACAAAGTACACAAGTAATGTTTCTAAACATTGCACCTCATAAATACACATTGTTGTCAATTAAAATTGAAATTAAAAATATAAATGGAAAAACCCTCAAAAGTAGTAATAAATAACCAAAAGCATAATTGATGAAAGAAAAAAATGATAAATTGGACTTAATTCCAAGCTAAAACTTCTACTGGGAAAAAGATACTATTGAGAGAATGAAAAAAACAGGCTGGGAGGGAATATTTGTAAATCCTATATATAATAAAGGAATTGTATCCAAAATAGACAAAGAACTCCTAAAACTCAGTGATGATAAAACAAACAACAAAATTTCTAAACTGGCCAAAAGATATGAACACATTATCTCCAAAGAAGATACACAGATGGCAAATAAACATATGAAAAGATACTAATTAACATAAGACAATAAGTAATTGCCAATTAAAACAATGAGATGCCACTACATACCTATTAGAATGGCAAAAATCCCAAAATATGACAATACCAAATGATAGTAATAATACGGAGAAACAGAAACTTTCATTTATTTCTGGTGGGAATGCAAAATGATACAACCACTTTGGAAGACAATCTGGCAATTTCTTACAAAGCTAACCATAGTGCTGCCATAAAACCCACAATCAGACTCCTAGGTATTTACCCAAATCAATTGAAAAGTTATGTTTACACAATAACCTGCACAGGAATGCTAATAGCAACTTTATTTATAATTGCCAAGAACTGAAAGCAGATAAAATGTCCCTTCAAGAGGCGAATGGAGTCAGGTAGCATGATGCCTCCAGTTTTGTTCTTTTGGCTTAGGATTATCTTGGCAATGCGGGCTCTTTTTTGGTTCCATATGAACTTTAAAGTAGTTTTTTCCAATTCTGTGAAGAAAGTCATTGGTAGCTTGATGGGGATGGCATTGAATCTATAAATTATCTTGGGCAGTATGGCCATTTTCATGATATTGATTCTTCCTATCCATGAGCATGGAATGTTCTTCCATTCATTTGTGTCCTCTTTTATTTCATTGAGCAGCCAACAGACACATGAAAAAATGCTCATCATCACTGGCCATCAGAGAAATGCAAATCAAAACCACAATGAGATACCATCTCACACCAGTTAGAATGGCGATCATTAAAAACTCAGGAAACAACAGGTGCTGGAGAGGATGTGGAGAAATAGGAACACTTTTACACTGTTGGTGGGACCGTAAACTAGTTCAACCATTGTGGAAGACAGTGTGGTGATTCCTCAAGGATCTAGAACTGGAAATACCATTTGACCCAGCCATCCCATTACTGGGTATATACCCAAAGGATTATAAATCATGCTGCTATAAAGACACACATGCACACATATGTTTATGGTGGCACTATTCACAATAGCAAAGACTTGGAACCAACCCACATGTCCATCAATGATAGACTGAATTAAGAAAATGTGGCACATACACACCATGGAATACTATGCAGCCATAAAATAGGATGCGTTCATGTCCTTTGCAGGGACATGGATGAAGCTAGGAACCATCATTCTCAGCAAACTATCACAAGGACAGAAAACCAAACACCGCATGTTCTCACTCATAGGTGGGAATTGAACAATGAGAACACTTGGACACAGGGTGGGGAACATCACACACCAGGGCCTGTCATGGGGTGAGGTGAGAGGGGAGGGATAGCATTAGGAGATATACCTAATGTAAATGACGAGTTAATGGGTGCAGCACACCAACATGGCACATGTATACATATGTAACAAACCTTCACATTGTGCACATGTACCCTAGAACTTAAAGTATAATAAAAAAATAAATAAATAAAGAGGTGAATGGAAAAACAAACTGTGGTACATCCACACACTGGAACATTTTTTAGCAGTAATAAGGAATGAGCTGTCAAGCCACAAAAAGATCCAGAGGAATCTTAAAAACATATTGCTAAATGAAAGAAGTCGATATGAGAAGACTACCTACTGTATAATTCCAGTTATGTGGCTTTCTGGAAAAGGCAAACTATAGAAATAATAGAGACCAGTGGTTATCATTGCGTGGGAGGGATGGGCTAGGGTAAAAAGTGACACAAAGGGGATTTTTAGTGCAGTGAAACTACTTTGCATGATATTGTAATGGAAGATATTTTACATTATACATCAAAACCCATAGAAGGATATAACAAAAAGAGTAAGTCTATTGTAAACTATGGCATTTAGAGAGTAATAATGTATCAGTATTGGTTCTTTAATTATAATAAATATACCACATTAATTCAAGATGTTAATAATAAGGGAAACTATTGGGAGGAGGTCAGTATATGGGAAGCTTGTACTGTGTGCTCAAGTTTTCTGTAAATCTAAAACTGTTAAAAATAAAACCTATTAATTAAAACAAGAAAATTGTGAAGCTGGATACAATATAGCTATGGCAAGATGCCATTACTCATCGTCCATTATGGAGTCCAAAGTATGTTGACCAAACTAAAAATGTAAACCCCATCTTTGCAAGAATTTCAGTGCTTTGTCTTGAAAAGAACTGGATGTGTCACATCACACATCTGCTCTCTAACCTCACCGTTACTATCATCAAGGTAATAATTTGCTACTTTCTGTGACAATGACAGGACAGTATGTGTTCCCTTAGTGGTACTGACAACCTGTCTATGTGGGTGAAAAATTGTACTTTGATGGTCAAATGCACATATAAACAATAGGTACTATCTGCTTGTGCAGTTCCTGCCTTATCTCACAGTTTCCTAAATTTGATGTCCTGATGTTGCACGGGGACTCCATTGAGTTCCCATCTTAATCTCACCTCCTGTGAAGCTATTTAGCCACCATCTCCCTTGTAAAGTTGCTTCCATGATAGTAATAATTATACTATTAATAACATTAATAACATTGATATGTTAATATATAATATATAGTAGTAATTCTTAAAATGTAATGATTATTATCATGACACTCAGGAATATAAATGACCAGTTATTATATGACAGATAGTGTACCAAATGCTTGTTACAAGTAACATGTCTTTTATGCTCACAGTAATTAAATGAGAAAGTTATGATTTTTCCTTTTTGCAACGAAAGAAACTAAAGATTGAAGGGCTCAATAATTGACCCAGTATCTCACAACTAATAAGTGAAGTAGCCAGGTTTCATACTAAGGCAGCATGGTTTCAGAGCCCGTGCTTTTATTGCCTCTGTATGCTGTATCCAGAGAGCTACTCTCATATATTCTAGACTATGGAATTAATCTGAGACGCAGTGTGCTGTAGCAGAGACTGCAATGACAAGAAGCCAGAGTTCTTGCATAATGTGCTATATGGTGAGTCACTTAAGTTATTTGAAAATCTCAGTTTTTAAAATATATAAAATATAACTAAGTCTAATTATCCCTCAAAATGTTGTTGACATACCTTGAAAGGTTGTGTAAAAGATAGTATATAAAATAGTTTTATAGTAAAAAAAAATACTCCATCTCAGAAAAAAATACATGTATTTACTGAGATGTAATGAAGTAAAAGCACAAATATTAAAAGAATAGTGGAAAATATTTTGATAAATGTATATACCCTTGAAACCAAAACCCCAATCAAGGTTCAGAACATAGCTTGCTGCTTAGAAATCCCCCTCGTGCCTCTTTCTGTCTTTTCCCTAGCAGATCACCACATAGTTCTTCAACTTCATTACAATCAGGTAACATTGTCTATGGTTTTCAGCTAGCATAGCTTCTTTGCTGTGTGCAATGCTTTTGAGATTCATCACAACATCCAGCTCATTTTTTTTGTATTTTTAGTAGAGACGAGGTTTTGCCATGTTGGCCAGGCTGGGCTCCAACTCCTGACCTCAGGTGATCCACCTGCCTCAGCCTCCCAAAGTGCTGAAATTACAGGCATGAGCCACCACGCCTGGCCTTTTCCTCTTTAATTACTTAGGATTGGAATAGTTGAATCATAAGGTAGGTATTTGTTTAACATTTTAGAAACTTTATCGACAATTATCAGTTGTTTCCCATCCTCTCTAACATTTTGTATTGTTTGTCTTTTAACTTTAGCCCTTCTGGTGGGTGTATCATGATATCTCATTGTGGTTTTAATTACTACTTTTTGATGAAAATAACATTGGAATTTATTTTTATTTGTTAATGTCTTCTTCATAACTCTTTTTGAAATGCTACAATCAGAATGAAAACTTGGTAGTACTCCTGTAAAGATAAACAAATAGAGCAGTAGAACAAAGTAGAGTTCATAAATAGACACACACATTTTACGGAAATGTAATTTTTAGCAAAGGTACAAATGTAACTCAATGGGTAAAGAAAAGTCTTCTCTGTTGAAAAAATAATACTCTTTCTTAGGCCAGAAAATTGTTCATCCTGGGAATTGGCAAAGATTTTTTACACAGAATGCAAAAGCACTGATCATAAAAGAAAGAAAAATTGTTAACTTGTCTTCACCGAATTTTTAAAAATGGTTTTTATCAAAAGACATTGATAAAAAAATGAAAAGGCAAGCCGTAGACAGGGAATGTTTGAAACATATATCTGATGAAGAACTCGTACCCATCCAGGTTATATAAAGAACTACTACAAATTGATTTATATGTGAAGTTTTATTAACTCTAAGAACACCTAAACACTACATGGCATTCTGTTTAAAAAATTCACATGAAACAGTAAATTCCATGCATCTTTTCTCCTCTCAAAAGTCCTTGAGTAATCTGTATTATACCTCTTAGTTGAAATTAATGCGTGAACGCTGACATTTAAAATAGTACTCTAAATAAGAGAACACCTTCTCATTGTTTGTTTTTATTTTTTTCCCCAAGAAGTCTTTCTAGGAACCCTCACAGTCAAACAAGAAGGTGCTACCCTCATCGGAGGCTCCTGTCCAGCTGTCATAACCATAGAAGTTGGCCAAATAGTTACTAAAAGTAATAGTTTACCCCATCCCTGGCTGGCATATGGGCTACCAGAAAGAGGTTTAGTGATTGTTTAAGGTTCCATTTGAATTCTGATGTATGTAGGTATCTTCCAGTTTTCTGATCAGTTCTAACAAACCTTAAGTTTCTTTGAAGAGCAACATGATAAAAACTAAGTATATCAGGGTCTCAGATCTCAATGAATATACATTCTCTCAACTCCAATGAGCTGTCTCATCTGCAATGATAGGAGGACAATCTAGTGAAAAGGAAATTCACAAAGCAATGGGAAAGTCTCTTTAAATACAGTGAGAAAATAAACCTATCATTTTAATGAAAATAAAATGGCACCATTCTCCTGCAATGTGTATCATACCTTTCCTTACACACATGGTTTTCCCCAGTAAGTATCCTACCATGTCCTGCCACTAAACAAACAAAAGGCTGGGCAGGAACTGTTTACCACCTTTTCTGGGGCTCATAGTTCCTATTATTTTTTGTATCTTTCTCACAGTGCCTTGCTCATCAAATATGACCAGAATTTATTTCATTGTTGAGTTATCATTCTTCTCATAAAATATACATTTCATATTTTAAAAAGTCTCTACACCTTTGTCTTTTGTACAAGTAGTGCAATTATGCCTACATTTGAAGTGATTAGTTATTGTGGGTGGAGCCGTTAGCATAGCTCTATCTACAGCATTGCTTTCCTAAAAGATATATATCTGAAATGTAAAAACTTTCATTCATAAATAACTTTGAAACATAATAATTCATAATTTGGAAGCTTATAAGAAAATTAAATGAACCTCATAGGTATTCCAAGAAGTCAATTGGTATGACCAGCACCTTATTACCTTATTATCCTCTGGTAACTACAGTTTGTCTTTGTGTTTCTGTGTGTGTGTGTGTGTGTGTGTGTGTGTGTGTATGAATTTGGTTTATTCTTTATCCCAACCATGTCTTAAAAATGACAGTTTAACCGTATAGGCTTAATCTAATGATGTGTTTCTTAACATTTTTTAAAAATTCTCAATAAATTAGGTATTGATGGGATATATTTCAAAATAATAAGAGCTATCTATGACAAACCCACAGCCAATATCATACTAAATGGGCAAAAACTGGAAGCATTCCCTTTGAAAACTGGCACAAGACAGGGATGCCCTCTCTCACCACTCCTATTCAACATAGTGTTGGAAGTTCTGGCCAGGGCAATTAGGCAGGAGAAGGAAATAAAGGGTATTCAATTAGGAAAAGAGGAAGTCAAATTGTCCCTGTTTGCAGAGGACATGATTGTATATCTAGAAAACCCCATTGTCTCAGCCCAAAATCTCCTTAAGCTGATAAGCAACTTCAGCAAAGTCTCAGGATACAAAATCAATGTGCAAAAATCACAAGCATTCTTATACACCAACAACAGACAAACAGAGAGCCAAATCATGAGTGAACTCCCATTCACAATTGCTTCAAAGAGAATAAAATACCTAGGAATCCAACTTACAAGGGATGTGAAGGACCTCTTCAAGGAGAACTACAAACAGCTGCTCAAGGAAATAAAAGAGGATACAAACAAATGGAAGAACATTCCATGCTCATGGGTAGGAGAATAAATATCATGAAAATGGCCATACTGCCCAAGGTAATTTACAGATTCAATGCCATCCCCATAAAGCTACCAATGACTTTCTTTACAGAATTGGAAAAAACTACTTTAAAGTTCATATGGAACCAAAAAAGAGCCCGCATCACCAAGTCAATCCTAAGCCAAAACAACAAAGCTGGAGGCATCATGCTACCTGACTTCAAACTATACTACAAGGCTACAGTAACCAAAACAGCATGGTACTGGTACCAAAACAGAGATATAGATCAATGGAACAGAACAGAGCCCTCAGAAATAACGCCGCATATCTACAACTATCTGATCTTTGACAAACCTGAGAAAAACAAGCAATGGGGAAAGGATTCCCTATTTAATAAATGGTGCTGGGAAAACTGGCTAGCCATATGTAGAAAGCTGAAACTGGATCCCTTCCTTACACCTTATACAAAAATCAATTCAAGATGGATTAAAGACTTAAATGTTAGACCTAAAACCATAAAAACCCTAGAAGAAAACCTAGGCATTACCATTCACGACATAGGCATGGGCAAGGACTTCATGTCTAAAACACCAAAAGCAATGGCAACAAAAGCCAAAATTGACAAATGGGATCTAATTAAACTAAAGAGCTTCTGCACAGCAAAAGAAACTACCATCAGAGTGAACAGGCAACCTACAGAATGGGAGAAAATTTTTGCAATCTACTCATCTGACAAAGGGCTAATATCCAGAATCTACAATGAACTCAAACAAATTTACAAGAAAAAAACAAACAACCCCATCAAAAAGTGGGCGAAGGACATGAACAGACACTTCTCAAAAGAAGACATTTATGCAGCCAAAAAACACATGAAAAAATGCTCATCCATCACTGGCCATCAGAGAAATGCAAATCAAAACCACTATGAGATACCATCTCACACCAGTTAGAATGGCAATCATTAAAAAGTCAGGAAACAACAGGTGCTGGAGAGGATGTGGAGAAATAGGAACACTTTTACACTGTTGGTGGGAGTGTAAACTAGTTCAACCATTGTGGAAGTCAGTGTGGCGATTCCTGAGGGATCTACAACTAGAAATACCATTTGACCCAGCCATCCCATTACTGGGTATATACCCAAAGGACTATAAATCATGCTGCTATAAAGACACATGTACACGTATGTTTATTATGGCATTATTCACAATAGCAAAGACTTGGAACCAACCCAAATATCCAACAATGATAGACTGGATTAAGAAAATGTGGCACATATACACCATGGAATACTATGCAGCCATAAAAAATGATGAGTTCATGTCCTTTGTAGGGACATGGATGAAATTTGAAATCATCATTCTCAGTAAACTATCGCAAGAACAAAAAACCAAACACCGCATATTCTCACTCATAGGTGGGAATTGAACAATGAGAACACATGGACACAGGAAGGGGAACATCACACTCTGGGGACTGTTGTGGGGTGGAGGGAGGGGGGAGGGATAGCACTGGGAGATATACCTAATGCTAGATGACGAGTTAGTGGTGCAGCACACCAGCATGGCACATGTATACGTATGTAACTAACCTGCACAATGTGCACTTGTACCCTAAAACTTAAAGTATAATAATAAAAAATAAATAAATAAATAAATAAATGCAGGAAAAAAAACATTTTTTAAAAAGGTACACATTTATGTGGAAATAAATATGAAGATGTATAGAGAATGTATCTTTATATGTATAAATATATGATGTATCTTTATATTTATTACATATTTATCATATAAAGATGTATCTTTATATTTATTTAGGTTCTCCATTATTATTATCATTATTTATTTATTTGTTTATTTTTGAGATGGAGTCTCACTCTGACGTCCAGGCTGGAGTGCAGTGGCACAATCTCGGCTTACTGCAACCTCTGCCTCCCAGGTTCTAGCAATTCTCAGCCTCCTGAGTAGCTGGGATTACAGGTGCCCGCCACCACACCCAGCAAATTTTTGTATTTTTAGAAGAGATGGGGGTTTCACCATGTTGGCCAAGCTGGTCTTAAACTCCTGACCTCAGGTGATCTGCCTGTCTCGGCCTCCCAAAGTGCTGGGATTACAGGTGTGAGCCACTGCACCCAGCCAGTTCTCCATTATTAAATAATACATTGCTTAATTCATTATTCTTTCTAGGGCATTTGAGCTAATCATTAAGTAGTGCATTTTCAGAAAATTCTAATTATGTCAACAATCTTAGAGGAAAAAGAAGTATCTCATTGAATAATTAACAATGGGGGATTTGATTTGGTAATATTAAATCCCATAGTTTCTAAATTACATAAACGATAAACTCAGGTGTATAGTGTTCATTTGGTCAACAGAACAGTAAATTAATGATTTCTACTTTCAAAGTATGCCTCATCTATTCTTTTAAGTTTCAAATATAAAGCAGTGCATTTCTTGAAACAACAAAGGGAGAGGATTCAAAATTCCCAATTCTCTCCATAAAATTATTGACTCTGCCACTACTTTCAAATAATCAGAGAATCATGGAGCTTGAATGAACTTTAGAGATCATCTCATCCAGCACCATTTTTATTGTAAATTTTTAAATCTCAAAAGGGTGACAATCTTTTAAACAAATACTTTTTAACAGAGGAAATATCTTGATTATTTGTTTTTACTATAGTTATTTAAAATTCTAATTAGGGTATTAAAGTAATGGTTAAATAGGATTCTGTAGATTATTTATATCATTTATAGTTCAGAAGAATCACAAAAGAGACTTTCTTTCTTAAGTGAACAGCATTTGAGGAAAAAGATACAAAAGGTATGTTTCCTCCATGATCAATTATAAAATCCATGTTAGTAATTCAAACACTTAAGTGGTTCTTTTGAAAAATTAAATTGGTTATTCAAAGTATATCAGAAATAATAAAATATTTTCACCTTAAATTTTGTTAACTTGCAAACTCAGTAATTTCTATTAAATAATACATGAAAAGAGTTAACTGTAGAAGCTAACAGGGCAAACTCATTTCTCTTGAATGCAAAACCTAAATTTATAATTGTAGAATTCTATAGTTATTGGGTGCACATTCAAGAGCATCTGTATTTGGTAAAGAAAGTCTTAGACCCATGACTGAAAGATATAAAACATATGTTATTTTTAAACAGCTCAATCAAGGAGAGATTGCATAACTTCCCTCTGTAATACATTCCAAGATTTTAAAATCCTATTTTCAGGAATTTCTTCTTCTCCCTATCTAACCTACATCACTTATGCTTCAGTTCAGTCCATTATTCTTGTTTTTTTTTTTTTTCTCAGTATGAATTGAAAACAGCTGAAATAGAGCTGATATAGCGATTGAAATAAGTTGAATTGTATTCTGGATTACTATCTCTCAGAACAGAACATTCTAAAAACAGCAATTCAGAGTAACTTAAATAGAGTTAAATCTAGTAAATTACCAACACTAATAAATTTTACTTAATTTGTAAAATTTTTTAGAGGAAGCATAGTTGATGGTAAGTTTACTTTTTCTTGATGGAATGCCTTTAACTCCTTAGGCAAATACATGAAAATCCCCTTATCACATTAAAAGTATTAAGAAAATAAAATCTTGTGTAAGCACATATTCTGATTAATTTTTTAAATAATGTTTATTTTTTTAATTTATCTGAGCTTATTTTATGGTTGTTTTATCTTTGCCCAGTCTTCCATGCAGTGACACAATCACAGCTCACTGCAACCTTAAAATCATGGGCTCAAGCCGTTCTCCTGCTCCTGTCTCCTAAGTACCTGGGACCACAGGTGCATACCACAACATTCAGCTACTTTTTAAAAATTTATTTTTGTTTTTGTAGAGACAGAGTCTCACTATGTTGACCAGTCTGATTTCAAACTCCTGGCCTCAAGGGATCCTCCCTCCTTGGCCTCCCAAAGTACTGGGATTACAGATGTGAGCCTCTGTGCCTGGCCTGAGCTCATTCCTAAATGAATATTACAATTCTTACTGAAGTTGATGAAACTTGGTCACCAAGTAATTATAGCAACTTACGGAAAATGATGGAAGCATATACTGGCATGGAAACCTGTGTGCTGTTTTAGTTATTTTTGTCAAACTAGGTTCACATACCTCACATTATTAGCCCACCATAGTCTGATTTGTAACTATATGCTTAGAACTTTTATTCCTGTCAAGGTTTGAGAAACTATGAAGAATTCTCATCTTTAGAGGAAACTCCACAGATGGACATGGAAATCATTCTTGGAGAGAAATGATACTTACTATTCTGTGTAAATCTAAATAGTCCTACAGTATCTACAGTGGATCTGAACCTATTTCTAACCACAGAAAAAAATCAGCTAGGTGATGCATAACTTGGGACATAGAGAGGAAAGCAGAACTTGAACAGGAATGGAAAAGGAAGGGGAACATCACACCCTGGGGACTGTTGTGGGGTGGGAGGAGTGGGGAGGCTTTAGGAGATATACCTAATGCTAAATGATGAGTTAATGGGTGCAGCACACCAGCATGGCACATGTATACATATGTAACTAACCTGCACATTGTGCACATGTACCCTAAAACTAAAAGTATAATAATAATAATAAATAAATAAATAAATAATAAATAAATAAAAATTAAAAAATAAATAAATTAAAAAGTCACTTTTAAGAGATTATAATTCAGACAATCTGGGTTAATCAAGGTGCTGACATTCCAAATTCGTTGCACTTGACATGACTTTGCAGGTTGAGTGTTGAAAAAAGAAATTTTTTTGTCTTCTACTGCTGTACAACTTGAAATCAAAAGACAGAGATTTTCGCTGGAACTATTTTATTATTTTCACCTTTTTCCAGCTACCACATTCAGTGTTATTTTTTATTATTATTCTATGCAATCAAAATAGTATGTGTTTAACTTCTTTGGATAATTTTATAGAGCTTTAAAATAATGACAGAGAGAGAGAGAGAGAAAACCAATTTTATAAAGAGTTATCTCATAATCAAAAAGGACATTTCTACATGATAAAAATGTTCCAAACCTCATAAAGGAATAAAACAAGCAACAAATAACTCCCAAACCCAAAAATATTATTTCCAAGCCTACACAAACTCCATAAACTAAAATTAAATTTTGATTTTCTGAAAATATGGATTATGAATTACCTACATTGAAATCATCTGTAGTACCAAAGACACAGGTTGGGAGCATCAGCCCAGACTTAATTAAATAAAAATTTTTGAAGGTGGGTCTTGAAACTTCGCATTTCTAACAGGTTTCTTATGTGATTACCTGAGCCACTAAAATTTGACCACCACCCTTATAGAGTTTCACAGGCATAGAAACAACTAAACAAAAACAAACATCTTCCAATATGAAAGATTGTGACAATGTAAGGTTTAAATCCCTTTAGACTGAGTAGCTTGGTTGAAACACAGAATTCCTTCCTTTGGCCAGAAAATCATCTCATTAGTACTGCTGTTGGCTATAAGAGCAAGGGAAGGCAAGTAACAGATTAAAAGTAATCTGCCCAATGCAGAAATCTCCTTGAATACAAAGACTATGTGGTTCGCAATTGCATGCCCAGCCTAAAGTGGGCACATAAATATTTGTCAAATGAGTGGGTGAACATGATCAGAGAATTTGCCCTACCAGTCAAAGGGCAATTAATTGCCTTATTCAAAGCACAGCAAACTATTTTCCAGAATGTGTGACCAGCTACCATACCTTGAATAATCTACCTCCTAAGTAGATTGAAGGCAATAGTGTGCGTAGGAGACTAATGGAAAATTACCAGCCAAGAATGAAAGTAAGTGTGTTCTTGACCTTCTCCGTGCCTTTTCTTTTGACCATACAATTGGCATTATTACTGTTTTCATCACTGCTGCTTACAGTATTCTTTGTGAACCATTTATTAACATATTATTATTCTCTTTGCAGCTTTCTATTATATTTTGCCTTTATACTTTCAGTTCATTTTTTTCAGATGTGACTTTATTTTATTGTAAAAATGATAAGTAGATATCTAAAATGATGAGAAATTTGAGACTTCACCTGCATATCTTAATGTATTGATTTTAAAGTATTAAATTTTTGGCACAAATTGAATTCTACAAAGGGGAAAAATCAATACCTAGAGAACAAGTAAAACACTCTGGCAAAGGCTAGTAATACTATGGTAGACTAAAGCAAAGAGTTTTATGAATAACAACTTCAGAGTCTGAAGAATACATACCAATTGAATAATAATGAAGTTCCATTAATGTATTCCTATAAAAGAAAGGTTCACATTCCAACGGTCAGATAAAATTAAGGTAAATCACCGTACCTGTTTACAACAGGTTTATTCTGACTTTCTGAAAATTTGGCATAATAAAGTTCATAATTACTTAAAATATTTTGATAAAACAAATGTAAAAGTTAAAACTTGATAGAGTAGTTTTAGCTGGAATATATTTTGTAATCTCAGCAATGTTATAAAGATTACCTAACATCATTTCTAATGTAAATTTATATACAGCATATATTTCAAATACTACACACTATGTATAAATAAGATCATGCACTCATGGAAATCTAGCGTTGCCTTCATAAATATCATTAATTAATAAAAAGTTTATTTGTCCCAGGAAAGTTGTACATATTATCTTCTAAGTGGTAAAGCATCACAGTGTAGGTATTAGAAATTTAAGGATAAAATATATATGGAGTCATATTGACAAAATGCCTATAAGGAATATCTTACAAAAGCAATACCAGCTATTATGAAAATAATAAAAAGTTGAAATTTAGGGAAAGTTGACAGTGACCCGATGGAAAGAATAAGGAAAGGAATATATTTCAGACAATTTCAAAAGCCCTGAGATTTTCTGGGAATTGTGAGCAATCCAAAATAGCTGGAGTGCAAAGGAAAGGTAAAATGGTAAAAACTAAATCTGTACAATAACTCCTTGTTTGATGACATGTGAAAGCTTGACCAACTTTTACTATCCATTTAGTCTCAAACCTGAATCTGCCTGGATCTTTCCATGTCCAGGAATGCTTGCCAGCTAACTCCCCTATTCACTCCTTTGTATGTGAAATTTAATGTAACTCTTTTCTCCTGAATAACTCAGCTGAAAAAGTATGTCAATATTATTTTTAATGCCTAGAGTTAAAAAATATATATATATGACTCCAGACTATGAAATTGTTATTCATAAAACTCTTTGCTTTGGCTCATCATATTTGTATCATATGCCTGAGTGGTCTACTTGTTCACTTGTTTTACATCTAGACATTAAAATATATTTTTTAATGTATATCGTATATAAACATATATATTTAACTCCAGCATGTGTTTGTGTATATAAATATATTTATTTATTTAACTCCAGTTAACTATCAAATCCGTGAAGAACTAGATCTATTTTCCAGACTTAGTGGTCCCCTCAACATGTGGTTATGGTGACAGTAAAACACCATGATCCATGGTTATGTTTGCTTATGTGTGAGAGTCTAGGAATGTATTACCATTTGTGTTGAATGAGAGAATATTTGCAAAGTTGATAAAAAATACACAGAATTTAAGAGTTTAAACATGGTATGCTAATATTTATCTTTGAATATATTTAAATATCCATTTTCATTAATTTTGTATATTTGAATTCAAAATATATTGGAAGTCTCCATTTCTAAGCCTCTGCCTATCATTTACATTTATAATGATGGGTGAACTTATTGTTTCTGCCAAACAAGTTGGAATGGAAAACCCACAAGCACACAATTCCAGTGCATACTGCAAGAAGAACATACTGCTAATAACAGGTTTAAATAGTTCTTTACAGCTTACAGAGTGTTTGAGCATATATTACTTTTGTATGAGATTTCAATGTCATTACCTGCATTTATTGAAAAACAAATCAAGATGGTTAGATTATTCTTTAAGTCATAGAGCCAGGAAATGCCAAAGCTCAGTCTTGAAATAAAGGTCATTACAAATCCATGTATCTTTCCAACAAAACAGATTCTAGATAACCAGAACACTTGGATAAAAAAGCCAAAATAATGTTGGTATCACTCCAAAATGGAATTAGATTTGTTCTGATCTAATAATGTATTGTTTTATTGAAGATTAATTAAGTCAGTCCTATATATGCTTATCACTTTTGTGAACACTTACCACAACTAAACAAGTCATTACAAACCAGACTGTGTATATTTCGGCATAAATTATAACCACTCGTGGATAAAACAAATCGACACATATAATTTTGATGATTACTCAATATAATTCTAAATGCACAACTATCTGTCTCTGTATCTAAAACTCTATTTTTATCTATAGTTATGTATAAAAATATTAATTGGCAATATGTATATGAAAACATAACTATTTCTATGCTTTCAACATTTGAGCTATGTTTCCATTAGTAAAAGTTAATTTTTATAATTATTTTTGAAAGACTTCATTGAATATTCTTCTGAAAATGTTTTACTATTTTTTTCTTGCTTCCACTCCCTCTTTGGTTATGGTTACAATTATGAGTCTGAGTTTTAGGATTGTTCTATGTAGACTAAAGTTATCTCCTTATGCTTTAACTGATTTGTAACCTATAGCTCTCCAAGTTCCATCAATCGGCACAATAACGAAATTATAATACAAGGTTTTATCTAAATCAGTATGTATTTGAGATATAAAATGAGATATTAGAGTTTTCTGTAACTTCTGCTGAAAATGTTGGCAATGATCCATGGCCTAATATAGCTACTTGCATAGAGTAGGTAATAGCAAATGTTTATAGAAGTAAGGTGGGAATGTAGAGGAAAGATTCAGTGTATAGAGGAGAAGTGATATTTAATAGAGTACCTTGCTCTGGATGTCACCTTATAGGCAAGTTGAATTCTCCCTTCATGTGTGATTTACATTCCCAGGTGAATTATCCATTGCTCAGTAAAAATTAAAAAATAAACCATAATCCATGGTATTGCTTTTCTTCATCCATTTATAATCGCAAACGAAACAGAGAAGGAAAAATCAGAAGTAATAATGATGAAAGTTTAATTAAACTTTTAAACTTCATTAAAGCTAAAAGTTTGGGAAATTGAAGTTTATACTTTAGATGATCCACAGCATTCATTTCTAAAAACCTTATAATAACAATTTTCTTTGTAAGTATATCCCTTCTCACGTATGCTATTTTAGATTGATCACAGAAACTTTTGAAAGATTGAAATTTATTCCTGCCTGGGTGTTAATGAACTTGTGTATTAGGATATAAATTTAGGCTTGATTGGGTTCTTTTTTCTCATCAGGCTAGGTGAGATGCAGTTCCAGCCAGATGTAAAGAGGGAAAGTCTTAGCCAGTTTATGTGTCTTTCTTCATTGAAATCATGCTGAGGAGATGAGATCAGAATAGACCTAGAAGATGACTACCAAAATCAAATTTTCTTTAGACTGTATTTCACTGTCATGTTTGTTTTTTTGTTTTGTTTTTTGTTTGTTTGTTTGTTTTTCTCCCACAGAGTGCTGGCATTTCAATTCAACACACAGCCAACAGGACAGCAAAATGCCTCTTCTGTGGTTTGTTTTGTCTCCTCAATTGTTTAAAATCAACTTATTCATTCTTTTTACAACTGAATTACTCTTTCTTGCAATCATTCAAAATACCTTTTGAATGGCTGCTAAATGCAGTGCCCTGTGAGAGATGAAGTCATCTTCAATCTAGTAGGAAGTTCAAATAGGTAATGAAATTATTACTCAATATACTAAAATTGGACCTTTAAGAGAAGCACATGCAAAACACATTGGTGGCATAAAGACAATGATGTTTTCAGATAAGTGTATACTTGTGCGGGACTTTACTAGAGAAAAGTGGGCTTGGGAAGCTGCAGGGCAGGGAGATAAATTATTTCGGCCAGAAAGAAGGGGGCAAGAAAAGGCAAAACAGTGTGAATGGGATGGGACATTCTGAGAAAAAGTGTGATTAGAAATATACAATTTTAGAAAAATAAGCACATTGTACTTAAGTTATAATTTTGGAGTAGGAAGAAGATAATAGAGCCTTTTATATTTATACAATATAAAATGTATAGGTCAGTCAAGACCAGTAATGGTAAAAATATAAATGGACAGAAGATAATATTTAGCTAAATAAAAATTGAGACACTGAAAGTGATAATGAATAGAAATTTTCAACCCATAAAAACACCATGTGTTGGATATAATGTCTCCTTAAGAAGATTATGTAGTTAATTTTTATTTTAATACTGGCCAAATAAACATTTGAGGTCATTTTCCTGTGTGTTTAAAGTGAGTTATAGGGTATTGTGGCCATTAAAGAGAGGCTGGGGAATGGTTTTTATCCTCACAAAAGGGAGTGATAAAATGGAAACCTTTCCCTATCTCATCAAGTTCTAAATTTCTTAAGATTAAAAAAATCCTCCTTTTCTCATTCTTTTACCAAACTGTAAATAAATGTTACTCTCAAAGAGGCTGCATAATCTACAACTTGATTTTTTAAGAATCTCAAATTCATCCTGTATAAACAGTATGTAATATAAATTATTTTGTATAATGTTGATATGCATGCTGGAGACTAAGAGGAATATACCTACTTTGAAGGTTTTTATTTTTAAAAAATTGTAAAAGACAACAGAACACCACAGCTTTCCCTCAGCTTAAGGCATCAGTTCTTTCTGCCATAATACTTTTTATGACACTGCTCTCTGCGAGGAATGCTGTCTTCTTAAATGAGACACGAGCTGTGAGGTTGAGATGTAAACAATCTGACACTGTAGAAAGAGAGAAAGACTCAACCAAAAGCACAAGCCATTCACTAGTCTAGTGGGATTGGTCCTTATCCTTAAATATCGTTATACATAAACTTTATTTTGAATTTCCTCTCAACCGTCATATGAAACAGCTATGGAAAAATAAGTGACAAATGCCTTTGCTCTGTTGCCTCAAAAATCTGTCCTAGTTGTGGTATAAAACCTTTCCTGGAACCAGTAAAGTAGAATTTCTGTTACAGCACTAAAATTTTCCAAGAATTTGTTAGAGTGAAATCAAACAAAGAGAAGACAGAGACTTTAAATTGCACAGTGGCCATCTTCCTACATATCAAACCAAGAGATAATGAGCAATGTCTCAGTGAGAATTTGGATGATTTCAAAATACTTTAAAGCACTCTAGGTAGAATTTTCTAATTCAGACAACAACAACAACAGCAAAAAATCACTGCAAGCCTCAAATCAGAGACTATTCAGGCTCATCAATCACAAATAGTCATACCAAAGTACAGTGGGAGAACTGTGAAGACTAAAAAAGCTGCTAAGTGTTTGAATAATTGCCCCTAATGCCTTCAATGTGAAATGTATGGGAGCAAGTGCTCAAAAAGAAAAAGAGGGGAAAGATAAGTCTATTGGTTGAAAACATGGAGTGGAAAACAATGCCAGTCACTATACAAGGGTTTGCTACCTCTTACCCCTCCTTTCTCTCCTTGCCAGCAGATTGTAACTCATGGGAAAAGACATAGTAAACAATATAATGTAAAAGATGTAACAAAAAATAAAGATAGGAATTCTTGATTTCTTTCTTTATTTAACCCATCACGCACATTTCATTTATCAACATGTCCTGGCATTCAACTTCCAAAACATGTCAGTTCACCTCTCTACTTTTCATGAATTATCACCATCAAAGGCTTCAATTTCTCTACCTCCACTACTTTAACAACCTCCCAACTGGTCTCCATATGGTCTGTTCTGCCAACCTGCCCACCCTTCCTTCATTCTCCACTCTCCAAATGATCTTTTTGAAATATAAAACAGATAGGCCAACCCATGGATGAAAACACTCTAAGGACTGATCATAGTATATTTTGTCTTATCTATTTATTTATTCATAATTTAGATATTATAAAATACACTGTTTGAAGTGTGTTATAGCTTGAATGGTTTTGTCTACTTCAAAACTCATGTTGATATTTAATTGCCATTGTAACAATATTAAGAGGTGGAAACTTTAAGAGGTGATTAGTCCATGTGGGCTCTATTTTGTTGACTGGAATTGATACCATAATAAAAGAATGAATTCATGTTCCCTCTTGCTCTTTCTTGGCCCTTTCACCTTCAGCCACATGCAATAGTGGAGTATGGAGTAGAAAGAAAAGAAAGGAAGCATAAATGTGTCCAGTTTTTGGCCAAAACAACTGGAAAGAGAATGCAAACATTCTTACAGAAAATGTAAGACCTATTTTAGACTTGTCAAATTTAAGATTCATTTATGACATCTAAGTGTTATAGTACAAATCATGATAGATTTTATACTACTTTAGATACATATCATTTTCTCAATTCTCAGCTCAAGTGACAAGTCTTGTGAAACATCTTGATGTCTCCAAGCTCAGAAATAAAACTTCTCCTCTGTTCTTATCTTGCCCTATGTTCACCTCTAGTATCCCAGATAATAGCATAGAGTTTCACTCATCAGCCCTAGCAGATTTCTTGTCCTAGGATGTATTCAAATAATTTATTTTAAACATCTGGTGTTTCCTTAAAATATTTTGATTTTTTAATCATATTTTCCCAAAGAAGGACTTTCTACAAGTAATATCTTGAAAATATGAAAGTATCAGACAATCACAATAGGTTAAAAAGAGCAATAGTAGCAGGAAATATAAGACAAACAGAAACATCAAAATACAGAAAAGGCTATAAGAAATAATTTGCTTAAACACAATGGTTCAAATAAAGATAATGCAGTTGTTCACCTAATGTTCAGCATCTGCTTTTCTTTCAATCACTTCATCACATTTTATTAAATGTGCCTCAGAATCCTTCTCTTTATGTACCAGTTTACTCTCATTTTTTGTCTTCAGTTGTGTATTTTTGATATTTTAAAAGATAATTTCTTATTCTCTTTTTCCTTCATGTAGCAAACTTTTTTTTCACAATCTAGTTTTTATCAAAACTTTTCTTCTCCATCTCTAATATGAGACCTTGCAAGATTCCATTTGAATTGAGCTCTGGATGAATAGTCTTTGATTGCCAGTTGTTGTTAAACTGACATAAAGTTGTAGATAAAACTATCATTTTCTACCAAACACGTTTTGATATTTTCTCTATTTTATGACCTTAACCTAAGTTCAAACTATTTTTTCTACTCTCAAGGTATAGCAATACAAGAAAATCCCACCATTATTAATCCTGGTCTTTTCAACTAATTAACTTTTATTAATATAGTTGAAACAATTAACCTTCTTCTTTCTCAACTGTGTATATTTAGACATCCTATCTCATACATTGTGTCCATGGAATAATGTTTCACTAAGTTTTTATGTTTATATTAAAATACACAAAGTTAAGACAATGAAGTATAATTTTTAAAATATTATCTAGCACAATAATGTAATATAATATTCAAACAATAGTTGTGACTATTTTACTCTTAAATATCCATTAGCTATATAAAATTATCAGAAAATCCAACTAAACACAGCATTCTTGTCAACCCCTATGTGTATAAAAAGAGGTTAGCCATAGAATAAACCATATAGCTCCTGAAACAGAAGGTTATCAGGAGCATAAAAGATAGTCTTCTAAAAAGGCTTCAGGGATTAGTGAATTTAGGCAGTGAATGTGTTGGGAACAGGCCCCCCAAAATCTGGCCATAAACTGGCCCCAAAGCTGGCCATAAACAAACTGTCTGCAGCACTGTGACATGTTCATGATGGCCATGATGCCTACACTGGAAGGTTGTGGGTTACTGGAATGAGGGCAAGGAACACCTGGCCCACCGAGAGCGGAAAACTGCTTAAAGGCGTTCTTAAACCACAGACAATAGCATGAGCGATCTGTGCCTTAAGGACATGCTCCTGCTGCAGATAACTAGCCAAACCCATCCCTTTATTTCGGCCCATCTCTTTGTTTCCCGTAAGGAATACTTTTAGTTAATCTGTAATCTATAGAAACAATGATTATCAGTGGCTTGCAGTTAATAAATACATGGGTAAATCTCTGTTCGAGGCTCTCAGCTCTGAAGGCTGTAAGACCCCTGATTTCCCACTCCACACTCTATATTTCTGTGTGTGTATATCTTTAATTACTCTAGCACCACTGGGTTAGGGTCTCCCCAGCCAAGCTAGTCTCGGCAGAATGTATCCTAGTATCTGTTTTCTTGTGACTTTTTATAAATCTATAGGCATTCATGATCTTCCTGATTTGCAAAGCAGTAGCATTAAATTGAGAAATATGTATAGGATATTTCAGCTAGAGAGAAGGAGTGATAAGAAAAACATGCAGTCTTGTAACCACAATGGACAAAGGAAAGGCAGTATAGAGAAAGTGGATTATTTAGTGCCAATCAAATAGCAATCATCCCAAGTATATTTTGTTTAGGGGAGCAATCTGGTATAGGAATATTATGGGTAAGAGAGACAGAAAAAGAGAAAGCTTTAACCATTTGCTATATGTAGTTGTTTCAGGCAGCTATAACAGAATATCATAGACCAGGTGGATTATGAACAATAAAAATTTATTTTTTACATTTCTAGAGGCTCCATGTCCAAAATCAAAGTGCCAGCATGGTCATGTTCTGAGGAGCTCCCTCTTCAAGGTTACAGATGACTCTCTTCTCCTTGTATCCTCACATATGGCTGAGAGAGGAGAAAGCGCTCTCTCTGGTGCCTTTTATAAGAGCTCTAAATCCAAAATGGGGGCTCCACCCTGATAACCTAATTACCTACCAAAAGTCCACTTCCTAATGCCATCACATTGAGTGTTAGGATTTCAACATATGAATTTGAAGGTGGACACAAACGTTCAGTCCATTGCATTATGGATACCACAGTAATGCAAAATATTCTAAACAGACTATAAGCAAGTCAAACTGTAATTAGATAACATGATATAGAAGAGGAACAGACATTTCTTAGGAATTCAATAATTTGTTGAGAATGAAAGAAAACTATAATTTTAAACAAATTAATAACAATAATTATCATTATTTATACAGTTTTGTATCTACATGAAAACCTCAAATAATAATAGTACCTTAACAATTATCCTTTTTTTAAGAAAAAAAGAAAAAAAAAAGATCTTACTAGTCACCCAGGCTAGAATGCAATGGCATGATCATGGCTCACTGAAGCCTTAAACTCCTGGGCTCAAACAACCCTCCCACCTCAATCTCCTCTGTGGATGAGACTACAGGTGCACACCACAGCATTGGCTTTTTTTTTTTAAGAGATGGGGTCTTACTATGTTTCCCAGGCTGGTCATGAACTCCTGGCCTCAAGTGATCCTCTGACTTCAGCCTCACAAAATGCTGAAATTACAGGTGTGAGCCACTGCACCTGGCCTACCTTTTGATTGATTTGATTACTCATGCCACTCACCTATAACGGTTAAAAAATGGCAAAAGTTTAATGAGAGTTGTGTTTATTTAATGTGAGAGAAATTTTACATAATTAAATATATGTATTTAATTATGTAATAACATGTAATAACATGATTCCACATAGAAAATGGTTTCTTCATAATAAGATGTTGATTATTTACATCAGTTAGTTGTTATAAATGTTACTGTTTAAATGGGTTATATCAGCTTTAGCATTTTAATCTCATAAGTTAAATAACAAACAATATGTTGCCAGTATGTTACATTGTACCTGGTATTATTTTCCAGATTGCTTCAAATGGCAACCTAAATTTCACATTCCATTATTGTAAGTGATATATCGCATAGTAAATCTGCAGTTTCCTGAGACTCAAAGTCTTCTCTTTTTTTTTAAGATATTGAAACAATTCAAACTACTCTTTTTACATTACATCCAAATAAATGATGATGATAAGCATATTGTGCATGCACTATAAATTAAACGCCTACACATACAAACTCGATATTTTTGCTAATAAGAAATTACAAAGTTTCCTGATAATGTCTAATTCTGTAATTGAAAATGTCAATTTTTTTTACTGAAAATAAACACATTTAAGAGCTGTCATGTGCCAAGTATGGATTCCTATTACAAAAAGAATAATAACAGGAAAGTCTATATTAAAACATTCTAACCAGATGATTTTACAGGCATTTGCTTCAAATTACTATGTATTGTTCAACATTTTTACACTATAAGGCAACCAAAAATACATTAGAATGGCTTAGAATAAGGTCTATATATTGAGGGATCTAGAATTCATTTCTTTATTTTCTCTCTGCTTAGTTGGGAGATCTGAATTAAAGACTATATGATACTGAAGCTGAATTTTTAGGTTTTATGCATTTTAAATTTTATTTTGGTAGTCAAATTTAGTGAGTCAGTATATGTTGCCTGTTTCTACCAGGGGATAATGTGTAAGCCACTTAACTTCCAAAAATTCGATAACCATTACTCACAGCAGAGACATCATGGGAATACAGAGGAGGTAGAAGGAGCAATAGATAACAATAAAGGCTACATTTTATAATATAAGGTACTAAACAATAGAAGTAATTCAACTAACTATAAGGGAGACTTCAGTTTTGTTGCGGAACCTTAGCAATAAGTAAGTACAGAGTAATACACAGACACAGACACACACACACACACACACACACACACACGCACCTGACATAAAAACTTTGAGGGTGCACCATTGAAAAGCAGGTCCAATTTCTAATATTGCAACTGAACAGAAAACACTTAAAATAATGAAATCTGCAGTTGTCAAAATAGTCAACCTGTTTGATAAGATGATTCTGTGAGAATGAACACATTTGACTATCTAGGTTGCTAGAAGCAACTAAGTAAAGTGGGGACTTGGCAACAGCCAAGCCCTGTTCTCAGAAGTATCACCCTCCATCACCACCATATCCATCACTAGCCAGGCATTCTACAATAATACTGTGCCCTGGGAACCAGGATGAAATAATAGGAGTGCAGGAGATTAATTTGTTAATGTGCTATTTTTTCTATTTTACCAAAACTCACACAAAAATAATTGCTTAATTTGATCACTCTTAATGATGGGTCAAGGAGAAATGGAATATGCTGTCAAGTTTCCACTGTTTTCCCCAGCTTCCCCAGCTCATAGAGATTATCTTAACAAAGAAGTTAAACAAATCACCCAAGTTCCAACAACTGTCTCTGCCTGAGAAGACTTCACTCCCAAGTCTGTCTAACCTTTAAGCTTGTGATAGTTGGTATTCCCTTATTTATCAGTTGAATGTGGCCTGATTTTTCCTAGCCAGTAAATTGTTAGAAGATTTACTAGAGGGATTGGTGTCATGTTGCCAAAATGCTTAAAAGGAGAGCAAAGATGTGAAAGAGGATATACGGGCTGCCCCAGTTTTATTCATTTCTTGTACAGTCCAACAATCTGCCATTTAATATAAGTGGATATTAAATGAATTTCTGTTTTTCCATATTCAATAACTGAAATCATCATAAAGCGTCAGTAAAAACCCGATCTAGAAAATCACAGGAAGGCCATGGAGATATTTGTCAACACATTCCATGATCTGAAATGATACACACAAAAACACACAAAGAAATTGTGATCTCATGCTTTCAATTTGCCACTGGAATTCATTCATGAAAATTGGCTGTCAATGAGTATGACTTCCGTTAGTAGCTGTTAGAAATTATTTCTCTGAAAAATATTCTATGGAAGAATTACATTAGCTTGAAGACATAAAATGAATAGCCCAAAGTAATTTGCAAAATTTTTATTAGTGAATTGGGAAATGAGAAAATTTAGAATTAATTATTAAAGAAGAAAACAATATAATATTCAAAAATGATTAAACCCATGACAATAAAATAAACTTTGCAATTTTTTCCAGACCTTTGGCTGGCCTTTCTAATTTACACAAGAGCCCCAAGCTCTCAGAGCTGACCCAAGCAGAACAGGCAGACACTAATCATACTACTAAGAGCTTCTTATAATTTTTTTTAACATTCAATGATTGCAAAAAAAAAACATAATCAGTAATCTTTATAGATAGATTATAAACCAATATGAAAAGCAGTTAACTATGTTACCATGAGTTAAAAAAAAAAAAGTCTAAAAACTCACAAAAGCAAAAAGTGCCCACAGATTCCAAATTTACATCTGGCCATGGGACTTTTTAAACCTGTTTTTTTTTTAAATTAAATCAAGTATATTAGAAATGGAGCTAAATACATGACTTGATACCCAGGGAGGTCCCAGAGAGTTCTGAGTGAAGGTCTTTTGATAAACCATTTTGCTAAGAAAAAAGTTTGGGAAAAAAAATATTGAAAACATTCCATTGTGAAAATAAAACCGCAAGATCTAGATGTGATGTTTTAAGAAGAATAAAGCAAGGAAAAGAGCTGGATCATGAATATATGTTTATTATAAAGAAATATTGCCTGAGGAACATTAAATATTGATTCGAGATTTAAAACAAAAACTGCACCTACGCTATTCAGTCAGATATCAAAGTGAGACCTTGACAAAATTAAATATTTATGTACAAGTAAAAGTGTCTATAAAGGGATTTAAAGTTTATCCCTGCATCTGCCAGTCTAACACTACAACACCAGAAGGCTGTCAACAAGATATAAGTCTACTTCCTTGTCAAAAATAATGATTTGAAAACCACACAAAGCTCTCTCATAATAAAACAATGAAGTACAGATATGGGTTTCTTGTTGTTGCCATTTAAAAAAATCCCTAAAACATTTATAATTTATAGAGAATTTTAAATTATGTTTCATAATCACCTATGTATTCATTCAACTATAATTGATTTAGAATTCTAGAAACCAGCAATCTAAGGTTAGAAGACATATAAATTTCCTGCTTTTCTGAAGTTTACCTTCTAATTGCAAAAAAAATAAAATAGAGAAGTAAATTAATGATTAAGACCAATTCAATTAGTTAGAAGTACCATAAAGAAAGTAAATCAGTGAAAATGAGAGGGAATTACTTGTGTGGGCTATTTTAGAAATCAGTAGATACCACACAAAAAGCAAAATTTGGTCTGAAATTGTAACAGCAATTTCAATGAATTACTACATTCACAGCATTGATATAACTTTTAAATGTAACCTTGATTTAATAGTAAAAAGCAAATAATGTGTTTTCTTTCTATATAATTCAAGCTATAATTAGAACTTCACTGAGCTAAGAGTCATATCTGTGTTCTAGTTATTTACATATTAGTCATTCATCTCACACTAAGCTTAGTTTTTCTTCATTTAATATATATTTATTAAGTATTTACCAAGTACCAGGAAGTCTTGAATGGAAGTCTTGATATATAGCAGTGAACACTACATGAAACATGTTTACCATCACAGAACTTATAACAATTAAGAATAAATATGTATTTTTAAATCACTGGCTTATTTCCTCTTTCCTTTACTAGAGAAAAATCTCCATAAGACAAAAGAACTAAATCCATGATCTTGACCACTATGTAACTAACACTATCTTGTAGTAGATACCTGCAAAAAGCATAATGAAGGAAGGAGAGAAGGAAGGAAGGAAAAAGGAATGTAGGAAAGGAGAAAAATAAGGATGAAGTATGGAAAGAATGAAGAAAAGGAATTAAGGAAAGAAAAGAAGGAAGGAAGGAAGAGAGGCAGGAAGGGAAGAAGGAGGGACAGAGAAAATTTAATATATATTTATGGTCCACTATTTATAGAGTCTCTAACCCCATTAAGCAAAATGTTTCTGTGATTAAAAAACAAAACAACCTACCAATTTAATGCAAGTGTATGAACATGTGAATAGCACAATGACTATTGCTATAAAGAATAAAAACACAAATGAAATCAAATCATTCTGTTTAGAAGAGAAGTCAGAGAATGATGGTTGAGAAATGTAATGCTGAATTCACTCTCAACTGCTTATCCTTGGCTGAGTTATAAGTCTAACACAAGACTTACTGAGGTTCAGGTGAATATTTCTAACTGCGTACTAGATCTTCACTATGGGCCACTTCATAGTCATATAAACTCAATGTGTCCAAATTGACTTTTTCAATATATATATATAGAAATATATTGTAATATGTAATATATATTGAATTATATATAATATAATTTTTATATATAATTTATATATATATTTATATATATTGAAATATATATATTGAATTATATATAATTTTTACTATGTATCTTCCCAATCTTGATTTCTTGTCTTATGAATCATATCATCATCCATCTCATAGCTTAAGCCAAAATAAGTGAGAAACTTCCTCTTTTTTAGCCACTCTGTCCAGATGATCTTCAAGTCCAATCAACTTTCCTCTAAATACATCATCATATTTTCTCTCCATTTATATTTACCTGTCCTTGTTTCAGACCTACTTTGTTTCTTTGCTATATTATTACGGCTACCGAACTAGGCCTCTTTATCCTTATTATAGAAGCCTTCACCCTACAGCATAAATAAAAATTTTAAAGTCCAGATCTAATTATGTTGCTTTCTTAATTGAAAGGCTTTAGTGACTCTCCTTGTTTAAGGATAAGCTTAGTTTGAAATAAAAGTCTTCTCATGATTTGGTTATTAAAGTCTTTCCTACCTCATGTTCTCTATGCTATAGTCATACTCAACTGCTTAAATCTTCTGAAATGTGTCCTTCTTTTTTTCACCTTCATAATCTTCCATATGTTGTTTACTGTGCCTGAAGTGCCTTCACTCTCTTTGATATATAACTAGTTCTTTCTTGTCCTTCCCTTTTCCCAAACCCCTCCTGTATATTACATAGTCTTAGCACCCATGTATACCTCCACATAGGACTTACACAATGCAGTGTAATAGTTGTCACAATTTATTGTATGTAACTCACAATATGTTACATGCAATATTTCGTATGTGACACGTAAAACTTATTGTATGTTACTACTACAGTAGATAATAAATTTTCTGTTGGATTTTGAAGAAAGTCCTTGAAGGCAACATGTCTTGTCTAATTCACTTACAACTATGTATGGCACATAGTTGACTCTAACGAATAGTGAGTAAATCAGTGAAGGAATTAATTGATTCATCAACCATCAAACTTAATTTATTACCTAATCCATAAAATATTTACATGGGATAAGCTTATTTCTAAGTTATTTTCCAATTATCAAACTTTTAATTTTTATTTTTAAAGAAGAAAAATATTTCAGGATCTTACCTATTATTCTAAAAGGGTATTCATTTCTATTCTTTTCACACAGAACATATGTGCATCCATGTATACCTGCCTACAGACTTATTATTTGGCATATTTAGTTTTTTGGTTAATAGAAAACAGTATTAAAAAGGGAAGAAGTTGAAATGTAAAATTTCCTTATTAATGCAAATTTGTATTTCAGTGAATGATTACCTGAGATTAGTAGAATTTGTGAAACTTTAATATGTGTGAATAAAATGCTTTGAACTATACTGAATTTTCTTCTCACCATTTTCTTAAGAAAATTTTAAAGTCAAAATTATTTCAGAAATAAGTTTGAAAGAAGTAAATGCCAGGTATCATTTACCATTGGACACACACACAAGCACACACACATACACGCACAAACATACACTCCATAAAATCCAGGTTTAAAATATTTCAATACAAGTTTTGGGAAAAGGAGCACTGTTTTGAAAGTTAATAAAAATTGATTTTTTTAAAATATTTTGAATGCTAACATCAGCAATAAAAATCAATCAGTACAAACCAGCATCTATTTTAAAAGAAAAAATTTAAGACTCAATCCTATGACGAAAAGAACAAAAACAAAATCCTTGGACTAACAGTTTAAATCTAGTTATCCTTTTGGGCTGGGCGCGGTGGCTCATGCCTGTAATCCCAGCACTTTGGGAGGCCGAGGCGGGCGGATCACGAGGTCAGGAGATTGAGACCATCCTAGCTAACACAGTGAAACCCTGTCTCTACTAAAAATACAAAAAAAGAAAAAAATTAGCCGGGCGTGGTGGTGGGTGCCTGTAGTCCCAGCTACTCGGAAGGCTGAGGCAGGAGAATGGCGTGAATCCAGGAAGCAGAGGTTGCAGTGAGCCAGGATCACCCCACTGCACTCCAGCCTGGACAACAGAGGAAGACTCCATCTCAAACAAAATAAATAAATAAAATAAAGTAAATCTAGTTATGCTTTCTAAGTCTTGATTAAATAAAACAAATAATAAAAATGATCAGGAGATGCTATCAACAGAATAAGCTAGACACAAACATTGAGTAAGACAAACTATTTTATTATTAAACCTACCCAAGGAGAACAAAATAAACAACACTTGATAACATAAATCCTCATTATGAGAGAATAAAACCATCAGATACAATGTGCCAGACAGATGTATCTTTAAGAAGAGAAATAGGTATGAGTCATCCCCACACCACTATTCACCGCTTACTCTCTTGGAACCCTCAGATTGCATCTGTGAGGATGCTGATGGTAGAGGAAATCAATTGGCATATTTAAAACCTGGATTTAATACTTCAGTATTTTTGTTTAACCATGTAAATTTCTTAGTCACATTTGATAGAATATTAGAAGCTTTTCCTAAATGCCTTAATCAATGCTTGTATCATACTGTAATGAACTTATTCATTTGCTTGTTGGTCTCTACTCCATGCAACTGTAAGCTTCTTGAGAACAGAGACTGTCTTTTTACAGGATCTTTAATGCTTAGCATTGCCCAGATGCATGATCAGTGTTTCTGATCTTCTGTTCTTGTTGAATAAATCCCAGTGCCTTCCAGCCAAAGACCACCAGGAAAACACCTGTCATTAATCAAGTTGAGTTTATGACTCATTGCGGTGAGAGAGAACACACCTCATGGGGAACCACTGAGCATCTCTGTATGAGAGTGTCAGAAAAACTTTTTATAAGATTTTGGCTCGTGTTAAGTATCTTTGGATACTTAACATCTCTTTCTGTGTTGTCTAAAGAAGCAAGGCTTTGCTCTGAATTAGATGCGATCAGGAAATAGGGTCAACTTTATGATTCTTTCTTAATACATCTCATCTAGGAGAAGGCAAGACTCAGCAAAGGCCAAAGCTGTAACAGTAGAGCAGCTGCAGTGATTTACACCAGTCACATTAGGAAGATGTATGGCCATTTTGTTTTATTTGGGCACTATTCATGTTTTTGCCTCTATTCAGACATAATTACAGAGTAGTATTTTTTTAATCCATCAGAGTCATGGAGTGACCTTGTCTGATCATAATATTCTGTAAAAATGTTTTAGATTTCACAGGAGATTACCAAGACCTAGCCATGAGTGCCAGTCCAGTCCTAGCAACACTAAGGTCTGCCTTATCATATAAGGTCAGCTTTTAAATGGCAGGGGCTGCCTTTCTCCTTCTCAAAAGAAATGGATTAATGAATTGCTTAATACTATACTATTTTCCCCTCAGTCCCTGATCTGTTTCATAACATATCAATTGTCTGACTAAGAATTCATCACAAACTTTAGTATTCCATTAGTCCAAAAAAAATCCACTAATCTACTATACAATCAACTCTCAACTGCCTCTTAATAATAGTCTCCAGAGATGACTACCATCAAGTCCTTCTCTATCTGTAACTGTGTGCTGCACCATCCATCAAGAAAGAGTTCACTTCCTTTTTCTCTTGTCTTTGGGGTAGACTTAAACTTTGTTGGCATCAATGGCAGTCAGTAGAAATAATGCTGTTTCATTTTCATTTTTAAGTATGAGCATTAAGAGGCATGATAGGATTTACCTTTCCTCTTCAAGATGCCTGACTTTGCTTTGCTGGAAAGATGCCCACAGAAAGAGATGTCATATGAAAAATCACTTAGGCACCCTGAAATGTGAAAGAGTCCTTTTAAAAGCTTTCAGCCAAGCCTAACTCCTAACTGAACATATTGGCATGACTAAGCCTAGGCAAGGCCAATAGAACCACCCAGTCAACCAACAAAATTATAAGCAAAGAAAATGCTTGTTATTTGGGGTAATTGTTACACAGAAATAAATATCTGTGAAACCCAGAATAAGAGTTTATCAAACACTTTAGGAGTCTACTCATTCAAAAGGAAATTACATTTCTTGAAATTTAGAAAAATAAAAAGACATAGAAAATGTATTAGTTTCATTATGAATATTGAGAATGCAAGTATTAAGAGAGATTTTTCTGTTTCCAAATTCTAAGAGAATTTTAAGCAGAAAAATTTTAATGAATAACTTTAAGCTCCACTAGAGTCTATGAGATAAATTTTATGACAAATGTATAATGAATTTCCATTTGACTATTTCTATAATAATTATTGAAATGAAAGCATAAGAATGAATAAAAATAAATGAAGTACTTCGTAGAGAATCTAAGTAATGTGTTCCAAATGAACAACTTTGTGATCTAATTTGATACAAGAAAGAAGAGTAGAAGTCTTGCATTCTAAGCTAGGGAGCAGATAACAGACAGTTTGAAGCCATAATTTTGGCATGGAGCTATTCTATACAGATGACTATAGAAAGATAAGACTAAGGTCAATAGATCAACAGTTGATAGGGTTGACATTTCTACAGGAAGATTAAGTGCTAGCAACATTGTTATTCAACTGGAAAGAATGCCTCAACTTTCAAAAAAAACAAGAAAGAAAGGAAGAAAAGAAAAGGTGTATCTTTACAGATACCTGCAGATATAGCTAGAATTTTCATTAAGAAGACCACTTGAATCAAAACTAGCACTTGAATTGCAGTTCCTTGAAAGCTTAAAGTTTCGAACCATAGAATATATTACAAATGTCATTTTTCTCCGAGATCCATTTTGTTTGAGGCTTGTTCAAAGTGCACATTACCAATTGTCTAACTTGATTAGAAAGAAATCTCTCAAGAGGTTTTTGTAGAATATCCAATTTTAAAGAGCATAATCTCCAGTATGCATTTACAATTGGTGAAATAGTGTAATTTGTAACATTTAGGTCCTGTATTTCTTAGCAAAAATCATTTTTATTTTGGTAACATTCTTTCAAAGGCAAATACAATGGTTAATTTTATGTATCAACTTCATTGGGCTAAAGCTCACCCAGATAGCTGGTAAAACATTATTTCTCAGTATATCTGTGAGATTATTTCAGGAAGAGATGAACATCTGAATGAATAAGCTGAGTAAAGAAGACCCACCCTTACCAATGGGGACAGGCATCATCCAGTCCAGTGAGGGCCTAAATACAACAAAAAGGCAGAGAAGGGCGGATTATCTCTTTTTAATGTGAGACACTCATCTTCTCCTCACCTTGGGCACAGATAGGAGTTTCTGATTCCCAGTCCTTCTGACTCAAAGTGAATTATACCATTGGCTTTTCTGGTTCTCCAGCTTATAAACAGCAGATGGTAGGACTTCTCAGCCTCCATAATCATGCGAACTAATTATCATACATACTGACACTACTATTGCTTTCCTGACTGTGTATAGCAATTTTGTGGATATGAAAATGCCTGTCATTTGACTGAGTCTATGATATTTTCCCCTCATATAAATATATTTCCTCTATATACATATATTTATATATGTGTATGAGGATAGTGTCAGAAATAAAACTATATATTTATATATTCATATACATATGTATATATTATATCCATATTGCTTCTGTTTCTCTGGAGAATGCTAATATAGCAATCAATAATATCACGAATATAATTATGGTCAAAATTTATTTTCAGTGGTAGTTAGAAATTAAAATCAATTATGTTCAAGAACAGACTTCAAGGAAGCCTAAAACCTGGGATAACAAGGAGGATGATACACCTGGGAAATAGACCTTTCATTTACCTAGTCCCACAATAAACACTAAAAAAAGTACTTGAGCTATTAGAAGTTGTATGCTTTTTGTTGGAAAGCAGAGATATCACTAGAATCTAGAAACACGCTCCACCTGAATTTAAAAAAAAAATGGCAAAGAATTGTTCTGCAAAGGAGTAATGGGCTATTCACTGTCTTCAGGGGCGGCACTGGGTATGTTTGCAGAGATTTTAAAACCATAAAGACTTGCCCTTATGACTGAGATTAGTATTGTTTTTCTGACTTTGTGTAGCAGTTTTGTCTTTTTAAGGATCTCTGTCATTTGACTTAGTGCACGGTCATATTTCTGGCACCATCCTCCTAATAGAAACCCTGAAGTTTGATGCCTAAAGTAAATATGATACAAAACGTTGAACTCTATTGTCTTAAAGACAAATGCAGAAACTGGAAAGATATGATCCCAGATAAAATAGGATGATATTTTAAACCATTCTTGGTACCAGACAACAAAACTTGTATAGCTGGGGAACTAGAAAGAACAGTTGCAAAAGTTTTTTCTCTTCCTTCTTGACTCCAGGCTCTTTGGCTCTTTAAACTACTGGTAAAAAAAAAAACAAAACAAACAAAAAAAAAAAAGAAAAAAAAACAACTTAGAAGCTGAAGTAAGCAAAATGTATAATTTTCCTGTGGCTTCTATTGGCTCCATAGAAGTGGCACCTGAGGCTTGTTAAAAGAGAAAGAAACAGGAAAATGCCAGATCAGGTGTCTGGCTGGCGAGGAAGCAGATACTAAAACTGTAGTCCCAGGGGCTGGAACAGACACAGCTACAATGTTGGTGCTGTGAGTCGCAGAAGTCCTGGGGACACTTTGAGCTCAGCATGGCAGGCAGCAACTTTCTAGGCATACACTTGCAAACTGCTGAGGTATTAGATGTGGAAAACAAATTTTTAAAGAAACTGAGAAGCGCTTTACCTTACACTGATGCAATTCCAGCTGTAAGAAAAAAAAGTTGTGGGTGGGTCAGCTCACAGGAAGAACATAAAATGAGTTAATGTCCTGGTATTATTTTTAATTGTGAGTAAAGCTGTTTTAAGATGTGTGAGCTATTCTTGCTGCTTTTACATGGCAGGCTGAAATGAGACCAGTGACCTTGGAACACTGTGATTTGTGCAAGCTAATTGGGTTACAAATAACGGTATTCAGAAGACTGGGTGTCAGAAATAATTTTCTAATTAGAACAGGTACCCTCCAAGTGCAAATGTAAAAGTATTTAATTGAGACAGAAAATGTTAATTGGTAAGAATAGGCAAAAAAGCAATTCCTTTTTGAAACTTCTTATTAAAATATGATGGATCTATATATGGGATCTGGGCAGGAATGAAGTGTTCTTCAACTGTAGCATTGCGGTTATTCTGGCTAGCACATTTTATTACTACACGATTCCACACATTAGAGGACCATTAGGATCTCTGCACCCTGCTCACTGAATGACATTATTTTAAGGCCCACAATCATTGAGCAAAAGCATGTCTACATAATTAAAAAAGAAAAAACCAGGGATGTATCAACTAAAATGTCTATTTAATAAATACAAACTGGCAAACTTTGATCCTTCCAAGGTTCCCAGTATATTCAATTAATGTGGTCTTGTAGACCATGTTGGTTTCTACTTCTGTTATAATTTTCATGAGGCAGAAATGACTTCTCTAGGGCCAAGTACAGTGGGTCAGACCTGTAATCCCAGCACTTTGGGATGCTGAGGCTGGAGGATCCTTGAGCCCAGGAGTTCAAGACTAGCCTGAGCAACACAGAAAGACCCTGCTGCACAAAAATTAGAAGAAAAAAATAGTTGGGTATAGGGGTGTGCACCTGTGGTCCCAGCTACTTGTGAGGCTGAGGCAGAAGGAGGGCTTGAGCTTGGGAGGTCAAGGCTGCAGTGAACCATGATAGCACCACTGCACTCCAGTGTGGGTGATAAATTGAGACTCTCTCTCAAAAAAAAAGAAAAGAAAGAGAGAAAGAAAGATGATAGAAAAAAAGAAAGAAGGAAAAAGAAAGAAAGAAAGAAGAAAAAAGAAAGAAAAAGAAAGAAAGAAAAAGAAAGAAAAAGAAAGAAAGAAAGAAAGAAAGAAAGAAAGAAAGAAAGAAAGAAAGAAAGAAAGAAAGAAAGAAAATGATTTCTCTAGAAATTTAAAGTGGGTGGCAAGGATAGGGAGTGGGAGGTTGGCCAGACATGCAAATCCTCACTAAGTTGAAAAGAAAAATGTATATTTTCTGTTTTTATAGATTTAAAAAATCATGTCTTAAAGCTACTATTTCTAAGCTGAGTAGGGTCAGTGTAGGTATCCCCTTTCAATATAAGATGGTTCAAGCCTGGGTGAAATGCCTCAGCGGGGGAAAAAAGATAAGCCAAGTGGGAAGTGGAAAAAAAAAAAAAAGCACTGCTGCTGTTATGTAATGAATTTCCCCCCCTCTAATTCCTATGTTGAAATTGTATCCCCTTCATGTAATGGTATTAGGAGGTAGGGCTTGTTGGGACATAACTGGGGTAGATGAGGTCATGAGAGTGGTGCCCTCGTGAATGAGATTAGTGTCTTTGTAAGAGTTCAGAGAGAACTTGCCATGTGGGGACACATTGAGAACATTGCTATCTATGAACAGGAAGCTCTCAGAACCAGAACCAGACACTCAATCTACCAGAGCTTTGATTTTGGCCAGCCTCAAGAACTGTAAGAATAAGTTTATGTTTTTATAAGCCACCCAGTCTATGGTATTCTGTTATAGCAGCCTGGGTGGTCTAAGATAGCACCCTGGTTTTCAGGTGAAGAAAAGAGCTCAAGAGTGAAATGAGAGAGAAGGCAGACTCACTATAAATGATGAGTACTTGAAAGAGGCGGTGAGCTGAGACTTTTTCTAATGTGGTTCAATGATGTTTCCTACTCCAGGAGATGAGGCATTTAATAGAAGTGATGCCCGCAAATATTCTTTGATATAGTAAGTCTCCTGCATGAATACAGAGTCTAGTTTACAAGCAAAATAAAAACTTTGATATTACAAACCACCAGGCAGGTAGCAAATCCTAAACAGCTAATCCTGGGGAGGTTTTTGTCAATGTGCACCTATGGTAAACTCTATGCAAAAACCCTGCCCACACCCAGAGCAAAACAAGAAGACCAATGACTCTTAGAAACTTAGCAACATCATTTTATTTGTCCCAGTTTACCCAAATAAAGTTACTCTTTACTCCCTCTCTGACTGAAGTCAAGCAATTGGCCTTTACAAAAATGTAAAATCAAGCGTGCAGCAAAGGCATGTGTTAATTCATGCAAAATGTTAAAGATTTGCCATTGATTTTTCTATAAAAATTGTTTACTGAATACTTTATATTTCACATTAATATTAAAGCCTTTGGAGATGAGTCTAAAATGACAAAATTATACACAAAGGCATTGGGAGATATGAAAATGTATTAAAACATGAACATAAATATGAAACAAACTTACTAGTGCCTTTGTCAACTGGATCTTGTGAAACATCACAGTATTATGGAAATGTGGACTTCATTTATTATTCCACTTAAACTTTGAAATTTACTTGTAAAAATATTTGATGGTCCAAGATATCAATTTTGTTGTATTTTCTGGAATTCTAATTCTTTAAAAGTTAAACATAAAAAACAAATTCTTATTTTCAAAGATTTTCAGCAATTTGGGCTCACCATTATGGTTTGTAAACAAACATTATGGTTTGTAAAGTAATGACACAAGTAAGAATAAATTTTAAAAAGAGATAAAGAAATTTTAAATACAATTTCAAAGACTTAATTTTTCTGTACTGTCCCTTTGTGCCTGTTGCCTGTTAATTATGAGATTGTAATTGAGATACCAAATATTATGCATTTATAAAGACTTTAGCATGCACTAAATAAATAGAATTCGTTATTTTTGTTTCCTGAACTTATATTGATAAGATGGATTTCTGGACATTAGAAGCAGTTTTAGAATGTTTGAGCTTATAGTCAAAGAGGAGAAGGGAAAAAAATGATTTCTCATTTAAGGAGTCAACCTACAATTTAGGTATCTGTTTTGTAATAGTAATATGCAGAATGGCATATCAAAGCAAGTTGAGAAAATAAAGTGGATATAAAGCATTCCCTTTTTAAAAAAATATGTTTAATGAACTGGAAATTATAGCTGTGAATATAAAATCATCTAGAAAATGTCATTATTCTGCTATGTCACTTTAGCATCTGAAAGTTTTTACTACTGTGTGTCTCTCCCTTTGCCCCGGGCCCCATACTCAAGTAGTCCAAGTACTACTATATTGAGATTGTTTATATTTTGTTTCATTTTCTACCCAATATATAGATACATAAATGTTATACAGATTATAGCTTGGAAAATTTAATACTGTTAAAATGCCAACTGTTCCTAACTTGATCTGTAGATTCAACACAATCACAACCAAAATCTCAGATTTTGATCTTTTCAAAAAACTATTTTCAAAATATCAACAAAATGTCCTAAAATTTTTATGGAAGGCAGATGATCTAGACTAGCAACACAATACTAAATAAGAATAAAGCTGGAAGACTTACATTATTCGATTCCAATAATTATTTACAATAAAGCTGCAATAATCAAGATTGAATACTATTGGCAAAAGAAAAGACAAGTAGATTAATGCAACAGAATACAGAGCCCAGGAATAGACTCCCACAAATTTAGTAAATTAATCTTTTAAAGGAGCAAAGGATGAAATTCTTGATAGGAGTTTCTTTTTTCTTTTTTTTAAGAATGCTTAAATGGAACAGAGTAGAGAACAAAGAAGCCCACACACCTACAACTATCTGATCTTTAACAAATCTGACAAAAACAAACAATGGGGAAAGGATTCTCTATTTAATAAATGGTGATGAAATAACTGGCTAGCCATATGCAGAGGATTGAAACTGGAACCCTTTCTTATAGCATATACAAAAATGAACTCAAGTTCAATTAAAAGCTTAAATGTAAAACCCAAAACTATAAAAACCGTGGAAGACAAAGTAGGCAGTGCTATTCAGGACACAGTCATGGGCAAAGATTTCTTGGCAAAGACACCAAAAGCAATTGCAACAAAAGCAAAAATTGACAAATGAGATCTAATTAAACTAAACTAATGCACAGCAAAAGGAACTATAAACAGAGTATACAGACAACCTACAGAATGGGAGAAAATTTTTGAAACTATGCATCTAACAAAGGTACAATATTTCAGAATTTATTAGGAATTTAAGAAAATTTACAAGAAATAAACAACCCCAACTAAATCGAGTAAAGGACATGAACAGACACTTCTCAAAAGAACATACATGCAGCTAACAGTCATGTGAAACAAAGCTCAAAATCACTGATCATTAGAGAAATTCAAATCAAAATCACAAAGAGATACCATCTCATGCCAGTCAGAATGGCTATTATTAGAAAGTCAAAAAATAACAGATGCTAGCAAGGTTGTGGAGAAAAAGGAACACTTATACACTGTTGATGGGAGTATAAATTAGTTCAATCATTGTGGAAGACATTGTGGCGATTCCTCAAAGACCTAAAAACAGATATGCCATTTGACCCAGTAATACTCATTACTGGGTATATACCCAAAGGAATGTAAATCATTTTATTATTATAAAGACACATGGACTCATACATTCATTGCAGCACCATTCACAATAACGAAGACATGGAACCAGCCTAAATGCCCACCAGTAGTAAACTGGATAAAGAAAATGTGGTACATACACACCATGGGGTACTATTTAGCCATAAAAAAGAATGAGATCATGCCCTTTGCAGGGACATGGATGGAGCTAGAGGCCATTATTCTTAGCAAACTCACACAAGAACAGAAAACCAAATATTGCATGTTCTCACTTACAAGTGTATAAATGATGGGAACACAAGCACGCATAGAGGTGAACAACACACACTGGGGCTATCAGAGAGTGGAGGGTGGGAGGAGGGAGAGGATCAGGAAAAATAATGAATAGGTACTAGACATAATACCTGGGTAATTAAATAATTTGTACAACAAACCCCAATGACACACGTTGACTTATATAACAAACCTGCATATGTACCCCAAACTAAAAAGTTTTTAAAAAGTAAATAAGGAGGAGTAAAGGTGACTCAATGAAGAAAATATAGTCCTTCCAACAAATGATGTGGGAAAATCAGACATGCTTATGAAAAAATACAAACCAAGACACAAACCTCACACCTTTCATGAAAATTAAAATGGATTATAGAGCTAAATGTAAAACAGAAAATAATAAAATTTCTAGAAGAAAATATAAAAGGAAATCTAAGTGATCTTGGGTTGGTGACTTTTTGATCCAATATCAAAAGCATAGTCTATGAAAAAAAATTAATACGGCTGAACAGGTGAAGCACAGGTGATTTTGAAGGGAGGTGAAACTACTCTATTACACAGTAATGGTAAATACATGGCACTATGTATTTGTCAAAACCCAAAGAACTTTATGGCACAAAGAGTGAATCATAATATATGCAAAAACAGAGAGGGAGAGAAAAAAATTGTTTAGGAAGTCAGGAAAATTCCAGAATAAAAAGATAAGATACAAAATATGACAAAGCAATTTAATTGTATTATAAGTACAAAATAATCAGGGCTCTTGAAGAAATTGCTGATTTTAAGACTAGGAAAGGAAACATGTAGGATGAGTCTGGAGCATCTTGTAGTGTCAAAAATAAGGAAGGGCTCAAACGAAAAAAAAAGGCAAAATGAAGAAGATATGTCAAAGAGAAACAAGAACCAATATGAAGAGCTCCCAGTAGCCAAACCTGGAACAATTTTATCAACAAAAATAAATAAAATAGCGTTAAATTTGTAGCCCAAATTATAAAATAAATGTATATGAGCCCATATTGGCATAAATAAATGAATCAATCAATACATATGTACGTAAATAAGGAAAAATAGGTAAACCTATCATAGCACAGAATTTCAAATAATTTGTGTAGATGCTCTACTCACAAAGAAGCGGAGTATAAGTCTCCACTATTTAATTTTGGGAGCACATATTGACTCCTCCCATAGTGTATAGAAAATGCATGGAAGGCGGAGTAGAAAAGAAATAAAGTGTATAGTGCAGACATTGGTTATTAAGTTATCAATAACAGTGATAAGTCATATTGATAGTAATATCCTTAATATTATTTAATGAAAACCACACTGTATCTCTGTGGTCTTTATCCCAAAAATCCACCTTCTCACTCTACCCAAGAGAAAAACACAGACAAATCTCCACTGAACAATATTCTACAAAATATTGGATCTTTACTCCTCAAACTGTCAAATTTATTAAAAACAAAAGAAGTCTGGAAAATTTATACAACCAAGAGTAGCCTAAGAAGATATGCTGACTACAGGTAATGTACCAAACTCGATGGGATATTGAATAGAGCACAAATATACATTAGATAAAAACTAAGGAAATCTGAACAAAATATGAACTTTATTTAATAATGTATCAGTATTGGTTCATCAGTTGCAACAAATGTATCATAGTAGCACAAGATCTTAAATAATTTAAGAAAACTCTCAGTATTATTCTTAAAATTTTTCTGTAAGTCTAAGACTGTTTTAATAAAAGCTTATTTAAAATATAGAATAAATTTGCATTTTAAAAGCCCTCTCTATTACTTTATGAAATACTTTTCTAGATACTGTAAATACATGCAATAAGTAAGAGTGTTCTGAGCTATATGGTGTCCTGGAAATATTACAGGTTATACAATCCCCATTTATTTGGCAGTAAATATGGAGCATAATAAACAGAATGAGAGGAGGCATATGATAAAGACTTTATCTCAGCTTAACTTAAGATATCCACAGTGCGTTTAGCAAAAAGCATTGAGCACTAAATTACGTGCTTGCTTATGTATATGTGTGTGTATGTGTGTGTGTGAGTATTTCATTGAAAAAAGTCTATTAACTATCATGGTATCTGGGCTCAGTGGCTCATGCCTGTAATCCCAGCACTTTGGGAGGGCAAGGCAGGCGGGTTGTTTGAGACCAGCCTGGGCAACAGGGCAAAACCCCATCTCTACAAAAAAATCAGCCAGGCATGGTAGCATGTGCCTGAAACCTCAGCTACTCCAAAGGATTACCTGGGCCTAGGGTAAGGCTGCAGTGAGCCAGTAACTGGGTCCCTACACTCCAGCCTGGGTGACAGAATGAGACTCTGACTTAAAAAGAAAGAAAAAAAAAAAAACTATCATGGTATACCATGGACAAAAATGTACTTTAAGTTCACTGGAATTGTATCACAGCTGAGTTATTTATTTGAATGTAATAACTTGACAAATACTGGAAATGTTAAAAAGTATAGAAATATTCTTCTCCTCAGCCCTTTATAGTTATATAAAATGAGCCATCATATATAAAGTTTTTAAGCCTCTCTCCATGGACTTCTGTTATCTAAACAATGTGATACCTCTCTTCAAGATATATACTCTAAAATCCTAGGTCTCCTACTTTTAGACAAAATGTATACTAACGAAATGCTCTCCCTGAAGCCAAGCTCTGAGCAATTTAATTTCCTTTTTTATTAAAAGAATTAAACCTAAGGCCTCAAAGTCAAATATACTCAATAATTGACATATTATTGGAAGTTCCTCAATAAATCAAAGCTAGAACTACCATATGATCCAGTGATTTCACTGTTGGATATATATCCAAAAGAAATAAAATTAATCTGTCAAAGAGGTATCTACACTCTCATATTTATTTCAGCACTGTTCACAACAACCAGGTTATGAAGTCAACCTACGTGTCCATCAACAGACAAATGAATAAAGAAAATGTAGTATACGCACAGATGGAATGTTATTCAGTCATAAACAATAATAAAATTCTATCATTTGCCATAACATGAATGAACATGGACGACATTATGTTAAGTGAAATAAACCAGGCACAGAAAGACAGAAAGACTACGTGATCTCACTCATGTGGAATCTAAAAATGTTGATCTCATGAAAGTAGAGAATGGAATGATGGTTACTAGCAGTCGGAGTAGTTTATGAGAGGTGGTTGGGAAAATGTTGGTCAAAAATTAATTAAGAATAAATTAAAGAAATCTGTTGTACAAAATGATTACTGTAGTTAATACATAATAATAATATAGTTAATACATAATAATTAATAAATAATAATAAATTAAATAATTAATAAAACATAAGACTACATAGTTTGTAGTCTTGAAAAATGCTAAGAGAATGGATATTTAGTGTTCTTATCACAGAAATGATAACTGAGGGAGGTAACGCATATGTTAATTAGCTATATTTAGTCATTGATTCTACCATGTACAGAATCTTCAAAACATTATGTTGTACATGATACAGACATACAATTTTATCTGTCAATGCAAAAATAAATAAATAAAGATAGAAAAATAAACTACCAAAAACATAAAAAGAAAAAACAAAACATTATGGTAATACTTTCAAATATTACACTGAGAATTAACAAAAATTCTCAGTTATCAATATTCTCTTGAGCAAAACACCCATGGAGAACATATGGTGAGAAGAAAGAGCAAATAGAAAGTAAAGGGCATTTTGTTGACAATAGTTCAATTTAGCAAGTGTTTATTGGATGTCCGCTCTTGCCAGGTAGGAAAACAGTAAAGTTGTTTTACACCACAGTCCTCAACTTCTAAGCACTTGAAGCATACTCTGTCTCCCATTGCCTTTTAAATTTATTGTAGTGAGATATAGAATGAGAAATAAGCAATGCTGTTGTAAACAATATACCACTGTAAATGATCTTAGTGCCAAGATTTCTCATTTTAATGATCTAATTATTGATTTATAGCTCATTCATATAAATAACATTTTTTCTATTTTTTATTATAACTTAACTGGTATGTGTTTGATAATCTAACAAAATGCAGTTGTCAACATACAGTAGTTACAAAAGTCTTACAGTGAAGTTAGAACTATTTATTCCAATCTCTTTCCAAAAGCGTTCACTAACAGAGAGTTAAGGTCCTGCAGTTTGTGAGGAAAACCTAAATTGTCTCTAGTTTGCAATTTAACTGTTATCAATAACATAGAGATCCAAAAACTAGGATGTTTTTGGAAAGAAAAGTTGGAAGAGAAACCAAATATTCAGCTAATATCATTTGAATTAGAAGTTGGTTTCCAAATTTCCTCACTAGGGTTTTATATACCATGAAACCAAATTGTTAACAATAGGGATAATTAATATGTATAGGGAATATAAATGAGTATAATATAATAATAATTGACAAAATTTGAAATCATTATTCTAACTGCTGTTAAAGTGTGTATGTGTGTGTTTCGTGGGGAAAATATCTATTAACTGTCGTGGCACATCATAAACAATGCTTTAGGTTTGCTGGAAAATATATATATGTAAAAATTGAGATGACATCTCAACTAGAGCACTTGTTTTTCAAAAAAAAATTATCTGGATAATGGGACAGGTGACTTTTTTTAACCACCTGATTTAATTCAGTAGGTCAATTGATATATTCATCAAAACAATTTTAGTGGATAGATTACTCAATTATTTAGTTAGTTCACTCGAAACTGTCAATCTAGATGTAGGCATATGAATAAAAGCATTAATATCTTCTTCATATTGCAACATTCCTTTTTCCTACTTTATTATTAAATGCACTTTACAGTTAACTCCTTTTCTGTATTAGCCCATTCTCATATGCTACAAAGAACTACCTGAGACTGGGTAATTTATAATGAAAAGAGGCTTGACTCATAGTTCCAGAAGCTGTACAGAAAGCATGGCTGTGGTAGCTTCAGGAAACTTACAATCATGGCGGAAGTCAAAGAGGAAGGAGGCAAGCCTTATGTGGCCTGAGAAGGAGGAAGAGAGCGAAGGGGGCTGTGCTACACACTTTTAAACCACCAGATCCTGTGAGAACTCTATCATGATGCAGCACTAGGGAAATGGTGCTAAACCATTAAAAACCATCCCCATGATCCAATCACCTCCCACCAAGCCCCACCTCTAACCCTGAAGATTACAATTGAACATGAGATTTGGGTCGGGACATAGAGTCAAACTGTATCACTTTCTAAAAATCTGTATATGGCAAAACAATTACTTGGTTAAAAGGGCACTGAAACCTATTTTACATGTCTTGGGCTCTCTTGATTTTTCTCTGGATTCTATCTTTGGCTCTCAAATTTGTTTTTTTCGTTCAAAACTCCCATAGCAGACAATATATTTAATTAATTGTTTTTGTGTTACTATCACCTAATTCACTCACCTAATGACCATATGTAGGATTCCTTCATTTTACTGATGAGCTTCCAAGCCTAATATTCATTAAACTTATTTTTGGATAAATGTCATTTTCCTGCTCAAAAATAGCTAATGGGTTTCTACTTCCAGTTATGTGGTGGACTAGACATTATGAAATACCCTTGGGCACTGAAAAATTCACAGATGCTGTTTCTCTTCTCTTTATATTAAAACAGTTAACTCTTCTGAAAGTCTAGCTCAGATCTTATTTTTATGTAATTTAGGCTGTGTAAAACTCTTTGCCTTTGAATCTTTCAACATATAAAAATACTAGCTTATAAGCAATTTGTGGGGAAAAAATAGACTAAAACAGTAGTAGTTCTTTTTAAAATTGTTTATTGTGTAGTAAAGATTTGTGAATCTATCTGCTGTACAGATTTCCTGTTTTCATAAAATTCATTGGAACAGATTCATCACATTGATTTTCTATGAATTTTCCACTATATGTGCAAAATGATTCCCCAAACAAAACTGCATTAACATTTTAAACAGAATTTTACTTAATTTTTATCTCAGTATATTTGCTCAGAAACGAATGCTTAAAGGAATCTTTTTAGATGTCAGATAAATTTAATTTTTTGATATGAAATTATTTTATCTGGAATAAAGTTAAATTGTTAACGAATTTTCCCATAGAGTATAATGATTATGAAAGACTGTGTGGAGAAAAATGTGTTCAAATGCTGATTTGAATTTAATGCATAATTCAATATTTCATTTATAGACATTTCTAGAGGGCATTTTAATCTAATTAAGAAGTAAAAATGTTTATATGGTGTCAGTTGAAATTTTCAAAAAGAAATTTTAAGTAGCAATAGGCAGGTTGTGGTGGCTCACACTTATATTCTCAGCCCTTTGAGAGGCTGAGGTGGGTGGACTGCTTCAGTCCAGTAGTTCAAGACCAGCCTGGGCAACATAGTGAGACCCCATCTCTACTAAAAATATAAAAATTAGCTGGGCATTATGGTGTGCACCTGTACTCCCAGCTACTTGAGGGGCTAAGGCGGGAGGATCACTTGAGCCTGACAAGTTGAGGCTGCAGTGAGCCAAGATCATGCCATTGCACTCCAGCCTGGGTGACAAAGTGAGACCCTATTTTTTTTAAAAAAAGTAGAAATATTTATTTTTGTGGTATTTTAAAATAATTATGATTGTACAAAGGTGAATCTGTAGTAAGAATATATTTTAAGATTAAGAGTTTTTTTATTATATGGAAAAAAGTACTGCTGCAATTTACCCATTATTGTATTATCTTAACGGGAAAGTTCAGATATGACAAAATATTTTTAAAACTGGGCATTTTAAAAATAACCTTTAATATTGATGGTATAATGGCACTGATTTTATTCTCAATTAGAAGAATGAGTTATTAATATTCATATTCATATATAACAGGAAAGAGAATACCACAAAAAAATAGTATTTATTAGAAACTCCTTAAGGGAAGTATATCATAAAGGATAAAGCCCAGCCAAAACCACCCCACCAAAAAGAATTAAAATAAAATGCAATATGACTAATGTTCTTATAAGAAGAGATCATATGGACACGTAATCATAGATGGAAAAGTGTGAGAAGATGGCTATCTATAAGACAAGGAGAACCCTGTGTATACCTTGATCTTGAGTGTTAGGCCTCCAGAATAGTGAGAAAATAAATTTCTGTGGTTTATCATCTAGTCTGTGGTATTTTGTTATGGCAACCCCAGCAAATTAATATACCCAACATATGGTCACCTATGTATTTACTGAATTAATTAAATTAACAAAATTAAATGAAATGAGATTTAGTTTGATTAATAGAATTAATAAAATAGCATAAACTGTCAAACAGAATTAAACTCCAAATTTCATAGAACTTGAAAAAAAAACTCTCAAAAACTGCTGACTCAAGCAGGAATCAAATTTACAATATAAAATAGAACATGAAAACATAAAAACTCAGGCTACTGAAACTTATAAATGCAACCACAGTTGTAATCAGGAAATATTCTCATATCTAAGTGTTTCCTTTCGTAATCAGAAAAGACAAAAAATTGAAATAACAAAGCCCTTAATTAAAATTTGGTTGAAAAATAATAACAAACAAAAACAATAATAAAAAAACTGATAAAATGTGACTAAGGTCAATAAAGTTGCAGAAAATCAACAGAATTTATAACTACAATCCAGTTGGCTCATGCAATAATGCAATATAATTGGTAGTCAAATCAAGAAGAATAAAGATTGATAAATATTAGAAATACACAGATTTGTGAGAAATAAGTATAACCATAGAAGCTGAGTAAATATCTTGTAAAAATTTATGCTGAGATATTTGACAAGACTAGTTTAAAAATGCAAAATTGACTCAATGGAAAAATTAAGAAAAGTTGTTTAAAATATTAATTTAATAACTGAGTTTGACTTATATAGCTTTACAGATCTGACTTTTAAATTTACAAGGAATAATGTTAATCTTATGCTAAATGAACTATGTAGTAAATAGGAACATTCCCAATTAATGTTTCAAATTCCCTTTAACCCATTTAAAGTAGTTTCTGTTTCTTACTAAACACTGCCTGGCATGTACTTCAAAAGGGCAAAGAATGCATTCAAACAATTTATCTTCTGATGTAGTTTGTATATGTCCCTGCCCAAATTTCATGTTGAATTTTAATCCCCAATGCAGGAGGTGGGACCCAGTGAGGAGGTGTTTGGGTCATTGTGGTCAGATCCCCAACAGCTTGGTGGTGTCTTCTCCATAGTTAGTTCTCTTGGTATCTGTTTTTTTGAAAGTGTGAGATACCTCCTCCCCCCACTCTTGTATATTTCAAAACAGCTACAGGAAAAGATATGGAATGTTCCCAACGCAAATAAATGAAAAATATCCATAACCTAATTATCCTGATTTGATCATTATACATTATATACACGTGTCAAAATATCACATGTACTTCTTAAATATGTACAATTATTACCTTCTAATAAAAACAAAAACAACTTTGCAAAACAAACAAACCAAAAAGAGGAAGAAATAAAACAGGAGAGAGCTATAGATGCATCCAGACACTCACTGAAGCATTATGTGATATAATAGACCTTCAATAAACAGACAACAGGAGAATGAAAGCATATTATAATCATAGTATCACAGTGCAATTTCATTTGGTGATGACAGTTACAATTATGAAGACTATAGAAAAACACAGAAAATGTTGAGAATGTGAAAATGTATGAAATTTCTTATGAAGAAAAAGTCCCTCTATATAAAAATGTGCATATAAAACATACACATTTGGAGAAAAATTGGAAGAAAATATACAAAAAAAATAGCTTTATGGCAGCAGTGACATAAATAAAAGTCTTATGTTAATAATGCAATCTAGAAATATGTTAAATAAAGGACTAAAATTTTGAAAAAGTGAATTTTTTACTTACATAACTCAATAATGTATTGACTCAAAGGAAAAAAATACATAAATTGTATATATATAATTTCTCTTACATGATAAAGAATATGTTCAAGTAAACAGTGATACACTAAGGATATATGTATTAAAGTTGTGAACAAAATAGGAATGACTTCAATTACTGAGATGTTCTAGTTGACACAATAATTAAAAAGAGATGTGATGAAAACATAGTTGCAAGGAGAATAAAACAAATCACAATAAACATTTTGTAGATGTCATCTACCTAGAAAAACTCAGGTCATTTATAAGCCCACTTACGTAACAAAAAGAATCCAAATGGAAATAAAATGAAGATCAATAGATTTTTCACATGCCAACCTAATAGGGGGAAAATCCTGGACAACCACTCCCACGTAGAACATGTAAGTTTTACCATAGAATAGAATATTGTTCCCCAATGGTAAAAAAACTTTCCAGGAGAAATGTCCCAGTCAGAATCTGATTCACTCTCACTTCCAGCTCATCACCCAACAAATCCAAGTGACTCACAGAGTTTGGTCATTTCTTCCTTTTTTATTTATTCTGATATCACTTTGCTCTTATAAGAAGGGGAGTTCTGTGTCAACCTTCAATATTTCCTATAAATAATGTCCTTTCTGCCCTCTTTCTCATAGGTATAACTTCAGTGTTGTCACTGATAATATTATTTTCTAGTTTTCAGCTTAGGAAAATATTTTTCTAATTTTATATTCTTTCAGTCATTTCAGCTTGCACTTAAAAAAGGAAGGCCTGTCATTCATGTTTATTATATCTACATTATAAATGGTCCTTTTCAAGAAAAATAATAACAATTTCTTTGGTTTAAAATAATTTTTACCTAGAACTTTTAAATATTCATTTTAAGATATTAGGTTATTGCAGCAATATTCTTTCCTAATATTGTTAGCAGTGGCAAATATGTACATGTTTACAGCAACCTCAATTCTTGCCTCCTCAAAAAACATAATTTTACTGAGTGGCATAAGGCAGAGGAAGAGACCAAGTCAAGTTTTAGAGCAGGAGTAAAAGTTTATTAAAAAGTTTTAGAGCTGGAATGAAAGGAAATAAAGCACACTTGAAAGAGGGCAAAGTGAGCAACCAGAGAGATTCAAGTTCATGGTTTGATCTTTGACTTAGGTTTTAAATGTTGGCATGCTTCCAGCAGGGTGCATCCCTTCTTCCCTGATTCTTCCCTTGGGCTGGGCTGTCCAAAGGCACAGTGGCCTGCTAGCACTTGGGAGGGGCTGCATGTGCGGTGTGTTTACCAAAGTTGTGTTCATGCTCATTTAAGGCATTTTTCCCTTATCAGTCAAGTGTTACTAAAGGAAGGATATATACTTTATTAAACTCTGTGATTATGTCTCTTAATGCACATGCTTGAGCCCAATCATCCAACTCCTAAGATTTTAATAAAGGAGATGCTGATCAGCCATTTCAGGTGTTTATTTATTGGGAGACGGCCCTTCCTTGGCACCAGCTGTGACGGATTATTATTTTAAATAGTTTAACAACCATCTGGACATCACCTGATGGTAGTCTGACATTCCTGGTGATGGGAGAGAAGGGCACTTCTGCCCTGCTCACCTCTGACTACCTACCTACTGTAATATCTCCCCCCTCAAGTGTTCCAAGACCTCAGTTATTTGGGGAAAATGAATAAAGATCAGTCTTCTGTAACTGCTTCCTGCTGACAGAGGGGTGGTGGTGGTTGTTCTGTGGGTCTTGGCCTCTTGCTAGCTGTCAGAGCATGGTGACAGCTGTGGGTTGGTGAAAGCCGTATTCAGCCAGATCCAAGGGAGACAAGGGCAGGGTTTCACCTCTGTCATGTCCTCTAATGGGCAATCTAGGAGAATCTGTATAAAAGTGACTCTTAAATATTGAGAAGCTGGCATCCCTCACTGGGAATCATATAGAGTTTAATGGCCTGAAGGTGAGAGGAAAAAAAATCAGGTTGTGAGATTTAGAAGACTTCAGCCAAAAAGGACAAGTAGAAATGTCAAAGCAAATAATGGGGGTGAGGACAGTTTCAAAAATATTCCTGGACTGCCAAAATGTCCTGATAGCTGGTGGCTATAGTCATGCCTGCTAAGACTTGCATGCATGGGGCTGCTGGCCAATTCTAATATGTGCCCAGAGTTAGAAAATTGATCTAGAATTTTACATTGCCCATCCTTATTGTTTCTTCTGAGCTGCAGCCAGAGATCACTGGTTGGTTCACAGAAATAAGCTTGGTTAGTCTAAATTGCAGACAAAAACTCAAAAACAACTGTTGAGACTAGAATCTAATAACAGGTATACCATAGTTCATGAAATATAATTTTTCTCTCTTCATTCCTCATTTTATTAAAAATGAATTATGATAGGATTAATTCATTTGCAAAATAAGCTTTAGTATTATTATACTTCTCCTGATTATTTGCATAAAGCACAGCAAGGATAATTATTTGCCATATAAGCTCCTTTAAATTGTCTTTGATAGAACTTGATTCCATAAGAAAGCTCAGATAAGGCTTTTTAAAGATTTAGGCACAGCCAAGGGTTTCTGCCATCAAATCCCAGTATGGGTTGGCTAAATTAATCTGTTCTTGAGATCCCAAGATAACTTGAGGTTCCCAGGCCTGTCAGAAAGTGATATTCTTTGCTTACCACAGGTCAGACATCCTGTACAGGGATTGTGTAGACGAAGTATGAGACCAGTTTTCCCAAGGGGCTTCTATTGACTCTGTAAGTCAAGTTTGACTCCTTAAAGGAAAGCATGCCATTCTAGTCAAAGAATTGGTAAAATAACCAGTTTCTCTGACTGTGGCCTGTTGCAAAAGAAAATAAATTTTTATCAAAGTTAGGCAAATAACTATATTGCCATAAGTTCAGAATACTCACAAATAATTTCTAAATTCTGGAGAAATCAGGTAGAAAGAAAGAAATATGCTCCAATTTTGTTTATAGGAATATAAGTTACTTAATTGTTAAATCTGTAAATCATGCAAAAGAAAAGTTTTCTTGGCTCTGAAAAACAAAGGATCACTGGCATTTTAAGCAAAAAGTCGTAAAAAGATTGTATCAGCCTTCTGTTCAGTTCATGTGGTAAAATCCTGTTCTGCTTGATATTCATGAAAATTTTAGCTTTCTCGGGGAGGAGCCAAGAGGGCCGAGTAGGAACGGCTCCGGTCTACAGCTCCCAGCGTGAGCGACGCAGAAGATGGGTGATTTTTGCATTTCCATCTGAGGTACCGGGTTAATCTCACTAGGGAGTGCCAGTCAGTGGGCGCAGGTCAGTGGGTGCGCACACTGTGCGCGAGCCGAAGCAGGGCGAGGCATTGCCTCACTCGGGAAGCTCAAGGGGTCAGGGAGTTCCCTTTCCTAGTCAAAGAAAGTGGTGACAGACGGCAGCTGGAAAATTGGGTCACTCCCACCCAAATACTGCGCTTTTCCGACGGGCTTAATAAAAGGCGCACCAGGAGATTATATCCCGCACCTGGCTCTGAGGGTCCTATGCCCACGGAGTCTCGCTGATTGCTAGCACAGCAGTCTGAGATCAAACTGCAAGGCAGCAGCGAGGCTGGGGGAGGGGTGCCCGCCATTGCCCAGGCTTGCTTAGGTAAACAAAGCAGCCAGGAAGCTCGAACTGGTAGGAGCCCAACACAGCTCAAGGAGGCCTGCCTGCCTCTGTAGGTTCCACCTCTGGGGGCAGGGCACAGACAAACAAAAAGACAGCAGTAACCTCTGCAGACTTAAATGTCCCTGTCTGACAGCTTTGAAGAGAGCAGTGGTTCTCCCAGCACACAGCTGGAGATCTAAGAACAGGCAGACTGCCTCCTCAAGTGGGTCCCTGACCCTTGACCCCTGAGCAGCCTAGACAAACAGAGAGCCAAATCATCCTTTGGAGGAGGAGAGCTAAATCTTGAGTGAATTCCCATTCACAATTGCTTCAAAGAGAATAAAATACCTAGAAATCCAACTTACAAGAGATGTGAAGGACGTCTTCAAGGAGAACTACAAACCACTGCTCAACGAAATAAAAGAGGATACAAACAAATGGAAGAACATTCCATGCTCATGGGTAGGAAGAATAAATATCATGAAAATGGCCATACTGCCCAAGGTAATTTACAGATTCAATGCCATCCCCATCAAGCTACCAATGACTTTCTTCACAGAATTGGAAAAAACTACTTTAAAGTTCATATGGAACCAAAAAAGAGCCTGTATCACCAAGTCAATCCTGAGCCAAAAGAACAAAGCTGGAGGCATCATGCTACCTGACTTCAAACTACACTACAAGGCTACAGTAACCAAAACAGCATGGTACGGGTACCAAAACAGAGATATAGACCAATGGAACAGAACAGAGCCCTCGGAAATAACGCCACATATCTACAACTATCTGATCTTTGACAAATCTGAGAAAAATAAGCAATGGGGAAAGGATTCCCTATTTAATAAATGGCACTGGGAAAACTGGCTAGCCATATGTAGAAAGCTGAAACTGGATCCCTTCCTTACACCTGATACAAAAATTAATTCAAGATGGATTAAAGACTTAACCGTTAGACCTAAAACCATAAAAACCCTAAAAGAAAACCTAGGCAATACCTTTTAGGACATAGGCATGGGCAAGGACTTCATGTCTAAAACACCAAAAGCAATGGCAACAAAAGTCAAAATTGACAAATGGGATCTAATTAAACTAAGGAGCTTCTGCACAGCAAAAGAAACTACCATCAGAGTGAACAGGCAACCTACAAAATGGGAGAAAATTTTCGCAACCTACTCATCTGACAAAGGGCTAATATCCAGAATCTACAATGAACTCAAACAAATTTACAACAAAAAAACAAACAACCCCATCAAAAAGTGAGCAAAGGACATGAACAGACACTTCTCAACAGAAGACATTTATGCAGCCAAAAAACACATGAAAAAATGCTCACCATCACTGGCTATCAGAGAAATGCAAACCTAAACCACAATGAGATACCATTTCACACCAGTTAGAATGGCAATCATTAAAAAGTCAGGAAACAACAGGTGCTGGAGAGGATGTGGAGAAATAGGAACACTTTTACACTGTTGGTGGGACTGTAAACTAGTTCAACCATTGTGGAAGTCAGTGTGGTGATTCCTCAGGGATCTAGAACTAGAAATACCATTTGACCCAGCCATCCCATTACTGGGTATATACCCAAAGGACTATAAATCGTGCTGCCATAAAGACACATGCACATGTATGTTTATTGCGGCATTATTCACAATAGCAAAGACTTGGAACCAACCCAGATGTCCAACAATGATAGACTGGATTAAGAAAATGTGGCACATATACACCATGGAATACTATGCAGCCATAAAAAATGATGAGTTCATGGCCTTTGTAGGGACATGGATGAAACTGGAAATCATCATTCTCAGTAAACTATCGCAAGAACAAAAAACCAAACACTGCATATTCTCACTCATAGGTGGGAATTGAACAATGAGAACACATGGACACAGGAAGGGGAACATCACACTCTGGGGACTGTTGTGGGGTGGGGGGAGGGGGGAGGGATAGCATTGGGAGATATACCTAATGCTAAATGACGAGTTAGTGGGTGCAGCGCACCAGCATGGCACATGTATACATATGTAACTAACCTGCACATTGTGCACATGTACCCTAAAACTTAAAGTATAATAATAATAAATAAATAAATAAACAAAAAAGAAAAAAAAAGAAAATTTTAGCTTTCCATGAGAGTTCCAAAAGTTTTTCCACTGTTCCAAAGTCACAATCTCCAAAGTCATCAGAAATCTGGATTCAAGAGCACCTGTCAGAGTCCTATAGCTGATTATAAAACCACATTTTCAAGAGGATTAAAATAATAGAATTGTCTATGGATGACAGAAAGTCTTAGGACAGCCACAGTCAAAGAGACAATTGATAAGAAAATTTGATTACTCCCGTGGCACATGATAATTCCACAAAACAATTATAATCATTACTGGTAATGTATACCAAGTCATATCAGAATTATAGGAGTTTTACATAATTTTGGAACACATATCATTAACACATTTATACAAATACAGTCTAAAGAAAGCCAAATTTTACATTTGCATTAGTATAATACTGATGTTAAACCCAATTCTTAATAAAACCTATAGACAAATCTATTCAATCTTAATCAGTCTGACAATAAGGTAAGATTTGTATAAACCTTTTATAATCCTTTACAATTTTCTGTTAAAGGGAAAAATAATACTCTAAGAAAACCATATTGTGCTTTTATTCCAATGGCTATTTTATAGATAAACTGTATAATACCCCTTTAATTGTAGCTAATATTCACACAGATAAGATTTTTTTACAAGATTAGTCTTTTACAAACTTTCCACAAATTGCTCAAGCCTTAAGCTTTAGCCTGTCTAATGTAAAATAATTCTTTAACCCTCTAAACTAGAAAAAATAATCCACATTCCCATGCCTTCTTATGATCTTTTACCAAAAACACATTCTACTTTCTTTACGTGCCTTGAATGTAAAACTTTTCCCAGTAGTCTCAAGTACATGTTAAACTGTTAACTCTTACTTTTGGTAAAAATCTAAAGCAATTCTAATTATGTAGTAGGCTTGGAGGCTAAGATGCTAGATAGGAGCTCAGATAAGGTTTGACACATTTCAGCATAGCTAGGGGCCACAGCTAACTCTCTGTGTCCCAGGTCTTACCTACAAATTAATGGCTTCATAGCAGGCAAGTTGCTCAGTTAAAAGTCATAGTAGTTGTTTATGACCTTAAAGCATTTAGTAGACCTAATAACCTTTAATATTTCTTTTATAAATTCCCTTTCATGAAACTATTTATAACTTACACAGACCGTCTATGACATACTTGACCTTTCTGACTAATTCTAAGCATTCCTCTTTTTAAACAGTTATTTTATTTTAGGGCAAGAATTTACCATACAAGACCATTTTTTATACAAAATCTCTTTTCTTTATAACCTTCTTTGCCAAAAATATGTCTTTACCTTTATAACCTATGAATTAGACAAAAGTAATTTTCCTTCTGTTAGAAAGTAAAGGTTTGTACTGCATGTTGCTGTGGGGGTCCTTTGAAGGGGAAGCAGATAAGGAGGTTATCTATATACTATAGAAGTTATCCCCCTTCAAGAGTTGGCTCAGTTAGATTTTTGCTAGTCTGAATAAGTGTGGGCTATTTTAAAACCACTGAGGTAGAACTGTCCAGGTTAAAGTTATTGGTTTAAAATTTAGGTAGTTTTCTCAGGAAAAATAGATCTATTAGAGGAAAAGATGAATTTAGAGGTTGGGTAAATATTAAGCATGGACTCATTTTGGAAAATTTTTTTTTCCCCAAAGAAGTTTGAATATTTTTGTTTGGAGGGAGGGGGTAGCATTTGGCCCCATTACCCAACAAGATTTGGAGGAGAGTTGCTCAGAGAAGGAGATTAGCACAGAGCAGGCAGCTCTTGAATCCCAAAGGGAAATTTATAATTTTATTGTCACCTCCAGATTTTTTCTGGGCTTGGTCTTGTTGATGACAATGTCTGATTTGGATGCCAGCCAGAGCACAGAGCCCATTCAGCTCAAGGCTATCAAAGGTTGGGATTCTGAACTGGGGGCCCTTCAACCCTCAGGAAAGTCCTGTTTCCAGTGGTTGAGCTTGTGGCAAAGGGACAAGCCGTGCAGGGCTTTTTCCCATTTATCCCATTGGAACAATTTGGCTTCCAATGGCCTGGCTCCCCACATCAACGGCAGTTACCTGGGAATGTATTCTAAGGGCAACCTAGAGGGGGATGGAAAGCTTATAAACAGCCATTAGTTGAGCCTGTCTCTGGTTCCTGTGTTTCTCCATTTCCTCAGACTTGTCCTCCTTATTCTGCTTTTGGTTATCAAAGACTTAGGAGGCAAATTTGAGGATTTCCTGCATTATTAGGGCTATGGGTTCTAAGGCTGGCTTTTAAAATTTTCTCCCAGTATTTCAAAGGAAACCTAGTATTTTTTTTTAAGTTTTACAGGGGGTCAAATTTTTCCAAGTTTTTGAGGATGCATCAGAGGGGCATGTCATGTGGTATGGAGACATGATTACCTATCTGTGAAGAGAAGACAGAGGAGAAAGAAAAGACCAAGGACAAAAAAAGGTATCCCCTCTTACTTTCCTATTATCCTTAACAGGCTGTCCCCCAGTCATCCTTAAGGTACTGAAATGAAGCAGTCTTACCATGTACCCTTAACCTTGCTCCCGTCTCATCACAATTAGCCACTTGAGAACAGAGGAGGTACCAGAGTAAACAGGGGGCCTGCTATTCATCCTTGGGGTTCTGGAATATACCGGTCTTACCATGTACCCCTAAATTTGTCTTCAACTCTGTTCTAATGGTAATCTGATAGCCTGGGACCAACCTTTATCTCTGTCCTATGGGTCTTTTATGCCTGCATCTTTGGCTTGGCCTATACCCTTTCCTCCATTACCTTTTAGTGATTCTTGCTAGGAGCATTCTAGCAACAAAACGATTATCTCTTTTCTCAGATTCCCATTTCCCATGTTCTTTAAGTAGACTAGAAGCCTGTTTTTCTGTTAACTGCCACAAGGGGACTGGATTTCCCTACCTTTGAATATGAGGTTGAAGGACTTGATGCATATTGAGAAGGGTGCGGAATTAGAGAAATGGAGGCTACAGGAAAAGTGGGAGGAAGCAAGAAGAATACTCATGAAAATCTTCCATATGCTCATGAAAACAGCAGCCCTTGAATTTGAGAGATCAATGTTTATTTGCACATTTGACATTAAGGACTAACCTCTGGAAGACTTGGGGCTTGGGGTTAGAACTTGCAAATGGCAAAGGAAGAATTTTCCCTCCTCACAATGGGGTGCTAACTCAAAAAAAAAAAAAAAAAAAAAGAACAAGTAGGTTGGGTCCTTAAAGGGCCACAGAGTAAATCCCTATACTGGCAGACAAACTGCTTCAAAAGCCACCAGAAAACTTTGCCCTGGGGTGTAACAGGAATGAAAAACATATGGTAAGTCATGAGGAGCTGACAGAGCTGGGATTCTGATTAGTGCCTTTCTTGGCAACATGCCAGAAGATAAGGCAAGGGTTGGAGGTCTCTTCTGAGCTGGTAGGGTAAAAAGCCAGTATAAATCTCAGGGGATATCTGCAAGGGAGCCCATGTCTTTGCTGCTGAACAAACACAGCAAGAGCCACAGGCACAGAGACAATGGGGAATGTGTGCATTTAAGGCAGAGAAGAAAGTCACATGGCATGCAAAGTGAAACCAGAGAAAAGGCAGACTTGCCCCTGATGAGAATGATCTGGTGGGTGTGCAAGACCATTTCAGAAAACACAGAGAGAAAATAGCAGAATTGACACAGAAGACTTTGGAGAAAGGGCCAATTTTAGTTGAAAAACAGACGAAACCACAGACATTGCATGGTGTTAGGCTTTAGCCCTATCGCTCTCATGAGGCTGCTGTCCAGGAGGGCCATTAGTGTCTCAGGTCTACTTGGCGCAATCTCCAAGGTCCTTCCTACCCCCATAAGCCTTCCATCAGGGTGAACAGAGAAATCAGCCATGGAGAGCAGAGTCACTGTTGCTGGACACTAGTTGGTAGGCAGGAGAGCAAAAGGGGAGAAGAAAACCTTGTGCAGTGGTTGAATGCCTCCAGCCAAAGAAGGTGAGGTGTAGAGGTGTCTTACCAATAGGGAATGTATCAGAGTCAGGCAACACCAAGGTATGTTACCACTAGGGGCCATATCCAAGTAACATGGTATAAAAGTATGTTACCACTAGAGAATGTATCCGAGCCATGTGGCACCAAAGTATGTTAGCATCAGTAAATCCACATGGGTTTGAAGCAACCTCAACTCTTGCCTCCTCAGAAGAAATAATTTGACTGAGGGACATAAGGCAGTGGGAGAGACAGAGCCATGATTTAGAGCAGTAGTAACAGTTTTTTTATGGCTGCATAGTATTCCATGGTGTATGTGTGCTATGCAGCCATAAAAAACGATGAGTTCATGTCCTTTGTAGGGACATGGATGAAGCTGGAAACCATCGTTCTCAGCAAACTATCACAAGGACAAAAAACCAAACACCGCATGTTCTCACTCATAGGTGGGAATTGAACAATGAGAACACATGGACACAGGAAGGGGAACATCACACACCGGGGACTGTTGTGGGGTGGGGGGGAGGGGAGAGGGATAACATTAGGAGATATACCTAATGCTAAATGACAAGTTAATGGGTGCAGCACACCAACATGGCACATGTATACATATGTAACAAACCTGCGCGTTGTGCACATGTACCCTAAAACTTAAAGTATAATAATAATAATAATAAAAAGTTTTTTAAAAAAGTTTTAGAGCAGGAACTAAAGGAAGTAATATACACTTGGATGAGGGCCAGGCAGGGGACTTGAGATATTCAACTGCACAGTTTGACCTTTGAGTTGGAGTTGTATATGTTGGCATGCTTCTAGGCAGTTGTGTCCTTCTCCCCTGAGTCTTCCCTTGAGATGTGCTGTCCCCATGTCCAGTGGCCTGGCATACCAGCACTTGTGAGGGGTGGCATGCACAGTGTGTTTATGGAAGTTGCACATGTGCTCACTTGAGATGTTTTTCTCTTATTAGTAGAGTTTCTAGAGCAAAGTCATATACCTGTTGACCTCTGCCATTTTGCCTCTTAGTGTGCATGCTTGAGCCCACTCACTCAATTTTTGAGATTTCATTGGGAAGCTGCTTATCACCAGTATCAGGTGTTTATTTACTGGGAGACTGCATTTCCCTGGCACCAGCTGTGACCAACTATTATGTTAGAGAGACAGTTTAACAACCACCTGAACAGAGATGGTTACCTAACATTCCTGGTGAAAGTGGAAGGCCTTCTTCTGCCCTGCTCATCTCTAAGTACCAGCTGCAACAATATTACTTCCATATTATATTATTACAAATATTCCTGAGTAATTTTTCAAGATTGTATGTTTAATAGAATAAAAAATGAGGTGTGCATGTGTGTATGTTTTACTCAATGTGAGTATATACTTCAAAAAGTGAATTTAAGCCATTCATATGTATTTTTATAATACATTTATCTAAAATACTTTATGCTTTTTAAAAATAAAAGTTAATTTTCTTTTATTTTTCTTTCTGCTAACTTACTGTACTTTTAAAATAGAAATATGAACTATTTAACTTCCATCTCTAAGTAACTACCAATAACTGAAAGCATACTTTAATATATATTTTCCACTTATAATTAGAAATAATTGATAAATTTTTAGTCTCCTCCCATCCCACATATGAAGTCATTGAGATTTTCTTAACTCCTGAACATGATATAACCCTTATTGTTATTTAGATGTGTTATAAAAGATTTTGTACCATTTTTAAAATTAAATTTGACATTTGCCTATACTCTTACAAACCCATTAATAAAAATGGCCAATTCTTTATATTGAAGCCTTTTGTTAATGCTTTGTATGATGCTTTTAAAAAGAGTCATTTTGTTGTTTCAGCTTTCCTTATTTGGGTTTATTAGACTTGTGTATAAAAAATTGTCTTAATACATAAAACATGGATTAGCTATAGAGAAAATGCATTGATCATTAATATTTTTCTGTGAATTTTGTAAGCTTATTTTTTTCTGTCTGTTGTCATTTAATGTTGCACAAGAAAATCTAAGACTTTCTGAATTTTTCTTCCTTTGTAGATATAACTTGATTTTTTCTGGCTGGATACCTGTTCTTGAAATTGATAAGTGGGTATGTGTAACTGCTAGATGTATATAATTTTCATTAACTTTGTTTGGTATATGGTGAGTTTTTTGAATCTGTAGTCTCTTATTTTTTAGTCTGAAAAAAATTTATTTTTTAATTGCATCCATGTATGCATTCGCTTTTATTTTTTCTTCAGATCATCAGTTATCTGAAGTTTGTATGTTCATTCTTGTGCTTCCTTAGGTGTGGTCAGAACTGTAATACCTTTCTTCTCTTTGTCTTTTCCTTTTGTATTCTGAGAATGCATCATTATATTAGCCCTCTACCTCATTGTACTTGCTTCTTACTACTATAATTCTACTCCTTACTACTGTTATTGCTGTTCTGAACCCTGTGATGGCATTTGTTACTAGTTCCATAACATAGTTCTGTGTCATAGGCAGTTCTTCAGATTCTTAAGGCAGTACTCAATCATCTGGTTTTTCAACTGTAGTTTATTGAAAGTTATATTTTCTCAAATTTTACTGAAAAGCACAAAATAAATATTTCTAAAATTCTCTACTGAATCTTATTTGAATTATTTTCAAGAGTTTGTTCTCCCTATCCTCATTGTGTACTAGTTTCTCTCATCCTGGATCTCATTACAGTATTTTTTCATAAATCTTATTGTACACCAAAAATAAAATTCTGAGCACCCCAATTGACTCAATGGACACCCCTCTCAGCCAAGGGGATTCCAAAGAAACCTGAAAAAAGTAGTTCAGGCATGACAAGAAGGAGGATTGAACTTGTCTCATTTTACTTTACCCCTTTTAGAGTTTAGACACAACTGACCAGCATTAATATGAAAATAGAGATTTTAACACTGACAGAACAGATAGCTTGTAGCAATAAGATGCCAACTACAATCTGACTCTGGTATAATTTTACATGACCAATAACAGACTCTAAAGGAAATCAAAGTATTTTTTACCAAAATATATTTCTTTGACTTGTTTTGAAATGGCTCTGCAAAGCCATCTCTTGTGGGGAAATTTACATTATGTAGCAAATCCTCTTCCCTTTCCAGGTCTTTTCCTGATCCAAGAGAGATTTAACTAAAAATCTGATACCTTTTAACATCAGATAGGAGACACCATCTATTCTTTCTGAAGCATGCTACCTGCAGGATTCATCTACATACAAATAACTTTGGCTTCAGTCACCCACTACCTAATCTTGAACCCAGGCATTCCTTTCTGCTGACTTCAATTCTTTAGGAAAAGCTTAATTCTTCCAACAAATTACCAACCAGAAAATCTTAGAAACCACCTATGATGTGGAAGGCTTCACTGTGAGATGTCCCACCTGTCAGGCCTCTGAGCCCAAGCAAAGCCATTGCATCCCCTGTGACTTGCATGTATAGGCCTATATGGCCTGAAGTAACTGAAGAATCACAAAAGAAGTGAATATGCCTTGCCCCACCTTAACTGATGATATTCCACCACAAAAGAAGTGTAAATGGCTGGTCCATGCCTTAACTGATGACATTACCTTGTGAAAGTCCTTTTCCTGGCTCATCCTGGCTCAAAAAGCACCACCACTGAGCACCTTGCTACCCCCACTCCTGCCTGCCAGAGAACAAACCCCCTTTGACTATAATTTTCCTTTACCTACCCAAATCCTATAAAACGGCCCCACCCTTATCTCCCTTTGCTGACTCTTTTCAGACTCAGCCCACCTGCACCCAGGTGAAATAAACAGCCATGTTGCTCACACAAAGCCTGTTCGGTGGTCTCTTCACACGGACACGTATGAAATTTGGTGCCGTGACTCGGATCGGGGGACCTCCCTTGGGAGATCAATCCCCTGTCCTCCTGTTCTTTGCTCCATGAGAAAGATCCACCTATGACCTCAGGTCCTCAGACCGACCAGCCCAGGGAACATCTCACCAATTTTAAATCAGGTAAGCAGCCTCTTCTTACTCTCTTCTCCAATCTCTCTCACTGTCCCTCAACCACTTTCTTCTTTCCACTCTTCAATCTCTCCCTTCTCTTAATTTCAATTCCTTTCGTTTTCTGGGAGAGACAACGGAGACACGTTTTATCTGTTGACCCAAAACTCCGGCGCCGGTCACTGACTGGGAAGGCAGCCTTCCCTTGGTGTTTAATCATTTCAGGGACACCTCTCTGATTATTCACCCACGTTTCAAAGGTGTCAGACCACGCAGGGACACCTGCCTTGGTCCTTCACCCTTAGCGGCAAGTCCTGCTTTTCTGGGGAAGGGGCAAGTACCCCAACCCCTTCTCTCCTTGTCTCTACCCCTTCTCTGCTTTCCTGGGGCAGGGGCAAGTACCCATCAACCCCTTCTCCTTCACCCTTAGCAGCAAGTCCCGGTTTTCTACAGGGCAAGAACCCCCAATCCCTTATTTCCGTGCCCCAACCTCTTATCTCTGTGCCCCAATCCCTTATTTCCACACCCTGACCTCTTATCTCTGTCCCCCAATCCCTTATTTCCGCACCCCAACCTTGTATCTCTGTGCCCCAATCCCTTATTTCCGTGCCCTGACCCCTTATTTCCATGACCTGACCCCTTATTTCTGTGCCCTGACCCCTTATTTCTGCACCCCATCCCTAATTTCCACACCCTGACCTCTTATCTCTGCACCCCAACCCCTTTTCCCACTTTTCTGGAAGGTAAGAACCCCCGAACCCCTTCCCTCCATTTCTCTACTCTCTCTTTTCTCTAGGCTTGCTTCCTTCACTATAGGCAACCTTCCACTCTCCATTCCTCCTTCTACTCCCTTGGCCTGTGTTCTCAAAAACTTAAAACCTCTTCAACTCACACCTGACCTAAAACCTAAATGCCTTATTTTCTTCTGCAATGCCGCTTGACCCCAATAAAATCTCGGCAGTAGTTCCAAATAGCCAGAAAATGGCACTTTGAATTTTTCCATCCTGTAAGATCTAAATAATTCTTGTCACAAAATAGGCAAACAGTCTGAGGTGCCTGACGTCCAGGCATTCTTTTACACATCAGTCCCTTCCTAGTCTCTGTGCCCAGTGCAACTCATCCCAAATCTTCCTTCTTTCCCTCCCACCTGTCCCCTCAGTCCCAACCCCAAGCGTCATGAGTCTTTCTAATCTTCCTTTTCTACAGACCCATCTGACCTCTCCCCTCCTTGCCAGGCTGAGCTAGGTCCCAATTCTTCCTCAGCCTCTGCTCCTCCACCCTATAATCTTTTTATCGCCTCCCCTCCTCACACCTGGTCAGGCTTACAGTTTCGTTTCGTGACTAGCCCTCCCCCACCTGCCCAGCAATTTACTCTTAAAAAGGTGGCTGGAGCTAAAGGCATAGTCAAGGTTAATGCTCCTTTTCCTTTATCCCAAATCAGATAGCGTTTAGGCTCTTTTTCATCGAACATAAAAATCCAGCCCAGTTCATGACTTGTTTGGCAGCAACCCTGAGACACTTTACAGCCCTAGACCCTAAAAAGTCAAAAGGCCGTCTTATTCTCAAAATACATTTTATTACCCAATCTGCTCCCGACATTAAATAAAACTCCAAAAATTAAATTCCGGCCCTCAAACCCCACAACAGGATTTAATTAACCTCGCCTTCAAGGTGTACAATAATAAAAAAAAGTTGCAATTCCTTGCCTCCACTGTGAGACAAACCCCAGCCACATCTCCAGCACACAAGAACTTCCAAACGCCTGAACCGCAGCGGCCAGGCATTCCTCCAGAACCTCCTCCCACAGGAGCTTGCTACACATGCCGGAAATCGGGCCACTGGGCCAAGGAATGCCCGCAGCCCGGGATTCCTCCTAAGCCGCGTCCCATCTGTGTGGGACCCCACTGAAAATCGGACTGTTCAACTCACCTGGCAGCCACTACCAGAGCCCCTGGAACTCTGGCCCAAGGCTGTCTGACTGACTCCTTCCCAGATCTTCTCGGCTTAGCGGCTGAAGACACACTGCCCGATCGCCTTGGAAGCCCTCTAGACCATCACAGACGCAGAGTTTCGGGTAACTCTCACAGTGGAAGGTAAGCCCGTCCCCTTCTTAATCAATACGGAGGCTACCCACTCCACATTACCTTCTTTTCAAGGGCCTGTTTCCCTTGCCTCCATAACTGTTGTGGGTATTGACGGCCAGGCTTCTAAACCTCTTAAAACTCCCCAACTCTGCTGCCAACTTAGACAACACTCTTTTAAGCACTCCTTTTTAGTTATCCCCACCTGCCCAGTTCCCTTATTAGGCTGAGACACTTTAACTAAATTATCTGCTTCCCTGACTATTCCTGGACTACAGCTATATCTCATTGTCGCCCTTCTTCCCTATCCAAAGCCTCCTTTGCATCCTCCTCTTGTATCCCCCCACCTTAACCCACAAGTATAAGATACCTCTACTCCCTCCTTGGCGACCGATCATGCACCCCTTACCATCTCATTAAAACCTAATCACCCTTACCCCACTCAACGCCAATATCCCATCCCGCAGCACGCTTTAAAAAGATTAAAGCCTGTTATCACTCGCCTGCTACAGCATGGCCTTTTAAAGCCTATAAACTCTCCTTACAATTCCCCCATTTTACCTGTCGTAAAACCAGACAAGCCTTACAAGTTAGTTCAGGATCTGCACCTTATCAACCAAATTGTTTTGTCTATCCACCCCATGGTGCCAAACCCATATACTCTCCTATCCTCAATACCTGCCTCTATAACCCATTATTCTGTTCTAGATCTCAAACATGCTTTCTTTACTATTCCTTTGCACTCTTAATCCCAGCCTCTCTTCATTTTCACTTGGACTGACCCTGACACCCATCAAGCTGAGCAAATTACCTAGGCTGTACTGCTGCAAAGCTTCACAGACAGCCCCCATTACTTCAATCAAGCCCAAATTTCTTCCTCATCTGTTACCTATCTCAGCATAATTCTCATAAAAACACACGTGCTCTCCCTGCCAATCGTGTCCGACTGATTTCTCAAACCCCAGCACCTTCTACAAAACAACTCCTTTCCTTCCTAGGCATGGTTAGCATGGTCAGAATTCTTACACAAGAGCCAGGACCACACCCTGTAGCCTTTCTGTCCAAACAACTTGACCTTACTGTTTTAGCCTAGCCCTCATGTCTGTGTGCAGCGGCTGCCACTGCATTAATACTTTTAGAGGCCCTCTAAATCACAAACTATGCTCAACTCACTCTCTACAGTTCTCATAACTTCCAAAAATCTATTTTCTTCCTCATACCTGACACATATACTTTCTGCTTCCCGGCTCCTTCAGCTGTACTCACTCTTTGTTGAGTCTCCCACAATTACCATTGTTCCTGGCCCAGACTTCAATCCGGCCTCCCACATTATTCCTGATACCACACCTGACCCCCATGACTGTATCTCTCTGATCCACCTGACATTCACCCCATTTCCCCAAATTTCCTTCTTTCCTGTTCCTCACCCTGATCACACTTGATTTATTGATGGCGGTTCCACCAGGCCTAATCGCCACACACCAGCAAAGGCAGGTTATGCTATAGTACAAGTCACTAGCCTGCCTCTTAAAACCTCTCATTTCCTTTCCATCATGGAAATCTATCCTCAAGGAAATAATTTCTCAGTGTTCCATCTGCTATTCTACTACTCCTCAGGGATTATTCAGGCCCCCTCCCTTCCCTACACATCAAGCTTGAGGATTTGCCCCACCCAGGACTGGCAAATTAGCTTTACTCAACATGCCCTGAGTCAGATAACTAAAATACCTCTTAGTCTAGGTAGATACTTTCACTGGATAGGTAGAGGCCTTTCCTACAGGGTCTGAGAAGGCCACCACAGTCATTTCTTCCCTTCTGTCAGACATAATTCCTCAGTTTAGCCTTCCCACCTCAATACAGTCTGATAACAGATGAGCCTTTATTAGTCAAATCAGCCAAGCAGATTTTCAGGCTCTTAGTATTCAGTGAAACTTTTATATCCCTTACGGTCCTCCGTCTTCAAGAAAAGTAGAATGGACTAAAGGTCTTTTAAAAACACACCTCACCAAGCTCAGCCACCAACTTAAAAAGGACTGGACAATACTTTTACCACTTTCCCTTCTCAGAATTCAGGCCTGTCCTCGGAATGCTACAGGGTACAGCCCATTTGAGCTCCTGTATAGACGCTCCTTTTTATTCTCAGCTACTCATACATGCCCTGCTCTTGTTTACACTGCTGGTTTACACTGTTTTTCCAAGCCATCACAGCTGATATCTCCTGGTGCTATCCCCAAACTGCCACTCTTAACTCTTGAAGTAAATAAATAATCTTTGCTGGCAGGACTATGCTGAATCTCCTTAGGCACTCTCTAATGAGATATCCTGAGTCATCCCAATTCTTAGACCTTTTATACCTGTTTTTCTCCTTCTGTTATTCCATTTAGTTTCTCAATTCATTCAAAACCGTATCCAGGCAATCACCAATCATTCTATACGACAAATGTTTCTTCTAACATCCCCACAATATCACCCATTACCACAAGACCTCCCTTCAGCTTAATCTCTCCCACTCTAGGTTCCCACGCCACCCCTAATCCTGCTTGAAGCAGCCCTGAGAAACATCGCCCATTCTCTCTCTCGGATGCACATGAAACCACCTCTCTAGGCTGAACCAATGTATACCTTACATATATTGATGTATATCTTTGCCTATAACTTCTGACTCCCTAAAATGTATAAAATCAAGCTGTAACCCAACCACTTTAGACACATGTTCATAGGGCCCCCTGACGCTGTATCATGGGTTAAGATCCTCACATTTGGCTCAGAATAAACATCTTCAAATATTTTACAGAGTTTGATTTCTTTGGTCAACACTATGAAGCTTCTAAATTTTCTTTTTAATTTGTTTTATTTTTAATTTTGAAATATATGTGTGCAGTCATTTGACAACACTTTAAAGTGTCAAGGCCTTTTCTTTGGAAATGGCTTTTAAAATTGAATTCAAGCTTATTTTAGCTTATCTTTTAAAATAATCTACACCCATATTGCATCATGGACTCTTTTCAGTTTCAGTTGTAGAACAAGAACCTAAAGAACTCAAGAAGCATTTTAAATAGAGACTCAGTCTATACTTTTATAAACACATGCCAAATCATTTAAAGTTATCTTGCTCACACTTAATTTGACAGCAACTATTTTTTATCAGCACGTTTTCATTTAGTCTTTCAAAATATTCTATTTAATATTTACCAGGATAACTGTTTTCACAACGTTATTTGAATGGTTGATATTGTATCTAGTTAACCTACACATTTATAATAAAAAAACTCAATTAGAATAAACCAAGGGGAAAACCACAAGTAGGTTTCAAGAGACACAGATTTCAGAAAAATGGGGTTCAGTGTTCAGAAGTTAAAAGTTAAGGTCTTGCTTATATAAGGAGAATACAAATTTAATGGAATTACAACATTTTCTATACAACACTGATTTGTGAGTTATAAAAATTTAATTATTTATCGTCTGTTTCATTTTCTTTTTACAATTTAAAAGACTACATTTAACATTCACTCTTAAGATATTGTGATAGCCATGAAGTCTTTATGTGAAAAAGGTAAGAGGGAAGTTCACCTATAATAAAGATCAACAGTGAAGAGAGAAAAGGTCTTCCCTGGAACTCTTTAGTCATTTATAGCATTTTACAAACCAATGCAGTTAAAAAATAAAGCTCATCTATAATTAAAGAAACAAAATTACAGCTGCCTAGGGGACAGGTGCCTAGGTTACAGCTGTCTGCCAGGTGACTCAGGACTCATCACATTCCTTTAAGGCTCAAAATAACTTACAGGTTCAACAGCTTAGATTTTTATTTACTTATTTTCACACTTTGAGTATATACTAGATAAAATATCATGCACCTTTCTTAACATGAAGCATAGCATGCGACTATGCAGAGTGGAGTAGAAGGCTATGTCTTTTAAAGTGAGTAACAAATCGGTAAAGTAGAGTTCATATTTAGCCAAAAAGAGATTGTTTAAAGCCCAAAAGGAATATCAAAAATAAAAATGCATAAGCAAAATACTGTATGCTAGCTGCTGAGACTTTTGTTAACATTGGAGAATCACTCCATTTGTTTTTTATACCTCAGCATTGCCCTTGTTCTATAAACTTATATGAAATAAAAAGCAAAGAAAATTTATTCAGTTAATCAAGATATGCAAAACTCAAACTCACATTATTTTCTTATTAACGTTCTAACAAATATAATACTTATTTTCTGTCACAGGCAACCACTTTTTTAAAAAATTAATTATTAGCTTATGAATATACCATCATTATGTTAACTGTTGATTTGACAATTTTTGACAGTGAGGTGATTCATATTCCCAAAATACACCTCAAGTTGAGGTCAGTCTCCAAAAAAGTATATCAATTTTTACATAGAAAGATGTAAAAGAGATTTATTAACATAAAAGAAAGAATCAAAGAAGAAAGAAAGGAAAAACTTCTGGGACACTCTTTAACTTAAAAATATTCATCTCCTGGAAGATCATCTTTTGTCCTGATAGTTCCTAATTGGGTCAGGACCTCTGCTGACCAGATCTCCAGTGAAGCTGATACAAATTATTATTATTATTATTATTTTTATTAACAAAAAAATTTAAATATTCTAAAAATACTCATAAGGGCAGACATCAAATGAATAAATGTCGATTCAAGAAAATCTTTGAATATTTGGTAAGAAATATGAGAAGCTGATATTTGAACCAATGCTGATTTCTGCTTCCGAGTTCCAGACTACTTCAGTCAGCAGTATAGGTGGGTGCCTCTCCACCCCAACCAGCTCCCTGCTAGAGGGCTTCTTTCCTAGGAGAAACAGAACTTTAGCATTTCTCATCCTCTCCCCCAGCCTACTGTAGTTGAGTAGTTGGGGCTCTCTTCTTTTACAAAGCCTCCCTCACATGGAAGTTCAACCTGTGCTGTAAACTGCTGAGAATACCAAGTTCCAGATAACCCTTCCCCTGGCTCTTGAGATGGTGGGAGTTTTTGTTTTTCTGTTTTGTTGTTGTTGTTTCTTTCTTGCTTTTTTTGTTTGTTTGTTTGTTTGTTTTTGAGATGGAGCCTCGCTTTTTTGCCCAGGCTGTAATGCAGAGGTGCGATCTTGGCTCACTGCAAGCTCAGCCTCCGGGGTTCACCCGTTCTCCTGCCTCAGCCTCCCGAGTAGCTGGGATTACAGGCGCCCACCACAATGCCTGGCTTTTTTTTTTTTTTTTTTGTATTTTTAGTAGAGACAGGGTTTCACCATGTTAGTCAGGATAGTCTCAATCTCCTGACCTCATGATCATACCAGCAGAGGCAAACTGAGGAAACCTCAGTCTGTTCTCCCACTTCACTGAGAGTTCAGCTTCTAGAATGGAGGTGACTTTTAGAGGGAAATATAAGTAAAGTTTACAGAAGACCATTGGTTTTCACTGAGCTCCTGCACTAGGTTCAACAGACCAAACTAAAATGGAATAATTCATGCTAAAATTCCATGTCACCAAACTGAGAAATCAGGAGAGTGAGACATCAAAGCCAGTTTTAGCCAGCATGATAAGGAAGTCCTCTCCGCTTTAATCTTTACAAGGAAAGTACTTTGAAATAATCAATCTGCTTTTTGTTTTCTGTTTCTGCTTTCTCCAGTCCTTCTCTCTGTATAAAACAACCTCCTCTGCTCAGCTTATTTGAAACTCATTCTGTTTTACAAAATGAGATGTTGCCCAATTCTGGACTCACAAATGAAAATCAATTAAGATATTTAAGCTATACTTTTAATAATTTTGCCACTTGACAGAATTTTCCATTGATCCTACCCCCAGCTTGAGAACATTGACTCAGAGATTTTGCAGGAGGTGAGGGGAATATTAGAGAAACAAGCAATAAAACGGAGCCCAATCTCTTCCTGAAGGAGCTGACTTCATTTTCAACAGAGCATGGAAAAGTTTAAACCTAAGAATACAAATAAAAATAATGGAGGCTGTAGTCAAGTGAATTTGGAGATTTGTGGATTTAATGAAGATACAGTTTAGATTTTTGGCCAGCTATTTGGTAGGGAAAAAGGAAGGGGATCAGGAAATAAGACATTTGGGAGAAGCCCTCCTAAGATCAGAGCAAATTAACACTAACCTCAGAAACTGTTGTCTGAAGGAGCCACACAATGTGATTAGATTACTTTGTAGAGGAATTTATGCCCCAGAGCACTTTTATAAACAATAGTGTAATGTACCAGCAATTAGTGGAGTTTAACATCTGAGTATGGTCTGGAAGAGAGAATGGGAGACCTGCCAAAACTACTGTTATCTCAGGGTGACTGTGGGTATACCCAAAGCTTCATTTCCCAGAGGAACAACTTCAAAGAGACTTAGCACTAAGTGTGTTTGTATGTGGGAGGGTTTATGGGGAGGAATAGATTCACTAATGCAGCTGGTCAATAAACAGATACAAAAGCAAATAAAAATAACAAGCCTAAGAAAGGAGGGAACTAGTACCCAAAATCGTTAAAATATATTATTGAAAAAGTCCAGTTTTATTTGATTCCTATTCCTATTGTTTCCTGTCTTTGATTCATATTCCTATCGTTTCCTATTGTTTTCCTATCTGGGCTTATTAAGCCATTTGTCCGGTGCCACCAAAGGAAGCAATAGGACTCGCTCATACACTCGCTTTGCCTTTTGGTTGAGATCAGGTTTTGAGTTGGTTTTGAGTCTGTTTTGCCTGAATGCACTCCTCTTTGGGTTGTCCAAAATTTATCTCCACTTGTTTGCGTATTTGTCTTATTCCTTTTGATACCATTTGATACAATGTAAACTTAAAAATGGGAGATATTGGGTCCATTCCTGCTAAGAGGCCTCTGGGAAGGAAAAATATTTTTTTAGGAGTTCAATGGTTAAAGATCAGCTTAATTAAAGCTAACACGTAAGATGTGTATATGTATGTGTGCATGTGTGCATGCTTATATTTAAAAGGCCTTCATGATTTTGTTTTTATTTCTCTCCTAGAACCTTGTCTTTTTTAGCAAAAGTGTTTTTTCATCTCAGTTGACTGAATTCTGTTTTCTTCATTAATATCTATTACAACAGAAGCTACTCTGGGGTTTTTAAGGAAAAGCGTAAATTAGACACTTAGAAATGTCTTTGTTTAGAAAAAAAAATTTAAGTGCACTGTAAAAGCATCACATGGTGTAGCCTCATAATAATTCTCCCTGTTTGAAAACCCAGGATTCAGTGTGGGCTCTGCTCAGAGCTCAAAGATCCAGTTAAAAGATAGGAAAAAAGAGGTCTTATGAATCTATAAAATGTACTTCCATTGGCATGCCTAATATGTCTATGTATTTATGTCTTGTGTATACCATGTTTCACTACTGAAAATATATAAAAGAGTTGTAATTAATTGGCTCAAAGAAAAATAATAGCGCACTGAATTATTTTAATAGAGAAAAGACAAGACTGGTCAAATGCTTTTTCAAGTTTATGTGACCTAAATAAAATATTTGATAAATAAGCTAGTTTTAAAATTATTGGTAAAGTAATATTAAAAATGTCTTAAGAGTTGCCAGCATACATTTTTGTTTGCATTTATTGATCAGTAATATCTCTGCCAAATACTGTAAGGTGTCAAAATTTGGCATGGAGGCTTCAAAGCTATAACTCAGCCCAAACAGAATGAACCTTGCTTGTGTAATTTTATAATAACTGAAATATTAATATTGGTTTAATGAAGATAGCTACATCTTGAATTATTTAGTAAAATACCCTAACTTCTAATCTTGTGGGCTTAGACAGTCTAGTCCACAAATATGAAGGAAGTTTGTTCTGGGAAACGACTGTTACCATCTTTTTTTCAAAGCTAAACTATAAACTAAGTTAATCAACAAGAAACATTTGTAGGTTAGAAGCAAGATGGAGTCAGTTAGGTCAGATCATTTTCCCTGTCTCAGTTATAACTTTGCAATGGCAGTTTCATAACTTTAAATGATGACTATTACAGTTTTCATAAATGATCCAGGTGAATGATTAAAATAAATAATTAGATAAATGTAATGGGATGAATACTCATAAACAAACTTGTCGTAATTTAGAATCTAAAGTTATACTAAATTAAACAATAGATTTCTCATTATTTGGGTATTTTCCAATAAAATATATTACATGAAAATATTCTTTCTAAAAATTATGTCCTTTTTAAAGGAAAACTAATTTTTGTGTAATTCAAAGCTTATATATAAAACAAGGTTAAAGAAACCAGGAAATAAGAGTGATATAAAGAAAGCTATATAAATAAAGATCATTTTAAAGATTATTAGTAAAATTAAAATATCTTCAAAAATGTAAACATTTGGTCTAAATTACGCAGGTCAAATATTAAGTTTGCTAAATGCTTTAGTTCATAAACTGCTTCTTTGTCTTAAAACTTGTTCAATTTATTTTGGAGTGTTAAATTCTAGATAAGTCCTGGGGCACATGGAGTTAGATGCTGGAATAAGTCAGACCTTGTCTGCACTTCTGTCTAGGTCCTAGGCTCCACACCTAGTACATAATTAAAATCCCAGACTTACCGAGGTTTTCACCAAAAGTAAAGGTTGCCTAGAATTAACACTGTAACATGTATTTAAGACTATTGGAGAAACAGTTTACATGCAAGGTGTGTAAGGAAAGTAATACATGCTTTTGTTAAAAAGGTTATAAGGAGACATGAGAATGCGGATTTTTGCATAGATTAAAAGGTTAAAGGATTGTTTTAAGTTGGATAAAATAAAGATGACAGTTTAAGCAAGTTGTGGGAGGTTAATTATAAAGGAAATTCTGTGTGTAAACATATTGGCTAAAGTTAAAGGGTATCATCCAGTTTTTCTGTAAATTGAGCATTAAAATAAAAGCACAATGGTTTTCTCTTAGAGCACTAACCTGCTCTTTTACAAAAATTGAAAAGGGCTATAAAAGATCTATAAAAATCTTTATGGTCAAACATTAAAATTGTGTAAATATGTCTATAATATTTTACTAAGAATTGGGTTTAACGTTAATAGTATACTAATGTAAAAGTGAAATTTGGCTTATTTGGTATAAAAATTATACAGACAGCATTGTCAAATATAAAATGGCATTTGGCTTTCTTTGGGCTATGTTATATAAATATGTTAATGATATGTGTTCCAAAGTTATGGGAGACTTCTATAATTCTGATATATCTTAGTGTATGCTATCAGTAATAATTATAATTGTTATGTTAAATTATTGTGTGCCACAAAGGTACAGACTTCCTTGTCAATTTTGTCTTTAACTATGGATACTTTAAACTTTTTGTCATCCATAAACAGCGGTTGTCTTGTTTTGTTCCTCTTTAGAAGGTGGTTTTATAATAAGCTATGAAGCTCTAATGGGTGCTCTTGAATGCATGTTTCCAAAAACTTTGGAGATTTTGACATCCAAATAGAGGGAAAATGTTTAGAACTCTTCAAGAGCTAAAATGTTCATTAATATCAAGCAGGACAGGAATTAACTGCATGAACTGAGCTAATAGGAGACTGAAGGGATCTTTTTGACTTTTTGCTTAAAATGTTGCTAATCCTTTGTTTTGCATTTCAGAGTCAAGGAAATTCTTCTTTTGAGTTATAACAGCAATTGACAACTAAGTAACGAATACTTCTATGAACAAAATTTGGAGCAAATTTTTTCTCTCTACCTGATTCTCCATCCAGAATTTGGAAACTGTTTGTGAGCATTCTTAAATTATGGCAATGTAGTTATTTGCAAAAGTGCAATAAGAATCTGGTTTTTTGTTGGTTGGTTGGTTGGTTGGTTTTTTAACAGGACAAAATTGGAAAAGTTCGTTCTTTTACCAAGGCTTTGAATGGAATGGTGCACTTTCCTTTAAGGAATCAAACTTGACTTATGGAGCCAATAAATCCCTTGGAAAACTGGCCTCATATTTTGTGTACACAGTCCCTGTACAGGGTTTCTAATCTGCAGTAAGTAAAGAATGTCACTTTCTGACAGGCTGGAAACCCCAAGTTATCTTGAGACCTGAAGAGGAGAGGAATTTGCCCAACTCCTAGGTATTTGATGGTACAAATCCGTGGCTGGGCTTGGCTTTAAAAAGTCTTATCGCAGATTCCTTCCATGGAACAAAGTTCCATCAAAGCCAATTTAAAAGGCCTATGTGAAAAATAATTATTTTTGCTCCACTATATACAAATAATTAGGTCAAGTGTAATAAAGCAAACCAGTACTACCATGATTTGTCTTTTAACAAAAATGGGAAACTGGAGAGAGAAAAATTATGTTTCAAAAACTATAGTACACCTGTTGTTAAATTCTAGTCTTTCCTGATGTTTTTCAATTTTTATTATTTTCTGTGGTTTGGATTAATTTTCAAAATAATGTTTTTCAATTTTTTTCCTTTTTCTTTTCCTATTTTCCCATTTTTCCTAATTGGAAATGACAGAAACCTAAGCTGTGCTTTCTTAAAGCCCTGCAAACTGAAGACTAGATAACTTAAATTTCAGAAGAAAACCACAGCAACCTATTTATATGTATTGCTGTTGCCTACTATTATGTTTCAACAGGCGCTGCCTCTAAGCCCCTGAAACAGAGAATGCTACCAGGAACAAATCGACGGCTTCCACTCCAGTGCTACCTTCGGTGTCCCATAACGACAAACCCCTCTCAGCAGGAAGTAGCCAGAAAGATAGCGATGCCCCGTCTCCCTATGTACAAGTATAATAGAAATCATGCACAAATTGACAGTGGGGATTGTGGCAGGCCAGGCCTCACTAACAACTGTTTCAGTACTGAGTGGTTACACTAAATATTAAAAGCCGGTGCCCTGATACAAAGGCTGGGATGTAACAAAAGCTCATGAAGAGTTTTGCTTAGGCCTCTCCTGGGCCTTAAAGCATGACAAAATAATGAAGAAATTCTTTACAGCACCTATGTAGGATTAAGCAAGTTTTATTGTGGATCTGAAGAAATTCACCAGGCCTCCACAAACAAGTTTATTGGGGGTCTGAAGGAACTCCTCAAGCCTCCCTGATTTAACAAGAGATAAGATGAGGGTATTCACCCAAGTGCCTTGACCAATTTAGATTAAGTAAATTTCCTTAGGGCCCAGAGGAAGGTCTTCAGGACTCATACCTTAGTTAGAGATTAATAAAAGTTAATCACTTATATCATTAGATGAAGGCACACTTACAGAAAGACATATATCTTAGAAGGTATATAAGCTCTGGAAAACTTTGTAATTTTGAGTTAGTCTGGCAATAATTTCCAGGCCTTCCTCCTGTAACTGGTTACAGAAATAAAAACTCTCTTCCTCCCCAGTTCATCTGCATCTTGTTTTTGGGTGGTGAGAAACAGCTGCCTGACCCTCAGTTTGGTCTGGGAACATGGCCATTTTTACGATGTTGATTTTTCCTTTCCATGAGGATAGAATGTTTTTCCATTTGTTTGTGTCCTCTCTTATTTTGTTGATCAGTGGTTTGTAGTTCTCCTTGAAAAGGTCTTTCACATCCCTTGTTAGCTGTATTCCTAGGTATTTTATTTTTTTATACTGATTGTGAATGGGAGTTTATTCATGATTTGGTTCTCTGCTTGTCTATCATTGGTGTAAAGGAATGCTTGTGATTTCTGCACATTGATTTTTATATCCTGAGAGTTTTCTGAAGTTACTTATCAGTTTAAGGAGTTTTGGGGCTGAGATGATGGGGTTTTCTTAATATAAAATCATGTCATGAGATAATTTGACTTCCTCTCTTCCTATTTGAATAAACTTTATTTCTTTCTCTTGCCTTATTGCCCTTGCCAGAACTTCCAATACTATGTTGAATAAGAGTGGTGAGAGAGAGCATCCTTGTCTTGTATCGGTTTTCAAAGGGAATGCTTCCAGCTTTTGCCCATTCAATTTGATATTGGCTGTGGGTTTGTTGTAAATAGCTCTTATTATTTTGAGATATGTTCCATCAATACCTAGTTTATTGAGAGTTTTTAACATGAAGGGATGTTGAATTTTATCAAAGGCCTTTTCTTCATCTATTGAGACAATCATGTGTTTTTTGTCATTGGTTCTGTTTATGTGATGGATTATGTTTATTGATTTGTGTATGTTAAACCAGCCTTGCATCTCAGGGTTGAAGCTGACTTAATTGTGGTGGATAAGTTTTTTGATGTGCTGCTGGATTCGGTTTGCCAGTATTTTATTGAGGATACTTGCATGGATGTTCATCAGGGATATTGGCCTGAAGTTTTCTTTATTTGTTGTGTCCCTTCCCAGTTTTGGTATCAGAATGATTCTTGCTTCATACAATAAATTAGGGAGGAATCCCTTATTTTCAGTTGTTTGGAATAGTTTCAGAAGGAATGGTGCCAGCTCCTCTTTGTACCTCTGGTAGAATTCGACTGTGAATCCATCTGGTCCTGGGCTTTTTTTGGTTGGTAGGCTATTAATTACTGCCTCAATTTCAGAACTTGTTACCGGTCTATTCAGGGATTCAACTTCTGCCGGGTTTACTCTTGGGATGGGTATATGTGTCCAGGAATTTATCTATTTCTTCTAAATTTTGTACTTTATTTGCATAGAGATAGATGTTTATAGTATTCTCTGATTGGAATTTGTATTTCTGTGGGGTCAGTGGTGATATCCCAATTATTAGTTTTTAGTGTGTCTATTTGATTCTTCTCTCTTTTCTTTTCTATTACTCTAGCCAGCAGTCTATTTATTTTGTTAATTTTTTCAAAAAAACAGCTCCTGAATTCATTGATTTTTTGGAGTCTTTTTTTTTGTGTCTCTATAGCCAAGACAGTCCTAAGCAAAAAGAATAAAGCTGGAGGCATCATGCTACCTGACTTCAAACTATACTACAAGCTACAGTAACCAAAACAGGATGGTACTGATACCAAAACAGACATGTAGACCAATGAAACAGAACAGGGACTTCAGAAATAACATCACACATCTACAACCATCTGATCTTCAATAAACCTGACAAAAACGAGTAATGGAAAAATGATCTCTTATTCAATAAATGGTGCTGGGAAAATGGGCTAGCTATATGCAGAAAACTGAAACTGGACCCCTTCCTTACACCTTATACAAAAAGTGATTCAAGATGGATTAAAGACTTACATGTAAAAGCCCAAACCCTAAAAACCCTAGAAGAAAAGCAAGGCAATAACATTCAGGACATAGGCATGGACAAAGACTTCATGATGAAAATGGCAAAAGAAATGGCAACAAAAGCCAAAATTGACAAATGGGATCTGATTAAACTAAAGAGATTCTGTATAGCAGAAGAAACTGTCATTAGTGTGAACAGTTAACCTACAGAATGGGAGAAAATTTTTGCAACCTACCCATCTGACAAAGGTCTAATACCCAGAATTTACAAGGAACTTAAACATATTTACAAGAAAAAACAAATCCATCAAAAAGTGGACAAAGGACGTGAACAGACACTTCTCAAAAGAAGACATTTATGCAGCCAAAAAATATGAAAAAAAGCTCAATATCACTGATCATTAGAGAACTGCAAATTAATACCACAATGAGATACCATCTCACGCCAGTCAGAATGATGATTATTAAAAAGTTAACAAACAATAGATGCTGGAGAGACTGTGGAGAAATGGGAATGCTTTTACACCGTTAGTGGGAATGTAAATTAGTTCAACTATTGTGGAAGTCAGTATGGCAATTCAGCAAGGATCTGGAACCAGAAATACCAGTTGACCTAGCATTCCCGTTACTTGGTATATACGAAAAGAAATATACATTATTCTTCTATAAAGACACATGCACATGTATGTTTACTGCAGCACTATTTACAGTAACAAAGTCATGGAACCAACCCAAGTGCCTATCAATGATAAACTGGGTAAAGAAAATGTAGTACATATACACCATGGAATACTATGCAGCCATAAAAAGGAATAAGATCATGTCCTTTGCAGGGACATGACTGAAGCTGGAAGCCATCATCCTCATCACACTAGCATAGGAACAGAAAACCAATCACTGTATGTTCTCACTCATAAGTTGGAGTTGAACAATGAGAACACGTGGACACAGGGAGGGGAATACTGGACACCAGGTCCTGTTGGGGTTAGGGGCGATGGGAGGGAACTTAGAGGATGGGTCAATAGGTGCAACAAGTCACCATGGCACATGTACATCTATAAAACAATTTTGCAAGTTCTGCACATGTATCCCAGAACTTAAAGTAAAAATTTCTTAAAGTCTAGTTTTCAATAAAAAAGTACTAGGTATGCAAAGAAACAGGAAAATATGACCCATAAACTGGAATAAAAGCAAGCAACAAAAATGCCTTTGAGATTTCCCAGATTCCAGATTTAATAGGAAAACATTGTAAAGTAGCTACCTTAAATATATTTACAAATCTAAAGGAAAGCTAGATTAAAGAAGTAAAGACAGGTATAGTGTCAGTGTTGGATCAAATAGAGAATATCAATAAAAGATTTGTTAAAAAATTGTAAAATAACCAAATGGAAATTATAGAGTTGGAAAGTACAATCATTCAAATAAAAAATTTACTAGAGAGGACCTACAGTACATTTAAATGGGCATAAGAAAACATGAATGAACTTGATGATTGATAGAAATTATGCAAGCCAAAGAAGGGTGTTAACAAAATACCATGAAATGTGTGGAGGCAAAAAGGATAACTTTATTTTCTGAAAGTAAGCTGTAGCCTGGGGAGACAGAGCTTCTCTGTAAAATGAAATTAGTGTTCAGAATGAAACAAAAGTGGATTTCCCAGAAAAAAGGGAACGTTTGTGGTTTGACTTACATAGAAAAGTTTCCTGCCCATGTTCTCAATCAGTTTTTTATGCTAATGAAGTATTCAAAATTGTTTACTTCTGATTGGTTGATTCAGCTGAACCTGGATTTATCAAGACAGCAGCATCCTGATTGAGTGACCTTCAAGCCTAAAGCCGCAAGTTCTTTCTGATTGGGGATTTCCAGAAGTCACTTTGGGAATCTCTAGTCTTTAGTTACATCACCCTTCTTTGGCTTGCATAATTTCTATCAATCATCAAGTTTATTCAAGTCCATGCTATGCAAGCAGGACATCTGTCAGTGGCTGTTTTTCTCTGAGAACACAGGGTATATGTCTGCCCTCACACCCCCCTATGACGATCTAGTTCTGCTTTTAAATTTGGATCAAATCTGCTAGTCACAGAGTTCATCTTGTCTGGAGAGTTTGGTGTCTTATTTTACAGTTTTGTTTTATAAAAGAAAAAGAAAAAAATTACAAAAAGGAGCATTCGTAGCTGGTATTTAAAATGCCTTTCTTCCACTTCCTACTTTGTATAGCTTTTACCTTCAGCAAGAACCTTAGCTGACCATGGCTCTTTACCAGGTAGAATGATCTAAACCTTTATTCCTGAAAAGTCTAGACCATTAGTAGTGCTACCTGGATTGGGTTGCTATAGTTTTCCATTGATCTTCATTACACTTCATGGTAATTCCAAGATGTGTTCTGAGCAATCTCCTTTATTCTAGTCATACTCTGTTTTATCTTCATTGTGGATTACCAGCCCAATTTTTCCTTGATAATCAAGATCAATCTCACCAAACAACACAATAACTCCACTCTTTGCCTGTTTATTCAGAGTCCTGAGGAGCCCAAAATGTGACTCTTAACTTCTAATTCAATGAAATCATTGTTGTGTCTCCTGGTGAAAGCATGCCTCTTCTTGGAATGAAGACCTTTAAGTCATCAGAGCATAAGGTCACGGGAACAGAAAGCAAAATTTTGCTAGTGTGTCTCTAGGCGTAAAATAGTGAGTACTGCCATTCCCATTTTTTTTACAGCATGAGTCCTGAACCTATAAATCCTGGCTATGGAAGAACAGAACCAACAATAGACATTGATCATCTGAAGAATTGTGGCACAACCTTGTAAGGTATGGCCACCTATATGGCACTGTAATTGAGTTCTCAGAAGGCCATTTCACCATTCTATCAATCTAGCTGCTTCAGCATGCCAAGAATCACGGTAAAACCAGTGGTTTCCATAAGCATGGGCCTACTACCTCACTTATTTTGCTCTGAACTGAGTTCCTTGGTGAAATGCAATGCTGTGTGAAATACCATAATGCTAGATAAGATACTCTGGCAGTCTATGGATGATAGTTTTGGCAGAAGCACAGCATGCAGGGAAGGCAAATTGATATCCAGAATAAGTGTCTATTCATATAGAAACAAATGTTAAGCCTTCCGTAATAAAAAGAAATGGTTCAATGTAATCAATCTGCCACCAGATTGTGACTAATCACTTGGTAACTAATTACTTCAGAACATAGTGTTATATCAGGCTCTCTGTTTTATTCTTTGCTGCTGGCAAATTGGGCACTCAGTAATGGCTGTGACCAGGCTGGCCTTGGTAAGTAGAAGTCCATGTTGTTGTATCTATGTATAACCCCATACTTTTCCTAGTAGGCATTTTGCTCATGAACTTATTCGGCACTGACAGCAGAGTTTGAAGGAAAAGGTGGACTGGTATCCACAGAATGGGTCATCCTGTCTACTAGAGTATTAAAATCTTCCACTCAAAAACTTTGGTGAGCATTCACATGGGACACACATATATTCATGATTCTTTTTCTCACTCAGAGGTCTAACTATATACCTCTTCATTAAATTTTCTGGTCACCAATTTCAATCATGTTCCTTTGAAATATCTTACCATCTAGTTCAACCACTGTCCAGTCCACAAATTGATATTATTGTTCATCTGGCCATCTCTTGTTTGAATGAAAGTGAACAACCAAATGCACTGCTCAGAATTCTACTTTCTGAAAGCATTTCTCTTCACCACCATCCTTCAAGGATGTTGCACAGAAAGTCTCTAGTTCTATGGCTGTCCACTTTCAGGTGGTGCTTGCATAGCGTGCAGAACAATCTGTAAACTAGGCCTGAGTCTTCTCTTTCTCTTTGAACATATAGGGAACTCTGCACAAGTGCATAACTGCAAGCTGGGAGAGAAAAGGCAACGTAGCAGAAGTGGGAATCATGAGCATCTGGGCCACTTCTTCATGTTACTTACTTATGCCTTTAGGGCCTGCTTGAGCCCTGTCACGTATGTACCATTTCCACTTAATAATGCAGTGCTGTTGTGCATGCCCAACTTTAAGACTTGCTGAGTCAGATAATAACAATTATGATGGGAAGCTTAGGCCATGTCATAACTTTGTGACCCATGGTTAAGTGTTCAGTGTCTACTAAGGCCTAGTAGCAGACCAAGAGCTGTTTATCAAAAGGAGAGTAGTCATCTACAGGAAATGGAAGCACTTTGCTCCAAAATCCTAAATTACTGCTCTCTGAGTCACCTATAGAGGACTGTCAAAAGCTCTAAAGAGCATCCCTAACTGCCATTGGCACTATAAGGACCATGGTTGACTGGCTCATATTGCCCAAGCAGTGGAGCAACCTGGAATCTGTTGCAGAGATTTCTCCTATTTGGGGCCTGGCTCAAATCTTTCCATATCATTCAGTTAATGGGCCAGAGTAGCACACCCAAATGAGGAATGTTTAGCCTTCAAAATCCAAAGAGGCTCTTTGGGTGCTGCTCTCTTTTTTTATTGTAGAAGAGGCCAAATGCAACAACTTATCCTTCACCTTGGAAGAATCCTAGAAATTTCACTGAGGTAGAAGTCCCTCAAATTTTAGTTGCTATTATTTCCCACCTTCTGACACGCAAATGCTTTACCATTAAGTCTATAGTTACTAAACTTCTTACTAGTCGCTACTTGTCAGTAACTAGTCCAATAAATCTAGTAGCTACTCTTACTCATCAATCAACTTACAATCAACATAATGTCATCAGTGTCCAATAAGTGTAACTAGTCCAATAAGTCTAGTAGCTACTCTTACTCATCAATCAACTTGCAATCAACATAATGTCAGTGTATGTAATCAGTGTAACGAACCAGTATAATATCTTGTAGAAGAGTAAGGCAATCAAGATCCCTGCAAATTAAATTAAAAATAGGCTAAAGAGTTTATATACCCCTGAGATAGGTCAGTAAAGGTGTATTGTTGGTAATCTTTACTGAAGGTATTGAGAAAAAAAGCATTTGCCACATAAATATTTGCATACCAGGTCTCACAAGATGTGTTTATTTGATCAGGCAATGAAGCCATATCTGGTACAGCAGCTACAATTAGACTCATGACTTGGCTAAGCTTACGATAATCCACTGTCATTCTCCAAGATCCATCTATCTTGTGAACAGGTCAAATAGGTGAGTTGATGGGCATTGATTGGGTATTACCACTCCTGCATTTTTCACATCCTTGATGGTAGCACGAATCTCTGCAATTCCAGCTAAGAATTGTAGTGTTGCATTCAGTTTACTATTTTCCTAGATAGATGTATTTTCAGTGACTCCCACTTGACTTTTCCCACCTAATAAGCCTCATTCCACAGGTCAGAGAACCCATTTGGGGATTCTGCCATCTGTTAAGCATATGTTTTCTAGTTAACATTCCAGAACTGGGAATTAACCACAAGATGGGTTTAGGGACCTACTGGGCCCATGGGGAGATATACCTGAGCTAAAACCCCATTCATCACCTGGCCACCATAATCCTTTCTCTGACTGATGTACCATAGTGATAAATTTGGGGTTTCCTGGAATTTGTGTCAGGTAAGAGCCTGTGTTCAGTGGTCTCTGAAAGTTCTGATGTTTTTCCTTTTTTCCAGTGCACAGTTACCCTGGTAAAATGCCATAAATCTCTTTGAGAAAGGCTGAAAAAATATTAATGACATACGCTTTTTGGCACTGTACTGAGGAATTTCCTGAAGGAGACCCAGGCTTTTTTTTCATTCAAAGATTTCTGGGCCTGCCTATTGGCTCTAGGCTGGGAACTGATTGAAGGACCATTACTCTTCTTTTTTATGATTCATGTAAGGTGTTTCTTCACTTGACATAGGCCTTTTCTGCTTATACATATCAAGGAGCAATTTAGGCTTTCTGTCTATTTCACTTATAGGAGCTTCATAATCAACCAGCCAACAGTATACGTCTACACAAGTCAGACTATTTTGATTGCAATTTTGACTCTGCTGTTCATTACAGCTACCACTTCCACCTTACCTTTGGTAGTTGAGTGTTGCTACTGAGCTCCTGCCACCCTGGGATCCGTTTACTTCCTTTGCATTTAAGTTTCCCAGTGCAGTGACTGTACTTTGCACTCTAAGGTATAGCCTACAGAGAACAGCAATCACAGGGCTCCTTGCCCAAATATGTTTTCTACAGTATTGTCTTCTGTACCCTCCCAGAGTGAGTAAACTTCATTGGCAAATCCATTCTTACATTCCAGTCACCCTAAGTTTTTTAGTACCTTCATCTAAATTAAACCAAAGTAGAAACAGGACCAATAGAATATAGCTAGACAGAAAGATAGATATATATAGATAGAGATAAAAATGTATTTATTATAAGAAATTATTACTCAATCATAAAAGCTGAGAAGTCCTATGAACTGCTGTTGGCAAGAGAAGGACCTAGGAGAGCATATGGCTTAGTTCCAGTTGGAGTCTGAAGACTTTAGTAGCAGGAGAGCTTATAGTGTAAGTTTCAGTCTGAGAATGAGTCCAAAGACAGGAGAAGACAAATGTTCCAGCTTGAAGACAGACAGAAAGAAAAGTGAATTCTGTTACTCAGAATATTTGTTCTATTTAAATCTTCAAGGGGTTGGTGAGGCCCAATCACACTGGGGGAGATCACAACCTGCTAAACTCAATATATTGATTCAAGATTGTTAGTCATATCTAAAAACTCCCTCACAGACACATTCAGGATACTGTTTAATCAAATATCTAGGTACCATGTGGCCCAGTCAAGTTGACAAATAAAATCAGTAATCACATGAAGTTAAAATGCTACATTTGAAAATATTTAATACAAAAGAAAACAGTAGAGGAGAAATAGAAAAACAAAACAGACATGAGACATATAGAAAAATTAAAGTAGAAGAGATATATTCAACTATAATAATTATAACATTAATTATGAATTACATAATCAAATAAAAAGGCAGATGTTTTTAGACTGGATTTTTAAAAATTATCCAGTTGTATATTGTCTATAGGAGAGACATTTTAAATTCAAAATCACAAATAGATTGAAAGTAAAAAGATGAAAAATGATAAAACATGCTAATCACAATCACAAGAAAGCTACTAATATCAGGTAAAATACACTTTAGAATAAAAAAAGTTAAAGGCAAATCCAAACCATAGTGAGATATCATTTTGCACTCACTAGGATAAATACAATTTTAAAAATTAGATAACAACAGCTGTTGACATAATAATGTGGAAAAGCCAGAACCATCATACCCTGTTGTTGAGAATGCCAAATGGCTCTGCTACTTTGGAAGAGTCTGAAATTTCCTCAAAAGATTAAAGATAAAGCTACAATACAACCCAGTAATTCCACTCCTACTTATATACCCAAGAGAAATGAAAATATACATTTACAAAGAAAAATGCATAGGAATGTTCATAACGTTATTATTAATAATATACAAAAGCTTGAAACAATCCAAATGTCCATCAAGGGATGAAATGATAAAATAAACTGTCTATATTCATACAATCTAACATAGTTCAGCCACAAAAGAAATGAAATACTAATGAATACTACAACATGAATTAACCTTGAAAATATTATGCTAAATGAAAGAAGCCAGTCACAAATAATCATGTACTATGTGATTTCAATTTATACAAAGTCAAGAATAGAAAAAAAATCTCTAGAAAGTAGAATGGAGATAAATAGTTGCTTAGGGCTGGGGTGAGTTAGCGCAGGGGAAGTGCTAATAGGTAAAGTTACACAGGATTTCCTCTTGAGATGAAAATGTTCTAAAATTGACTGTGGTATTGGTTGTATACGTGCTTGAATATAACAAAAATCATTGAATTGCACATTTTAAATGGATAAATTGTATCATATGTGACTTATTTAACAGATTTATTATCTGTTAAAACATCCATGTCCTCTTTATTATTTACATTAAAGAGATAAACTATACTAATAAACTATACTAATAAAATATTGGACACCTTTGTAGTGCAAATATTATTTCTAAAGACAAAATCCAAAAAGGCATTTTAATATTATTCATTTTCATATACAGTCTTCTGCTTGTATTTTTCTTCCTTCATTCCTGCAACAACAACAACAAAGAAGTTAATTTTTGTTATTCTCTAAATAGTTTTAATGTCACTTCATCTGACTCTTCCAGGCAATGTAATCACCAATGTGATCAGTGTTCTTATAACACTGTGTTTATCCATAATTACAAGCGTTATGCTTGGTCATAATAGTCTGTTATCATCCAGTATTCTCCAGTAAACCATGAATTTTTTAAGAACAGATCTTTAGTCACTATTTAAAAAAATTATTTAGCATTCAACACAGTATATGATGCATAATAAAAATGAATAAACACACTGGTTGGAAATAACACTTCTCTTTCCATATTTATATGCTTTATATTAAGAGGTGGATTTCACTATTGTGTAACATTCATTTCACAGCCCAAGGAAAGAACAGTGATACATGAGATGAGACCACTGTTTTTTTTTTAAATTTTTTTAATTGTCATAATTTCTCTGTATGATCAAAGTATCTGCCACACAAATTTTAGTGGACGTACTCTGCTTCCAGGTTATCTAAAAAACTATAAATATACACTGCAATAATAGGCTAATACAATTTACTGTGTATTAAATCTACTTAATAATTAGGGGAAACTATTTATTTGAAGAATCAACTGTAATTTTAACAAAAAAGTACTATTTTGTCTTATAAATACATATAAAAGAAGAACATATATTTTCATATTTGTATTTCATTTATTTAAGAGATCTATACATTTGGGTTCTATGGTTATTCTCATTATGTTGAAAGATTTAATACATGTGTTTAATAATGTCAATGTTAAAAAAGATATTTTGAGAATTGACATGCTTAGAAAATAAGACTATTCCTTCAAATGGCACCAGTGTTAGATAAATATTTGCATGTATTTAAAGATAAAATTAAAAAATTACATCTAAGAAGAGAGGTAGAGTAAGATGGTGGCATAGAACCCTCCATCAGTCATCTCCCTGCAGGACCATCAAATTGAACATCTATGCACTCAAGACAACCCCTTGTAAGAGATACAGGCATCCAGGTAAGAGGTCACAATACATTGTTTTAGCATAGTAATTACTGAAGAAAATATGTATTAAAGAACATAAGAATAACTGCCTTGCATTGCCCTAGTGCCAGTCTGGTGTGGAGAGAATCTTTCTGCTTGGGAGACAGAAGGATGTGTAAGACCTTGCATTGGAATTTAGTACTGGCCTTGCCACACTAAAACTCAACACCAGGAAGAACTCCTTGGTTCCAGTTTCCAAGCCAGTGCCCATAGAAAAAGTATTTAGACTCTTCACAGGCCAGAAGAGGATCTGCTGGCCCAGTGGGAGAAACTGTATTCATGGCATGCTTCACTACTGGTTGATTAAAGTGGCTCCAGGCCCCAAATAAGTTTTAGTGGCAGGTAGGCCATAGTAACCACGGTTTTCAGGTGGGTCCTGAAATTGGACCTGGAAGACCTTAAGCTTTGAGTGCAACACAGCATGACATCAGCTTTGGTGGCCATGGGGGTGCATGTTTCAACCTTCCTCCAACTCCAGGTAGCACAGTATGGAGAGAGACCCGTTTTGCTTGGGGAAAGAAAAGGAAAGTGTGCAAGACACTTTGCCTTGGGACCTAGTACCAGCTCTGCTACAGTAAAACAGAAACAGGCAGAGCCTCTTGGCCCCTGATTTTAGGCATTGCTCTCTGGATGGCTCTCCTGGACCCACCCTGGGCCAGAAGAGAATCTGCTGCCCTTCCCAGCAGGACAGAACCAAGAACTACCCAGCATCACAACCAGCTAAATATGGACTCAGGCAGGAAGTAAATACCAGTAGCAATCAGGCAGTAGCAGGCACAATTCTCAGGCAAGCACTGGTGCTATACTGGTCTGGGAGACTCTGGGCTTCAGGTATGACACTGCATAGTGCCTGATGAGGCTGACATGAGAGTGTCCACATCACTCCTCTCTTAACATGTAGGCAACACAGCATGGAAAGAGACTCCTCCTTGGAGTAAAGAGAGAAAATTACGTGAGAGACTTTACCTGGGAACCCAGGGAACTCTCCCTGTTCTTCCTCAAGTCTATCAGGGGTGGGTACCCTGGAGTCTGTGAGAGACTCACAGCATAACTGGACTCAGGGTACCCTCTACTGATGAAAAGGCTGCAGTGTCAACACGCTTAGAGAATTCAACAGTTCATTCCCCTTTGAATTGCTGGAAAGCCCTCTGGAAAAGGACAGGAGACATAAAGGCAAACAGTGAAGACTGGAATAAATACCTAATCCTTCAAAAGCCAGAGATCAATGTACATGTACAAGCATCAAGGATATTCAGGGAAATATGATCTGTCCATGTGGACTAAATAAGTGCAAGTGACTGACGCTGAACAGATTGAGAAGTGCAACCTCTCTAACAAGAAATTCAAAATAATTATTTTGAGGAAGATTAGTGAACTTCAGAAAACACAGAGAAGAAATTCAAAAGTTTATCAGAAAAATTAAATGAAGAGATTTTTAAAAATTGACATTTTGGAGCTGAAAAATACAATAGATCAATGAGCTAATACATTAGAGGGTCTCAAAAGCAAAATTTATCAAAAAAAGTATTTGTGAGGTTGAAGACAGGTATTTGAAAATACATAGAGGAGAAAAAAATAAATATGAACAAATAATGTCTGTGAGATCTGTGGGACATGATTAAAAGAGCAACTGCAAGAGTCACTGGCCTTCAACAGGGAGTAGAGAAAGAAAAAGGGCTGGAAAGCTTATTCAAAGAAATAATAAAAGAAAACTTTTCTGTTATTCAAAGAAATAAAGAAAACCTTAAGAAAAATATAAACACTCAGGTACAGGAAGGTCACATATCAACAAGCAGATGCAAGTCAAATAAAACTATCCCAAAGCATATAATAATTACACTTTCAAAGGTCAAAGATAGAGAATCCTAAAAGCATTGAGGGAAAAGAAGCAAATAATTTAAGAAGGAGTTTTGATATGTGTAATGGCAGACTTTTCGGAGAAAATTCTACAAAGCAGGACAACTGGAGTAATATATTCAAAGTACTAGAAACAAAACAGACTACACCCACAAGGAAAACTGTTTCAGTACAGCTATCTTTCACACATGAAGGAGAGGTAAACACGGTCTCAGAAAAGCAAAACCTGAGAAAATTCATCCCCATCAAACTTGTCTCACAAGAAATGACAAAAGTAGTTATTCAATCTGAAAGAAAACAGTGCTAACATGCAACAAGAAAACATCTAAAGGAATTAAAATCACAGGCAAAGCTAAGTATACAGATAAATTAAGAATACTCTAACACTGTAATTGTGATATATAAACCACTCAAATCTTTAGTATTAAAACTAAACAAGAAACTCACTTAACTTATAAAGACATGTGTAGACCGAAAATGAAGAGTAGGAACAAGATACTCCATGAAAATACAATCTAAAATAGAGAAGGAGTTAACTGTACTTACATCAGATAAAAGACTTTAAGTCAAAATAATGTTACTAAGACAAATAAGGCCATTATATAATGATAAATTATAAAATATAGCAGGAGTATATAACAATTGTAAATATACATGCACCTAAAACTGGAGTTCCTAACTATGTAAAGCAAATATTAACAGATCTAAATGGAGAGACTGGCAGTTGTGGAATAATAGTAAACGACTTCAATACTCACTTTCAGAAATGGACAGTTCATCCAGATGGAAAATCAACAAAATACATCAAACTTAAGCTACACTCTAGACCAAATGGATCGAACAGATATTTACAGAACATTCCACCCAACAGCTACAGAATATATACCTTTTTCAGGATGAGAAAAGGACATTCTCCAGGATAGACCATATTTTAGGCCACAAAACAAGTCTTAACAAATTTTGTATAAAGTAAAACAATATGAAGTATCTATTATGAATACAATGGAATAAAATTAAAAATGAAGGGGTGCAGAACAAATAGTGGAATGGAAGTCTACACTGTTCATCTCTCATACAGGAACATCAAATTTTAACATCTATCTGCACACGGAAAAGCATTGTCACAAGAACCCAAAATCCGGTAAGAAATTATAGTACCTGGTTTAAACTTTATATTATGAAAAGAAGCATTGAGGAGGGCAAGAGAGACAGCCTTGAATCACTAATGCCAGTCGTCCCCCATCTTCTGGCAGAGATCATATGGTGCAAACAGATAATCTGTGGCAGTCTGGAGAGGAAGAGCGCAGTGAGTGGGGAATTTTACATTGAACTCAGTGCTGCCCTGTCACAGCAAATAACACAGCTGTGCTGGGCTCACAGTGCATACACACAGAGGGAGCATTTGGACTAACTCTACCCAGAAGGGAATCACCCATCCCAGCAATTGGAACATGAGTTTCTTGGCAAGCCTTGCCAGTACAGGATGAAGGGCTCTGGCATTCTAAGAAAACTTGAAAGTTAGTCTAGGATGCAAAGACTGCAATTACTAGGCAACTCGTAGTCTAGGCTGGGCTTTGAGCTGGTGACCTAGGGTGGCATGTGACCTAGGAAGACACCAGCTGGCATGGCTAAGGAGTGATTGTGCCATCCCTCCTCTAATCCCAGGCAGTACATCTCACAGCAACAAAAGCAACATCTTTCTTCTGCTTAAGGAGAGGAGAGAGAAGAGTAAAGAGGACTTTGTCTTGCATCTTGGATACCAGCTCAGCCACAGAGCACTGGGCAGAGTGGGCAGAGTCGTGTAGCCCCCATTTCAGATCCTAATACCCAGACAACATTTATGTATGGGCACATCCTGGGTCAGAAGGGAACCCAGTGCCTTGAAGTGAAGAACCCAGTCCTGGCAGGATTCATCACCTGCTGGCTAAAGATCACCTGCACCTTCACTAACAACCAGTGATATACAATGAGTATGCCGTGGGCATTTGCACACTCCGAGACATGCTGGCTCCATGGGAGACCCTGCACATTCCCAGATGTCATGGCTATGGTGAAAGACTCCTGTCTGAGAAAAGCAGAGAGGGAAGTAAAGGGGAATTTTTCTTGTACTCTAGATGCAAGCTAGACCACAGTGAGGCAGAACAACAAGCAGGATCTTGGGATCACTGAGTCCAGGACTAGGCTCATGGACAGCATTTCTGGATCTTCCCTGGCCCAGAGAGGAGCCCACTCTCCTGAAGGGTGAGTTCCAGGCATGGCAGCATTCACCATAAGCTAACACAATAGTCCCTAGGCTTTAAGTGAACATAAGCAGTGGTCTGGCAGAATCCCTCATGGACTAGTGATGGTGGTAGCCAAAGGGAGAAGTTCCTCTCCCTGTGGAAAGAGGAGGGAAGAGCAGGAAGGACTTCGTATTGTGATTTGAGTGGTAGCTTAGCCACATTAGAATAGAACATCGGGTAAATTGCTAATGTTTTTCACTTCAGTCCCTGGCTCCCAGGCAATATTTCTGGACTTACCTGAGGCCTGGGGGAACTCGACGCCCTGAAGGAAAAGGTCTTGGGCAAGGCCCAGTGCTGTCCTGGCTTCAAGTCTGGCCCAGTGTAGTTTCAGTGGTGGTGGCCACAGGGCTGCTTGTATCACCATATCCCCAGTATTAGGTGTCTCAGCACAGAAAGAGATTCTGTATATATGGGAGAACATAATGGAAAAGAACAAGAATTCCTGCCTGGTAATGTGAGAATTCTGGACCTAATTAAAGACCACCAAGGTGCTAAATCTACAAGTTTGCAAAAACCATAGTGTTAGTGGGCTTGGGACCCAAGTCCCTTCATATACCTGGAAAGCTTTCCCAAAAAAGGACAGGCACAAACAAGCCCAGACTGTGAAGATTACCATAAATACCTAACTCTTTGACACCCAGACACTGAAGAACACCTACAAGTATCAATGTTGTGTAGGGAAACATGACTTTACCAAATGAGCCATATAAGGAACCAGAGACCAATCCTGGAGAATCAGAGATATATGATCATTCAGAGAGTGTATTAGTCCATTCTCACATTGCTATAAGGAACTACCTGAGACTTGGTAATTTATGAAGAAAAGAGTTTTAATTGACTCATGGTTCTGCAGGTGGTACAGGAAGCATGGCTGGGGAGGCCTCAGGAAAACGACAATCATGGCAGAAGGTGAAGAAGAAGCAGGAATATTTTCAAATGGCAGAGCAGGAGACAGAGAGTGAAGGGAGAAGTGCTACACACTTTTGAACAAACAGATCTTATGAGAACTCACTCACTATCACAAGAACAGAAAAGGAGAAGTCTGCACACATGATCTAATAATCTCCCAATAGGCCCCCCTCCTCCACCATTGAGGATTACAATTTGACATGAGATTTGGGTGGGGACACAGATGCAAAATATATCCCTATAAAAATACCAATGATATTCTTTACATAAATAAAAATATCCTAACATGTATATGAAATTCGAAAGACCCAGAATAGCCAAAGCTATCTTTAGCAAAATGAACAAAACAGGAGGAATCACATTAACTGACTTCAAATTATACTACAGAGCTATAGTAACCAAAACAGGATGGCACTGGCATAAAAACGGACACATAGACCAAGGGAACAGACTAGAGAACCCAGGAACAAATCCACGAACCTACAATGAACTGATTTTTGGTAAACATGCCGAGAATATACATTAAGGAAAGATAGTTTTTTCAATAAATATTTCTGGGAAAACTGGGTATCCATATTCCAAAGAATAAAACATGATTCTTACCTGTCTCCATACACAAAAATCAAATAAAAATGGATTATAGACTTACATGTAGGACCGCAAACTATGAAACTACAATATTGTGCAAACTCTTCAGGACATTGGTCCAGGCAAAAATTTCTTGAGTAATACCCCCAAAGCACAAGCAATCTAAGCAAAAATGGACAAATGAGATCACATTAAGTTAGACAGCTTCTGTACTGCAAAGGAAACAATTAACAAAGTGAAGAGAAAACCCACAGAATGAGAGAAAATATTTACAAACTACCCGTCTGATAAGGGATTAATAACCAGAATACATAAAGAGCTCAAACAAACTCAATAGGAAAAAAAAAACTGTAATAAGCCAATTTAAAAATGGGCAAAAGATTTGAATAGACATTTCTCAAAAAAAACTGCAAATGCAAACAGACATATGAAAAAGTGTTTAACGTCATTGATAATCAGAGAAATGCAAATTAAAACTACAATGAGATAATATCTCATTCCAGTTAAAATGGCTTTTATCCAAATGTCAGGCAATAACAAATGTTGGAGAGGATGTGGAGAAGATGGAACCCTCATACACTGTTGGTGGGAATGTGAATTCATGCAACCACTATGAAAAATAGTTTGGAGGTTTCTCAAAAAAACACAGATAAAACTACCGTATGATCCAGCAATCTGGACTCAGCAATCAACTGCTGAGTATATACCCAAAAGAAGGAAAATTGGCATATCAAAGAGCCATCTGCACTCTCATATTTGTTGCAGTTCTGTTCACAACAGCCAAGATTTGGAAGCAACCTAAGTGTCCATCAACAGATGAATTTATAAGGAAAAGGTGGTACTTATACACAATGGGGTACTATTCAACCATAAAAAGAATGAGATTCTGTCATTTGCAATGACATGGATGGAACTGGAGGTCAGTATGTTAAGTCAAATAAGCCACGCACAGAAAGACAAACATTGCATGTTCTCATTTATTTGTGAGATCTGAAAATCAAAACAATTGAACTCATAGGGAGTAGAATGATCTTTTCCAGAGAGTGGGGAAGGAAGTGGGTGGGGGTGGGAGGAAGTGGTAATGGTTAATGGATACCAAAAAATAGAAAGAATGAAAAAGATTGAATATTTGATAACACAACAGAGTTACTATAGTCAATAATAATTCATTTGTACATTTAAAAATAAGTAAAGAATTATAATAGGATTGTTTATAACACAAAGAATAGATGCTTGAGGTGATGGATACCCCATTTACCCTGATGTGATTATTATACATTGTATGCCTGTATCAAAATATCTCATATGCCCTGTAAATACATACACCTACCATGTACCCATAAAAATTTTAAAAAATACAAAAGAACAATCTAAACCCCAAATAAGTAGAAGACAATAATGAAGATAAAAGCAGAAATACACAAAATAGAGACTAAAAACAAACAAATGATCAACAAAAAAGAGCTGTTTTTTGGAAAAAAAAAATTGATAAACCATTAGCTAGACTAAGAAAAAAAGAGAAAAAAAATCAAAATCAGAGACAAAAAAGGAGTCATTACAACTGATACCATAGAAATACAAAGTATAATAAGAGCCTATTATAAAAAGTTATACATCAACAAATTGAAAAACCTAGACAAAATGGATACTTTTGTGAACAGATATAGCTTACCAAGGTTGAGTCATGAAAAAAATAGAAATCCTAAACAAACCAATATTGAGTTACAATATCTAAGCGTAATAAAATGTAATCTATTAAATAAAAGCCAATTATGTGATGGCCTCAATGCTGAATTCTACCAACCATTTAGATAAGAAATAATACCAGTTTCAATTAAACTATTCCAAAATATTGAATGGGAAGGCATATTTCCAAATTCACTCAATGTGGCCAGTATTCTCCTGATACCAAAATCAGACAAAGTCACAAAAAAAGCAAATTACAGACCCATATCCCTGATGAACATAGATACAAAAATGCTTAACAAAATACTAACAAATTTAACAACACATTAAAAATACTCACCATGATTGAGTGGGATTCATCCCAGGGAGGCACAAATGGTTCAACGTACACAAATCAATAAACTTGATATATCACATTAACACAATCAAAGACAGAAACCATATGACATTTTAATATAGGCTAAGAATAATCAAAAAATTCCACATTTTTTTCATGATGAAAACCCTCAACAAACTTAATACAGAAGGAATATACCTCAACACAATAAAGACCATATATAAAAAACCTACATCTGACATCATAGTGTGTGTGGAAAATTTGAAAATTTTCCTCTAAGATTTGGAAAAAGACAAGGATGCACACTTTCTTCACTTTTATTCAACATAACTAAAACTTCTAGCCAGAACAATCAGGCAAGTAAAAGAAAGAAAGGACAATCTATTTGAAAAGGAGAAAGTCAAATTGCCCTTGTTTGCAGATGACAAGATCAGGTATATAGAAATGCCTAAAGTTGCCACCAAAAAAAGATGGTAAACTAGTAAATAAAGTTAGTAAAGTTGCAGAATACAAAGTCAACATACAAAAACCAGTAACATTTCTCTACACTGATAGCAAACTATCTGAAAAAGAGGTTAAAAAAAATTCATGTATAAAGCTACAGCAAAGAAAAATACCTAGAAGTAAACTTAATCAAGAATATAAAAGATCTCTACAATAAAAACAATATGACATTGATGAAAGAAACTGAAAAGGATACAAATATATGAAATGATAACTTGTGTTTATGGATTAGAAAAATTAATATTGCTAAAATGCTTATATTACCCAAGGTGCTCCACAGATCCAATGCAATCACTATAAAAATACCAATGATATTCGTCACATAAATTAAAAAATAAAACAGCTTAAATTCATATGGAAATGCAAAATTCCACAGACAGCCAAAGCAATTCTAAGCAAAAAGGACAAAGCCAGAGGCATCACACTCTCTGACTTCAGACTATAATACAAAAACATAGTAACCAAAACATACGGTTCTGGCATGATAACAGACATAGGGAAAAATGGAACAGAATAGAGAATCCAGAAATAAATCCACATCCTTACAGAAAACTCATTTTTGATAAAGTTGCCAAAAGCACACATTGAGGAAGGGACAGTGTTTTCAATGAATGGTGATGGAAAACTGGATAGCCACATGCAGAAGACTGAAACTAGTCCATATACTCATCATATGGTGAGTTTTGTATGTGTGAGACTTTTGTATATGTATGGTGAGACTCAGTATATGGTGAGATTGAAACTCTCACCATATACAAAAATCAAATAAAATGGGTTAAATACTTAAATGTAAGGCTTGAAACTATGAAACTACTAGAAGAAAACATTGGGGAAATGACTCCAAAGATTGGTGTCTTCTGGGAAATAATATTTTGAGTAAGACTGAGGCAGAAGAACAGGTTCTGGAGGCAGGGAACCTAAGGCTGATTCATGATAACTTCCTAGAACTAAATCAAAATGAAAACCCCAACTTTCCATGCCCAAGTAACAAAAAGACCAGAGGATACTCCCTTTGCAACTCACCCCACTTTTCTGCGTGGCAGATGAAAAATTGAAAACCCCTCTGATTGGTCCCCTCCTACAACCAATCAGACTGGCCATGAGCCAAGTCTTCATTTGCATAGGAATATAACTTTGTAGCTTTACTTCAGCCTCTGATTGATTGCTTTCCACAACCAACAGACTGATCACTGTTCATTATTTCTTTTACATAGGTGTAAACCAAGTAATGAATGGGAAACCTCTAGAGGGTATTTCAACCCCAGAAAATTCTGTAACTGGGCTCTTGAGCTGCTTGCTTCAGCCTGCTTCTACTCTGTGGAATGTACTTTCATTTCAATAAATCTGTGCTTTTCTTTTGTTGCTTTGTTTGTGTGTTTTGTCCATTTTTTTGTTCAAATTGCCAAGATCCTGGACACCGTCCACTGGTAACATATTTTGGTGAGCCAGCAAGAGGTAAGCCCAAATTTGACATTTATTTTTCTTCTCCTTTTCCCTTTTCCTCTCTGCTCCATATAGGGGAACTTTTCTCTCTCCTCTTTTTCCCTTTCCAACTCAGGACCCTCAGTGGACAGCACCTAAGCACAGACGCAACTGCAGTTTCCTGCTGGGGCCACTCTCTGGTGAAACTGAAAGGTTTTCATGTGGAATTGCCTGAGCACCTCTGCCTGGTTCAGACAAGAGACCTGAACCCTTTTCCTTTTCTTCTTATTCAGTCTTTCAGTGGCTTTTTCCTGGTAGCTCCTCAGTAATTGAGGACAACTGGCCAGGGCCATTCTCCAGTGTTACCTGAAGGCCAAGGAGTGAACAGGGATGGCTGCCCAGCCCAAAAGTGGAAAGGACTCTTTTCTACCTTTTCCGGTAATACTACCTGATCCCTACATGTGATGCAATTGCCAGTGGCAGTTCACCTAGTGTCAATTCACCACGTTTCAGGTGACTTAAGCCTTCTTTTCTTATAGTAAATTCTCCTGTAGAGTTAACTTGTAATAGCAAAAGATAATATCTCTTATGCATTTCAACCTTCTTTCTCCTACTCTATTTGACTGACAAAGGGCAAAAGGAATGTTTAAAGGAGGCCATTGCCTCTGGAGGGAAAACATGCAAAGCGGCTCTGGTGCCACCTAAGGCAGAGACTGCTGACAGTCTCTGGATTCCCTGGGGGATCCTTCAGAACTCAACCTCTCTGAAGGGAACCCCCTCAGCAGAGATTCTGAGGTCTAGTACTTAGCCTTCCTTAAAATTTTCTCTTGCAGATGACAATGGGACAATTTGGACATCCTTCGGGATTGTTTGTTGTTGCAGCAGTTGGATTGTGTTCTGGTGATTATGTGTGTTTGATACAGTCATGGGAAATTAAGATTCAGTAAACATGATATTCTTTTGCAACACTTTTTGGCCCTGATATCATTTGGAATTCTAAACTTTGCTGTTGAATGGGAAAATGGGATGGAGTTGCATGTATCAAGGCTTTTGTGCTGTTGTTCCAAGCAGGGTCAGGCCTGGTTAGAATGTGATGTTCTCCTTTGTTGCTGTTTGACCCCTGTGTTCTTTGGAGTATGGGGAAGTTTGGCCTTTAAAAATCAAACTACTTTACCCAAATTTGGTTCACAGTCTTCATTTGAGTACCTAATGGGGCACACAAAGTATAACCATGGAAAACCGTTTAGTTTGTATTGCTATTTCATGGTTAGAATTCCACGATAAAGGCTATTGTATCTTTGTGTGTGTGTATGCATGCCTAAATGTGTTTATGCGTATGTAAGTAATAGTTATGTTTACCAAATTGGCTCATACATAACAGAGTGCTCATAATATAAGTAAATAAGTCTAAGCAATTTTCAAATTCACATGACTTAAGTATTACTTTACTAAACAAGCTGGCTTTAAAATTATTGGTTAAATAAATATGGAAATGTTGTCAGAATTGTCAGCATACATTTTTTTCTGGGTTTTATATTTGTCTCTGGTAGATATTTTGAGGTGTCAGGATTTGGCATAGAAGGTTTTAAAACTATAACCCTAGCAAAAACAAAATGATCTTTGTGCAGATTTTTTGATAAGTAAGACTAATTATGTTATTGGTTTAATGAAAACAGTTTAATCTTCTAAGTTATTGGCAAAAATGCCTATGCAGTTAACTTTAAAGTTCTTATTTGAGTGAACACCTGATATTCACAGAATGTAAAATGGTTAACCAGGAAATAAGTAACTTTAAATGACGGTGTCTTATATCTCAGTTTCCACTAATCTAGATAAACTGTTAAAAAGGAAAGAATTTAGTACATGTAAATGGGATGGATATTTTAGGTAAACTTTTTGTGTAATTTAAAATCTTAAAATTATTTTTATATTCGTTGGAAGTCTGGGTCATTTCCAATTAAGAAAAGGTTATAACATGGGAAAATAGGTTTCTAAAGATTGTGGGATTGTTTTAATCTATAAATGCTCATACCTAATGGTTCAAGATTTCTTGCTTTTTAAGGTTTCACTGAAATTTAAGGCTACTAAGGAGAAGAATTATAGCTAATTATGTAATTCTATATATAAAATGTGTCAAAAGGTGTGTTATTAGTGAGAAAAATAATTTAATATTTAATCAAGTTACTTCAAATTTCAGATTTGAAAAGGTTATTTATGAAATGAGGTAGTAGGGGAGAGAGATGTGGAAAAAGTTATGTATATGAAGATGTATTTTTGGTAAAGAAGATTATAAGGAAAAGATAATAATTTTATATAAAAAGATATTGTATGGTAATTTTTTTTACCTAAAGTAACATAACTGCTTATTTAAATAAGATGAATAAGAAAATCTGGGACTGAATAGGAAGCCCAGGCATCTGCAGATGGTCTGTGTAAGTCATATGTAATTTTTGCTGTTTCTTGTGTGTCTATCTTCATGCACATATAGAGAAAGCAGAAAGTTTAAAAAGTTTATATAATAGAATATTCTTTAGAACCTAATAGAAAATTGGAGAAATTTGGCTAATTAACATTTTTATAGGTAAACCTCTTAGTCTTGGACAAAAACAAATGGAAGAGCATTCCATGCTCACGGATAGGAAGAATCAATATCGTGAAAATGGCCATACTGCCCAAGGTAATTTATAGATTCAATGCCATCCCCATCAAGCTACCAATGAATTTCCCCACAGAATTGGAAAAAAATACTTTAAAGTTCATATGGAATGAAAAAGGAGCCTGCATTGCAAAGACAATCCTAAGCCAAAAGAACAAAGCTGGAGGCATCATGCTACCTGACTTCAAACTATACTACAAGGCTACAGTAACCAAAACAGCATGGTACTGGTACCAAAACAGAGATATAGACCAATGGAACAGAAAAGAGACCTTGGAAATAATACCATACATCTACAACCATCTGATCTTTGACAAACCTGACAAAAAAAAGAAATGGGGAAAGGATTCCCTATTTAATAAATGGTGCTGGGAAAACTGGCTAGCCATATGTAGAAAGCTGAAACTGGATCCCTTCTTTACACCTTATACAAAAACTAATTCAAGATGGATTAAAGACTTAAATGTTAGACCTAAAACCATAAAAACCCTAGAAGAAAATCTAGGCAATACCATTCAGGACATAGGCATGGGCAAGGACTTCATGACTAAAACACCAAAAGCAATGGCAACAAAAGACAAAATTGACAAATGGGATCTAATTAAACTAAAGAGCTTCTGCACAGCAAAAGAAACTACCATCAGAGTGAACAGGCAACCTATAGAATGGGAGAAAATTTTTACAATCTACCATCTGACAAAGGGCTGATATCCAGAATCTACAAATAACTTAAACAAATTTACAAGAAAAAATCAAACAACCCCATTAAAAAGTGGGCAAAGGATATGAACAGACACTTCTCAAAAGAAGACATTTATGCAGCCAACAGACACATGAAAACATGCTCATCATCACTGGCCATCAGAGAAATGCAAGTCAAAACCACAATGAGATATCATCTCACACCAGTTAGAATGGCAATCATTAAAAAGTCAGAAACAACAGGTGCTGGAGAGGATGTGGAGAAATAGGAACTCTTTTACACTGTTGGTGGGACTGTAAACTAGTTCAACCATTGTGGAAGACAGTGTGGCAATTCCTCAAGGATCTAGAACTAGAAATACCAGTTGACCCAGCCATCCCATTACTGGATATATACCCAAAGGATTATAAATCATGCTGCTATAAAGACACATGCACACATATGTTTATTGCGGCACTATTCACAATAGCAAAGACTTGGAACCAACCCACATGTCCATCAATGATAGACTGGATTAAGAAAATATGGCACATATACACCATGGAATACTATGCAGCTATAAAAAGGATGAGTTCATGTCCTTTGTAGGGATATGGATGAAGCTGGAAACCATCATTCTCAGCAAACTATCACAAGAAACCAAACACCACATGTTCTCACTCATAGGTGGGAATTGAACAATGAGATCACTTGGACACAAGGTGGGGAACATCACATCCGGGGCCTGTAGTGGGGTGGGGGGAGGGGGACACGGGTAGCATTAGGAGATACACCTAATGTAAATGATGAGTTAAGGGGTGCAGCACACCAACGTGGCACATGTATACATATGTAACAAACCTGCACGTTGCACACTTGTACCCTAGAACTTAAAGTATAATAATAAAAAAATAAATCTTACTCTTGATTAAAGCAAAATAAGAAATATTGTAAAGAAATGCATCTTTGGCAAGTCATGATTTGTTCTATTTATCTGGAATTCCTAGGCTACCTGTGTCCAGCCTGCAGGAATTGATGGAACACACTGAAGATTTGGGATTTGGTTGGTTTTGCTTGCCTCTGATGATCTAGACAGCTTAAAAAAAAACGACTTATTTGTATAAGTTCTGAACAGAAATAATACATTACATGTTTTGTTATTTGAAAAAGTAGTATTTAAATGAAATAATTTAAATGAAAGTATTTAAATAAAAGTATTTAAATGAAAGAATATTATTTTTCATATTGAACTTCCAAAACTGATATTTGCATTTACCGTTTTTTAATGATGGAGAGAAGAGCTAGTTGTCTTACTTTGATATGTTTATCATAACACTTATCACATTTTTGATGCTTTAGGTCACAGTTCAGTCACTAGAATCCTAGCAAGTAGACATGTGCTATGAGTAACCTAACTACTTTAATACAGTGATTTGAAGTACTGCAGGCAGTAATTCTTAAACACCAAATCACGGAATTTTAATTTGTAACACGTTAGATAAAATGACAGGACCTTCTCTAGTATAAATATCCTATTAAGTAATGCTTGTGCACCAATCCCTGCTAAATTTTGAGCATTGACACCAGTCAAAACCTCGTCTTCAGGCTTGGGAGAAGGTGACAATCAAAATGCTTTTGTGAGACACAAGACTAGAAATTAAAACTATTAAATTCCAGACCACATTAATAAACAGGTTACCCTGCTGGCATGGTATACTGGAAAACTAGGGAAGGCTAAAACAGCAGTGCCAGTCAAAGTACATCTTAAAGACCCCAGCTATTCTCCCAATTGAAAACAATACCAAATTAAGCCGGAAGCAAGGAAAGGCCTAGCACCCATAGTTGAGGTATTATTTACTCATGGAATCTTAAAACCCTGCAATTCTTCCTGCAGTACCCTCATTTTACCAATTTTAAAGCCTTTGGGGTACTACTGGGTAGTACAGGACCTCAGAGTATTTAATGAGGCTGTTATCCCCATCCACCTGTTGGTGGAAAATCCATATACCTTCCTGGGTCAGGTGCCAGGGGATGCAAAATGGTTCTTAGTCCTAGACCTAAAAGATGCTTTCCCCTCCATTCCTCTGGCCCCGGAGTACAAATATCTTTTTGCTTTCAAATGGGAAAATCCTAACACCAGAGAAAAATAACAAAACACTTGGAAGGTGCTTCCTCAGGGCTTTTGGGATAGCCCCCATTTCTTTGCCTGAGTCTTAGAGAGGGATCTGAGGGATCTGCAATTGAAGAACCAGAGTATGTTCCAGTATGTTGATGACCCTCTTGTGTGTGACCCAACCCAAGATACTTCTGACCAAAATACTAGAAAACCTTTTAATTTCCCGGCAAACCGGGGATATAAAGTGTCCAGAAAGAAGGCTCAGATTACTCTCCAATGGGTCCAATATTTAGGGTGTATCTTAATATCCAGAGCCTGGCAAATATCCCCAGAAGGAGTGCAAGTCATATGTGGTGTGGACCCTCCCCACACCAAGAAGCATCTCTGTTTTTTTGCTGGGGGGGAATGGCCAGAATTTGCAGAATATGGGTACCAAATTTGGACTCATAGCAAAGCCCCTGTATAAAACAAAAAGGGGGCCTAAAATGAGCTAATGGAATGGATCTGGAAATGAGAGAAGCCTTTACCAAGTTAAAACAAGATCTCACCCAGGCTCCGGCTCTTGGCATACCAGACCTAACTAAGCCCTTCTTCTTACATGTAGCAGAGAAGAAGGGCATAGCTGTGGGAGTGCTAACCCAGAAATTAGGATCAGAACCCAGATCAAGTGTCTACTCTTCAAAAAAGTTAAATGGAGTGGCCACAGGATGGCCAAGCTGGCTGTGGGCAACAGCAGCCACTGCTATTTTAGTAGAAGAATCCACTAAAATCACCTTAGGTCAACCACTGGAAGTTGTAACCCCCACCAGGTATAGTCAGTCTTAGAAATAAAAGGACACATCTGGATGATGGGGGATAGGCTGATCAAATACCAGGCCACACCATTAGACAATCCAGATGTAACCCTTAAAACCTAAACACCTTGAATACAGCTTTATTGCTGCCTACAGGCCCAATAACTGATTATTCCTGTGAGCATGTCATTGAACATACATACGTTAGCCAGCCTGATTTAAAAGACCAGCTTCTCCCATGTTCTGAGGATAACTGGTTCACAGATGGCAGTAGTTTTATGTCAAAAAGGGAGTGCTGAGCTGAATAAGCAATAGTAAATCATAACACAATTAGCGAAGCCTAGCCACTGCCTCCTGGCACATCAGCACAAAAGGCTGAAATCATCGCCCTTATCCAAGCATTAATGTTGAGATAAGGAAAAAAAGCTTAACATCTATACAGATTTTAAATATGCATTTCTTGTCGTTCAAGCTCATGCTACAATCTGGAAAGAAAGGGGACTACCAACTAGCAAACACTCCCCTATAAAGCATGGAACTGAATGAAATACTTCAACTATTGGAAGCAATATACCTGCCCAAGGCTGTAGCTATAATTCATTGTAGAAGGCATCAAGGCGACTTAACCCCTATAGCACAAGAGAAGAGAAGGGCTGATAGAGAAGCCAAAGCTGCAGCTTTCAGCATGCAATCCCAACAGATCCTAGCACTATTTTCTTTCTATGATTCCCCCTAAAAACCAGAAGACACTAAAGGAAGAACAGTAAATAATGGAGCAATGGGAAAAACAACAACCAAAAGGATCCTGGTGGTATGTGGGATCAAAAGTATATTTTCCCCAAACAGCCCAATAGAGAATTGTAAAAACCCTGCATGATTCCTTCCATATGGGGAGAAAGCATAGTCATGGTTAACAGGCTCTTCATTGGGCCTAACTTAGCTTCGGTGGTTAAGCAGGTCTGTCAAACTTGCCATTGTGTGCATTTAACAACTCAGGAAACAAAATGCCTCCTCTAATAGAACTGGCCTAGGGGAGAGGAACATACCCAGGGGAAGACTGGCAAGTAGACGTCACCCATATGCCAGCTTGCGAAAGACAGAAGTTTTTGCTAGTACTAATAACACCCATACAGGCTGGGTTGAAGCTTACCCTACCAGAAAAGAGAAGACTAATGAAATTATAAAGGTTCTTTTAAAGAACATAATCCCCAGTTTGTGTTACCCTAAAGCCTCAAAAGTGACAGTGGCCTGTCTTTTATCTCCCAAATAATTCAAGTTGTTGCTAAGGCTCTTGGAATCAAATACTATTTACATTCAGCATGGAGACCTCAATCCTCCAGAAAAATGGGAACAGCTAATCAAACTCAAAAATGGGCAGGAGCCAAGCTATGTCAGGAAACATCAGAAATTTGGGTCAGCTTACTGCCCATAGCTCTCTTAAGAATCCATAATTCCCCTTGAGCAAAAATTAATATGAGCCCATATGAAATGTTACACGGAAGGCCATTTTAACTAATGCTCTAATTACTCATCCAGAAACGGCCAATCTAATAAAATACCTAGTTAGCCAGGGACAATTTTCTCAGACTTTACAGAAGTTTGGAGCTCAAAGGCTCCCCATACCAGGAACTAAACAGCAACAAAATTCAAGCCAGAAGATAAGATACTTGTTAAAACATGGAAGAGGGATTACCTGCTCAAAAATTACAACCTAAACAGAAAGGACTGATTCCAGTGGTACTGGCCACGACTCCTGTGGTCAAAGTACTAGGATTAGATATTTGGATACATCTGTCCAGGGGTCAAGCCTGCAATACTTGAAGACCTGGACCTGGAACCTGAAGCTCCCATCAGCCACTACACCTGTGAACCTGTGAAAAAACTGAAGCACCTGTTTAAAAGACAGCCAAAATGTAAGTAAATGCCTACCAGCTTTCCTTGGTTTCTTTGTTGCATAGTTACTGTAAGCTGGAAAATAGTATCCATTTTTACATTTTTACAATTTAATTGCCTTCTTCCAAATGGATGGAATCACTTCCTTTGTAATAATGGTCTTTCTTTCTTTCTTTCTTTCTTTCTTTCTTTCTTTCTTTCTTTCTTTCAGGCAGAGGCTTACTCTGTTGCCCAGGCTGGAGTGCAGTGGTGTGATCTCCGCTCACTGCAACCTCCACTTTCCCAGGTTCAAGTGATTCTCCTGTGTCAGCCTCTGAAGTAGCTGGGATTACAGGCATGCACCACCATGCCTGGCTAATTTTTATATTTTAAGTAGAGATAGGGTTTCACCCTGTTGGCCAGGCTGTAAGTGTTTCAATTCATTTTTATAACAAGCATTCTTGACAGCACAGGTAACGACCCCCTGAAGTTCCTATTCTATAGAAAAGAAGAACGAATAAGTTTTCTTGTTGTTCCATAATAGTCACCCACAGCCGGTGTATACTGGGACCATGAATAATGGGAATCATCTTTATTTTACAACAGAGCTTCACTTTATTTCTCTGGCAATTAATGAATTCTGGGTATTTATTAAGAACTTTAAATTTAGCATGAATACTGCTAAATACCAGCAGCCCAGCTCTGGCAAAAGCCTGTTGGCTTTGTTTATCTCCACTATCATCCAAATATACTGCCATCTTAATACCACCCCAATCTTGGACCCTTGAAAAAAATGACCTACAACGACAGAACAAGCAGTGAAGCTTCTTCGGTCATGTCTAAACAAACTTTCTGGGGTTACAGAAACCCATTTGGGGACCAGTATCATCATACACAGAACTAAAGTTCCAAGTGCCACTTACTATTAAAAAAAATAAAAAGCCAAAATTCTGGTCAAACCTTGGGAAACTTGAAAAGTCATCAATGTAACTACACCCTAGAGATTAACCCCTTACATAATCATGTAAGCTATGCAGTTACCCAAATTGCATCATTTAGAAAACTTGTACTACTTTCATGGAAACCATCCATAGATAAGGACAATTTAAAGGATATACAGTCTCAGTGTACTGAGTACTGTCAAGGTATGCCAACTAACTCTGTTCACACTTTCCCTTGGTCAGTTTAGCAGGGACCTTAACCACTTGGAAAAGCGAAAACAACAAGCTAACCCACATGTTCAGCACAGAAAACAACTTTTGTCTCGAAAACCAAAAACTTTGCAGGACCATTTTCTACTTATGTTTATCAGCCAATTGGACTGGAACCTGAACACGTGTTTATTTGGTCCCCCAAATCAATATAGCTCCCAATAACCGATCCCTTATTATACCTTTAACTGCAGATGCCAGACATAAATGAGCCATCCAACTCATGCCCCTAGGAATAACAGCAGGAGTAGAAATGGAAGTTAGCAGGCTTACAACTTCTCTATCCTATTACCAACGCTTGTCCAAGGATTTTATGGAAAGCTTGGATGTCATTGCCCAAAGTATGGTCATCATACAAAATCATTTAGATTCCTTGGCAGCAGTCACTTTTGCAAGATAGAAGGGGACTAGAGCTCCTAACTGCTGAAAAAAGGTGACATGTCTTTTCTAGAGGAAGAATGCTGTTTTTATGTCAACCAATCAGGAATAGTAAGAAATGCCACCCAATAACTAGTTGACCAGGCCTCTAAGATGGCAACAGCTGTCTGAGTCATGGAGCTGCTGATCAAAAAATGCTAAGTTGGGTTATACGGCTCTTTCCTCTGGCTGGCCCATTATTAATTATTATACTTGCCTTGGTTTGGGGAACACATTTGTTAAATCTCTAAACCAAATTCAATTCATTTTGCCTAGAGGCCACCAAGCTTCAGACTATCATGGGATAAATTTCCAGCCAGCTCCAGGTGAAGACACCACCCCTGGCCATCAAGAAGCTACCCTGTCTCACTAGACAGAGCAGGGCAAGAGTTCTGTGATCCCCAAATAGGTAGGAACTGCTCCTCAAGTCAGCATGAAGCAGTTTAGAAGACCATCGGTCCAGCTGCCTCCCATAAAAATTTGTGGGAATCACGTCTCTCATGGAGGAAATGACGCAGGAAAACAGGGTCTGGAGGCAGGGAACCTAAGGATGATTCATGCTGATTTCTTAGAACTAAATCAAAAGGAAAACTCCAGCTTTCCATGCCCAACAAAGAAAAAGACCAGAGGATACTCCATTTGCAACTGCCCCCACCCCCTTTTCTGTAAGGCAGATGAAAAATTGAAAGTACCTCTGATTGGTCCCCTCTGGCCACCAATCAGTCAGACAGGTCATGGGCCATGTCTTCATTTGCATAGGAGTATAACTTTATAACTTCACTTCAGCCTTTGGTCACTTTCCACAACCAATCAGAATGATCGTGGACCATTACTGCATTTATATAGGGTGTATGCCAAGTCACCAATGGGAATCCTCTAGAGGGCATTTAAACCCCAGAAAATTCTGGAACTGAGCTCTTGAGCCACTTGCTCAAGCCCATGCCCACTCTGTGGAATGTACTTTCATTTCAATAAATCTGTGCTTTTCTTTTGTTGCTTTGTTTGTGTGTTTTGTCCAATTTTTTATTCAAAACACCAAGAATCGGGATACCCTCCATCAGTAACAAAACCTCAAAAGGACAGGCCACAAAATTAAAAACAAACAAATGCAATTACATCAGGTTAAAAAGCTTCTACGTAGCTAAGGAAAAAATAAAATGAAGAGACAACCTACAGAATGGGAGAATGTACTTTCAATCTATGCGTCTGACAAAGGGTTAATGTCTAGAATATATAAGGAACTCAAATAACCCATAAGAAAAAATCAAATAATCCAATTAGAAAATGGGTAAAAGATGTGAATATAAATTTTTCAAAGAAGACACACAAGTCGACAATGGATATAAGTGAAAATGTTCATCATCACTAATCATCAAGGAAATTCAAATAAAAACAATGAGCTATCACCTCACCCCACTTAGAATGGCTATTAGCGAAAGACAAAAAATAACAAATGCTAGTGAGGATATGGAGAAAAGGGAAATTTTATATACCGTTTGGGGGAATATAAATTAGTATAGCCATTATGAAAAACGGTATGGAGATTTCTCAAAAACTAAACAGAGAACTACCAAATGATCCAGCAATCCCATTACTAGGTACATATCCAAAGGGAATATAATCATTATGTTAAAAATACATCTGCACTCCCACATTTATTTCAATGCTATTTACCATAGCCAAGATAAGAAATCAACCTAAATGCCCATCTACAGATAATGGATAAAGAAAATATGATACACATATATATCATATATATACACATCTGTATATACATATAGTACACACAGACACACACACACACACACACACACACACACACACAATGGAGTACTATTCATCTATAAAACAGAATGTAATCCTGTCATTTGCAGGAACATGGATGAACCTGGAGGCAAACATTATTTCAAATGCAATAATCCAGGCAAAGAAAAACAAACACCACATGGTCTCACTCACAAGACAAATCTAAAACAGTTGATTTCTTAGAAGTAGAGATTACAATAGTGGTTACCAGAGGCTGGGTAGGGTAGGAAGTGGTAGGGGACAGGGAGAGATTGATCAATGGGTACAGATTTACAGTTGTACTAAAAGAGTAAGTTCTGGTGTTCTATTACACAATAGGGTGACTATAACAAATTACAATGTATAGCTGGAAGAAGAGATTTTGATGTTGTCAACACAAATAAATGACAAGTGTTTAAGGTGATGAATATGGTAATACTCTGACTTGATCATCATACAATGTATATGACATACACTGATTTGATCATTATGCAGTGCATTGCAGCATCACACTAGACCTCATAAATATGTACAGTCATTATGGATCAATGATAAATTTGAGAATTAATTATTTTTTAAAAATTTACATCTAATACCCAACTCAACTTTAAAAATAAGGAAACTTTTTATTTTCTTGATGTGCTTAGCATTGTCAGGAACACTTCAATGGTGCCTATCTTTTAGAAATATGTTCAAATGAAAAAGCAGTAGAAAAATGAACATTGGCAGGATGAAGCTTCGGATTCTTAAAGCTGTCAAATTGTCATTTTTTAAGAGAATTACATTTATTTTAAAGTGGTTTTACATCATTTCCAATGCTGTTTCTCATGAGGTGATTTTACTATATGTACCAGAATGTAAAATAGTTCTTAAAAGGTTTATTTTCCCAGGTTGTTCAATATAATATATATTTTTACCTTCTTAATTTTTCTTTTATTATACTCAAGAGTTTATTAATGAGGGTGCTTATCTGTGATGAAATGTAATTTTAAGGGTTAATTGTGAATATTGTTAATATCATGAAAGAAAGTACTATGTTGTAATTCATTACATCATTTCAAAGAATGAAGAAGTTGCCATGGTAAATCCATGAAAATCTGGATCTCACCATAAAGTGCACTGCCTTAAGTAACTTTCATGTTGTGATGGGAAAATTAAGGCACAGAAAATATTTTTTCTAGGTTCTTATAGTAACAAATCCTACAATTGCCAAATGAATACATTTTTTGTAACATCTAAACAACAAATTAGCTAGGAATGAAGCAGCATAAGTTTCAAATAGAATTCAGGGATATGAAAAGCTGTGTTTTATTCTATACTCATTCCAATTTGGGAATGCAGAAGAAGAAAATCAATGGTATTTATATGTAAAGATAAATTAAGGACTTTTAACTATTGACTAATGAAATTTTAATTTAGTCATTTTAGTCAGCATGGGTCAAAGGAGCTATGTTACCTGACTTTGGAAGAAAAAGCCAAGATTGCAATTTTTCCTCTTCACTCACTTTCACTTGTACAATCTTGACAAAATGCTTTGGTTTCTTTGCACTTCAGGAGAAATATCAAATTTCTTCTTTAAATTTATAATTTTGAAATTTAGGAGACATGTTGGAAAGTTGTCAGCAGATAGCCTGACTCAAAATGAGTGCTAAATAAAATGTTAGCTTAGTCTGTACTTGATAAGATAATGCTTTGAAAAGATTGGCCAATTTGATTTTTGCTGGGTATTCATCCTTAGCCCATTTCTTTTCTCTCTTCATTCTCATCCTTCTCTCCTATCCCTTTTATAAGCAACTCAACTTTATACATGTATTACCTCAGAGGAGAGATGATACAGCAAAATATAGAAATTGATTTTTGGCTTTTATGTTTTAAGAATAAAAACGTTTTCCTTGGGGGAATAATTTGGAAGAAAAAATGGAAGTATTGAAGAGCCAGGTGAGTCTCCAGATAGGAGAAAATTATAGATGGAATACAGGTGGCTTATACCCCTGTCTTCTTTACATATCAAATTCACTGTAGAGCCTTAGCTGTGTATTAGTTGTGGACTATATATAGAGATCCATACAGATCAGCCTTCAGGAGCAGAGGCACACCATGCTCCTATTCCAAGGAAAATCCCAGTGTCAGGCGGGAAACCAATGCTGTTTGTAACCAGCACAGGGCATAGAAGTGGCTAAATAGGATTTTTCCTACTAGGCAAAATCCTGAGATGTCTCAGAATTCCTAGCACTTGTCTAGATCAGTAAGATGAAACCGTTTACTACGTCGCCATTTCGTTCATGCGTGTTGCTGTAACGAAATACCTGGAACTGGATAATTTAGAAACAGCAATTTACTTCTCACAGTTCTGAAGACTGGAAAGTCCACAATCAGGGCACCAGCAGATTCAGGGTCAGTGAGGGCTACTCTCTGCTATCAAGATCGTGCATTTCTGCTGTGTCCTCACATAGGAGAAGCAGAAGGGCAAACGGCTCTAGGACACTCTATTCAATCCCTTCTATAAAAGTACTAATTCATTAATAAGGGCAGAGCCTTGATGAATTAATCACTCCCTAAAAGACCCCACCTCTCGATACCATCCCTTTCGGGTTTAAGTCCAGAATATAAATTTTTGAGGGACACATACATTCAAACCATAGCAGTTACCAGAAGTGGCATAAAATGTTAAAGGACTTTGGAAGAGGACATAAGTTTTCAATGACCACACAGTGGCACTGAGAGAGTAGAATACCCCCTACTGGAGGGACATATATTAACCAAAGAGTGAACCAAATGAGGTGAAAACTTTAGTAAGGGATTAGGCATGGCACATTGGCAACTAATATGGATAAATATCCAGGTGTCACATAGGAACACAGGAACACTAGTGTGGATGAGACTCATCATGCTCACAAATCCAAAGCTACCACCTCTCTCTCCAGACATGGTTTTGCATTTTCTAAACCCTCCGGAATGTACACAAAGCCTCTGTAAAACTGAGAAAATCCTGAATTGATAGTGGTTGTGTATTTAATATGTGGTATAACAAAGACTCAAATTTGACATGGTTTAGTTATAGGAAAATTAAATTAAATTTCTCACACACCTGAATTTCTACACTGAGATCTATATGTTTTAGAAATAATTCATATTATTGACATCTTTATTTTTAGAATTTTTTAAAAAATGCAAATGTGTTTTAAAATGACTAAAAAATGCAAGGCTACCTGATTTTTAAAACACAGTGAGGAAGGAAGTGGTTTTATTGGAAATCAGATTGAAAGGCACCTGATTTTCAGTATTTTAAAAACAAATGTCAAAGTAAAATAAAATGTTGACTGAACTTATTTCTTGTCTGATTAAAAAAAATGCTAGTTTCTTCCAATGGGGATTTTCTTAAACCTCTCATAGACTGGAGTAATTACATTTACTTTAATTGAGAGATAATGTATTAATTATATCTTTAAGCATTTTATCTTTGTTCAAACACATAAAAGTAATAACATTACAACCCTCCAGATATTTTCTATTAGGCCTCCAAGTATTTGCTTTCCAAGTCTTTTTCTCAAGACTAAAACAAATTATAAATATGAACTCCACATTATAAATCTAATAACTGAACTTAACTAAAATTAATTATTCAATAAATATTTAATACACTGTGAAGGATGTAGCAGACATAGAAAATGCAAAGATAAAAATTTGGTGGCCAGAGAGCTTATAGTCTAGTGTAGAAATAAGATATGTACACAAAAGTCTATAATGCAAGATAGAAAGTGATATATGTCAAAGGGACATAGATAAATTGAAAAAATTCAGTAACTAAAACATTACTTTTAAATATAGAGATCAGGGAAATTTCATGGAAGAGAGAAAGCTGGTGAATAGGATCTTGAAGAATGAATATCATTTGAACAGGGAGAAATGGAAGAAAAGCCATTCTAGGAAGAAATGTAAGAGGGACAAAACACATACAGGTAAGGAAGTGAGGGATGTGTAGAGGAAAGAAAAGTTACTTTCAATTTTTTTTTTTAACTTTAAGTTCTGGGATACATGTGCCGAATGTGCAGATTTGTTTCATAGGTATACATGTGCCATGGTGGCTTACTGCACCCATCAACCTGTCATCTAAATTTTAAGCCCTGCATGCATTAGGTATTTGTTCTAATGCTCTCCCTCCCCTGTCCCCCGATCCCCCAACAGGCCCCAATGTGTGATATTCCCCTTCCTGTGTCCATGTGTTCTCATTGTTCAAACCCCACTTATAAGTGAGAACATGCAGTGATTGGTTTTCTGTTCCTGTGTTAGTTTGCTGAGGATAATGGTTTTCAGCTTCACCCATCCCTGCAAAGGACATGAACTCATTCTTTTTTATGGCTGCATAGTATCCCATGGTGTATATGTGCCACATTTTCTTTATCCAGTCTATCACTGATGAACATTTGGGTTGGTTCCAAGTCTTTGCTATTATAAATAGTGCTGCAATAAACATATGTGTGCATGTGTCTTTACAGTAGAACGATTTATAATCCTTTGGGTATGTACACAATAATGGGATTGCTAGGTCAAATGGTGTTACTGGTTCTAGATCCTTGAGGTATGACCACACTGTCTTCCACAATGGTTGAATTAATTTAAACTCCCACCAACAGCGTAAAAGCATACCTATTTCTCTGCATTCCTGCCAGCATCTTTTTTTTTCCAGACTTGGAAATGATCGCCATTCTAACTGGCATGACGAGACGTTAGAGTAGTGCTTCATTTTCATCTTTCAGTGAAGATATGTGCTATCCAATATGGTAGCAACTAGCAACATTTGTTTGTTGAGCACTTGAAATGTAATTAATGTGACTAAAAAAACTAAATTTATAATTAGATTTAATATTAGCTACTTTAAATTGAAGTTCGAATAATCATGTCTGGTGACATATTGAGCAGCACAACCTTCAAGCCTGTGAATTAGACTTGTGGCAAATAAGGCTGAGTTCAGACTGCTGATTGAGGAGCAGACTACTAAGTAAATAGGAACATTTCAAGTTTTCTAGGAGAGACATGTCAAGAGCAGAAATGTAGAATGTCAGGACGACTAGCAACTGACACTGTTGTGAAAAGGTAGATGAGAATGAAACAGTTCCTATAAATGTATAAAATTAATCAGGGAAAAAGGGAGTGGGATAAATGAAAATAAAGCAAGCTTGCAACACAGTCAGCATTAATCATTAGTTTAGATGTTCTCTGACCAAGATTGTTGGCCTATTGCCTGAGAATCACATAGACTCAGTTGCAAGATTACAATTCCCCTAAATTGTTCCATAGATAACTATGTAAACATTATGAAATGTTAGGTTTTCCCTTTGAGACATTTTTTCACGTCCTGCGTAACAGCGAAACTACTGACATCAGCTGGTCTGAAGGACCCCGTGAGAAGTTGACTCACCAAAGGATGCAATTTCTGCATCCTGATAATTTCACCCACCTTGCCCTGACCAATCAATGACCCCAATTTTCCAGCCTCTCGGCCTCCGTCATCCTCTTAAAGGCCCCAGCCCAGAACACCTCAGGGAGATGAATTTGAGCGTGTTCTCCTGTCTCATCACTCAGAGCCCAGTGATCATTAAACTCTTTCTTTGCTGCAAATCCTGCTGCCTCAATGTATTGTCTTTGCAGCTAGCATACAAACCTGTTGTCCTCTAACAGGAATAAAACAGAATTGAGAGAAAAAAATCGGGTAGATACTATTGGAGCATTGTATTCCACAGTAGTGAAATGCTCAGGTAGAATTGTCTTATGTAAATGGTGGAATGTAAGGAATCTTATAGAGAAGCAACGAGTGGTTCTTGGTACTACCTTCTCCAGAATGTTTTCCCTGGCTTCTCCTCAATCTCTTCTTGCCTCCTCTCTTTTCTTTCCATTACTTTTCCTCCCCTTTATCCCAGGAACTCGCATTCCTGGAACATGCTATCATATATTTACTATCGTTTCAGATAACATTGGATATTTCTATAGTATTATTTTACAGAACTGCCGCTCTGGTTGTCTTTCTTCCCCCACTGGATTGTAAGTCAAGACATCTTGCAGTGCTTGGAACATAAAAGCTCTCACTGCGTATTGATCGAATTGAATGGTAAGAAGTAGAAATCTAGTGACAAACTGGTTATCAAGTCTAAACTATTGGAAAGGTGGTAATGCCATAAACAAAAATGGCAAATGAAGAAAACAAGTGTATTTGGAAGAGAAAATTGGTGAATTAATTCAGGTATGCTAATTTTATGAATTCTGGCAACAATGAAGTAGTCACAAAAATAGAAAAGAATTTAGATAGGTGGAGAGAAGGTAGAAAGAGAGATGCAAGTGGAGGAGCAATCCACGAAAGTGACAACTAAATCCACAAATGTCTAGGAGACTATAGAGAATATATGCATAGAGAGAAAGGAAAGAATGAAACTGTAGATTAATTAGTCCAATAAATTATATATGTTTCTTTAATGAAATGAGCATAAGAATTGCTTGTTTGTTTAACCAAAATGACATGAAAAAATAATTGCATAGTTCTCTATGTATTTATTTTATTTTGTTTTTTTCAAACCAGAGTAGCTATTTTTGGCCTTCTACCCATTTGGCTGCTAGTGTCATCAGTTCTAAGGCCAAGTAAATGAATGTGTCATTAACAACCCAATATCCAAAGGTTAGTTTATGGATATATATACACACAAAGTCTATTTCATGAGGCAAGGTAAAAATGTATAAATTATGATTGTTTTATTAGTTTAATGTTCAAACTCTTTCATGTATTATGTCATATTTTTATTTAAACATATGAAAAAATACATATAATTTAATAGAAATAAAATAAAGTCAGAAGGTCTGTGTTCTAGGCATGACTTACAAAGTAAGTGAACAGGTGAATTTTGATAAATCATAAAATATTTATTGGCATTGGTATCAACACCAACTAATGACTGAATTAAAATATGTGAGCTTACATTTTAAAGTTGTGGAAATATATGAATTTAAACAAATAATCAGTTTTTGAGAAATAACAAAATAATTACTTATTAACAGTAAAAATAAAACTGGATTCTAAATGCTTTTGACTTTTTGGCAAACATTGTGAAAGATCTTTGATTATCCTGTCGAACTATAGGAAAATTATATTTTATGTTATTATTTGTATCACAATCTGAATGACAATATCTACTGACATATAGATCAATGCACATCACCACCATTGGTTGATATCATAATGCTGATTTGTTATAAAAAGATAAATGATAAACCAAGACCTTGTCTCAAATGAAAGACACATGTGCCATAAATAAAAACTTAAAACATAAAGAGAAATACGTGTGTGTTATTTCAGACTTTCTGTTCACATTCCAGTGTAAGTAGTTGGTCTCTATTTAACAACATAGACAATTAACAACTTATCATAATAATAGCTAAGGGTATTATTCGCTAAAAATTCATGTCTAATGACTTTTCTATCACTTTTATTAAATGAGTTCAGGGAGAACTCCAAGGGCAGAAGATACAATTTATTTTAATGTAAAATGTGTGGCAATAATCAATAATGAATAGTAATTATTAAATATAGAAAATTCATTCAAATGAATATTTATTCATGAATTTTGTTTAATAAATATTTTTTATTGCCTATTCATAGAATCTTTGTCACAATTGAATTGTGTAGGTTATTCTTAAAGGTGTAGACCATGTTGAAGAGTGAATCATTTTTTATAAAAGTTCTTCTAAGGGTATTAATCTAAGAGCTTTACATTTGTAGCATCAGGGCATATGCATATGTTTCTCTAGTCCATTTAGACTGCTATAACAAAATCTTATCAACTTGGTAGACTGTAAACAATAGAAATTTACTTTTCACAATTCTGAAGGCTATGAAGTCCAAGATCAAGGCACCTGCAGATTTGATGTCTGGTGAGGCTTGTTGTTTGGTTCACAGATAGCACCTTCTTGCTGTGTCCTCGCATGGTGGAAAGGGCAGGGCAACTTTCTGGGGCTTCTTTTATAAGGACACTAATCCCATTCATGAGGGCCCTGCTACCCTTGCCTTATTATCTCCCAAAGCCCCCATCTCCTAATACCATCACATTCGTGATTGGCTTTCAATATATGAATTTTCAGGGTCACAAACATTCAGACAATAGAAATAAATGCTCTTGCAAATTTTTCATATAATGGAAAATTAAATTATGTAAAAAGTGAAAATTTACTATTGAGGCAAACACTTACAATTGTTTGAAGTACATCTCCACCATTTTACTATGCATGATGGCTCACACCTGTAATCCCAGCACTTTGGGAGGCCAAGGTGGGGGGAATCACTTGAGCCCAAGAGTTGGAGACCAGCCTGGGCAACATGGCAAAACTGCATCTCTACTAAAATTACAAAAAGTTAGCTGGCCATGGTGGCTTGCACCTGTTGTCCCAGCTAATTGGGAGGCTTAGGTGGCAGGATCACCTGAACCCAGGAGATTGAGGCTGCAGTGAGTTGTGATGGCACCACTGCTCTCCAGCCTGGGTGACAGAGTAAGACCCTGTCGCAAAAAAAAGAAAAACAAAAAATAGAGATTATATCACATATTTGCTTATTTTACCTAATAATTTGCCTTGATAATCTCTTCCTATTCATAGTCCTCTACTATTTTTTAATTTTTATTATTATTAAAATTTTTACTTTTTATTATTACTACATAATATGCTGTTGTAAAAAGTTGCCAAATTTTATTTAATCCTTCAGTAATAATGAGTATTTGGTGGTTTGCAATTTTTCAGATTTCAAGGTTGATGTGGATATATTTGTTCTGGATATGATATGTTTATGAGAGTAATCTCTCAAAGACAGATATCAGAAAGATAATTACTGGATACATTTTAGGCAATTTTTTTTTTTTTTTTTTTTTTTTTGAGACGGAGTCTCGCTCTGTTCCCCAGGTCGGACTGCGGACTGCAGTGGCGCAATCTCGGCTCACTGCAAGCTCCGCTTCCCGGGTTCACGCCATTCTCCTGCCTCAGCCTCCCGAGTAGCTGGGACTACAGGCGCCCGCCACCGCGCCCGGCTAATTTTTTGTATTTTTAGTAGAGACGGGGTTTCACCTTGTTAGCCAGGATGGTCTCGATCTCCTGACCTCATGATCCACCCGCCTCGGCCTCCCAAAGTGCTGGGATTACAGGCGTGAGCCACCGCGCCCGGCCGCAAATTTTTATTTTTTGCTAAATTCTACAAAATTTTCTACCACAAAATGTGCAGATATTAGTATGTCACTAATGGTAGGTACACAAGAATCCCAGCTTTTCCTCTACACCATTACTAACAAGCTTTTATCATTAACAAGCTTTTGCCAGTCTGTTAGGGGTAGAAGGGAAGAAACTCCTTTTAATTTTGAACATATGTGATGGTGAATAGCTAGTTGTAGTATTTATTCATGAAAAGTCTGTTTATATTCTCTATGTAGTCAAATGATTTTCCTGTAAAATTTGTTGCAAAGATGTTTCTGGTAATTTGCAATTTTGCTTCTGAGATTTTTAACATGAGGATTTTTTTCTTGTCTTAATGTAATTGAGTCTATCAATCTATTTATGTTTCCCATGGCCCTTTTTTTAGTTTAAAATGCTGTTTCTATCTGAGAATCAGATAAATATTCCCATATCACATAAAATCATATTCTACTTGGCCTATAATATTTTTATCCCTTTTATATTTAATTTAAATATAAATATTTAATTAAATATTAAAGGGATATAAATATCAGCACTTGAATTTCAGTTCTGTTAATTCAGTTTAAATAAATGTAATTAAATTTCTTTGTTTCTAATTTTTTCTCCTGACATAGATGTACAATGATCATAACAAAACGTTATTTTCCCCCATCATTTTTAAAAATAAGCACAATATTTAAAAGTAATTCTTGATAGATGAATACAGTTTATCTGTATTTGGTTATTTCAGGTTTATCTCTTTTATTAGAGAAGGAAACTTAACTAAAAAACATACAATTGAAATTACTACATTAATAGTTTTCATCTTTAAAATACAACTGTTACTCTAAGACACACAGTTGTTTTTTAAAAATGCATTCTTATTTTACCACCTTTGTAAAAAAAAAAAAAAAAAGAAAAACAAAAACATCTTTGGAATTTTGTTTAAAATATATATACTACTTAGGTTAGAAAGGGGGTTATGAACTGAATCGAGGGCCCTATTCCTGCAAATTTATATGTCGAAGCCATAAACCCTACATGATTGTGTTTGGAGGTAAAAATTTTAGTAGGAAAATAAGCTTGAATGAGGTCACAAGGGCAGAGTCCTAATCCAATAGGACCAGTGGATTTGTAAAGAGAGAAAGAAAAAAATCTTTCTCTTCGTGTGTGTGTGTGGGTGTGTGTATGTGTGCACTGAGGTATGACCAGGTGAGGTCATAGTGAGAAAGTGGCCATGGCCTCTATAAGCCAGGAAGGTGCCTTCCCCAGAAATTGAATCAACCAGCATGTTGATTATGGACTTCCCAACGTCCAGAACTATATGAAAATAAATTTCTGTTATTTAAGCCATCAAGTCTCTTGGTATTTGTTCTGCCAGTCCATGGTGAACCATACACTAGAGATTATTATTTAAGTTTCTTACATAATTTTTATCAGTATAATGTAAATTATTTTTAAAAATACTTTTGTCAATAGTACACATATATATTTTAATACGTCAAAGATTTAAATGACTAATAGCAATTTTTGGCTAACCCCTCTTCACTCCAATTTTTCTCTTCCAAGAGACAACTTGAAACCTTTGTAATTGTTTCTTCTGATATTTATACTTAATATTTCTAATAACATATTTATTCAAACTTTTTTTTCTCCATGCCTTGTGCTTGTGGTCATTTTAAAATCTGCAACAATATCATTCTCCTCTTCTGTTTACTCATGTCTTTTTTTTTTTTTTTTTAGAGGCGGACTCTCGCTCCGTCGCCCAGGCTGGAGTGCAGTAGCAAGATCTCAGCTCACTGCAACCTCCACCTGTTATTTAACATGATTGCATCTTACAATCTCTACATTGTCTTTTCTACCCTTAACTTTTCTTTCCATCCAACTTTGTGGACCTTCATCTCAAATCCATATTTGCCAATATCCACTGTGCATTCAAAATTTAAGAAGACTAATTAGGAAGTTATTACAACAATCTAAAAATAATTGGAAGATAAAATCTAAAAATTTTGTTGGTAGTTGGTAGTTGGTGCACACACACACACACACATACACACAATGCTATGAGCGTCACCAATTTGTCAAAAAATAAAATGTCAGGAGATTTTTATTTTCCCTCATTTGCATTGCTATGTAGAACTTTCCATTTTATCAACATATTAATTTTTGCCCCTTCCCCATTCATCAACCCAACTTGGCATAGATACATTTTACTCATATTTTAAGTTTCAGATAAAGTACATTTTTATTTACTCTGCAAAAATGCTTACAATCATGCTGTCATTTAACCCTATAGTCTCCTATCATAGCTATTGTAGGTCTCAGTTGTAATCTTCTGAGTTTCTTTCTTAAATTTTTCTTTCACAGGATTGTAAATTTTCTGAAAATAAAAATTTTACCTCACTTTGTTTTTTGTTGTCTCTCAGATAATAATACAGTATCTAACAAAGAGATGCTATTAAATAAACCTTTCTTAAGTGAATAAATTAATTAAATTATTTATCAGCATTAGCTCAGGATTAGATATATAAATAAACAGACAAAAGAACCCATGAAAGGGAGTCAGTAAGATAACATTTCAAGACTCAGAAATTATTGAAAAATCTTAGTTAATGATATAAAAACAAGAGATAAAGCCTTAGAAGATTCAGATGAATTTCACTAAAATTTTCTTGGCTGGACTGGTTAAACATATGGCAAGCCCCATGCTACCATGTTCAAATGCTGAAACCCCTCCTGTTGGCTTGGTGAACCACTCTGTACTTTGCCACCTTAAGCAAACTGTGTCCCTTTGCTTCTTTCTGTACCGTTAAAAACCTCAGTCACCCCACTTTTGTATGGCTTTGAATTCTATTAAATTCTCTTAAAATATGTAATTTAATATGATATTTTTGCCACATGACATATTTAAAATTCACTTACACTGATTATTTGGTGTCATATGACAACAAAATTTAAATAACTTAACTATGCTTACTTATTTTTCATCAAACTCATTATCTGAATAAACACAGATTCTTCCAAAGTTTGCATGTTTGTTTGTTCTGATTTAATGACACAAATTTAAATTACATTGTCACATGAATTGTTATGCTTGGTTTTATTTTCATCTGGTTTGTGAAAATCAATTTGTTTTTTAAATATACCTTGATTTTTACATTGAAACAAAATTTCCTAATCTGACTAACAGCAAATGTTTGTTTGTTTCTATTACTGCCTAAAGTCGCTAAAATTTTAGAACAGCAAATGTTTGTTTACAGTGAGATGATTGCTTTAGAAATATAAACAATAGAATGTAAAACAATAATATATTCAACAGTATACAACGGATACTGTTCATGGGGACAAAAATATAAGCACTGAGTTCTATTTAAAGCAAAATACAATTAATGTAAATTGAACAGAAAGAAGGATTCATTTATTGTAAGATTTAACCAGATGTATAAATTTAAGCTAATCTTAAACAGCAGAAGAAGAATTATTTAACAAGGTGCTATGGTTTGAATGTATCTCTTAAAATTCATGTGTTGGAAATACATGTTTAGATAATGTTGCTATAATAAGGGCTTGAAGGAGTGGGTTTGCCCCTTTCTGCCTTCTGCCGTGAGAGGACACAGCATCCCGTCTCTCCAGAGGACGCGGCAACAAAGCACCATCTTGAAACCAGAGACCAAACCTGCTGGTGCCTTGATCTTCTACTTCCCAGCCTCCAGAACTGTGAGAAATCTGTTTCTGTTTTGTGTATTCAGTCTATGGTATTCTGTTACAGCAACAGAGAATGGACCAAACACAAGGCAAAGCTCATTGTCACAGAAAGCGTACTGGTCAAGTTCCACAATCTGCGAGTTAACCTAAATTGTGTTTATTCACTATTTTAAACTGAGTTCTCCCAGGACAGACACTGAGACAAAGATCTGAGCCCAAATGGCTTCTAATGAAAGTGTTCCCAGTAGAAATGAGAAAAGGGAGTTGGGGAACCAGGACCTGGATTAGGATGAGGCAAGCGGGGTACTGGCCTCAGGTGTAAAATATAAGGAAGTGCCACAAGACTCAGAAATCAAGATAAATTATATCTTAATGCCACATTATACATAAATCAAAATTAATGCAAAATAGCCATTCTGAACAAAATGTTAATTTGAAAAATAAAGACAGCCTATTCTTTGTTTGTTTTATAACTCTGTTATTGTGGAACAGAAGCAACCGTTTTCAATCAGCCCAGGGTTTCCCTCCTATCTGCTAAGTAGGTTTATGATAGATGATAATGGGGTGTAAAGAGATTGAACAACACAGGACTTTATATATTGTCATTTTTATTGTAAAGCTTATATTAAATTTTACTTGGTTTAAAATATGGGACAATATTTTGACAAGTATACAAATGGATACACAATTTTCCTTTTGCCTCAGGCAACAATATGGCTTGGTATGATACAGCAAGGAAAGGAAAGAAGCTAAGCAAAGATGACATTTTGGGTGAAGTCTCAGATCCAGCCTATTCTCCTGAGAAACACTGAAACATAAATTACACATCAAAGTTTGTCCCTCTTGAGAAAGAGGGGCTGAGCTTTTATACTCTCATATCAGCAAAGCATTGGCAATGAGCCACCTGCAGGAGAAGGTGGGACAAAATCTCCCAGGCACTTCAGATTTTCCATAGAGATGCCCCAGGACAATCCCTACAAGAAGGTTGCAAGTGCAAACAGCAAAACACACAGACATTGTGGAGATGAAGGGCAGGGCAACAATTAAACTTGTTTTAGGTATCCAAAAAACATGTTTTGTGAACTTTGGCAAGCAACCTAACTTCCCTGAAGATAATTCCTATCTTGATCATCTAACAGATTTGGTATAAATAACAAACACAAGGTCATCCATTAACTCATTATTTTTAAATTCAGTTATATAACAATGTCTATTTATAAAGAGTACAGACATAGGAACCAGGAAGTGAGCCTAAAAGGGCTTTGAGTAAATAAATAAATATTCAAGATTGCACACATTCACAGTTGTGGTTCTCACTTCCTCTCTCAAACTCTATTACTTATTACATTGAGTCAATACTACAGAATTTAGCTGTGAGGTTTCCAGGCCTTTGCATAATTCAAATAAACAAATAAGAAGGTGAGAGACAAACTGCTCTGGGTAGATCTGCCAGCAAACAAATAGCTTGAATAAATGAGAAGTGATCATCTGCCAGAAAAGTGTGAATTAGCAAAATGATAAAAATCACCTAAGTGGCCACAAATTTAATACTAGCAATCAATTTTGTATTCATTTAATACAGAGAAACACATACACAAAAAGTATATGAATGTGCACGCCTATGTTCACTGCAGCATTATTCACAACAATCAGCATATGGAAACAAATGAAGTCCTCATCAACACATCATGATTTAAAAATACATGGTGTGTGTGTGTGTATATATATATGGATACTGTTCATCCTTTAAAAAGAAGGAAATTCTGTCCTTGGCAACAACATGGATGAATCTGCAGGACATCATGCTAAATGAAATAAGCCAAGCACAGGAAGATACTGCATGATTTCACTTATATGTGGAATCTAAAAAAGTTGAACTCATACAAATAAAGACTAGAATGGTGATTGCCACAGGCTGGTGGAAACAGGGAGAAATTGGGGGGCTGGGTAGAAAAAGGGGAGATGTTGGTCAAAGAGTACAAAGTTTCAGTGAGACTGGAAGAATAGGTTCTGGTGAGTGATTGCACAGTGTAATTAATAAGAATGTGTCATATATTTCAAAATTGCTGAAAGATTAAATTTTAAATGTTCTCACCACAAAGGCATGGTAACTATGTGAAGTGATGGACATGTTAAGTACCCCAATTTAATTATTCTACATGTACACATGTATTGGAACGTCATATTGTACCCCTTAATATATACAATTACTATTTGTCAATTAAAAATAACTTTTAAAAGTCATTTTTAAGCCGGGCGTGGTGGCTCATGCCTGTAATTCCAGCACTTTGGGAGGCTGAGGTGGGTGGATCACATGAGGTCAGGAGTTCAAGGCCAGCCTGACCAACATGGAGAAACCTTGTCTCTACTAACAATACAAAACATTAGCCGGGCATGGTGGCATATGCCTGTAATCCCAGCTACTTGGGAGGCTGAGGCAGGAGAATCACTTGAACCCAGTAGGCTGAGGTTGCAGTGAGCCAAGATCCCGCCATTGCACTCTAGCCTGGGCAACAAGAGTGAAACTCTGTTCCCCCGCAACGAAAAAAGTCATTTTTAATGAATAAACCATGAAACATTGTATTTGTTTTGCTTCCAAAGGCTTTCTGAACATGCATCTATGAAAAAAAAGTTTTATGAACCTTATAAGAAATTATTTAAGATGATAAAATATTAAAGAAAGAAAAGCATAATTCTCCAGTTGGAGTGGTAGGAAGCAGTGATGGCTAGGGAATGAGGTTTGCACAGTAGAGACAGGACTGAGTGATTCTTCTCCTCCCTATCCACAGGCACTTATGCCACCATGCTCTCAGACCATCTAGCTACCTCCCTTATCACTAGATTTACCTGGGTAGGAGCTTGTGAGATTAGAAGCTGGAGGATGTATACCTTATTAGTTAGGGTTGTCCAGTTAGGGTTGACCAATAGGTCAAAAGTATATATAAAAGGGAGTTTATCAGGGAGAATTGGCTCACAAGATTACAAGGTGAAGTCCCACGATAGGCCGTCTGTAAGCTCGAAAAAGAGAAGCTAGCAGCTTGGCTCAGTCCAAGTCCAAAAGCCTCAAAACCAAGGAAGCCAAGAGTGCAGCCCTCAGTCTGAGGCCAAAGGCCAAAGACCCCCTGGGAGGCTGCTGGTGCAAGTCCCAGAGCCAAACAGCCAAAGAATCTGGAGTCTGATGTCCAATGGCAGGAAGGGAGAAGCAAGCCTCTGGCAGGGGAAGAGGGAGAGCAAGAAAGAATTCAACAAGGTGCTTATTCCCCTTCTTCTGCCTGCTTTGTTTTAGCCATGCTGGCTGCAGATTGGATGGTGCCCACCCTCATTGAGGATGGGTCTTCCTCTCCCAATTCACTGATGAAAATATCAATCTCCTCTGTCAACATTGTCACAGACACATCCAGAAACAATACTTTACCAGTCATCTAGGCATCTCTCGGTCCAATCAAGTTGACACCTAATATTAACCATCACACATATCCATACCAACAGAGGGTGACTTTATGGTGGCAAAGGGAATAGAAACTCTGGGTTAAGTTTGCAATAGTGTGGTCAAAAATACTTAACTATGAGATTGGTATTGGATGGTGGAGCTGATATCCAATATTGAGCAAAATTGGTCTTATCTATAGAGAGAGGAAAACTGCTTCTCTGAGGCCCAGGTTTTCCTCATGTGTTCAATACCACTGGGGACTATCTAACTTAAAAATGGTTTCCAAAATCAGTAGGAGGAGTTGTACACTCAAGCAGAGAACTGTTAGACATTTTTTTTGGTTTGTTTTGTTTTTGCCAAACTGATCCAATAGACATCATGGGACTGTTACTACTTTGGGGGGTAACAGAAGTCAACTCTGGTTAGTACATGCAAAACAGGAATTCATTAGAGGGATTTAGAGATCTAGCATCACTCACAATTTTTTTTTTTTTCTTTTTTTTTTTTTTTTTTAATTTTTTTTTTTTATTATACTCTAAGTTTTAGGGTACATGTGCACATTGTGCAGGTTAGTTACATATGTATACATGTGCCATGCTGGTGCGCTGCACCCACTAACGTGTCATCTAGCATTAGGTATATCTCCCAATGCTATCCCTCCCCCCTCCCCCGACCCCACCACAGTCCCCAGAGTGTGATATTCCCCTTCCTGTGTCCATGTGATCTCACTGTTCAATTCCCACCTATGAGTGAGAATATGCGGTGTTTGGTTTTTTGTTCTTGCAATAGTTTACTGAGAATGATGGTTCCCAATTTCATCCATGTCCCTACAAAGGACATGAACTCATCATTTTTTATGGCTGCATAGTATTCCATGGTGTATATGTGCCACATTTTCTTAATCCAGTCTATCATTGTTGGACATAAAGCAATGGCAACAAAAGCCAAAATTGACAAATGGGATCTAATTAAACTAAAGAGCTTCTGCACAGCAAAAGAAACTACCATCAGAGTGAACAGGCAACCTACAACATGGGAGAAAATTTTCGCAACCTACTCATCTGACAAAGGGCTAATATCCAGAATCTACAATGAACTCAAACAAATTTACAACAAAAAAACAAACAACCCCATCAAAAAGTGGGCGAAGGACATGAACAGACACTTCTCAAAAGAAGACATTTATGCAGCCAAAAAACACATGAAGAAATGCTCATCATCACTGGCCATCAGAGAAATGCAAATCAAAACCACTATGAGATATCATCTCACACCAGTTAGAATGGCAATCATTAAAAAGTCAGGAAACAACAGGTGCTGGAGAGGATGTGGAGAAATAGGAACACTTTTACACTGTTGGTGGGACTGTAAACTAGTTCAACCATTGTGGAAGTCAGTGTGGCGATTCCTCAGGGATCTAGAACTAGAAATACCATTTGACCCAGCCATCCCATTACTGGGTATATACCCAAAGGACTATAAATCATGCTGCTATAAAGACACATGCACACGTATGTTTATTGCGGCACTATTCACAATAGCAAAGACTTGGAATCACAATTTTTTTTAAGTTGAAAAATGTAGACTTGGAAAAGTGAGGAACCAGATCAAACTAAAAGATCCATGTAATAGGAAGTAGTTCACATTATTATTTGGTTTATATAACTATGGTAAATCAGCTCTTATCAATTTTCAGTCTTTGTGACACTCTGTTCAAGATTCAAAGTATCTAAAGTAAATTCACAAATGGACAAAATAAATGAATGAATGAACACAATAAACAAAAGTAAACCATGTGCCCATGAATTCCCATGTAGCGATATTCCTAAATCTTGACACACAGCCCTATGAAGACCATAAACAATAGGATGCAATAAGAACTAGAAAGGAAATCAAGGCGTGCTAACCAGAAAAAGGAAAAGCTAAGATTATGTTGTAAAAATGCACAAAAAGTCTGAAAAACAAAAACAAACAAAAAATGAAAACATTATTTTAAAAAAGTATCTCAAAAGCTAATAAGTGCAAATTAGTTAGCCAGGAGTCAAATGCAGTCAATGGCAGAGGAATTTCTGAATAATGCCTGATAATGTCATATGGAACCAGGGACAAAACGAAAGATAAACAAGTCAAAAAAACCCTAAACTATTTCTAAGAGTTGAGCTGCTATTGGAATTCAATTTTTTTGGCAACCAAAACACAAGAGTCCTATCAGAGTTCGATGATCTACTCTACAGAAATTTATGTTAATACATACCATTTAAATTATCAAAATTATTTTAACACAGGAAATATGTAACGCATTTTGGAGCAATTTCTATTCAAGATAATTATTTTGATTGATACATAAATAAGTATACTCTAAGATATTTGGAAAATTTTGTAGTTCCAGAAAAATGTTCCCGTTATGGTCTGACAAAAATATATTGTATTAGTGTCATGATACATACACAATTAAAAAGTTGCCATGTCAAAATTGCATACATAACCTATAAAAGTATTAATGATTGATAGAACTATCCAACTTTGCAACATTTAAATTTAATATTTACAATTCAGTGTACTTTTAGTATTCTGCATTCATTAGTTTTTCTAATATTTAATACACTGAAATATTTCCAACTGATGTGAATTCCAAAAGCTTTTCATTGCATACAACTCCTGAAATAAAAATAAAAACTGGTTTTCTTGCAAAGAAAATAGGAAATAAAAGTTTACAGATGCATTAAACATTTGGCTGTGCTATGTATATGAAGACTGACTGCCAATTTCAGGATTCTTTTTCATGCAAGTTATCTAAGTATAGCCAAATAATTGATTCAAACTTGTTTATTTGAACAGTAGATTAACTTACTTATCAACAATTTAACAGCACGCTCTTTCCCCTGCCCTTTCCTGTTCTAACTTACCCAGGGTCTCTGCATGTGTTGGCTGATTAGTATGATTTTCAGATATTATGACAGCATGTCAAGGATCCAATTTTATAATTTGTATTGAGAAAAAAATAAGCTTTTTAATCTATATGACACAGTTAATTATAACAGCAGGTAGGATTTTATTAGGTTTAATTTTTTTTATACCAGAACCAGAAATTTGCTTGGGTAGACCTGAAGGATGCCTCATGTCTTTCCAGAAAGATGGAAATTCATGTGTACTCTTTTAATTTCTACTATAAAGAAGAATATTAAAAATGTAGAGGCCTTGCTCCCATTTTTTTTTTATTAAATAGGCTTGGGATGTGGCCTGGGTGTCTGGTAATATGAGCTCATTAGGTCATTTTGATGGACAGCAAGTCTTAAAATTTCACTTATTCATGGCACAGCAAAATGTATTTCCTACTGCCAGAGAGAAAACCTTTCAACAATATTAGAATTTGAATAAAGCAAAATGTTGACCTTCCAGAAAATAGTGATACTGTTATAACGTCTCTCTCTAATATTTTGCAGAATGACCAGCAGGGATGTCAGCACACCGTAAATAGGAAGAATTTCAAAATGATTTCTACAGTATCAGAAAACCAGTTGTATTTTCCTGTGTATTTTTTTCATTACATGTTCTATCTTCTTAAATATTTTGAATAGAAACTTAACAGTTTTTATTGCCTTGACCAAGCCTCCTCATTTTTATTTATTTTTTTGCACTTAAGCAGGACATAGTGAACGTAATATGTCTTATCCATGCCAGATCAGACAAATGTCAGATTAAAGGAAAAGCCAGCTGCTCATCTCTGTACAAAGTAGCAAGTGAAAATAACCAACAACCATGACTTCTGTCAATACTAAACTAAATTTAGGTACAAGCAGCCCAAATGGCTGCCTTGGTTGCCCTGATTTCCATTGATTAAATGTGTTTAAGACCTTTAATTGATTAGGGTCAAATTAATTGAAAATAATTTCAAAACAAAACGAGAAAAAGTTGTTTTTATTGTGTATTCATGTTACCAGATATAAAAAATAATTTTTGCCTTCATTTACAATGGAATCTCCATAGTGATGGATTCAATTCTTTCCCGACAATTTTTCACTACAGAATTAATTTTTCATTCATTTAATAATGTATTAAATGTCTAATATTATGGAACATAGGACTGGCATGTGCAGTTTGGGAGATAAAAAAGATACTTTCTGCCCACTAGTACTTGAAATATTAATACAAAGACTAAAGAGACAAAAACGACAGTATGTTATGATAAATATTCTGAAAGGATTATGCACAAGTTCCTACAGAAACACAGAACAAGGTCATTTTTCTCAGACCAGAAAGGATAACAAATACACTTTGCAAAAGGAAGAAACAAAGTTACCTGAATTTGGGGTTGAAGCCTATTCTGGAATTTTCCAGGCACGGTGGAAGTAGAAGTGAAGGGACAAATGTCAGAAAAAGGAAGCAGCAGTACCTAATAGCAATACACAGATTTTTCCAATATGTTTCAAAGGAAGCGTAAAGACATTGGGCAATTTTAAGTAGGAGAGTAAAATGATCAGAATTATGTTTTATAGGGATCACTCCTGAGTAAAGAGTGCACTGAATTGGGCTGGAGATGTAGTGTTGAGGGTCTGCACAAAGTCAGTGTTAATGAGATTCTTAGAAGGACAATGATTTGGGAGACATTAAGAAAATGGAAGAAAAAGATGAGGGAAAGAGAAGAATCAGGTATAACTCAGATATGGGTTTCTGGCTTTGGCTCTTGGATAGGAAATTATGATTCAAAAGTCTTAGACTACCACTGTAAAATAATTAAGAAAATAAATGAAAGAAAACTGATAAAATACAAGGAGATATATTTGAAATACTATTGTTGTCACAATACGTAATCTTAAGAAGCTACTCCATTTGGCTACCCAAAACTGACCTTGGTTTTAGTTAAAAAATCAGTCTGGTCATCAGTAAAGCTAGGTTGACACTTAGCCAATATTAATAAACCGGAGTCTACTATGGTTTATTAATCTGAAAATCAGGGATGCATCCATTAAATAATATTAAGACTCCTATAGGTCTTCCTCATCCTCCATAAATGAATTATGAATAAGACAAAACCAAAAGCTGTTTAAGAGATAACAAGAATTAAAGAATTTGCAGCAGATGGTACCAGCTGTGCACATTTAATTCCAGCTCAAACAATCTGCCAAACAGTTAGACAGAACTGCTTTTGCATGTGAAATTGGAGTGTCTCAGAGCCAAGGAAGAAATCTGAGAGTAGTCTTTCTGGCATTAATTATCAAACCTTTTATTATAATTAATGTTAGTGGACACAAACCTTCTTTCTTCTCTCTGCTTTCTTTGCACTATGTACATTCTCTCTCTGTCTCTCTCTCTCAATCTCTTTCACTGTTTCTCTTTCTCTTTAACTCAAATAAGCATATACACACATATATAACATATACACAGCAATATTTGCATCAATTAAGTAAAGAATAAATTCAAATAATTAATTTGTTAAAATGCAGATTTCTAGGCATTCAGGCATTCAGCATATATACACTAAGTAAATACAGGTAGTATAAAAAGAGCTTACTATGAACATTTTGAAGATACATTTTTTAAATGGATTCTAAGATATTTCAGTCTATTTATAAATACATTAACCGTAAGTAACAAAGCAAGAGTAAAGCAAAGGAGTACAACTATTACAAGATAATCTTTTTTAAAGTATGCTTAAAGTCCATTGGAATGGACAAATACAGCAAACCTGGAAAAATTAGAGGTGAACCCAAAGTTGAAATAGGAAATTTGGATGGGCTAATGGAAGATATGCAAGTATTAAAGGTCAAGGGAACAATATTTAAAAGGGCTCTAATGCAGAAATGCAAATATAGTCAGGGCTTGCATTTATCATCATGGACTCACTAGATGGAGGAAACAACCATGAAGCTCTTAACTGTGAGATTTAAGTGCACACGTGTATCCTGAAGCTAAATGATATTGGGAAGCTATGAAGACTGGAGAAGATAGCCATGATGACATGACTACACATTGTGCTTCATAAAACGGAGCAGAAGCAGAAAGCCTGGAGACAGTCAAGGTAACCATGAGGTTTTTGCAATAGCACGTGCATGAAATAACTATTATCTGGGCTCAGATGATGACAGTAGAATAGATAGAAAAGGACGGTGGAGTCTTATACAAAGAGATATTCTTATATATTAGTGTTTGACTCTAATGCAAATATAAGGAAGAGAGAGGTATAAAAATTAGATTTTGACTCTGAGAAGTTGGAACAATAAGGGCAGTGATTACATAGAGGTCAATCAGAAGAAGCCAATTGAAGAAGGAAGGAGCATATGGATTTGAATGAATGCAACTTTGCTTCATTGAGTTTGAGATGTTAGAATGAGAACAAAATGTGCATGGCAAGACTCAAGGTAGGGCTTGATAATACTAGATCAGACAGAGATTTATGTAAAATTCATCCCAGAAGAGGATATAATCATAAGAATACATACACGTTTTTAAATAAAAGAATATTAGTGAAAATGTGTAAAGACCTCAAAATGCTCCTGTAAAGAATAATCCCATTCAGGGTGGAAATAGGAAAAATAATCCATTAGTGGGGGAGGAGAGAGCTATGAGAGATCCAGTTAAAATCCAGTAGTGACATTCGTAAGAGCAGTGTCCTTGGCAGTCTCAGGTACCATATTAATTTCCCAGGTATACCACAACAAATATCCAGAAATTGTGTGCCTTAAAACAACAGAAATTTATTTTCGCAGAGTTTGAAGTCAAGATGTTAGCAGGACTGATTCTTTCTGGAGGCTCTGGGGGCAAATTCACTTTATGCCCCTCTCCTAGTTTCTGGTGACTGCCAAAAATCTTTGGCATTCCTTGGCTTGTAAACCCATCATGTCAATTTCTGCTTCCTTTTTCATACCACCTTCTCTTCTGTTTCACTGTGTCTCAAGTCTCTCTTTGCCTTTTTTTACAAGGACACTTGCCATGGATTTAGGGTCCACCCTAAATTCAGGATGATCGAATCTCAACATCCTTAACATAGTTACATCTGCAAAGACTCTTTTAAAAAAATTAATTTTTAATTGACAAATAACTGTATGTATTTATAAGAAACAATGTGATATTTTGATACATGAGGAATGATAGAATCAGACTAATTTACATGGCTATCACCTCACAAACTTAGCACTTTTTTAGAACAAGGTGATATTCATGCGTTCCAGGTGTTAGGACTTAGAAATAGCTCATGAGGGGCCACTCTTCAAACTGCTAGAAGTACTATGAAAATGGTATGGAGTGTTAAGGTTATAAGATAATTTATAATCTCACACCTTTTTTAAAGGAGTAATAGAAACTCTGTGAGGAAATCAGTTATTCCCATTTTACAGATGAAAAAATTAAGGCTCAGGGAAGTCACGTCAATGTGACATGTGTATTGTCATACTGTTATTAAGATGTGACAGCTTTCTTACCCTAAAAACATTTTTGATCTCAGTATTTATGTTATTTTAAAAGTATCACTGCATGGTGACCCTGACCCAGAAAGGCATTTATTCTATTATATTTACTATGGAAAAGATGACTTTGTGTTCAGCCAATCTTACTTTTTCCTCATTCTCTTGTAACCATTAGGTGTGCAAGTTTTCTGATCAGGTATAGAGTTTTTTTGGGTTTTTTTGTTTGTTCGTTTTTTGTTTTGTTTTTTTTGAGACGGATTTTCACTCCATCTCCCAGGTTGGAGTGCAGTGGTGTGATCTCGGCTCACTGCAACCTCCGCCTCCCGGGTTCAATAAATTCTCCTGTCTCAGCCTTGAGAGTAGCTGGGACTACAGGCGCCTGCCACCACACCTGGCTACTTTTTGTATTTGTAGTAGAGAAGGGGTTTCGCCTTGTTGGTCAGGCTGGTCTTGAACTCCTGACCTCAGGTGATCCACCCGCCTCAGCCTCCCAAAGTGCTGAGATTACAGGTGTGAGCCACCACGCCCAGCATATAGTTTTTTGTTTGTTGTTGTTTGTTTTGTCATTACTCTTTGATTTTATTATATTGCACTTGTTTGTTTTGTGATTCAGAGAACGGAAAAGTTCATTGTGAAAAATGAGGATCAGGATTCTTTTGGTCTCAGGAGAGGCATACTTTAAAAAATTAGTCAAATTGAGTGATGACCACATGGTAATTGTTGGATAGTTTAACCTCCTTAGAGATGCTGTGTTAGCGTATCCACATAAAAATCTATGTCATGCATTGGATACCACTCTAGGATAATTCAAACCTACTCTACACAAATGAAATTTCCCAAAATTCAGATTGATATTCATATACCAGATAGGTAAATTCTGGATGCCTTTGTAAATATAGCATGTATTTATAGTGTCACTTTCAATAACTAGAGGAAAAACATTCTAAATATAACTATTGATATGTAATCACGTAATATATTTTTACTTATTAAATATCTTTATAATAAATGTCTGATGACTTCAATCAACTTGAAGGGTTTAATGGAATCTTTTTATAAACCACTGCATAAAAATTCCAAACAAATTGATTTGCTTATTCAATGAAAAAATTCATTGATTGAGTTTTTTAAAAATGTAATACTGAAGGTTTATGTGAATTGACCAATCATTATGGTCTATGTACTGAAAAAGAAAAAAGAAAAGAAAAGAAGGAAAGAAAGAAAAAAAAAGAAAGAAAGAAAGAAAGAAAGAAAGAAAGAAAGAAAGAAACAAACAAAGAAAGAAACAAAGAAAGAAACAAAGAAAGAGGGAAGGAAGGAAAGGGAAGTGGAGGGGAGGGGGTGGGAGCAGAGGAGGGGAGGGGAGGGGTGAGGAGGGGAGGGGAGGGGTGGGGAGGGGAGGGGAGGGGTGGGGAGGGGAGGGGAGGGAAGGGAAGGGAAGGGAAGGGAAGGGAAGGGAAGGGAAGGGAAGGGAAGGGAAGGGGATTGGCAAGGTCTGTCATTGTTTCCCAATCTCCACATCTCCCTGGCTGCTCTTAGCTTTCTAGCCTCATCTATCATTCTTTTTTAAAAGTATAACCGCCCAATTGACTAAATCTTAAATGTGTACATAGCTCTCCTAATTTTATTCACAATATTTCTAGAAAACAACCTTTTCTTCAAGATTTTTCCTGTTAAGCATTCTTAGATGATTCTACAATGACTCAAATGTTTATCATTTCCATGTAGTTTTCTCCAATTCCCTAGCTATAAATAATTTTCCACCATCTTGGTATTTTACAAGCATGTCTCAAAAAGTGGTTATACTTTACTGACATTCACTCTTGTTACTTGAGAATATATTCTATGCTTTCTATTACATTGAAAGTTTCTTGATGGTAGAGTAACATGTATTTCTTGTTTTTGTTTCCTTGCAACAGGAGCTCAAAATGATTTCTTAAATAAATGAAAGAATACTCAGATGAAAATAATACCTGCTACACAAATAGTAAAGATGAAATTGATCCCTGTCCAGATGGGACACATATTTGTACTTGCAATCCAAATTGGATTATGTGTAGCCAAACTAAAATCAGCTGCATTGATTTTCTTTCCTTTGGTGGCCAAAATGATCATTTTAAGTCAACGTCACTGTTATCGTCCTATCTGAAAAAAGGATGCTTATTTTGTTTGGCTTCCTGTGTTCTTATCCTAGGAAATATTTCAACATTTATTAATTTTAAGATAAATTTTAAAAAATGAAATAACAGTGATCATTTGGGAAGCTTAAAAATTAGATCAAATTATACAGTAATAAATATGAATAGTCAGTGCTTTTAACCAAGTACAATACACATGTATGTGAATAAAAATCTTTAAATTTGTGAAGCATCCAACCAAATTATTTTCAATGGTTCCTTTCATTCAAGAGTTTGTAAACATTTAGGAAAATTAACATCACAATTAAAAGTTACAAAAAGTTAGTGAATTCTGCTTTATCACCAGCAAAGCAGTCTACTATGAGTGAAAGGAGATTGCAAGCACAGGTGAAATGTTCTTGCCTTCTACCTGTGGGCTGTGTTTTGCTATGTTGGGGCTCTGGGATTATGATCAAATATAATTTAAGAACTAAGCTTGCATGTTTCTAGAATTGACTTTCAGTTGTAAATTGTTTATTGCAGATATTTAGATTTCTCAGTTAACAAAATTACAAAAAACTGATTCTTAAGTGGATAAATGAAACAAAATAGAAAGAAGGTCCTACACATACTACCTAATTTAGAATGGACTAAAAATCTACAGAATAAAAAGTATTAATGGTTTTATTGTGCATATTTAAAAATATGCATTTATCTAAAAAATTTTTCATTAATTTTAAAGATTAGCAGAGAATATGTAGATAATAAAGACAGTACCAAATTGTTAAAAGATAATAATGAACTAATTGGATGGATATGAATAACCTCTGGATATGAAATCAAATATATACTACATTTTGATAATAATCTTGATATATTTTATATCTTATAAAATCAACATTTTTGATTTATATTCTCTAAGTATTCATGGGGTTTGTTTTGTTTTGTTTTGTTTTGAGACGGGATCTCACTCTGTTGCTCAGATCTCGGCTCACCACCACATCTGCCTCCAGGTTCAAGCGATTCTCCTGCCTCAGCCTCCAGAGTAGCTGGGATTTCAAGTGTGTGCCACCACACCGGGTAATTTTCGTATTTTTAGTATAGATGGGGTTTCACCGTGTTGGCCAGGCTAGTCTTGAATTCCTGACCTCAGGTGATCTGCCTGCCTCGGCCTCCCAATGTATTGGGATTACAGGCGTGAGCCACTGCACTTGGCTATTTATGTATTCTTAAGGACATTTGAAACTGATACTACATAACTATACAGTGTATGTGAGTTTAAAGAATGATGAAAAAAAGATCTGCTATACCAGGAATTGAGGTTTATTCAGATAATGTCAATGACACAACTTTATTACTGATGAAACACAGAGACCCGAATTATCTTGATTATTTAGCAAAGCTACCTTTTGCTTAACTCTTTATTTTTGTTCTTCTATGCAAAGACAGGTTACTTAATATCAGTCCCAGGTGAGCAAGAGAGTGAAACACACTCAAGACAAACAGAGAAATCTTTAAAGAATCTCTCTATTCTTCTTATCTGCTCTCTTTCAGGGTAATTACCCAAATGCCCCCCAATTATTTACCATGATTCCCTCCTTTCAGGAAACAGAGCTCATATATGGTTCATCTTAAACTATTTAATATATGTAATTTTAAATTTTCCATGTTTAAGAATGAAGCAGTTGAGAAAATTTGAAAGTGGGCAAAATTATTATATTTGTGGCTCACATAAAAATAAGTGTTTTTTGTAGTCAGTTAATACAGTTCGTCTGTATGGATAGAGCAATAGATTCTGTGTCCAGTTTTAAGGCTTTTCTGTTCTCTTGTAATACAACGTTACTACCTTTATTTGACATATAAACTTCAGTCTGATGTTCTTAATGTTGTTATAAGCTTAAAAACATTGAAATGCCTGTTAAGCTTCAGTATTAATGAAATTGCAAGAGGAGTCAGGACATAAGAAAAATGAATTCCTAGGAAAGCACACTTAGGACTCTTCCAACAGGCCTGTCTCCACCTCTCTACAATGGTTCCTGATTTACAACAGGAAGGACAGATCCTTCTATCGGCTTGATAATTTATCTTCTTAAATATTGCTGTTTTAAAGAAAATTACTTTAACATGAATACTAGGTCTCTTACTTTCCTTTTTCCTCAACAAATAAGGACATTTATAAATCAAGGTAATGCATATACTTAAATTAGAATCCCCTCATTATTCTAGATTCAACATTTAAATTCAAATATTTTATTTCGCAGGAGTTGGAGAGATCAGACATGACAGATCCAAGAATGAGCATTTATTGAAAAATGAGAAAAATGAATTCCTCTTTTCCCCCTACTCTCCTGGCAGTGAATTATATGTAAAAACTGCAAATGAGCAGGAAAATGTCTGCTTGGTTATTTGTAATCATTAACATTTTATCTTACTCTAACTAGTTTTTTCCCACAGACCCACAGATTTGATTTTCAGCCTTTTAATTAAATACATGTGAGAATGTGTGTGTGTGTGTGTGTGTGTGTGTCTGTGTGTCTGTGTGTGTGTCTACAGTCAATGAACATTTAGTTTTAATAGGCAGGAACATTTCTATAAAAAAATTACTTCACTTGAGCAAGAATCCCCATGTAAACCTTTATATCCATTATATAAATTAAAAAAAAACACTAAGTTTATAGCTGTCAAAAGTATATGCTTCTTTCCAAAGTTAAAGGTAACGCACTTCCCACATTTTTGTGTTGTGTTTTCTCAGTGTACTCATTTTGTTTTGATTATTTTGTTCATTTATCTTTGATATTGCTCCTGTGGTGACAAAACATAGTAAATACATGTTGAAGGGGCTAGTCTAATACTGGGCAATTTTTGGAGAGGGGCTTATTTTATCTTTTTTAGTGCAATTCAGCCCTGTTTTAAGATCAAAGTTAATTGTATTCCATAGGTATTTGGGGAAGGAACTGGAAAGGAATGGAAATCTAGTACTTCTAGTTTAAAGAGCTTGTGCATTTCTGATTTAACCTCTTTTTAAAAGCTCTTAAGGGTACTTAATCATTGTGTCTTGATGATCCTTGCCAAGTCACGTTTTACCACGACCTATATGTAGGAAGATCAATAGGCTGCAAGAAGTAAATAAAAATTTTTAAAAAGAGGAGGAATTTTCGTAACTGATAAGTATAAAAAGGACAAAAGTTTTTTATTTATATGTGTACATATATATTCTAAAATTTTATCACTTATAAACTATAAATTATTGCTTTTCTATAATTATGTATCATGTGTACTGTAAAAATGATTCATTCTTTTTGTTACTAGACTATTTCAAAACAAGCATCTGTAGGAGCTAGCATAAAATATAGGACATTAGGGAAGCATATTAACTCTGAAATCAGGTGCCATAGGTTCATACTTCTTACATGTGTTACTTCAGGCAAGGCAAGACAGTTAACTTCTATGTGTATCAATTTTTTTTTCATCTGTAAAACTAGGATAGTTGTTATGCTTGTCTCAGAAAGCTGTAGAGCTTGTCTCAGAAAGTAGTGAGGATTGAATAATATATCTTATGTAAACATAGCACAATGCCTAATGTACAATAAGCACCTGAAGTTTGCTATTATGTTAGCTATTTTTCCATAATCTCTTTCTAATAGTCTCACACAAATGAATGTATAGCTGTGTTGCTTTCCTACAGATTAGCAACAAGAGATAATTTCTTTCTCCCAAATGTAGACACTATGTTCCCTCCCCCGCCCCCACCCCTTCTGGAGAAACTAAAGGATTCTCACCCAGGATTGTGGCTGAAAATTTTGTGTTTCTGGAATACCTTTGGAAATCTTTCCTTAAAGAGGATACTGTTCATCAAGAAAGACTAGTGAGATCTAGCCCTAAACACATTGGACTAAACACCAAAGTTCCTGATAGTGACTTTGGATAAACCTCTTTAGCTCCTCATGCCTTAACTTTTTCCGTCTGTGAAATATTATTTTCCATCCTGTCTCAGAAGCTGGAAGACACAGGTGAAAATGGTTTGTGATTTATTGTGAGCTGTAGAAACTAGATATTATAGTATTGTTCAATATATTATGAGATTCCAGATAAATCTTTTAACAATCTCACATGAAATGATAGGCAGGATTCATTTAGGGAAAGATAATTGGATTACAGGATTAGCCATGTGTTTGAAAATAAATATCAGAAATTGGTATCTTACTAGTAATCTTTATGGTCTTTTAATCAAAATTTACTTACTTTGTGCACAATAATTACTGTTAAAATACCCTGTCTTTTGAGAAAGGGTTTTTTGCGGGGGGGTTTGTTTGTTTGCTTTTTTGGCATGAAGTCCTCCTGTCTGGATGTATAGCCATGTGTTATGTGTTCAAATAGATTGCATAAAACCCAATATTTTTGTTTCTTTTAATAAGAAGTAAATTCAGTTGAGGTGACTAACCTCTGCACACTTGGTAAGGAGGATTTTTGCTGAGCATCCTCATTAAGTCCAAGGGCCTGTTTACATCTCTAACTGGTTGTCCAGCCCAGCAAAGGCAACAGCAGCAACACCACACGCTGACATCTTGACTGAAATCAATGCCAGAGCAGCTGCCAAGGTGGCTTAGCAGGCTAATGTCGTTTTCCATGTTGATCCTCCCAGTCTCTGTCTAGTCCCTACCTTGTTGCCCACTCCCCTTCGAAACCTGCATATGCAGACAATGAAAGAGAGCACTGAAAAGAAGGGACAATGTTCTGCCTGAGGGCTCTTAAAGTATCTCTCTGAATTTAATGAGGTCAGCTGGGCGTCTACAGCTTTTACCTTTTGCTACAGCTCCCTACCCAGGACAGAAATCCCTCTCTAACACACAAACACACACAGGCGTGCACACGCATATGTACTGCAAAAATACACTTGGGAAAACACCTACGCATGGCAAATCACTCTTTGTATCTTTCATAAACACGCACACTTACCTCTCACTACAGCGCGTTTATGCTCTCGCGCGCGCAGACACACACACACACACACACACACACACACGAACTGGGAGAATCACAGGCCCACACACAATGCCACGTACCCCGAGAGATCAGAAGCCTTCCTACGCCTGCAGATTGAACTCACTCGCCACTCAAACCTATGGACACTCGCAGTGTGCCCACTTCCCAGAGCGGAACTCCTTCCAGATTCTAACGCCTTCCTCTGCTGAGCGGGCAGCTCCAACGCGAGCCAAGGGACAAAGCTGGCCAGGGTAATGCTGTGGTGCACGGGACCAAACCCATTATTTGTGCACAGTGCAGGGAGCTGCAAACTCAAGTTGGGCAGTCCTCTAGACTAAGCCTTGTTGATAGACGCTCACGCCCATGATAGCCTGAGGCAGTTAAATGGAGCCACACGCAACAGCAATATCCTGTTTCAGAACTAGCGCTGTGGCACTCCCCACTGCTGAGAGGGGACCAGATTCCCGAAAAGGTCAGATCACCAATCAGTTGCCTAATCTAAGGAACTTGTTCATTGAAAGATTTGGGCCAGGACCGTGGTCGAAAAAAATCAAGGAGCACGACATACTGGTCCCGGGGACACAGCTCCCCTGACACCAAGGGATGGCAAAAACAGGGTCCCTTATACATGCGAAGGAAGAACGGGCGGCTCGGAGACGGCCAGTAGATGGCGCAAGAACTCTTCCCTTGTGCAATCTTAACCCTTGCGTGGTGCATGGGGGAAGCAGATCCAGATGTATAGATACATACATTTTTCGTTTTGAAAGAAACCTCCTATTTACATATTTGGTACCGATTCAGAATTAAGACAAATGGGTTTGTTCTAGATAACTACCACAGATAAAGTAGTTTAACTGCGGCACACACAAACTGAAAAGGGGGTTGGGAGGATGAAAGGGAGAACTATTTGAGGAAACGACATTGACTTCCCTCCCCACCCCACCCCCGCCCAGGCCACGGATGAAATCCGTTTCCCGAATCATAAAAACCCGGTGAAGGGTTTACACGTAGTTATTTGAGTATGTAAATACATGTGTTCAAATACATTCTTTTCCGTGTGAAGGCAGAATTTATTGAGAAAATTCTCTGTGATTTCCTTTTTCAATTAAATCACAGGATAATAAATGGGAGAAGCCTGCCTGAAATATACTGCAACTACAGTAGTAACACATGTCCCATTATAACGACGTGGGCATCGATGGAGCCCGATTCATTATCGTCACGGTTTCCCCAAAAGCAACACAGATCCTCCGATTAAAATATTCCTTTGACATGCTTCTGTATTCGCAGCCTGCAACGGAGAGCTCACTAACATTATTTCTTGGGCTGCTTTTACAGGCAGAATTGATCTATTCGGGGAAAAAAAGCAAGCCCCTTAATTTCAAATATTGTGTGGAGTTTATCAGAGAGCAGAGGTGGGCTTTAAGAGGCTCACTAGTGGTTTCTGGTGGTTGCTATAACGAGCCAGAATTGGGGTAGATTTTGGTGGAGGGGAAAAAACGCACAAGAAAAGACAGAATCCAGAGTAGCGGAGACTTTGTGCCCCCGTTGGAGAGATGGTTGAGTCCTCGTCAAGGTTGCTGTGGTATCCCAGAAACACCATTCACTCCGAGCTGTGACCGCGCACCAACAACAGCAACAACTCCACTGCGCCGGGCTGAGGAGCAGGAATTAGGAGCTCGCGAATAATATGAAAGGGATCCGCAAAGGGGAAAGCCGAGCAAAGGAATCCAAACCCTGGGAGCCTGGCAAGCGAAGATGCGCTAAATGTGGCCGCCTAGACTTCATCCTGATGAAGAAAATGGGGATTAAAAGTGGATTTACGTTTTGGAACCTCGTCTTTTTATTGACGGTGTCTTGTGTGAAAGGTAGGTCTGCTTTGGGGGTCCCCTCCGCTTTGGATGGAGGTGGGCTGACTTGTAGATGGAGAGAGGCTGGCAGCTTACTTTGCAATTTGCACCGATAAAATAATCTGATAATACTAAAGGAGTTGATTCACAGCTCGTTCTCCCCCCCTCAGATAGGAAATGCATTTTGCTTGCCAGATTTGGCGTTCAATGCGGTGATTGAGCTTGTGCTCAATAAATATTCTTGCAGTATGCTCAAACGAATACGTGAGTTGGTTAGTATAGCCTCTAACTAGTGGATATCCAGGCAGAATTCCTCTGCAAGACTTTTCTTAGTGGTGAGGATTACCTTGATTTCTTGTCAGATCACTAGGGCTTGAGGCTTTGGGTGGAATATATATATTAAAGACGCTGGTCTAAATGCTTTTTAACCCTTTCAGGGAAGAAAGTTATCGACGTGCTAGGAATGTGTTGATTTTAAATGCATTAGGGCACAGGGATCTTCCAAGCACTGCCACATCAACATGAATGTCTGCATGCATATGTATGTAAATTGGGCTTCTATGCAATGTTAAATGTAGGGGAGCTTCCCTAGGACCTGTGGTAGAGGTTTGGCAAAAAATGAGGCTTTCGAAGGGTCTGAAATGCCATGAAGTGTAAAGAACCACCTTAAGGGATGAATGAGGTAGGAGGAAAGTCATTAGCTGACGACCAAAAGAAAATCCCCAGCAAGTCTCAGCGTTCAGACAGGTAGAGTGAGTGTCACATGCACAGATAGGGGAGGGGGTAGGTGGGATGTAAAAATGTATTCCCAAGCAGGAAGGCAAGGGACAGTCAGGATCATGGGAAAAAGAGCTGTCCTTAGGGAGAAAATAGATCCATAGCTCTCTTCCACAACTTCTCCGGCACCCTGCTGCCCATTAATTGCTGCAAAGAATACTCAGGAGGTGTTTATGACTCATGCCATCATTTTTTGAACAATCACCTCTCCATACTCATGGCAGCTCGAATAGACGCTATGGATGCCGCTTTCAGTGAAGCTAGTTTCAAATCCCGGGTGTCTGTGTGTCGCGGGGGGGCGGGGGATCGCGGGAAAGGGGGTGCTGTTTTGGCCCAGGCGCGCCAGGGCTGTCAACACAAACTGGACGCTTCTTCCTTTGTAAAGGAGTGCCTCTCTGAACTGCAATCGGGCCGCGTCTCTATGAAACAGTTTATTGTCCAGCTTGCAGCTGGCTGTCCCCCCACGGAAGGCAGCTCATTTGCATTCAGTGGAAATGATAATTCATGTTTTGGGAGGAGGGAGCTGGAGAGGTTACCTTTCCCTCTACTATAACCAATGATGGGTGGCATGTCTAGAATTTTAATTTACATCCCAAAATGCCAGGAAGTCAGTCGCCCCGGTCTCTGTGGCAGCAACTGCCTTGTAATCCCAACCTGCTCCTTGAAGCTTGATTTTTCTTTTCTCTCTGGGGCCTCAGAGCAGCTCTGAGCCGAAAAGCTTGTCCTAAGTGGCACAACTACACTGCCAAATGTACAAAGCACGGCTCAGGTTGCTTACAAGGTTTCTTTGTCGCTGGCTCGACGGGTGAGGAGCCACACATTTATGCTTAGTTCGCCTGCCACTGGGAGTTGGTGGTTAATGGATGGCCCTGGGGCTGCCTGCTAGACGCGCGCTTCGCGTGGGGGAGGCGCGAATAGCCAGCAGCAGCCCTGGCAGAAAAATGTAAGGGTGGCTCCTGTGAGAAGATGACCAGGGTTTAAGTGCGAGTTTTCATGTGATACCTGTTGAGCCAAAACACATTCGGGGGCAGATGAGGGGGAGGGAAGTCTCCGAAGCGGGGCGAGCATTACAGCCTGACTAACGCTGATCCGCGCCGCCTGCAATTAGAGCCCCGGCTGCCCGCACCTACCGTATTTTCCGAATGAGATGCGCCGATAGAAAGGAAAGGCGCGTTAATTTACTTTGGACTGATATAATCGGTTTAGCTTTGGAGATATTGAGAAGGAAGAGTATGTCATAGCCTTCTTTGATCCTGTGCAAAATCAATATTCTACAGACTATACGTAAAAAACATTTTTTTTCAATGTCAATAAAGTTATTGTCACTCATCGGGCACTTGGAAGGCATCTCCTACATTTTACGACTTGGAATACTGTCCCCAAATTCTGAGAAATTTGCATAGGTTTTATGTTTTAGACCTGCTGTCAATCTCCGAATGATGCCAATTTTGATAGTTGCTTTTTACTCTCCCTTTCCTCATTTTATTTTAATTTCACCTGTCTCAAGGCTTTCCTAAAGCCAAGATTGATGCAATGCCTTAAACATTGTTTGCCCCAATGTCTATGCTCGCTTTTGTCTTCTACACTTTCTTCTGGAATGTGAGGTCCATGAAAAACCTCAGACTGGGGAGCCGTTGTAAGGATTTTGCAGGTTCTAATCTAGACTAGCGTGAGGGTCCAGGAAGTCCGAGGCAGGCAGTTTTCCACGTGAACAGCTCTAGCCACGAGAATTACACCATCTGCCTACAGTTTTCATCCCTCCACCATCTCACCTTTGCGTTCAACAGCAATGACAAAGAGGCTTAGTGGGAGGAAACGCCTCGGAGTGTAAGATAAAGTGGTCTTAGGTAGGCCTGAACCACTCGGGTGGGGCTGAAAAGGAAAACAACCTTTCCTTGGCATTTCATTTCCACTGTCATGTGAAATAAAAGGCTGTGGAGAGCACCAAACTGAGGCGTGGGACAGGGCAGGTGCTGCCTAGACTTGATCCATGCCTATTTCAAACTGAACTCCCCTCCCCCGCACCCCCCACACAGGTACACACGCACACACACACACAGGCAGAGGTTTCTGAAATGCCTCCAGCTGCAGCGTGTCTGTTTAGGTCTCACCCAGATAGAAACTGTGAATCTCCAAGTCGTGCTTAAGCGTCCCGCCCATGTAAAGAGACATCCATGGGATGTTTTCCCACGCTGCTTGTCAGTGGATCCCAGGGGAACACACACCGTGCAGCGAAGGTACCGCGAAGGCACAGATCTCTGGGTAGGCAGCAGGTGGGAGACCGGGTGCGGCGTCGCGCACCCCACGCCAGAGCGTCTTTCCAGGGATTCTCGCCAGAGCGACTTCGCGAAGGATCCACGTTTCTGCGTGCTCTGAGACTCCAAGGAGATACTACTCCTGCCACAGAGGTCTTTTGGAAAAGTGGAAATCGCATCCTCTCCCGCAGTTAGTTGCTACTGGAGAGGGGCGCGGGTGTCTTATGAGGGGGAAGAGCTGCCAGAGGCACTCATTAGCACCTTTTACAGACGCCCGCCCAGGTGGCCATGTCCGGAGCTTTCAGCCCCGCGTGTGTCCCGGGGACTGACACCCACAGTCCTCGCCCATAAGGCGACAGTCTTTCCCAACACATCAGGAAAATATCTGTCTCAGCTTGAGAGAGCTTTACAAAGGGGGCTGAGGGAAGGGAAATCAATGTCTTTTCAAAATAATAACAGCAAACAAAAACCCACCTAGACAAAACCATTATCAAAACCCTTCCCCCAACACTAGCAAGACTGAGAAACCCACTGAAAGGTAACCTTTGTATTTGAGTCAGGGCCCCCTCCTGCTGTAGTTTGGACAGGCGCCCCTCCCTTACATCTATTTCCTGTGGGAATACTCATTAATTTCTTCAAGAAGATCAGCCTCCCTGAATTTTCATGGACAACCCGAAGTTGAAACTGGGTGGCTGACTTGGCTGTTGATGTGCGTGTGTGCGTGTGTGCTGCTGGGAGGAGGACACATGAATTGACACGGAGAAACCTTTAGGAGTCTCCGAGGGTGGGTGTGAGTGTGTCCTAGGCGGAAACGCCTGGCGGGTAACAGCGCTTTAATGTTCCCAGGACTCCAGATGGCCAGTGGCGCTGCGACCACTGCTGTCACGATGAAGTAGAAGTGCGGAGGAAGCTCCCTTTCTCCAGGCGGACCGCAGCGCTGTCCTCACTCAAATAACTTATCTAAGACGCACTCGGGGAGTTCGGAAAGCACATTGGGGAAACAACGAGTGGGGATTGTGGCTCCTCTGCAACGTCCCCGTCCCCCAGATCCGTTCAACGACGACGGAAAGGCCAGCAGGAGGGCAGCCCCCGGCTCAAGTGCTGCAAGGGCTTAGTTAGACTCTGAGGGAGAGAGCAGAAGAAATTAAACAGCATAGTGCCATCTGAGTAGCCAAAGTGGTCTTCTCCCAGCCCCGCTGGAGTGACCAGCTAAGGGGCTGACACAGGGGCACGCACAGGGATTGCTGCGCATTGCAGAATAATAATGAAGGAGGACAACCAAAGGAAGAAAGATCGGCTCAGGCATGAGGCTGGTTCTCTTCTCCCTGAATGCGGTCTTGTCTTTGGGGAGGCTTTGCACCACCGAGTTGCTAAGTTAACCCAATTTACCGGACTGACAGGGCTTGAACGGTTACCAGAATTCGGAGCTGAACTTCACTGGACAGTTAGCTTGTTGAAAGCGCTCTGAAATGTCCTTTTGCAGCACCGTACTTTCCGGAATCATCTGGTTGGGGAGGAGGCGGGTGCTGCATCACGCCCTCATTGGAAGAGTATGTGAGCAGAAATAATTAAGGAGAAGGTTTCGGCATCTTGAAAACCTGATGCCAGCTCCCTTGAGATCCTTCAAGGAGAAAAAGAGTAGAATTACTCAATAAATTAAGTACTCCAGGAGCAAAGGCTTCGTTCCAGTAGTTATTACCCTTCATGATATTAATTAGCATTTCTATTTGTAGGGTAGCTGAATTAATTTGGAGTATACGCGTCTTTTCCCTAAACACAAAATTTGGTGTCTACAAAACAGTGAAATAACAAATAGACACCAAATGTCATCTGTGCATGATTCTAAGTACAGTAAAACTCTATCATAAGTGAAAGCTGATAAACAAAAAAAGTAGGAGAGGTGTGCAGTTAATAATGCCTTTGTACTCATGTGCGGAAAAAAAAAAACTCTGACCTTAAAACGCTTTTCTAAGATCTCAAATGCAAAAAAGTGGAGGGAACTAAAGTTTACTTCCTTAGCCTCCAAATATACTTCTTCATGTGTTCCAAAGGGTGTTTCTCTTCTACTTACTTATCAGGGGCTTCCGAAATGGCTTAAGGATATAAAATACCTTCAATATTTTGTCTATTTTAAAGCACCAAGCATACGCCTGGTAAGGCACCAGTACCTTTAGGCAACATGACCTTTTGAGAAAATACGCCATCTTGTACTTTGAATTCCAAGATTTGGGAAATTAGAAATAAAATGGTTGTAAATGACAGATTAAGAAAAAATGTGTAAGATACAAGTAAAATCTAAGAACACTTTAGTTTATTTACATGTACATTAAAACATAGCTTTAGCTATTTTTCCCTATCTCTTTCTTCTGTTCCCTTTACTCATCATCCAAAGGAGTATATAATTTAGAATACAGTGGAAATATTGATTTGGACTTTGGATGAGTATGAGAATGGTGCCATTACAGACACTGCGGTTGCCAAATTCATCTTTCTGCTCTCAGAGTGAGCAGGTGGGTGATTCACGGTATTTCCAGGTATACCTACCTCCATGCCTGCAAGGTTTTCTCAGAATTGGGCCCCTTGTGAGGCTCTTATTCTCTTCAGGGACATCGCTTTTAAAAGTATCACAGAGAAAAATCAATTTGTTGAAGACCTGCTGGTATTCACAGCCACAATGCTGATGATCACCTTTCCTTCTCTTAAGGCCCCAGACTTGCAGCCATCAAATATATTTCATGTCTTAAGTTGCTTTGCTAAGCTGTTGTTTGGTGCTGGTTAAGGAATCCTAATGATTAATATTTTCTATATAGTGATAATTCGTTGCCGGCAACCTAATTTGAAATCTTTAAAATGTCTAAATTTACATTAACATATGTATTATATACCTGTGCTTGGACGGAAAATAACAATGGTGATTATGTGGCATTAGATATCATCACATTATTCAGTTCAGGCCCTTAAATGTTTGGACTACAGTGATTTTCAAAGTGTTCTCCAACAAGTAGTACCAGCATCCTCTAAAAACTTTTTAGCAATAAAAATACCTCAGTTTCCCAGATAAGGTCTGTTGAATCAGATGCTTTGGGAGTTGGGCACAGACACTGATGGTTTAAACAAGTCATCCAGGTAAGTCCAGATTGCACTCTAAAATTTGAGCGACCCTACAGTAAAGTGGAAAGAGCAAGGGCTCTGGAGCCACTGAAGGTCAAATAATGATTTTTGGCAACAATTATCTTTGGACTAGCAATTCAACTTTCCTAAGCTTCAGTTTTATTATCTGTAAAAAAAAAAATACATGACAATATCGGGGGTTTATAGGGAGATGACATAAATTACGTACCTAGCCCAGTGCTTGGCACTAGTAGCTATTGCCAATATTATTCAAATAAACATGCACATGCAAAGCCTGTATGAACTCGCACTTTATCTCTAACACCACCACCTTCACTTTTCCATAGCAGTAAATAAAAAGTGTAGCCTCTTCTCACTAGCTATTATTTCACTTTGGCTAAGTTCCCAGGCCATTATACAGCTGAGAAACACTGTGAAACTGCTGCTTATCACTTTTACACATTCACTTCTGGTGCTGGCTATATGAATAAGGGGCAGACTCACAGCTAAAAAGAAAAAAATGCTACCTCTCCTCCTGTGCTGATTTCATCCCCTGCATTCTGATATTGATTTCTTTTAATAGGGATTGATTAATGTACTAACATGAATTTGTTCATTCATCTTGTCACAAATCATGACATTCATAGGTCCTTAAATATCAGCTAGTTCACTGCTCATGTATTTTACAATAAGCGCAAATGCCAAGAAAGGATAAGTAATTTTTGGTAGTTTTCAAAGACCATTAATTCCAGAACTCAGACTAGATGACAGGGCATTCAAGCTCATGTTCAATTCTTTTTCTACTTTACCTTATCAATTTTATTAGAAAGTTAGCTCAGATGGCACCAATGAAGATAGTCAATCAGAAAAATTAATATTTCAGTACTATATATCAATTAGTATTAGTAATTATATGCTTGTGGTAAAATTTTAAAAATGATAATTACTTATTTGGTAGAAGACAAAAGGAGATAATTATGGAGTGAAAAACTTTTCTGATATAATGTGTACTTCAAATAAACTAATTGTATCTTCAGTAAAGTTTATTTCTTGACATTACAAGTCTGTAAATAAAATCAGTGTGTTGACTTTTTCATGTCTCAAAAGAGCATTGAGGGGCAGTACTTAACATCAAATTTTTATTTATTTCTTATAATCTGTAGACAATTTCTTACTTAAAAGCTTTTAAATCTAGAGAAATGTTTCTTTTTTTCATGGGTTTTATTATGTTTAAGTCATATTTACATGAGATTTATGTATTCTCTCTAGTTACATTTTCATCTGCATATTTTTTCACATGATATATATATATAAGACAATTATTCAAAATTCTATAAGAAACAATAATACATTTTATAAATATTAATGGTATAAGAACATCCATACGTTATCAATTTTAGTGATAGTTGAAATGTTTTAAAGTCATTTTATGATATGGGAGTAAAATTTGCAAAGTTAAGAAATTCTACTCTTTGAGGAGTTGAAATGTTCAGAAAATGATTGAAATATATAAATAGTCATGAGTGATTCCCTTAAAAAGCTAAGTTCATAATGTTTAAGATTATGAAGATTTTCTTTGCTTGATGTTAGCAATTTTTAAAGGAATGTTAATGATCATGAGTTTAAAATAATAGGGAGGATTTTTTAACTATGACATTAAAAAATATGATTAAATACCACTTTGAGAGGAAGTTTGTAAATGGAAACAGACTCTATAAAAGTAGACTTATTTTATCCCAAATAACTAAAAAAGCAAGGGCTTTTGCCATAGTTTTCTGTTATACAAGTTTATCTGATTGACTCCAGAATGATCAGAGTTATTTACTATGTAGAGAGGATACGAGACATTCTTATGTTTTGGGAAATGGTACCGGGATAAAATTCTTTGTTGTGTCTTTTCATGTGTGATGCTTTATGATAAGCCCTTAACTAAAGTGTCCTTTACATCTCAAACAGTTCTTTTCTCCCTTTTCTTCCTGTATTGAATTCTAATAAGTATCTTTGAGATAGCTATTAACTCCTATATAGAGATTGTTATCTCCATTTTCGAGTAATACACATTTTTCTGAGTCCAGAGTTCAATGATTTGCCAGGATCATACAGTTAGCTAGTGGTTAAGTGAAATCTGAAAGGATAATAGATTCATAAGCCATAGACTTACCAAAATCTAAAAGAAAAATGTAAATGACTAAGTTACCAATTAAACCTCTTCATTTTTAAGAGAAACATTGAGGCCCTGAAAATTTAATTTAGAAGAAAGCTTAAGATCAATAGTCGTGATTAGACAGAAAGATAGATAGATAGATAGATAGATAGATAGATAGATAGATAGATAGATAGATAGATATCCCACAGTTGGAGTAACACATAACTTAATTGGTTTTGTAATTTTCAACATCTTTCACTTAACTTGACTAATTTTGTTCTCTAAATGGTCTGTACAATAGATATAAAAGATACTTTCTACTTTTATAAGCGATAGTAAGCAAAGTAAATGCACAGGTAATACATATGTTAAATATGACACTATAAAATATAAAACTAGCACATTAAGTAAGATAAAACAGAGGTAAACATTATAACCCTTAGCTCCTAATGGAGGCTCTTGAGTAAAATTTAAAATTTGTGAATGCAGATAAATTTATGAACTTCACATATAAAATGATAAAATTGTATCATAAGCATTGAAAAATAAAATTGTTTTACTTGGTATCTTAACCTTCCACTCAGCTCTACAGAATTTAAAGGATATGGAAGTTCTCAGAGTGTCCCCAATCTAGTGTTTACTAGGCAGGAAATGTGCATTAGATTTATTTGTAGGGGCAAATACATATTTTTCAAAATTAAAATATGCATATCCAAGTTCCATTCACAAAGTCTATTTCAGTCCATAAGTGTCCTTTAGTTAAAAATACAGGGGTAGCTGTGTATCTTCACATAAAAGAGGGGACAGGCCAGAGAAATGAAATGACTTGCCAAGCTAGAGAGTGAAAACCAGTCTTTACCTGTCCAGTGTACTTTTCTTGTATTTGATACTATTTTATGAGCCTCTTTTTTTTTTTTTTAGACATAATTGGTTTATGAGAGTAAAGCTCATTGAATGGAGAGACCACTGTGCCTACCCCAAAATCCTGATCAGAATTAAGACTAGACTTTTTGAAGTAATTGTGTAAGGAGACACAGATACATGAGTATATTAATATAGGCAAATGGGAAACTTCACATGCAATCTAAAGATTAACTTAAGGATTAACTGGGGGGAATATAGATATACATCAGTCTATGAAAGAAAAAATGTTTTTATTAAATTATACTTAAGTGCTCAAATTTAGCATTACATTTTCTTGTGTATATGATAAAATATATTTTCATATGTAACTATATTACTTTTGTCATTTCTAAACTTTATAGACTCTCCCAATATAAACTAGCCTTTTTCTACATGCATTATTAAAGCTTTATTTGTTGTTATATTTTCAGAAATTTTATTTTAACCTGTCTTTTTAATTTTAAAGATAAGTTATCCTAATAATGTCCTCATTTGTATTAGTCATAGGATATACTTATTGCATTTAATACTTCTTCATAGGCCATTCTTATTTTAAATAGTTTTGATATATGATCTTACAACAGGTAGATGTAGATTTCTCCAAGGTTGGTCAAGTCCCAGATAAAGGTACATTTACGATTTGTCTCCAAGTCTGTTTTCTACAATTGTTCATTCCAAAATTTTATTTATTGTTGAAAACTTATGATCAGCCATCAGCCAGGTTTTCCATTTTAGAATGCATCCAATTGTTGTTAGTATTTATTTGATTTTATTGAGATTTAAAATCACAAATTCACTTGACATTTCATTTTCATGATCTTAGGGAGAGGTAGATAATCAAAACAACTTTTCCCAAACTAGTTCACATTCCTATTAGCCATTTGTTTCTTCTTTGATAGCTACTTAATAAAACTTACAGCTGTGTTTTGTTATTTGATATTATTATAATTTCTCAAATATATATTTTAGCTTTCTATGGGGCTGTTTTGTTTTTTTAATCTTCTTATCTTTTTTGCTTGTTTACATTATGGGAGTTATCTTATTTGAAGGATATTTGAGGAAAATATATTCTTATTTTATTTTCTCTTAAAATAACACATAATGTACCACATAATGGATACACCCACAATGAAGTTTATCCACTTAGTCAATAATTTTAAAAATATAAGCTTTAAATTAAGCTAATTTGTAATTTTTAGAAGTGATTTAGTTTTCATCTTTAAACTATATTTTCATTATGCAGAAATGGCTTCTCTGAATCCATTATCAGAAGTATAATTTTAATCTCAACTAAATGTTAGTAATGAATTTATGCTGAGCTACCTGCATTTTCTAATATTGAACTCTGTGTTGCTAAAGGCTGCATATGCAAGATAAGGGATCAAAGTTAGAAAAACTGGCAAAAAAAATACAGCTGACTCTTTTGGAGACGATACATACTCTACCTTGAATTTATTGATTCCATACTCTAAGTGACCTAACTATGTACTCTAGACAAAATATTTACTCAGTGTTCACATATATGGAGAAATCTGGAGTTAAGATATTTTGGCTGATGCATAAATCAAAACAGCTGAACTGATTCAAATGTTTTGTGTAAATAAATTTGCATCCAGGCTGCTAATTTGTGTGCCAACTTTCGGCTTCCTAGTTTTTAAGATTATGGAAATGATAAAACCTCTAAATGAAGTTTGTAATAGAAATGCTGACAGGCTCATAATTACCTGTATTGAATTCATGTTCAACGCTCTTTTTACAGCCTTTTAAAAAACTTTCGTCTTTAAATCCTGCTAGTACTTGAGTACTCTTTTATTTGTTTAATCTTTTTAAAGGAGGTCAGACAGAAACTTTTAAGATCCATTTTCTAGAAAAGTGCTAGAAAACCTTTAATATCTGTGTTAGCTTGAGGGTCTTCATTAATATATTAACAAGTAGATATCAGAAATGACATTTTGACCTTATTTTTTATATATTGCCAATTTGTGAGTTCTTAGAAATTAGCCATTTTTCAATAATTTGAAGATTACTACCTATTTTCCCCATCTTCACAAAAATTATTAAAAATTTCCTATTTTAGAAAGACTTTATATTCTAATTATGTAATGCTTTCAAAAGCAATTTCACAAAGGCCTAAAAAGAAATTGGAAGATGTTAGACATATTAAGTTTATCATTTGCTATTTCATGTAAATATCAAATTAATTTTTTATATAATTTTCTTTTGATTAAAGTAAAATTTAGAATATTATGCTTTATGTATTAGAATAGTATTATTTTGAAGTGAATATTATGGGATTGACATAATTTAAGTTGTGAAGGATACAGTGATCAGTAAGTTTTATTTCTGCAAAACAACCAGTGGGTTACTTATCAGTTCTAGAACTCTTTGAGACATTCCTTCAGCTATCAATTATTTATTGAGAACCAGTATGTATCAGACTCTTGCCTAGACTTTGAGAATATAGGGATGAAGCTCTAGTGCCTATCCTACAGGAAGTCATCATCTATTTGAAGCAGGCTTTCTGTGTATATAATACCAAAATAATCTGATTATTGTAAAATTGTTTAGCTCTTCAATGGGATTTTCTTCCCGTGTAAATATCAGTGTAGTTGACACCACCTTTATTTATATATCATATATATTGTATCATTACCTTATCACAGGTAAATATAACATTCTACAGATGCTGTTTGTAACTTTCCAATGAAAGGCATCATTTTTGCAATTTAACCTAATGTAATTTTCTCTTGTAATTTCCAATTAAAATGTTTATTGACTCCCATCTGTTCAGCCAACTGATATTAACTAGTTTATCCAGTATTAATGAAGATCCCACATGTATTTCTTTAATAGTGTTTGTACAATAATATAATCATTTGTGATCACCAAACTGTGCTCTTACACTTTTTTTTTTAATGTTTGCTCTTGTCTCAGAACTCCTCCTTGGCTTCTTAATACTTTCAATTTAAATTCAAATCTCTGTCCCTTATTTCATGATTCACATGAAAGAAGACTGAGCTAACTTATCAAGGTCAACACCTAAAAAAAGCAAGAAAATTAGCTAAATATAAATATAACAGATTTAGTAATTTTTTCCATTTGTTATTGTTATCTTTACTGGAGATGTGTGTTGATGAAGTATAGTTTTTCAATAAGTACATTATGTTTTGTTATGATTTTAATCTGTGAGGTTAAGAGTCATAAATGAAGACATAATGGGGAAAATACTGTCATTTCATCAATGCTAATTTTGCTACATAGGAGTTTGGTAGAATGATCTATCCTTACAAAGTTTGGAAAGTCATCAAATATCATCACGTATTTCACATTTTTCTCATTCCTGCCAAGTATATTATTTTGATGATTCATGTTATTCTGATATTTGTACCAACAGATTACTTCAGAACTACAAAAGTACCTCCTTATTCCCTTTCACATTCTGTAAGTCACATTTCTTGGTGAGCTAATAATTACTTATTGTGTAAGAAACCAGATTTAATGTCTATTAACACAACAAATAGTAAAGGTTTTTTTCCTATTACTAAATCTCAAAATCTTGACTGTTAATGTAAGATCAGAACTATGCACTTCCATATCTATGTGAATTTCTATTTTTTCTGCTTTGATAATTTCAATGAAATTAGTACATTTTGAAGCTGGAGAAAAAATGGCTTTGAGTAACATGCATTGATTTACTTAACTTTATACAACTAAAGGAAAGCACTTCCAAGTGTTTCAGGGTGAATTTTCAACAATCTCCATAACACATAACATAAAGACGACCTATTTAAATCTTATACTAATTCATGTGAGGTAATTTGCATTACATGCTGATTTGGTTTCATCAATATCCCAACATCAGCATTTAAGATTCTTCTTTTTTTATGTATTTGACATAACAAAGAAGAAAGTGGTCTTTTTACACTTGACAAAGCTATATTATACAAAGAAACAACCATAAACAATATATCTCTGTGCTGCCTTTCAACTCACTTTGTTTTTCCTCCTTAAATTACAACTCAATTTCAAAGTATCACTGACAATTTACATATAACAGCAATATCATAACATGGACTGCTTGCCTAAAATGCAGTGGAGAGGCTGTCAAGTCAGCTTGTTTACTGTTAGCACAAAAGAGAATCTCAGAGAAGCTATCTATAAGAGGTACACCAGCCAAGAATGATAATATGTGAGGTTAGGCAATTGTTAATTAGTTAGATTTCATCATTCTGTAATGTGTATATCAGGTTGAGCAACCCTGTGAAAATTTGAAATTCAAAATACTCAAGAATGTGACACTTTTTGAGGTCTGACATGATTCCACAAGTGGAAAATTTCATATCTGACCTTATGTGATGAATTACAGTCGAAATGCAGTCAAAAATTATTTTCATAAACCAAATTATTAAAAACATATATAAAATTACATTCAGGCTATATATATTAAACAATTATATTCAGGCTATTTATATATTATGTATATGAAACATAAGTACATTTTTTGTTTAGACTTGGGTTCCTTCCCCAAGATATTTCATTGTGTATATGCACATATTCAAAATTTTTTAAAAAATTTGAGATCTAAAACACTTCTCATTCCAAGCAGTTTGAATAAGGGATAATCTACACTTTAAAGTATCATGTTGTAGCTGATACCTAAATACAATGTTATCTGTCAAGTTTAAAACAAATAATTAAAAACTCAATTTAAGGTGAAAAAATAGCCTAAGAAGCCAAAAAACATTTTTTTTCGTCTCTCTCTTACACTCTGTGGGTCACACTGTCACTTTTCCAGTGGTTTTGTTGTTTGTTTCTTTGTTTGTTTTGCATGTTTTCGTCTTTCACATCTACAAGCCAGCTCCCTAGGATAGGGTCTTGTTTCTACCCCATCACTACCTTAACTTGAGGGTGATATTGTGTTGCCTCCATGGTACTACCTTTCCATGAAATTCTACATGGCCCCAAAACTTTACTGCAACACACAGTCTCTGTTTGTTTTATTTCAGACTTACAGAGGAATACCATATTGATTGACTTTCACTTAAATAACTGTAAGATACAAACAAATGAGGTCAAGTTTGAATCAAGTGATCTTTGCGAGATCAGCAAGCTCTCTAAGAAGAATGTTGAGATAAAAGCGGCAGATTTGCTACACATGCATCATGTACTTTTTAAACCCCAAATTTAATGTGTAGGAGCAGAGGGAAAGCTTTTCTTCCTTCCTCTTTGAAGGTGCTCTGAAATGACTGTCAATAAAGAGATTAACAGAGGAAAAACGCGTAGAATTTTCTACTGTGCATATGGACATGAAGGAAGCACCACAAAAAGAGACTCAAAGAAAAGCCAGATGGTTGAGGCTTAAATACCCTCTTCATAGAGGACAGGGAAATGAGAAGGGGGACAGTGGCAGTAGTTAATTTTAGGATTAGTAAACGATTTACAGGGGGAGATAAGTGAGTTCCAGAATACAATGACCTGGGAGAAATTTCCTCTGAGCTCTTGGGGAGGTGGTAGCAAGGTGAGGGACAGAACTTTGCTGTAAAATAAAGTTGTCTTATTATTCAGATAATGTTTCCCAGTAATCACTCAAACCTGTCCTTGGGCAAATGGATAAAATTCTATCAGAGTGTGGTTTTTATTCTCTTGTCTTCATTAGTGGTTAATCTTTCCATGGTATTTGATAGATCTTTCCTGGCTGTTTCCTGGGTATTACATCAGTTGCATTCCTTTTGGAAAGAAATTTTATTAGTCAGATAAGAAAATTCCAGAAAAAGTCCTTCCTTGTGCTTGGTGAAAAATAGAGGATGGCTAGGGGAAGAGGAGGATGGGAAGGGCAGAAGGAGACCTTGGTTCCGAATCCTATTTCTGAGGCCTACCTATTTCAGTTCAAAGTATTCAGTATACCAAAGTGCCAAACTTTCAGGGTATCGTTTTCTGAGTCCCAAAAAAACACAGTTGACAAAATTTTATAAAGTGAATAAATACAATGTAAACATGAAGTATATGCATTCTTATTAGTTGGATTTTTAAGCACAGATATTTCTAATTTATAAAATCTGTGCCCTATCTATTGTTTCAACTTTTATTATAGTTAATTTTTCTTCAAAGAGCTTGTGAAAACACTTTTGTCCATAAGAAAAGTCATTAGGCATTTTTAATTTGTCTGCTTCTTCATTTCTTTGCTCATCTTCAGGGCAGGAAAAGAAACTAATATTCATTGTCACCCCAATCACAGTGCAATTATCTTGGGACAAACCCTGCTTAACCCTGGTTGGCAATTCCTTTCATATGTGATTGTGTTCTATTTGCCAATATTTTGATCATTTTAACTCTGGATTCATTGTAATTTTTTTTCCTTTTGGTCTCAGAAATTTGGAATATGAAAAGCATATTTGTTTAAATTATCTTCTTATGTATTCTTCGTGTTTTTTTCTAATTATTTTCTGCATCAGGTTTAGGTTTTATAATGTCAGTTATATTTATTTCTATCAGTAGTATTTCTTTGAATGATTTGCTAATATTTATACAAGTCATCATCGTATTATAATTTACATTTCTTTTTTTTTTTTAAACGGAATCTCATTGGAGTGCAATGGGGCGATCTCAGCTACTACAACCTCCGCCTGCTGGGTTCAGGAACTTCTCCCTGTCTCAGCCTCCCAAGCAGCTGTAATTGCAGGTGCCTGACACCAAGCCCTGCTAATTTTTTTATTTTTTAGTAGAGATGAGGTTTCACCATGTTGGCCAGGGTGGTCCTCAACTCCTGACCTCAGGTGATCCATCCGCCTCCGCCTCCCGAAATGCTGGGATTACAGGCATGAGCCACCCCGCCTGGCCTAATTAATATTTCTTACTTTATATTACATATACATATATGTATATAGACGTATTTTATTTTTGTTTTAACCCATAGTCTAAGAATTATTTTAATGTTTTTTCTAGGAATAAAATTGTAGACATAAATATTAAGCATTTTTTCTAATTTTATTTCTATTTAGTTTTACTACTTCTATTTTGTTTCCTTTGCTGCCTTCCAAAATTTAAGGAGGGGCATTCCACTGTGTTTGTATTTTTTTATCTGTCTTACTATCGTATGTATAACATTTTTTTTAAGTACTCATTGAGAAAATATTATTAATTCAGCATGTTGAAAAATTATATAATCATTTTTGTTTTGGTTCTGAATCTCCTCCTTCATTTAGTAAGTGCATATGAGAATTCATTTTATTTGACAATTATATATTTTTTGTTATTTCTAATTTGAAAACATTGTGTTTTGTTTGATATGATGTGGGGCAAGGCTTTTCATTTACTAAGTATATCTACATCACCCAGTATGTAAATGTTTTTAAAAAATGTTTATGTAAGTTGAGAGCTATTTTAATATTGCCCATTTGTTGCAAACTCCTGTCTTGATAATTTTTGTATTTTATGTTTCATAATATTATTTGAGATCTTCAATTTATACTTTACTTCTTAATCACTACTGCTTTTGTTAGTTTCAAATTACTTTCTTTGGATGTTGTTTGAAATATAAGAATGTAAATTTTAAGTTTTAATTAGATATTTGTGACATTTTTACTTCAATAACCATTTAAAGAGCCTCTGCTTTTTAAGGCTACCATTAGATTAGTGTGATTGAATGAGTTATAAATAGTTAAATGATGATCTCTACATGCCATCAAAGAATTCAGAATTCATTCTAATGGTTAAAAAAAAAAGTTGGCAAAAAAATAATTCTAATATATTCTCATAAACACTATTATAAAGGAGATAAAAGGCACTATGGGAATTAGACAACAATGGTGAACTTCTCTGAGAAAGAATAGATTGAATTCCTGATAAAATTATGATTTGAATAGTGTACTGGTGCTTCCCAAGTAAAGAATTGAGAGCATGAGGAAAAGCTGCACTCCAGACCCAAGGACTCTAATATGCACCATCTTTTTATCAATAGCCCTTTCTAAATCTGCCCCCAACACCAAGCAGAGCTTTTTATGCAGACTAGTCCTTCAAAAATCACCAGATGATGTTGGAGTAAATATATATTATGCCTCCGTGTAGTAAACTAAAAAGACAAGTGTAGGCCGGGCACAGTGGTTCACGCCTGTAATCCCAGCACTTTGGGAGGCCAAGGCAGGTAGATTACCTGAGGCCAGGAGTTTGAGACCAGCTTGGCCGACATGGTGAAAGCCTGTCTCTACTAAAAATACAAAAATTATCCAGGCGTGGTGGTGAGTGCCTGTAATCCCATCTACTCAGAGGCTGAGGCAGGAGAATCAATTGAATCCAGGAGGCGGAGTTTGCAGTGAGCCAAGATCACGCCACTGCACTCCAGCCTTGGCGACAGTGAGACCCTGTCAAAAAAAAAAAAAAACAAACCAAAAAAAACAAGTGTATACAAATATCACATATACCCTTTAAATATGTACAAATATTATGTATTAATATACATAAATTCTGTTTTACCTCCCATCCAATGAACTCCATATTTATCACGATGGCCCCAAATCTCTTGCAGGTGCAGAAGCTATGGTACTACTGTGATTCTCTGTAAGTCTAGAATTGGCTAAATTTCTCCAGTTAAGTTTGTCCCCTGTTGGAAAGTTTCAGATGTATTTAATATTAACCGAAAAGTTCTATTTAAAATTACTGTCATTCTTCTTTGACCATTGATACATTTTTACCTCTGTTTCACTCCTGTTATTGTTCTTGAAACAAGTCTAAATCTGCTAATAATTTCTGGGGGCTGATGTTAGTCTGCAGAGGAAACTGCTTCCGATATATAATCTTAGACTACGTAGTGGCTCAGTAGTACAGACAGCATGTGGAGGAACCAGTGATTCTGAACACATTAGAATTTATAAGTTATGATAGAATGTGGGTATTTTTCATCTCCCGTATTTTTATCATTGTTATTGCATGTATGTGTATGCCCGTTTATTTTGCTTTCTTATTCTATTTATGCTATTCCTGAAATAGACTTTAGGTTCTTTTTTGACTTAACCACATCTTTCTGGTATTCAATACACGTCACAGTTGGACTCTTACTACCCACTCCAACTATATATTTTACTGCCACGCTGCAAAAATCACGGCTCAGTCTTATTAGAAGATTCCTTACATTTCTCAAATATTCATTGGTTTGCACTAAACTGTTCCTAGTTTAAAAGATATGTGCAGAATATTCATCTTGCAAAAATACTACCTCTCCTCTCTAGATAATCTAAATGCTCTCTAGTTAAAATTAAACTCTCCCTTCCTCACACCTACATTAAATTTCATTTGTATATGAATTATAATTCTTGACATAACCTGCTTTGTATTCAAGTAATTTATGCATATTCGATCTCCCTCATGTAACAGAGAAATATGAAAGGTCAATGTCTGTGTTCTTAGCAATTCTATATCTCCGTTGAATCTTATGTAGTGCATTCTAGGGGTAGAAACTTAATAAATGTTGGCTGTTTTAAATTAGATGGATTTACAATAGAATATTAATTGACCTAATATTTTCTCACATTTAAAACATTATTTGGTATATTATTTTATTTTTATTAGGTAAATCATTAATGTCTTAAATTTTATCTCTTTTTTATCCTCCTGTAATCTTTTCTTATAATACATTGAGTTCTAGTTCTCCCATGATATTCTCCAATTTATCATTTGATTTAATTTTGTGGCATTAAACCTGTCCTATGTTAATGTTCTAATTTCCTTTAGCTTGTCCTTTTAAAATCTGTCTTAGAATTTGAAATGTATCTTGAAGACTTGCTTGTATTTCTGAAAATTCATGGATGCATTGTTTCAGGTCTCTTACTTTCAAAAAGGAAGAAAAAAATAAGACAGCCTATAGTGTACAATTCTGTTACATTTATTTCTCCTAAGCATTTTCACCTCCTCAAGGTATGTCACCACAATTCATACATAAACTCCTATCTTCACAAACTCACAGTTTTCTTCGGGGCATAAAACAATGAGAAGTGTTCAAGATATCATTGAGGTTTGCTTCCAAAATATTAATATAATAATTTTTTACTATATAAAATTATCTTTCACAAAAACAGACTTTGTTTTTTACCATCATAACTTTTGTACTAGTTTTATTTTCTCCTTTGTCTCTATTGTATTATATTTAAATTGTGAGAGTTGGAGCATATATTTAAATCCCATGCATTTTGGGAACTAGCTTTTCTACATCATTGTTTGACTCAAAAATTGTTCCTTCCTGGTTGCAATATTTATTGCATGAATTGTTCTCTTCAACTTTACATATGTAAGGATGTTTTTATATTTCTTCTTTAAATCTTTTTTCTTGGGCATGAGATTCTTTTGGAGGACTAGTTATAGTGCGACATGCTTTACTCTTAGAGGCACCATTGCCTGTTACTTACTTTGATATCTGTCTAAAGTTTCTTCACTAATATTTTATTTTTGTCTCTAGGCATCCAATAATTAATTATTATCAAAGAAGTTTATTATTTTATATTATGTTCTTATATTTATATGTTGAGGCATATGTTTAGAAAGAGCCAACTATTAAAACAATCATTCCCTTCCTCACAGTATTCATACAGTAAACATCAGTTTTGCCTGTTTGATATCTATGTCAGTTTATGACGGCTTTCCTCTCTACTCTTGAATCAAAGATTGCTAAAGAGGAAATTAACCAAAATATATTTTTAGTTATGTTTTTTAACCTGACTCTTTTGCCATAAAAGTAGTCTTTAGTAAAAATAATAGGACCACAACCAAGTGAAAGCTTTATAATTCACTAATAATTTAGTAGAACATTCTTCACTTGCCTTGCTTTGACTTACTTCTTGGTTAAGTGGGAAGGACGCAGAAGGTGATAGAAATGGTACACTCCAGCAAATGTATTCTACTCCTGTTGCTTCAAGAGCACTGGGAATGTTAAGATTCTAAAACTAGTATTCAATACCTGCATGGAGGTAACAGGTGGGTGATTATTTCCAAAACTGGCATCCTTTATATAAATGGAATTGTAATAGTTTCCACATCATGGATGAATCTGACATTCTGTTTTAGAGAGGCAATAATTTCCAATGCCAAGTTTTCGACTTTAAAAATTTAATAGATTGTGTAAGACTACCTAGTGAAAACTGCTGTTACATTGTAATGTTATTGGCAAGCAAGATAATATAGCTATAAGAATTATGACACATAGGAAGCAAAATTCTGTAGTTTTGTAGAACAACTACGACCAACAACAAAAGGGAGAAGAGAAAATTTTTCACACAGTAGTCTATCCTATTTTAAAATCCCAGATTGTCACTTTGCTTTAATACCTGAAAATTGACATAGTAAGATTTATTTAATTATAAAAATTGAAATATTCTGATGATTTAAATTTATGCATCACACTTGAAGTTCCAGGATAACAAAGGCTATGCTAAGGACATAGAAAAGAAAAAATATTCAAACAAATCCTATGTATTGATTTACATTTTAATTTTTAAAATCCTGTGAAATGTGATAGGAACATACATCTGCTATTCTAGGATACATGTATATACTGGCAAACATGAAGAGTGTATAGCATATAGCAGTTAATGTAAATACGGTAGGCCATATATACATTAATATTGAAAACTGATTTGATTATGTTATTTGGCAGCTTAAAGAGTTTACTATTATTAATATTCTCACTACATATTCAATGTCATATGTTAAAATTATGGAGAAAATTTGTTCATAGAGAAGCAGCTGCTGCATATGACAACCCTACCCAAAGTGAAAATAAAATTGTTTAATGGGTTTTGGAGAATTAGGGATCATTCTGTCTTTCAATACTAAGCATTATTTTAAAATAGAAATGTGTTATATTTCTAATATACCTTCCCTGTTAAGGTCAAAATTTTGCTAGGAAAATTATGCCAACATCCACCAAATTTTTAATAATCTGTAGAAAATTCTAAAAGTCTGTCATTTATTTTTACAGCATCTGAAAACCTAACTTTAAATAAAAATTAAACACTCTGTTCATAGTCGTGGAAGATTTTACCTTTTAGGGAGAAATCTGCTTTGCGTTTTTTTCTACGTTGATGCTTTATTCTTTTTAGTGTTCATCATAGCCTTCTTTGTACAGGCCTGGTCTTTAACTTTTGTAGATTATTCTGAATTTCATTCTACCTCTCTTCTCTTCTCTCAGCTGTGCAGTTCTACTCACTGAGGAGGACCAGACTTTTGTCTTTGTTTACAATGTTTCTTTTGAGTTCCATACATACATATTTCCAGTTCAATAAACTGTCCTTAAGACATTTGAAACTCAATGAACACTGAGGGTAACATTTTATTTCTACCTACCTGCATCCAGAATCTGCCGTATTTTCTCTATTTTGCTCAGAGGCAGCAAATTACAATTGCCTTCATGATCCAAATTGCAACATAGCTTCTTCGGTATTTTTTTAATTTCCAAAGTCGTATTAACTTACTTTTCACTAGTTAATTCTGCATGAGTACATCAGTAATCAGTAGGATTTTGTTGTTGTTATTTTTTGTTTTTCGTTTTTTGTTTTTTTACATACTGCCTCTGTCACCCAGGCTGGAGCGCAGTGGCACAATCTCAGCTGACTCCAACCTCTGCCTCCTGGGCTGAAGTGATTCTCCTGCCTCAGCCTCCCAAGTAGCTGGACTACAAGTGCATGCCACCACGCCCAGCTAATTATTTGTTTTGTATTATTTGTAGAGAAAGAGTTTCACCATGTTGCTCAGGCTGGTCTTGAATGCCTGAGCTCAAGCTGTCCACCTACCTTGGTCTCCCAAAGTTCTGGGATTACAGGCATGAGCCACTGTGCCCTCCCAGTACTTTTTTTTTTTTTTTTTTTTTTGTATTTGGGCACATTTGAAAATGTGCTCATATCTATAAGTGAGAAGAAAAAATATAATATGTTCAAATAATAAGTATTTCAATTTTATTACACCAAAGAGAGTTTTCATGAGCACCACTGTTATTTGTACTTTCTGCCTACTAAAATGTTCAAATAAATACATTAAAATGTTATAAGGGTGCATAGGAGAAAAATAATTCAGGCTGTATCGTTCCATTGAGAATGACTAGATCAATCATAAGTTTATCCATGGTGCTAGAAGTGATGTGAACACTTGAGAAGTGTACTATGATATAACAATAGTATCTTATATGATAAAGCAAAGTGAAAGCTATTCTTACCAAAATAATAAAGTTGTATTTAACAGAAAGAATATTTGTTTTTAAATATAGTCTAAAGTTAAATTATTAACATTAAACAGAATTAACAATTCAATTCCTCAGTCATAAAAGCCACACCACATTTTACATACTCAATAGCTACATGTGGCCAGTGGCTACCATATTGGAAAGCACAGCTAGATCTTATCCTCTCAGTTATCTATCCATCCTAAATATTTCCCAAAGCAATGCTCTCACTTCCGTCCTCAGCTCCAATGTCTTGATTCTATATGTTCATGTGGCTTTTGTTACTGTCTCCTATTTCGTCTTCTGTTTCCTATTTTCAAGCACATTTCTTTTAAAGGTAAGATCTTTAAAGGGTAAAAATCATTTTCATTCTCCTTTCACTTGAAAAACATTCAGTTTCCAAATAACCTTCTGAGGACATTCGAACACTTTCGATCAATATTCATACAAGAAGGTAAATAAAAACTTTTGGAAGAAAGAGTGAATAAAAAATCTTCCATTACTTCCCTGTACATGTTACATCACTTACCAGTTTTTCACTGGAAAAAAAGTTAACTTGTATTTCATTGTCACTATACAAAATGCATAGCAAGTATGTTTTCTTCAAAATATAATACATCCCACAGGTTGAGAACTAATTATCCATACTCCCACATTACTCTTTGCCTTCTTTTGTATAGTATTATTTAATTTATAGTCATTTCGGATAATCATCATTTCACAAAACCCTGAGTTCTGTGAGGGTGGGGACTGTGTTAATTTTTCTGTTTGTAATAAAATCCCAGGTTTCCCATTAGATCTGGAACAAAGTAAATTCACAGTGAAGCTTAGTTGACAGTGTAACCATGGATTTTAAATACCTTGACTTTCTTTATGCTGCAGTTTAAACAAATTTGCAATAGTTAGAATACAATAATAAAAGATTTTCCATCATAGCAGCCACTAGATCCAGTGACTTTTCTCAAGTTATTTGTATAGAATGAAATCAATCTGTGTTAGGTAAAATGTTAAATGAGACCATTTAAAATAATACAATAAAAACATAGTTAATTTATATTATGTTAATTTTAAAAGAGAAATAATTTCAACTAAAATATAATCCTTATGAAGCAATTTAAAATGTATTTTCAAGCCAGTGACCTTGCTATATAATGGAAAGTTATTGTAGTATCATTAAAACTTAATTTCTAAACTGAAAGTTGGCCAAAGATCTATTTGTAATTAAACGAACATTAGATACCAATTGAATAAATATAGTTGCAAGATAGATACAGATTATTTATTTGGAGATAGCTAATTTATCATGTCCTGTTAATTATATATATATCTAATAGGAACTGCTGTTTCTTCACTCGTATTTGTGATTACTCTAGTGTCCGTGTGCATGATTATGTGTGTATTTGGGAGATAACCTGGCCAGGCATGGAGGTCTTGTTTCAGATTCCCTGGCTTTATAAGATATTTAATGCATCCGTGCTTTGGTTTGTTTTTTTTTACCTGTAACATTGTCTTCTAGATTGGGGTAAGGATTAAAAACAATCGTTCATGCAGGCAAAAATGTCTGCTAACACAATACTTCAGTGCAACGAAGGAAAACAGGATAGGTATGGAGATTGATACAATATTATGAAATGCTTTTATACTATAGTTTTCAGTGGAATCAGGTGAAAAATACAGCAGCCTTCTATTAGAAAGAATAACCCTCCCCAGCACATATATTTCAACATGAAGTTGATATATCATCTTTTATCATTCATTGGCTTACCCTTGAGCTTGGATGTTTCAATTTATAAAAAGTCCAGGTCATCAACAGATTAACAGTTTCACATAAAGAGTTTATTGCATTTTATAAAAGCAGCCTTGCCTACGTGTTGTTGTTTTTGGGGGGAAATTCAATTAACCTTGGTTTTCTCAACTTCTTTACTCTGCAAGTCCACCCAGTTCAAGTAATACGAGTCCCATGTAGAGAAGACAAGACAAAATTGAAGACACACAACTCTGAGGAATGATCCCATCTTATTTATAGACACTGCCAAAAGATAGTAATGTCTTAGTTTCTGCTTGCATATGATTGATATGACTCACAGTTGTTTTTCCTTAATGACTCCTGGCTAGTGAAAAATGTACAGAGATTGACTTAATAAACATTTCCGGCCAAGTGATTTCTCCTCTCTTGTATAAAGCTGTAATAACATCAAACACTCTACAGGTTTTACTTCTATAAGCTCATTTAATCATGATAGCGACACTGTTGTGTATGTATTATCATCCCATTTTATAAGTAAAAAACTAGAGCAAAAAGACATTAACCGTCCTGCCTGGGTACACAGCTAGTAACTGTGAGAAACAAGATTTCAACTCACGTATTTTGGCTTCTAAAACCCATATTCTTAACTACTGTGCTGAAGATAAGAAAATTTTGCAGTTGTTGGAATTTTTTTTAAAAAGAAGATTTTTCCATCATGAAACTACCATGATGTGCTAAAAGAGTTTTTCACTAAAACTGTAGGTAGCATATTCCCATTGCCAATGAAGAATTAGTTCAGCAACCCAATATCATCTTTCATATTTAAAGTAATGTGGCTAATTTGGATATATGGGTTTTGCATTTCTTTTGTTTTAGAGTGCTATAAATTCTGTAAGCACATGAAATGAAAATCTACTTTTAGACTTTAATGGATTTAATAAGGATTGGGTCCTCATTTTGAGAAAATCTAGCTCAACTGAGTCAATCTTATAAACCAAAAAACTTATTGAAGTTTGCAGCTTTGAAAGAATGTCATCATAACCCAGAATGAATACATGTAATAATATGTATTTTTATTTACTGAGTTCAAGAAACATACAATTTTCTTTTCAAATGAGGGTGTTTCCATTTTAAAGAAGATCCAGTTGTTTGAACGGGAACACAAGTCAGAAAAGAATTTGCAGCATGGAGTATTTAGTGGAGTAACTGAAGTCCTAACTTAAGAGTTTCCTAACTAAAGTTACATTGGCCTTAGTGTCTCTGGAGGTTGAGGCTTTGGTAGAATACTAACTGACTCTAGGTATATGGAGAGGCAGCCAGAAAGCACTATCCTCTGCTTGATAATCAGTGATATCTCATAAGCTCACATAATATTTTCCTGACAAAAAATGATTACACGTGTAACTGTTCAATGAGAGGCTATTTGACAAATAGCTTTCTTTCCCCTTCACAGCATTTTGGTCTCCCTCTCTTCCTTCCTTCCATCCTTCCTTCCTTCCTTCCTATCTTTCTCCTCTTCTTTCTCTTTTTCTTTCTTTATTTTTCTTTCTTTTCTTTCTTTCTTTCTTTTCCTTCCTTCCTTTCTTCCTCCCTCCCTCCCTTCTCTTTCTTTCTTTCTTTCTTTCTTTCTTTCTTTCTTTCTTTCTTTCTTTCTTTCACAGGGTTTTGCTCTGTCACAAGGCTGGAGTACAGTAGCATGATCATAGTTCACTGTAGCCTCAACTTACAAAACTTAAGCGATCCTCCACCTAAGCCTCCCATAGTAGCTGAGTCTACAGGCACATGCCAGCCTGCCTGGCATTTTTTTTTTTTTTTTCCAGTACAGATGAGGTCTCACTAAGGCTTATTTGGAACTCCTGTGCTCAAGCAATCCTCCCACCTCAGCCTACCAAAGTGCTGGGATTACAGGTGTATAAAAAACATGAAAATAATAGTAAAGTTCCAAAGATAGAACTTGGGGACCACTCATTTCTAAAAGTGGCAAGTAGATGGGAATCTAATTAAAGAAACAGAGAAAGAACAATTGATGGAAGTTGGAAGAGAACCATGGGAGTTCACTGTATAGAAGACAAGCATATTCAAGCAGGAGGGGAAGATGTACAACACCAAAGGCATTAAAAGTTAAAGGAAAAATAGGACTTAGAAAAGATTATTGGATTTTGGTCCTGGATAAATAACTCTTTAATGAGCTGTCTCAGTAGAATAGTGGAAGCATAAATCAATTAGCAAGGAATTAAGGAGATAGTAGGTGATAAGAAAAGGTAGACACACAGTCTTCTTAATGAGTCTACAATATGACTGTTGGAGGGGTAAATAGGACAGGAATTGCCCGAGGTCTGGTAGTTAGAATATATCTTAAATACATAATATTAATTACAAAATAAAACACACACACAACAAACAAACAAAAACAAACTTACAAGTATGAGTGTTTATATCTGTTTGTGTGAGAGATAATTTATTTATCATACATGGACTAGAAGAAAATATCATCTGTGATGACAGTGAATATAAGGCAGTAAGTAAATGAATAAATAAAAGGTATTCGTCTATGGAAAAACAAAATAAGCATAATTATTTTAGATATAAAAACTCAAAGTGTTTACTTGGGGATAAGCCTGGTTGTATCTGGTCCCTCCACCCAGGTCTAGAGAGTCACTTTTTTTTTTTTTCTACAAAGCTGTTTTACTTTAATGGAGTATATGAATGCACATACCAAAGAATCCAAAGCATTCTTTTTGTTGTAGCCAGTCAGTATCTTCCTCAGCAGATGCATTCAATGATCCAGAACACAAATAGGTCAATATAATGTGTAACTTTGCACAGCTTCTCTGTTAGCGGAAGTGACCAAATGGCTTAAGTAACTGCCGTCAATATTAAGGCTGATAAAAGAACTTCAACCGAATAATTCCCATTGAGAATTAAGAGTGTAATGAAAATCCAGAAATGCCGCTATCTGTTTAATCATTCCTTGATTAAAATAAATCTATTTACATTTGTGTTATTTGCTGGAGCTGTGCTAGGCATGAATATACAGTGCCGGTCAAGGCATACCATTGTGGAGTTTACAATGCGTCTCTCCTTGCAGTCAAGCTTCATGGAGAATAAAGGCATGCCTAAAGTGAAAAGAGATAGGAACTAAAGAAACCTTGACAATGTAGTAAAATGTCTTATTGGCCGGGCGCGGTGGCTCAGGCCTGTAATCCCAGCACTTTGGGAGGCCGAGAGGGGTGCTTCACGAGGTCAGGAGTTCGAGACCACCCTGACCAACATGGTGAAACCCTGTCTCTACTAAAAAAATACAAAAATTAGCCAGGCATGCTGGTATGCACCTGTAATCCCAGCTACTCAGGAAGCTGAGGCAAGAGAATTGCTTGAACCCGGAGGCGGAGGTTGCAGTGAGCTGAGATCCCACCACTGCACTCCAGGCTGAGAGACAGAGTGAGACTCCATCTCAAAAAAAAAAAAAAAAAAAAAAGAAGAAGAAGAAGAAGAAAAAGTCTTATTGTGGGAATGGTTTCAGAAATAAAGCACTGTTGGCTATGGGCCGAGAAACTCTTGAAATTTTATTATAAAAATTTTCTGTATAGGCTGGGCATTAGCCATCAAGCCCGGCCTATACGGAGCACTTTGGGAGATCAAAGCCAGGTGGATAATTTGAGGTCAGGAGTTCGAGAGCAGCCTGGTCAACATGGCGAGATGCCATCTCTACTAAAAATACAAAAATTAGTTGGGTGTGGTGGCACACGCCTGTAGTCCCAGCTACTCGGGAGGCTGAGACAGAAGAATCGCTTGAACCTTGAACCCAGGAGGGAGAGGTTGCAGTGAGCCAAGATTTCGCCCCTGCACGCCAACCTGAACAACAGAGCGAGCAAGACTCTGTTTCAAAAAAAAAAAAAAAACTCCTTGTCACGTGGAAATGTAACTATTGTAACTGTGCGCATGCTTCTTTGCCTGCACCTTTTTATTATTTATATCTTAGTCAATACCTTTATTTTCTTTTTAGATCAGACAATATCTTCACTTATGCAAAAACTATAGAATCGAGCTCCACTTGTTTAGAATTGCATTTATATTACTTAATTGAAAAACGTCCTTAGTCTCTTTTTGTTTTAGCCTTTCATTAACCCTGTTGGATTCACCAATTTCCTTCACTTAGTGTTGCAAATTTTATTTCTTCAATTTTCAAATTCATGAAAAAAGTCTTACCATGATTTCCAATCATTGAAACAATTCCAAGTTTGTAGATTGTATTTTTTCATTATGATTGTCTGTAACTGTAACATTATAACAATAGTGAACATGGACTCATAGAGCAACTTCATCACTTAATGATTTTGATTCCTATGTATTAGAACCACATGGGGAACTGTTAGGAAATGTTGTTGCCCATATTCTGGTACACAGTGAAATTTGAAAAAAAATAGAGTTAGACAATCCAACTCTTTAAACTCAGTATAGAATCTCTATGGGATTTCTAAAGACAGGTGGTTAATTTTCTGTTTGTTTAAAGGTTTAAAAAAATTTTTAACTATTTAAAAAAGTAGCTCTGGTTGATTGTTTAAAAACACATTTCTATACTGAGTTTGAGATTTTTTTTCTATAACTTTAAACTACGGTCCTAGGCGTACTTCAAAAAGCTACTTAAAATAGATGTAACTGTTTGTCCATGAGAAAACATGCAGCAATTTAGAAATTACTGACATGTTACTTCTTTTCTAGGATAGTTACCAATATATCCTGAATGTTCCTTACAATCTCAGATTGATTAATTTAATAAGCATCTTTTGAGCATAAACTCTGTGTCATCATAACCTACCTACGATGGTCTGTGTTGTCTTAGAACCAGCTTGTACCTGCTTCAGAGAGTCAACTGGTATTTTCACATTGATATTTCCACAGTGGAAATGTTCACACTGTCAAATTGGCCGTGCTACAAACCAGGGCAACCCCCCTAACCTCATACACACACAAACACACACACACACATATATATGTGTGTGTGTATGTATGTATCTCCAATATTAAAGTCATTGTCAATGAATCTTTTAGATGTAGCTCATTGAATTCTACCTTGATACTGCAAATTGAGTCTATGCAGTGCAAAGATGTCCAGACATTATGTACCTCATCATGGGTACCAATTTAGTTTAATCAGGTTATAACTGAAATGCTGTAAAGTTATTGTACATGGTGGCTCACTTAAAATTCAGTGAAGTACAGTTCAAAAGACATGTGTTGATGACTTATTACTTGCCAGTCTTTGAAAACTAAGTTTTACATAGTGAGCAAAAGACATATTTCCTACCTTTGAGGAATTTAACATCAAATTCTTTTGTGATCAGATGAAACTTCCATAGTTTATTTATATAAAACATTATTGATTATAGTTTCTAACATAAGTGGAAGACTTCATATTTGCCTTATTTTCAAATCTGATTTTTAGTAACAGCTCATGATTTCAGCTTGTATAGTTCTTACTAAATTTTTATGTAGCTACCTCTTCTAACTTTTGTAGTCTACTAATTTGGTAAACACAACATGTGTCCTACTGTATACAAATTTGCTAAATATGTTTAATGCCACTACCAACCAAGAAGAGTATTGTGTTACATCAGAGACCATTATGCAGGCTACCATAAATTTAACAATAAACTACAGTAGATGGAGTTTTTGAAACACTTGCAGTTCTCCACTCTACAGTGCATATATCCACAAATTATTCATCTGTGATAAAATATTATAGCTTACTAAATATAAGCTCTTAATAAATGACAGCTACAATTGTTTCAAATAATCATAATTAATAAATTTGTTGTTTAAATTAGGACATATACTCTGTAGAGTTCTCCTCTCCCCATAGATTACAATAGATCAGAAAAAAATGACAGAAAAAATAACAATTCTCTGCACACCCTCATTTTATATATAGAAAAACTAGATTATGTATGCACATACACACATATGAAATAACTAGATTGAACTTTTGGAGCTTACTATTTAGACTACAACCCACATTGCTTTACTCCAGGTTCGTTTTCCTGCTATGCCATTATTTACATTATTTGTTCTTAGTAACCTATTGTTAGTGCAGTAACTTACTTCTTTTTTCACATGCACCAAAGGGTTTATGCCTCTGCCTCTAAAATTCTAACTAATCTCATTAACATTCAGATTTAAAAATTACTCCTGTATCATGTCTACTGTCACTTTTCTAGATAAAATTAGTGTTACCTCTCATGGTTCCCCCAAATCTATCACAGCCCTTATCACATGTCTATTATCCATGATCCAGGGTACTTCAAAAGTGCACATTTTATCATTAAGTATCAGAACTGAACACAATTCTTTATAATGGTAGATGTCCAATAAATATTTGCAAACCAGAATTAATAGGTCTGCTCTAAAATTGTGTCGCTGTTATATGTAAAACACTTTTTTCACAGTATTTCTGAAATCTGTTTTCTTCCTTATTTTGAAATTTGACAATTTTGTCATATACAGCTTCTGACACCACCTCTTATCCTTATGATTTATCAGGTGATGACAATGATTGCAAGATCATGTCTGCAAGTTGTTACATTACCAAGGGACATAGTTCAATGCAACTCGTAAAACAGCTTGATATCCTCTAAATAATCCTCTCATTACTGCTGAACTTCAAGTTCCTTTTAATCATGAATATTCTACAATGTTTCTAATAAAAAATATGGAAGCATGCATTTACATTATACTATATACCCTAGATCATAGGCTGAAAATTTCCTTTCTCATTTGCCAGCTTTGAATATAACTTTTAAGAAGTATTTTATTGTTGTTGTTTCTCCTTTGCTTATAATTTGCTCATCCATAGGTGATCCTACATTTTCATCTGCATGATATTGATCATACACACAGGTTTTGCCACCTTCATTTCACTTCACTCTTGAAATTACTTTCTTCCCTCCGTTTACAGGTAAACTTTCATGTGATGCTTCCTGTGAAACTGACTTAGTTTTCTTTTTTCCTCTCATTACTATAATTTGTTGTTATAATTTCCAGGTTTTTAAAACACTTCTATAGAATCACCCCTCCCTTATTTCACTTATTACAATGAATGAAAATGACATAAAACATCACTTTGCAGTATATAAGTACTTTCAAACATCATTTAGGCTGATAGACATTATGATTCACATTTTATTGGTTAGCAAATAAGACATACTGTTAGGAAATTTGTCCATGTCTGCCTACTTCTCAAATGACAGAGATGTCATTCAAATCTAGTTTTTCCTCTTGTGAAAACTCAAAAATATCCTGATACAAAATTGTATCTTTGATTGCAAATGTCAGAAGCATATAATTTAGCCTTAATATTATGCAAACTATTTTTCTAGCAATCAGGATACATATATGACAATACTCAATATTCCTTTCAAAGTTACTGGGATTAAACACAAAGAAAGCCTCCTTCATAGCTTTATGAAATTGTTAATGAAAGAAATTTTCATCCATGTATTAAGTGATGATCATTTACTCACTGAAAATCCTAGCATATCTAGACAAATTAAGTTCCTCTTTGGCAACATAGACTTAATTTGACCTAGAATTATTTTGTTTTAATTATATAACTACGACCTAGTAGTTCCATGTCTTGCACATAACACATACATAATTTATATTTTTTAAGGGATGAAACAAGTGTCACTTTGTTTCTTTGGTTTTTAATCTGCAGTAGGAAAATAATTTCTTAATTGAATTATACTCTGGCTATCAGTAGTATGCCATGCTATTCCAGTTTTGTGTTCCTTTATCTTTTTCCCCCTTAAAATGGTTATGCCATATTTTAATTCTCAGATACACAGGAGTGTACATCTGTGTACATATAGTATAAATGGCACACATTTGTAGGAGCAGGTGTGTAGAAGAAAAAAATGTTTGCTGAATAGATGAGTGAATGAACATATATCCTGCTCAGACAATATCAGGGTTTCACTTTAAAATTATATTATAATACAGCTGTTCCCCTTTTATTCTATATAATCTCTCTCTATATAACAAAAGATATGGATTGAGGACTTGCTGAATCCTAGTCACTGAATTAGGTGCTAGGCAGAGAGAGAAAAAGACATATCCTAACTTCAAGGAATTTAAAGTCGAATTCTCTTGTAACTGGATAAAATTCCTACCATTTATTCATTGTATGTTTATGCTTATGAATTTAGTTTATTCTTTGCTTATTAAGTTGTTTTAAACAACTTAAAGCATGTCTAATTTATTCCTGTTATACATCAAGCCATAGTGAACAGTAATGCATTATTTTATATCATATTATGCATTTCATTAATTTTATTAGGAATAAACTGTATGTATTCAGCCTTTACTTTTTATTATTCATATAGTACATACAAATAGAGCTATGGATTTTTAAAAGGCAGATCAATTTTCTAAGCCCACTTTTTTACATTTCAGAAGAAATGTGCTATATGCCAGATTCGCTGTAGAGATTCTACAGAAAGCATTTTTAATTAGGAAATTAATAAAAAGTAACATTTCAAGGAAGTTATTAATGTTTCAAATCCACATATGTATTTTGTTAAGTTGGTTTTTGGAATCATTTTGGTGGTTGAATTTTTCACTCCTTCTTGAGTGAAACTAAAACTTTACATTTGAGTGACTCATAAAATACGATTTGGCCATACATGAAACATCAACTACTTTATTTTACATCTCTGTATCGAAGCCAATGTGATTCTATCATGCAGAGTTGAAAAAGGCCTTCTAATTTTAGCCACACACAAATGTTTGCAGAAGGGAAATGTAGCCTGATTGGTGAGATGAACTTTTATCACCATAATTTCAAAAGAAGTATTTACTTTTACATTTGCTATGGATGGATTTAAAACAGCTGTTACTGGATATTTTATAAGGAGTTTCACAGTACTAATGCAAAAATTGCTTTCCCTTTAGAATTTCATAATCACAGAAAGCAATCATGCTTTATTACTGCTTTTTCTTTTTAATGTACTCTAAAAAGGGAAGAAGAGGAGAAAATGGGAAGAGTCCAAACCTCACCCTGGTGTTACTGACAGATTTTCTATATATATTTTCCTTTTCAAAATTTCTGCATTTTAACAACAATTTAGTTGAAATATATTTCTTAGACTAGAGGTTCTTTTTATTTGCATCCAAAAGTCACTCATAAAATGGTACCACAGGAACAGAAAGAAAACCTACTTTAAAATATTAGATTTTGAAACAAACCCTTGTTCTGTATTGCTATAGTAATATTATCTTTTCAAGAGGAGTTTCAGAAATACAGTTGTCAAAATCAGTCACTTGTTGTTTAATTATTCATCATATTTGTAATATGAAGCAGTTTTTCATTAGTTAAAATATATATAAAAAACTACGATGAATCCTAGGAAAAAGTAATGCTAAAACGGACACAGCTGTGGATTTATTAAATCCAATTCATTTCTAGTTTAGTAGGAACTCCCACTGATTCTAAAGATAGTTTTGTCAGAGTAAGGACTGAAAAATTGGTCTTTACATTCAGAGGGTGCAATTGTATTTGATGCTTGGACAGTTACTCTATTCTGTCTTGAAGCCAATAGTGCACTTGATTTATAACTTAATGTTCAGAACCAAAACATGTTCCCTGAAAAAGGTACACTATAAAAAATAAATCATCTACTTAAGAGAAATATTTTACTACGGCATACTCTTGTTATTTTGTTTCCTAATAAATTATTTACTATTGAAATAATATGCTTAACTCCTTATACTAATATCTTACCTTTCTTCTTTAAAGTTACTTATATTTTAATATTAATAATGCATGTGTGCATCTGAGAGATGTCAAAGCTTTTCAGAGTCAAAATGAGAAAACTTTGAAAAATATATTTCCTTTAAGCTCCCCTATAAGAGAGAAAACTGACAATATTGAGAATAATAATCATGATGATGATGATATTAAATAAGATTAGGCCAGAAGTTTACACTTGTATTAATGCATTTCCTCAATAGATTTTTAAATTCGGGGACATTATATCCTAAACACCTAACTTGCCATACTCACAGAAGGTACAGATATACCCTTTGGGGATTTTTGTGCAACATCATTGCTTGGTACATAAACCTTGGTGTTATGAAGATCTGCATTTTAAAGAAAGTAGTTTGATTTATTTATTTATAAATCAAAGTATAACATATTTTGCCAAGAGATTCAGGTTGCTTCAGAAACTAGTCTCTCAATGCTCAAGACAGTCAAACTCAAATTAGTATCATCTTACTGTGGCAGTAAATTTTGAGTCAAATTTGATGATGAAAATTAATAATCCTTGGTGATGAAAACAGCTGTCAAATGAAAAAATTTAAGATAAAAGATAAAAAATTTAAGATAAAAGAAAAATTTAAGATAGTGACTCAAAAGATGTTATAAAGGGATGAAATCACAAGGAGCTAGCTCCCTGAAGCAAAGACAATTCTTTCCTAATGGTCTGTGATGTGTTTAGTAAAAACCTTTACAGGAATTTACATATACAGTCATGCACCATTTAAAGATGGGGACACATTCAGAGAAATGTGTTTTTGATGATTTATTCATTGTGTGAACATCATGGAATATAATTACACAAACCTAGATATTATACTCTACATCTATACTGTGTGGTGTAGCCTACTGTTTCTAGGCCAAAAACTTGTACAGCATGTACTGAACACTACAGGCAATTGTAACACATAAGTATTTGTGTATCTAAACATATTTATACATAGAAAAGGTACAGAAAAATATGACATTATAATAACATGTGACTACAGGTATATATGTGGTCATTGATAGAAATATTGTTATGCAGTCCATGATTGTATAACAAAGTATTTTAAAATGCTGTCTATGTTAACTTTAACTACATCTAAAAATTTTATTTTACTAGAACTTTGGAAGCATAAAAGTAAATATCTTAAAAATACATAGATTGAAATTTTATTTTTAAATACAGAAACTATAAAAAAGTTGGCATTGGCATTTGGATCACTTAACATAGTGACAATATGTGAAATGTAGGCGAACTACCCACTTATGTATATTGATGGGAAATCTCTTTTTTCCCTAAAAGCGTGTACAATTTAAATGCCCTTTACCTAAATTTTATCATCAATGACTATAAAATTTAAATAAAACCAACACATTTTAAAAGTTTAATCAAAAATAAATACTGGACACTTTGGAATAAACTTATTTTTATAGCGAGTTATCTGTTCTTTCTTTAATTTATCTCTTGGAATCTGCTCAACCCAAATTGTTAACCATGTATTATAAAGGAAATACCTTTCATAGAATTATGATATTTGAGAATTGAAAAAGATCTAAGCAGATGTTTATTTCAATGCTCCATCCAAATCAGGCATGCCTTCTGTTAATATTTCTAACAGTGTTCCTTGGCTTCTATCTTAATTGAGATGTCAGGATGTTTGTATGTATTTTTTCTTTTTATCTTCATTGTCTGCTCTTCTCTAAATGGTTAGGGTAACATTATATTTCTACTGTTTTACAATGTGTTACATAGAGCCTACACTATTTAGTTTCTTTATCTCTCAATTACTTGAAATATGTTAACATTTGTTACCTTTTAACTGACAGAACATGTAGGATTAAACTTGTTCCAATCAAACTTAATAATTATAAATACTCTCCAACCAATAAATAAAAGATGATATAACTCTACCCAATTTTCAGGATATACAAAGTAATTGTTTAGGGGAGCTCTATTTAACCATTTTGAGCCTGTAATTCCTGGGTTTGTACCACGCTTAAATATGTGGTAAAGCTCTAAAACTCAACATTTCCTTCTATTTGATTTATTTCCATGTTTGTACTCATATCAATGCTTAACTTACAGAGACAATATCCTCATGAAATAATTGGATAGCTATTGCTATCCAATCCATTCACATCTCTTCTTTTTGGCCATGTTAATTATTTTTTCCCCCTGTAGCTGAAATCTGAAAATATATATGGTGAAAACATTGAAGAACGTCTGTAGCACTCAGGCTGCTTTAAAAAGTAGTGTCCAAAATATATTAAAAGTATCATAGCAGTTTTTAAATATAATCACTCCATTTTTTAGATTAGTGCAAAAAACAATGGGGGAAAAATGTAATGTCCTCCTTTTAGCTTAGCAGATTTATTCTGCGTCCCTAGTATTAGCCACGAGGGATGGGGCAGGGGGAGGTGGAGACTGTTAAATTCTGGAACATTTAAAGATGCTGATCATCAATATCAGAATTGTTTTTGTGAATTTTATGTTTTTCTGGGATTTACAAGTAATATGAAGGAGCCAGATCACAACTTTATAGCTGGATACCATTTGAAATGGGAAATTTCATTTTTTGTGAATGAACTGGCTAAAACTTTTACTTTTTATGCAATTTATTTACTAATGAACATTTTTAAATCTGGAAAGTTAATATTGCATACAAACTTGGCTAATCTAAATAGGGATATTGCTGCAAATTTTAAACAAAGCTAAGACTCTGTCACCATTGCCTTTCATAACATTCCCATAAGTTGTTATTTAAAATCTAACCAAAAGTGATATATATGTATACATATATATATATATACACAGAATAGAGGTAAATATAATTCTAGCCAATACAAATAATCAACAATATATGGAAAGGAGTATAAATCACTTTTCATTGTATCTAAAATATGAATCCTTAATTTTAAAAAAACAGATTAAAGTATAATTCACATACCATTCAATGCAAACCTTTAAAATGCACAATTCAGTATCTGAGTATATGGAGGGGTTGTACAGTCATCTCCACAATCTAATTTTAAAACATTTTGTATTCTCCCCCACAACACACACATCAAAGAAACTCTGTATCTATTAGAATTCACTCACGATCCTCCCCTCACCCTCTTCCAGCCCCAGGAAGCTGCTATTCTATTTTTTTATCTCTATATGTTGTCTATTCTGAAAATTTTTGTAGAGACACATAAAATATATAATCTTTTGTAACTTTTTTTTTTTCATTTAGCAAACCGTTTTCCAGGTTCAACCATGTTGCAGCATATATCAGTACTTTGGGATCTTCTTGTGGCAAATAACATTTATTTAGACATTTGTCAGTTAATGAACATTTGGATGGTTCTACTTTTTGGCTGTTATAACAGTGCTGTTAAGAAGTTTGCATACGAGGTTTTCTGTGAATGTATATTTTTATTTCTCTGGGATCTATAGTTAGGAGTTGAATTGTTTGTCATAGAGTAGCTTTATGATTAACTTTTTGAGGAATTGTCAAACTGGCTTTACCAATTTACATTCCTCTTAGCAATAAACATGGGGAATAATCCCTCCACATTCTTGCCAATACTTGTTTTATATATAGGTATATATATATATGAAAATTACTGTATATATACACACACATATATAGTGTGTGTGTGTGTGTGTATATATATATATATATATATATATATATGAACTATCCTTGTGGGTATGGTTTTGATTTTACCTTCCCTAATTACTAATGATGCAAAACTTCCTCCTTTTTTTCCTGCAACAAAGAGGAATATGCACAAGACAATTTTTGAGATCATCTTTAAGGTTCAAACACAGGCCTTGTCCCTCAACTTCCTCTCATCCCCCAGCATCACTCAGTTTCATCACCATTTTTCCACTTACTCTTCATGGCTTCCAAGCTTAAATTTATGCAATTCTTTTAGGATCAGAAAATATTTTTATCTAAATTTGACCCAGCTGAAGCAATCATGGCTGGAAAATAGTGAGTTCTATATTCCCACATATCTGAAGTGCTGTAGGGACACAAAGTTAGTGGTTTGCATACTGAAAATTACTGTATTGAACAATGCTAATAATAAGCACAATTTTAGAAGAACAGTAAAGTAATGCAGAATGAGTGAAGCAGTACATGATGTCCTAGATGAAAATAACATTAGTGGAAAAGTGCCATTTCTTCCCAACTCATCTATAAATGTAATGGCATATCAATAAAAATAGCAATGGGATTTTTTGGGATGTCGACAATTCTTTTGGAGGATCAACTTTCATGTGTTGGCAGGAATATTCTGAAAAGTAAAAATAAACTAGGGATTTGCTTTTCCAGATATTACACTATAGTGTTACAGTAATTAAACTGTGTCACTGATGCAATAATGATACATAGGACAGTGAAACAGAATAGAGAATCCAGATATACACCTGTGAGGTGTCATTTCCTGTCAGTGGAGAAAGACTGGTACGTCATTAAATAGCTTTGGGACAATTGGATATCCACTTGGGAAAAGAAAATTAATATAATTATTTCATACCTTAAGCAAAATAAATTTCAGATGGATTAATAAGCCAAATGTGAAGAATAAAAGTATAAAATTACTACAAGAAAATACAGAAAAACATTTTACAATCTTGGGGATGGGGAGAGTTTCCAATATATCAACTCCTGGATTAATAGATAACAATGGTTAACGCTATCGAGCATTCACTATGTACCTACACTGCTCAAACTCACTTAATGTTCACAACTTTATTTGTGAAAGTTCTAAAATTATTCCCATTATACAGATGAAAAAATGGAGGCACAATTAACTAGCTTGCTTAGGGCCACATAATATTCAAGCAAAACCTGCTGTTTGAACTCAGCTGTCTATTTATTTCCAGAGTCTGTGTTCTTTATTTATTTATTTATTTATTTATTTATTTATTTATTTATTTATTTTTGAGACGGACTCTCGCTCCTTCGCGTCCAGGCTGGAGTGCAGTAGGGTGATCTCAGCTCACTGCAAGCTCCGCCTACCGGGTTCACGCCATTCTCCTGCCTCAGCCTCCCGAGTAGCTGGGACTACAGGAGCCCGCCACGATGTCCGGCTAATTTTTTTTGTATTTTTACTAGAGACGGGGTTTCACCGTGTTAGCCAGGATGGTCTTGATCTCCTGACCTCGTGTTCCCCCGCCTCGGCCTCCCAAAGTGCTGGGATTAGCCTGAGCCACCGCGCCCGGCCCACAGTCTTTGTTCTTTTCCCAACACCTTATTTCCAGAAGTATTAGAGATTCAAAATATAACATATATTAAATTTTAAAAGCCATATTGAAGGAAAACCTTTGTAACACTGTAACGCACAAGTGGGCTAGAAGGAATTCCTATAAATTAATAAGATTAAGACAAAAACATTAGACAAATACCAACAGCTCAATAGGAAAATAGATAATGAATTTAAAGAGACCATAAAGAAGAAACGTAAATGTTTACATAACACATGAAAAGTTGCTCCATTTTATTAACAGTCTGGAAAAAAACAAATTTAAAGATGGAGATACCTTTTACCATTCAGATTAACAAAATTTAACGAAATTGGTAAAATCTACCATTAGGCTAGTTTGTAAGGCATAGTGTGTTATCATACCAAATTGACAAGGGTATAAATTAATTTAACATTTTGGAGGGAAAATTTTCCAGTTCCTATAGAAACTTAAAATAGGCATTATCTTCTTTCCAACATTCATTCGTTTATACTTAAAATAAATATTCTTTCAAAATATTTCAACAAATATTCTTTCAACTTCAACAGTACCTTTTATGTGTCAGGTACTGTTCTATGTGCTGGGAATAAAATAGTGAAGAAGACAAAATCCCTGTTATATAGCTTGTATTTTAGGTTGCAGAGATAGGCAGAAAATAAATAAGTAATAAATAAATAATATATCTGGTAGTGATGTGTTATAAATGAATAAACTGTGATTATACAGGAATTATGGAACTTATGTTTTATGTGTTAGACAATTTATACCACAGTTACAGGAATCTTCTGTGTTGCTCCCTTAAAGAGAGACTATTTCTTTGGATATTCTACTTTGGTACGAATTAATCAACTGTTTAAAACATTTACTCAAAAGTACTGAGATATAAAGACATACAATATCTTAGCACTTGAGGATTTTTCAGTCTATGTAAAAAAAAGACAAATTACCCCCAAATTTATTCACTAGTCAATTTTTATATACTTCAGATGACAAAAAGTTGCTGAATAAATGGAATGTAAGTTAACATCCTCTATACTAGAGTGGAAGTCAAAACTCAAATCTACATTTAATAGGACTGGTACCTTGGAACATGGAGAAACACTTACCCTTATTAGTTGTACTCCAGTAAATGCCTTATTAAAACTTTGAGATTGCTTTGGGACACTTAGAAATACTAACTGAAGTGGTTAAGTATGTTTTCATTGTACACAGTTTACCACTCAGTTACATGTATTATCCACAGTTCTCATGTAGAATACAAGTCTTCTGGTTCACCTAAGAACTTCATAATATTATGTCATTACTTAATAAATGATCCCCAATGGGAATCATATTTTGCTACAAAATCTGAGCACTATGAGGTGCATTTAAAGCATAATTAAATCCTTTCTCAAGTCATTCCTTAGAGAGTTTTTTTAGAGGAAGTAAATATAGCATAGTTAATTTAATTAACTATGACATGGTTAGTGAAATGGACATCGATTGTCATTTGGAGCTCCTCTCCTCACTGATTTCAATTTGGGAGGAAGAAAATCAATTGTTACTGTTGGCAGGAGAGAAGGAATGGATGATATCAAAGCTGGCTTCTTTCTCAGGAATCAGTTACCACTGAATTTTCTTAGAAAAGAAAAGGATCTTCATAGTATTAGAACATGGTTAAAAGAAATAATTACTAATTTAAGGTAATTTCAAATAAAACAACAGAAAGTAAACGTTTATTTAGCAAAGGTACAAGATCAGGGAGCAGCAACGATGGCAGAAGGCTCTGTAATTAGAGAAAGTTAAATGCCAGGAAATTTAACATCTATAATGGTTACACAGAAATAGTTGCTAAAACAATAAAATACTTTCCTTCATATATCATTTTATGCTTTCAAATTTTAGATTTCCAATTTTTTTTTTTTTTTTTTTGAGACGGAGTCTCACTCGGTTACCCAGGCTGGAGTGCAGTGGCGCGATCTCAGCTCACTGCAAGCTCCGCCTCCCGGGTTCACGCCATTATCCTGCCTCAGCCTCCCGAATAGCTGGGACTACAGACGCCCGCCACCACGCCCCGCTAATTTTTTGCATTTTTTAGTAGAGACGGGGTTTCACTGTGTTAGCCAGGATGGGTCTCAATCTCCTGACCTCATGATCCGCCCGCCTCAGCCTCCCAAAGTGCTGGGATTACAGGCGTGAGCCACCGCGTCCGGCCTTAGATTTCCAATTTTTAAATTTTGAGATTAGGCAGTCAAACTAGCATTGATAGCCTAAGCATCACTATCTCATTATGGAAGCATTACTGTTTCATTAAAGTTATTAATTATAAATGTGGAAAGAAAAAGATTCATAAACTAAATGGTTAGTCTCTTAAAATGCTAACTGTTCCTTATGTTTGTACTAGATTTCAAATTTAATTTATTTGCATAAGCCATAATGATTTCTGGAAAAAAAAATAGTCACTAAAACAGTATCACGTTGGATATATTCAAAGGAAATGTATATGACTACCTTGTAATTTATGGCATTTTTAAAAGAATACCATGATATTTCATGCCCCTATGTCTTGGGTCTTGATTTTTCTCTATTTGTTGTAACACTTCCTCTTCTCACCTTCAAATTCTCAGTCGTCCTCTAGGACAAAACTCAAAATCACATCTTAGGCTAAACCTCCCCAAAATCCTTCCTAGTACCTTATTAACACCTTGATTATAGTGCTTAACATAGTTAAATTTTTTTTTTAAATTTTCTTTCAATACATTCAATTTCTTGAATGCAGAGTCTATGTCTTTCATGTACATGTTGATGTCATCTAGCAAAATTCTTTTCACTTGGTAGGCAAATAAATGCTCCTTAACTTGAATAGTCCAAAAGCATCAAAGATCAAAGTTTTATAAACTATTTTGTAGAATTGTCTTATAATTTTCCTTTGATGCACTAAAATGGAAAACACATTGTGAAGAGGTAAAAATTTTCATGAAAATTTAGAAATATAGCACTAGAATTTTTTAAAGTGGAAGATACTTTGGTATGTGATCCAGCATTTTTAGGAAATTTCCCCTTCAGGCCATATTTTCATTTAAAATGTATAAAATCAACCTGGATGGGTTAAATGACAAACTTGGTATTTTCTAAATTTTGTTCTAAGGTATAGAAAGTTAATATGTATTCAGTAAAAAAGAATTTCTATGAAAAATATATTTTAGAAACATTCGATATAATATTTCCCTTCTCTTTGGAAATTCACAGTGCATGTACATATATTAGAGATTCCAAACATTACTGGAAACAGTAATCCTGTTTAACTTTAACTCAGAATTTCCCAAGTATGTTTACCATTAAACCCCTTGTGTGTGTGTGTGTGTGTGTGTGTGTGTGTGTAATTCAACAAATTATTAGAGTTTTTTTAGTACCCAGTTATAAAAATGCTAGACTATACTTGTACTTGCCAACAAGCTATTTGGGGGCAAAATAAACTTCAGAATGCAGACTCTATACGTTCTCAGTCTACTTTAAGCTGCAAGTATCCATCATTATACTAAACCTCACTTTATAAAATTAAGCATATAGGTGTTTTATAACATACTTAAAGATATATTATTTTATTTTATCCTACAAATGTGGGATCCTATAAATTCTTCTCTTTTTTTCACATAGATACAGAGAAAAAGGCTTCCCAAAAGTTAAATTTTATATTACAGGATTTTTATAAAAAATAAAATTAAGGAGCAAAATGATAGATTTCCTGACCATGAAGAGTCTCCAACCATGAGTTCCTTCCAATGTCCATGTGTAGAAGAGTTAACACAAATAAAACTATTTTTGTTATCTGTTATAATGTATGCATGCTTCCAAGTTGTGTTTGTTAACCTTGGAACTACACAAAATTGTACCACCGGTGAAACTAGTGTGCACCTTTCTCATTTTCCTTCTCCAGTAACTTAACGAGAATTGGTGATTTGTTAGTAGCACCGTTTGTCCATTGTAACTTTGAGAAGACTGCACTTCAATTTATTTCCACTGTATTGAAGTGGAAATGGCAGGTACCTTATCATGAAATATGTTCATCATGACTTCTCCAGCTCCATTTTGTTTTCAGGTTAAGTGCTTCTTTCAGTCTAAAGAGTGGGTTAAGTTTTTAAAAAATGTTTATTTGTTTCCTTCTAATAAGTTACTTTTATATCTTCAGAATTCATTTTCTGTGCAGTTTTTGAGCCTCAATGGCTTCTTGAGTGTTTTGCAGTAAACAGGAGATCAAAAGACCTTATCTAATTAGCTTTCAAAATGTTGGTTGCCAAAAATTTCAAATTATCCACAGTATCTACCAAATATAACATTCTCTTTATATTTTATGGTGTACAGTAATAAAGTATAGGACATGAGGCTTTTTCTCACTCTAGATGGAAAGGAAAGAGGAGTAGTTTTGAAGCATGCTTATGTGAGCATTATATGTTATAACAACAAAAGAGTAAATTGTGCCATAAATCAGAAAATATACAAACATACATGGTTTTATATATATGTAAAAAAACACATGTGTATATATATATATACATATGTATATACACACACACACACACACATATATATATATATAGACACATGCAGAGAGAAGAGTATATTTAGTGTGCATTGGAAGGAGTATAAAGTCCTCATCAATTCATGAAACTATAAGCAATTTTCTTCCTCAGTTGCTGTCTCCTTGCTTTTGACTGTTGGTTCTTAGTGATGACCATTGAAGATAATATATATGAAAGTTCTTCATAAATTATAACATAAAATATTAGATTCATCACTCTTGAATCATTTCCTAAATATTTGTTGAAAAAATAAATCATTACAGTGATAAGATTGAATTAATGTGTTTTGTACTCATTCTCTAATAGTTGAGAATCTAATATCCATATTATTCTAGAATCAGTGTATTATTCAGATTAATGATGAGGAATTCAGAGCCAAATCTTCTCTCCTAGCTTTGACCTTGGTTAAGTTATTTAGGCTTTCTTTGCTCATTTCCCCATCTATAAAGTGAAGATAATAGTAATGAATATCTGATACAGTGGTTGATAAGATTAAATAAATTAATATATGTGGTATCAGAGAGAACTCCCATAGCCACTGCACAGGCATCAGGCTAAATTGTGTCTGAATCGTAGCCACTTCCCCATAATTATTTAGGGCACATACATCTGTCTATTCCTTCTTCTTGTCCTGTGCCCACTCTCCTGTCAACTCCTAAGCAACAGAGGGGAAATGCATCAGCACACTTTATTGATTTGGTGTAAGAAACATTTACCTATTTAATAATTATAATTTATACAATTATGTATTGTCTGTGGATCAGGATCCAATACTTTATTCTATAATGTGGACCAACAGCACCTTAAACAAAAATTCTTTGTAATTTACTCTCAAAACTAATGATAATTTGTTGTTTTTACAGTGGTTTCAAGAAAGACTTTGAGTACTGGTTTTGTCAATCATTAAGCATGTGATTCCTCTGAGTCTATTTTCTACTATAAGGGTCAAATTAAGAGTATTTAGGTGAGATGTGGGGATAACATGAGAAAATTACAGTAATGCATGTAGACTAGCTTTCCACACTTAGTAAGCACACTACATGTTAGCAGCTGCATCTATATTGCTGCTAATCAGAATGCTTTTGCTTTGTTTCATTATCTTTCTCTTCCTTTTTACTTCCTCTTCTTTTTCCCTTCTAGCCCCTCTAGTTCTTCATCCCCTTCTTCTAGCAATCATTGCCATGTTCTTTTTCTTTCTAGATCCTCCTTTTAAATTATTTCTCTTGCTTAAACTCCACATCCAGTTCTGTCAATTGCATCTTCTCACACATATTTAATTCTCTATTCATTCTCACATCTGACATTCATAGTAGGTCCTTATTTTATAATTCCAGGACCATTACGCAGTATTTTATGTTTTTATTAAATAAAACTTCAGATTTAATCAAGAGATCTATTTACTAATTAAAACATCCCCAAAACTAGGTATAACTTTCCATAATTTCTTAATGCTATGCATTGTCACAGTTATGACATTGCTGTTCTAATACAAATAATTACTTCTAAACCCACGGAACTTTGTTAGAAATGTATTCAAAATCTCATATACAAACTAATTATCCCATGTTACCACCATGGGAAACCAACAGGAGCATCTACACATATTTGATTTGCTTTTCTAATTACTACAATGTTTTATTATACTAAACCAATTTGAGAAACACTTAGAGTATCTGACTACTTGAAATGTGTGTAAGTAGTGCCTATTCTTAGTTCCTCCATCTAGGTCAACTTTTGTTTCACTTGAACATGGATCTTTCCTACCTAGTTTCTTAATCTTAATATTTGAAGATATTTTTGGTGAATCTATGTAACCATGTACATACTAAATTCACTTCATATAATTCTAATGGGATATGCGAGAGTTTGCCAGCATTTCTTTGCCAGTATTCTTTGCACCCATTTGCAGTTTCTATTTCTCCAGTGCCTTGTCGACTTCTGATAAATCAAGGTGCTTTCCCAGTGCTGTTGACAACATGAAGCATCTTTCTTCTGCCTCTCCAAATATGAGGTTTTCATATTGAGATAACAGTTAGAAATGTTATTTTGCAGGCATAAGCTGATTTCTTCTAAGGTTTTCAAGATGTAGGGTCTGAAATAGGTTCCAGATACTTTCCATGATACATTTTGAGAAATAAAAGTATGATTAGAATAAATGTGTAAACTCATCAGAGAACAATGCCAAAATACAGTGCCTATTTAAACACATCATTCATTCCTTCATTTAGTCACTTATTCTTGAAGAATTGTCAGTTCCTTTTTAAGTGTTAGACCCTTGGCTGAACAGCTGTAAATATAAAAGATAATAAGACAAAGCGTTCCCTTGTTAATCTATTGATTTTACTGATCTTTAGAGGAGTGATATTTTCTGTAATTACAAAATATCATGAAAACTTCTGAAGGAGTTCACAACCTAGTGATGGAAGAAATAGAATAAACTAATTAATTAATTAATTAAAAATGTGATGTACTCTGTAATGAAGATAATCAGGAAGTCCAGTAAATTTATTTTCAAATTTTAGAAAATGTTCCACAGAGGAAATGTATACCTGGGTCCTAAAGTATAAAAATATTTCTTCAATTTAAGAAGTTAGGAGAGAAAATTCTACAGAAAGGAAATCTCCTGGGTCAGTGAAATACTGCATGGAGATTGTTTTGGCATTGATATGTTGGGTGTACAGGCTGGGGACAGTAACAGATTTGAAAGAAAAAGCAGATGTAAGATTCAGAGGATAGAAATAAATAAGCCCAGGGAACTTGCCCTGTGTCCACCTCATGTATTGTCTCAAAAAAGTTCACTATAAGTGGAAAGAATGGAGAGAATCTTATATTCCATAGTAAATACTTTGTTAAATTGACAATGTGGAGTCATCACATTTTTAGCAAGTGTGACACTATCAGTCTGGGTTTTATAAAATAACCTGGGCAATAATACACACAATGCAGTATAACAATGGAGTCTAGGATAAAGAAAATGAAACAGAAAATAATAGCAATAATGTCAGAAAGAATTCAGTTATTAAATACTGAGTCAGTCACTATGCTAAATGCTATATAGTATCATTTAATATTCATAAGAATCCTTAAAGGTGGGCACTTTTACTGTGCTCACTTTTCAAAGAGGGAAGGGTAATCATTTGTCCCAGGACCATCTCAATTTTAGCATTAAAAATCCTGTTTGGGGAAACCCCTCAGTCCTGTATAAACTGAGATAGTTTGTCACTCTAGGTCTTAAATTGATTAAGTAATTCTTCCAGGATCAAACAGCTAGCATATGGTGAATCAGCCTGAATTTAAATTCAGACAATTTGACTTTGAAAACATGTGTGTCCTTGGGCAAGTTACATAAACTTTTTACAATTTAGTTTCTTCAAGGGCAGAGTAAAGACAGTGTAAATTTCTACCCCAGAGATTGTTTTAATGATGACAATAAAATGATATGCATAGAAATGCTTAGGTCAATATATGGCACATCAAAAGTCTTCAATACATTAGCCACTTTTTTTGTAATTGCTCTATTTTTACATTAATATTTTGTGGGAAAGATAAGAGGATAAACTGATGGTGGGGAATAAAGAGAGCAAACTGAGGGCCCAAGTTTTTTGTGGTTTTGTTTTTGTTGTTTTTATTGTTTTTAGCTTTAGAGATTGGATTGTAATTTTACTAATTTAGGAAGAACATAAAGAGGATAAATTTCCTTATGAGAAATAATAAAGTTTGTGTTTAAAGTATTCAATTTAAAGTGCAAGAGAATATTCCTTTTGTCCTGAATATGTGTTCTTGGTCTATTCCATGCTGTTAACAGTGGGAATTAGCCACAGGTGAGTAGATTTTCATCATACTGAGTCACACAAACTGACTATGAATCCCAGTAGACATTTTATATTTTATTAAAAACTTTGTTGTAAGATGTCATTTTACATCTTATTTTTACAAATATTACCCAGTAATGAGGTAGAGGTAGAAAAAGAGAAGAGAAAGAGTATTTGCTATGTCCTCAAAAGCATCTGTAACTCAAAAACTTCCAGCGCTCTTACACTCATGTTTTAATTATTCCCATGGTGCTTTAGAGGCTCATGATAAGCAGGTATTTTATTTGATTACCAAATTTGACTCAGTAGCTAATATCTGTTTGCTAAAAATATTTTTGAAATAGAAATCAGTAAAGCTAAAATTGTGAAAAGCGCAATTCAAATAGCTGAAGATATCTTTTCTTAAAGGAATGTATGCTGGTAAATTAAGAACCTTAGCAACTGTAACAATGTAAATGTTTTTCTTTAGATTGAATTTTTTATGGGAATTTTTTAGCTTGGTGGTCTCTTGTAAGAAATATAGTACAAATATTCAGTTCAATATAACTACCATGTGTGGTGACCAACTAAGTGCCAGACGTTGGTTTAATTGCTGCAAACAAAAATTTTTTAAAAATTAAAGATGTTGGTCAAATTCAATCAAATGGCTAAAAAAGGTACTAAATAACTCCAATTTAATGGGCTACGTGACAAATCAGATGGTCAAAGGTAAAAAGCAAATTAATTATCTTCTGTTTTAAATTTTTTTTTCAGGAGATAGTACCACAATGTATTATTCATTCATCTACTCTAAATATCTGGTTTCTCTTCCTCATTTTCTCCCTTGAATTAATTAATATCCTATATCTCCATTATATTCCATTGCCACTTTTTACTTCATGCTGATACTATTTTTCATGGGAACTATTATGTTTGTCTCTTGCCTCATCTTAATCCTGCACATGAAATACAAATCTGATTATGGGATGTCCGCTATGAAAAATCTTATATTTTAGCTCTGTGTTACCTATATACCTTAGCATAGCATATAAAGATAATCAAATACTGGTGGAATGAATAAATTAATGCATCCCTTTCTGGCCTATTCAGGCTTATCTTTAACCCTCCCCAAAACATAGCGGGATATCTGGTTCAACAGGACTAGATGAATATGCCACAATATAATATGCTTCTGGTTCTTCTCCCTGATACTGTTCTTCTGTCCAGTTTCCCATTCAATTGTTCAACTACAGTATTAGGTGTCAAATTAAGAGTATTTAGATGAGATGTGGGGATAACATGAGAAAATGACAGTAATACATTTAGATTAGTTTTCCACACTTAGTAAGAACTACATGTTAGCAGCTGCATCTATATTGTTGCTAATCCAAATGCTTTTGCTTTGTTTCATTATCTTTCTCTTCCTTTTTACTTCCTCTTCTTTTTCCCTTCTTGTTCCTCATCCCCCTTTTCTGCCAATCATTGTCATGTTCTTTTTCTTTCTGGATCCTCCTTTTAAATTCCTTCTTCTGCTTCTTCTGGATTCTCCTTTTAAAGTCTGTCTACATTTGCATTTTGAGGTCCTCTCCAACCTCCCATACATATTTTACTTCCTCTAAGAGGATTTAAAGTCCCCTTGTTTCTGTTCTTCACTGCAATCATAAAATTTATTATGAATACTTCGAAAGTATGGATTTTATCTTATTTATCTTTGTTCCTTCATTGCCTCATGTGGTACTTGAAAGACAGTAGCTTCCTAATGTATATGCTGATTATTAAAGGCTTGTATAAATTGGACAAGTGATATAGAATTACTGCTGTATTCGTAAAAGTCATTTATCAGCCTATTACATTTTACAGTTTACAAAAAGTTTTACAGACATTATCTCATTCCAGTCTCATTCATATGAGGTCACTTATTGTGATGTAACTATACTAAAATGATGGAAGAAATTTCTGTCTTCATTCCTCCAACACTGTTGGATCCTTAACAATGAAACCAGCAAGTATGTATGCAATTAATGATTAAAAAATAATTTGAATTTCACAATCTAAACCATCATTTCATTTGTTTTTAATCTTTTTTAAGAGGCAACAGGATGGTCTTATATATAGGAACACTGCCAATTCAAAATGTTCCTTGGCTTTCTTGCTCAAAAAGATCATTTTCCCAGGTTTAGTTTTAAAAATCTGAAATGCTTTATAATGTATATGCTTTATATTGCCATTGCGGGAAGCTCTCTTCTTTCATGCCACTCTTTCGTGTAAATTTTGGATCATATTTTCTTCGGCACAATGACTTTCTGATTTAGTGTGCTTGAGAAACATTTGAAGTAATAGTTTGCAATGAAATTTTTGGGCTTAATCCAAATTGATTGTTTTCGGTAAAACTAAGTGAGGCTCAGTAATCTTATTTAATAACCACTGCAGTTTATTCTGATGTAGTGGTCTGTGGATCACATTTTTAAGAAGATTGGTGAATGTAGTCTAATTGCTATGATTGCCATTGAGTCCCCATTTGTTGCTTTGGGGGTTAAAATATCAGTATCTTTAGGCTTTGGCTTTCTTGCTTGTGAAATATGATTTTTTAAAAATACACTGACAGAGAGAGAGAGAGAGATCAATTCTAACAGAATATGCCAGTATTGTGCTAGTCAAAAAGAGTGCAGGGATGACTAAATGTAAAAGTTCTTATTTATTAGATGTTTCCTATGTGCATGTAGTGATCTAAATTGTCTTTATGCATCAACTAATTCATATTCAAAATCACCTTACTTAGTGACATATATTTTCGTCTTCATTTTAGAGAAAAGGAAAGTGAGTCACAGAGAAAACACATAATTTGCTCAGGAGCCCACAGCTTGTAAATGGTCAAAATGAGATTGAAATCCAGGAAGTCATCTTTACAGACATCTACTACCCCCACTCTTAAACACTATATTTGGATTCTGCCTACCAAAATAAAAAAGGCAAGGGAGGGAAGAGCTAAAGAGAACACTGGCACATCTTCTCCTGCATTTCCATATATTTGGGCTTTTCCAAAACATTTTGTATTTTTGGCACAATATTTCTTAAACTGCAACTAAAATTCAAGGCTGTTTCAGAGGAACAGTAAGAATGATGTCACTAAAGATTTTCTACTATTTGACTATCTCAACTTTATATTTAATGGTTCATACAAATGTCTAAAAGAAAAACATGAATGTCCCCAAATAAAATTTAATGCACGTAAATAGATAATTTTCATATAAAAATGACCTCTAAAGATGAGGAAAATGTTCAATTGAATTTTAATAAAAAGCAAATTAAAACCACAATGTGATAGCATCTTTTCTGAATTGTGTCTTAGTGTTTTCCAATTTCTTCTTTTCTCTCTCCATCCCTGCCATAAACTTTAAATATTATTGCTTCTCAAGTACCACCTTGGGTATTTTATCTTTTCTTACGAATTCCCTTAGGAGATTTTACCCTCTTCCATAGTTTTACATAAATGTTGAAGAATCCACAAATTCAATCCCCAGCTCTGACATATTCCCTGGGGTGCAGACTTATATTTGACACTTTTGTTCCCACAAGAAGAGTCAATGCCAAAAAATGTTAGTCAAAGCCATTATGTGAAATCAGCGCAAGGTTTATTCAGCACCTCTACTTGGTAATGTATTCCCAATCAGTGTTGAGACCTGGCACACCATTCAAGGTGCATGTATGGATTCAGTGAGCTCATTTTTCTTTGACACATTACATCATAATGACTAGACATAAGCAAGATCTGTCTTTAATGTTTTAGGACATTGGTAAATCGTTTCATTTTTGTGTTTATTTTATTGTGAATGATTGTGGTTTTTATTTGTCCGGAATGCTCATTTATTTTTCTTATTAGGGTATTAGGGTAAAGTTTTAAGGCTCTGAGAATACAAAGTTTGAAGAGACACAATGAGGTTCATTTTGATCATGTCTACTTTCAGTGCCTGCAGATCATTCAGGCAGGAATATGTACTAAGTAGTGATGTTAGGGTTTTAGGATTTTAGGGTTTTCAGAAAATTGACTCCTGGTAATTGACTTTTGAATTATGTATTAGAGTTCAACAAGTTTCCCAAAATTAAATTGTTTGAACCAGATGAGCAGTTTTTCACAGGCTGATAACTCCTGTCTTTCATTATCATATTGCATTATCATTATGCATATTCTGGTTATTAAGCTATTCACTAAACTTCAAATGTATCCATCTATTTTGATTTTAGGGACTAACAAAACAAAACAAATTTAGACTCTGTTTTGGGTGCCCAGGCTGGGACTCTGCAAACTCAATTTATTCTTTGTCAGGTGACTTTCCACTGGGTTCCACAAGTAAGGGGTGGTAGAAAGCAGACAGAAAGAAAAAGGAGGAGAGAAAACCCTGGCATTTTCCTGTGTTCCTGTATTCTTGCTTTGTTTTTACTGGCAGTGAAGCTCCAGTGTGGATTTTTATTCAATTCTCCAGATTCTTGTAGCACTTTTCAAAACAGCCTCCTTATGCCTTCTCAGATGTACTACAATGAGATGAGTGATTCCCTGTTTTTTGAGAACTGGGTCTCAGATCTTTGGGATCCTTTCAGCGAACCTATGCCTTCTATAGACCCAAACGTTTGCCTTTGTTTCTCCAGCTCTAGAGATGGAAGCTGCTGTTATTTCCTATCTGACACCTCAGTGTTTCACTTTATTTATCCTTTAGCAGCTTCTAAACATACGTTCTTTCTATTGAAACACTTAGTATGTTTTTTGTCTTCCTGTCTGGATCCTGACTGATACACTATATAGATTTCCATCAGAAATCTTCTTCAATAATGAATAGTGCTTTCTCTTAGAGGAAACAGAATTCATTTATTAAACATATTTTGAGTGCCCTCCAAATGTCAGACACAGAGTTAGGTGCTAGGGTTTCTAAGTGTTAAGATAAACAAGATATTTTCTTGAGAATACTTCAGTTAGTAGAGAAGAGAGAGAAGTCAATAATTATTATAGACTATGACAAAAGATTCGTATTTCAGCTTTAAGGAGGGGACATGAGCTAAAGTATCAAGACAGGTTTTTAAGTATGGTGGGAATTTGGGGTAAAAGATGAATATTAAGAGGTAAGATGAACACACCCTATAAATTTGTGTATTCCAGGTTGTTTTCTAAAGTCCGTAAGAAATAATAATGTAGTTAATCTTAAATCGTATGCATTAGATAAGTTGCTTTAGCCACAGTTGGAGAATGTTTTGGTAGGGGGTGCACTTGAAATCAGAGGGACCAAGTGAGAAGGTGTGGTCACCCAGCTGGTGGAGACAAGCAGCATTTGAATAAAGGAAACCAGAGTTGGAATAAAAAGGATACAGATCCAGAATTACTGATAATAAAACACAGGAGTGATCAGCCTGTGAAAAACTGCCCCTGTGGTGCAAACAATTTAATTTCGAGAAGCTTGCTGAACTGTAATAAATAATTCAAAAGTCAATTACCAGAAGCCAATTTTCTGAAAACCCTAAAATCACTACTTAGTGCATATTACTACCTGGATGATCTGCAGGCACTGAAAATCGACATCATCAAAATGAACCTCATTGTGTCTCTCCAAACTTTATATTCTCAGAGCCCTTATCTTTCTGAATTGTGCTCCTATCTTTATAGACCAGATGTGTCTGCTTTTTGCCTCTTTCCACTCAACCAGGCTCCTCAACTGTCTTTTTCAAATGTGCATCTCTCCATTTCCACTTCTACTAGTGATGCCTGTGTTAGAGTCTACAGCTGTAATAAGGACTATGTTAGTAGAAATATGTGTGTCCCTTTATGTTTCTTTGTTAAAACTCTCTTTGATACTATGAAATATATCATTCTACAGCACAGATTTGCACAGGTAACTACCTTGCTTAATCCTCTTATTATTTAAACTGATCCCATCCCTGCCCATCTCTCCACTTTTATGCATCAACTTTCCTAATTCCCCTACTCTTTTGCAGTACACAGCTACTTGAACTCCTTAAGACTTACGTTCTTTCATTTCTCCCTCTGTGCCTAAGTGCTATTCCCTCTCTGCAGTGTCCATTCCTCCTCCTCATCTTAACCCATGCTTTAACAGATTTTCTCATTTCCTTAAAAATCTATCCTCTGTGAAATTCTAGAGTGTTTAACAACTGTTTATTTATTACTTTTATTTATTTATTTATTTTGAGACAGAGTCTTGTTCTGTTTCCCAGGCTGGAGTGCAGTGGCACGATCTCAGCTCACTGCAACCTCCACTTGCCATGTTCAAGGGATTCTCCTGCCTCAGCCTCCCAAGTAGCTGGGATTACAGGACTGGTCCACCACATCTGGCTAATTTTTGTATTTTTAGTAGAGACGGGGTTTCATCATGTTGTCCAGGCCTGGTGTGGAACTCCTGACCTCAAGTGATCCTCTCACCTCAGCCTCCCAAAGTGCTGGGATTACAGGCATGAGCCACCACGCCTGGCCAACTGTTTTAAAATTCTTGTGCGGAAGTGACTAGTAACCATATGCTTAATAGAATCACAAAGTTTATGAGACTTCTAATATAGACTCACAGGATTTCCTCATTCAAGATTACTCTCTGATTCTGCATTTTGGTAGATGGTATTAATGTTCAGAAGAAAATTACTAAGTTAAAGTACCTTAATTATGCTATAATCCACTTAGTTATTTTTTACAAAAGTATTACAAAAATGAAAAAGAGAAAAATCACCCACCAAAATGATAAAGGACTAAAATGGATAACTACTAAAGAAGTACAAAAAACTAAAAATAAAAAAGACTGACTCATCACTTATTGTGAACTCAAATTAAGTAAATGTTGGTAAAGCAAAACTGTAATAAGATTTTTGATTATCAAGTTTTAAGTATTTAAAAATCATAACAACTAATGCTAATGAGGATGCTGTGAAATTAACATTGTCTTAATTATTCTTAGAATCTTAGTAAGCACAACGTTTTTAAAGAATAATTTATCAATGCATACAAAATATCTTTATATACTTTAAAGAATTATAATTTTGTAAAAACAATTCCACATCTAGGACTCTAAGCAGATGTTCAGATATGCAGCCCAAAATGTTTTTTATGGTAATATCTATAAGAGTAAATGTTTTAAGCAGAAATTCTCAAGCAATATTGAGATATTTAAACAAATTTTGTTCAATTAACTGTAATTAGATATTAAACATTAATTTTTAGAGATGCTAATGTAAATAAAATAAACAAATATAAATCTGAATACATGATATAGTCATAAGAATTCCAAAGTTATCTATTTGTGAATGGGCAAAACTAAAATAGAAATGAGTATTTTAAAATAGTAGCATAGGTTATCTCTGTATGGTGGGATTATGAGTTATTTTCTTTATGCTTTGTATACTGTATTTCCTAAATTTTTTACTTATGGCCTCTTTTATAAAATCATATTTTACCTCCTTTATTGAATTGGCCATTTGATTATCTTATTAATGTGTTTCTTACCCTCCAAGGCCATGCAAGGGACATGTACCTTTTGTTTTCTTCATCACCGTATCCCTAGAAACTACCATACCATGGGCATTAAAGTGTTTTGAATGTTTGCTTAATAAATAAAAAATTGGACAGCGCATTAAAATGAGGTTTTTTTCTTCAAAAGAGGTAGATTTATTCTAATGAAGTTTAAGCTTTGGAGCCTTGCATTTGCTCAAGCCCTTCAAAAACTCTGAATGGACATTAGTAATCTTCTTTTTTCAATTTTGCATTCTTTTTCTTAGAGTTAGATCCCCAAAAGAATAAACTTCAGGCCTTTAAAAACCTAGATCTGTTTCTGCTTCTTGGATAGTCTTCATTTTCATTAATTTCTTCTTCATATATAAATGCTTCATTTTGCAGAACCCCTTGTAATCCCCAAATATGTTATATAAATTATTTCCCTCACACTTTAATTATTCTATGAAAATCATTTAATTTGTGTTTCTCTTTCCACTTGCACCTGGGAAACTACTTTAGCTTACCTGTAGTGATAAATTCATACCAGTTTTGTCAAATAAAGAAAAAAATCTTCTAAAATAATTCGACAACTTTATTGAAGAGAAACATCTATTTTTGAAGTCAAGAAACATTGTGCGAGCTTGGCATTTATATATGGAGACGGGATTTGGATCTATTCCTAGCTGAAAGAGCTGACTGCCTGGAAAAGGCCTGAGGGAAGAAGTGAGAAGCAGTCTTCTGAGGTTTGCCTTTTTCTCTTTCTTTTCTTTTTATTCATTTTTTTTTCTTTTGGTTTATTTGTTTTCCTTCAGACTGCAGCACATCAGGACATGGTTTTCTGGCCACATCACATATTCTGAAAAGCATCTGGTCTCCGAGTGGCACATATCAAAGACAGCAGGAGACTATAAAGCATTCCTTGGGCAAAAGGGAACCTTCATTTGGTGACGACATAAGTCAAAAATTAATTGCTTTAAATATCTATTTGCTTGAGAAACAGAATATAGGCATAGTTTAAAGTCATTTTTGTGTTATTATGGAAGGTTATTGTTCAAGCAGTTTGGTTTTGAGTTTGGATGTGTTAGTAAATTGTGGTTGATGTTCATTGTCAGTCTTTGGGAAAGTGGCAATAGTTATTTATTTATCTGCAAGTTGTGGAAACATTAGTCTATATTCAGATCCATTTCAATAAAGGGCATTTACAGTAGTTCATATTTTTCTAATTCTTTCTTTTTTTTCTAAATTTGAAAAAAGGAAACACACATGCAGCTTTTATATGTAAATATTCTGGTAATATATTCAGGAAAATATCGTTCAGAGATAGGGAGTTTTCGACTATTGTTTTATTCATACCTTAGTTTGAAAAATTTCATGATGTGATGATAAGCAACTTGAAGTTAATTGAAAAGAAGTGTCCTGTTAAATTAGAATGTTATAAGATAAACCTGTGAAAGCAAAATTTTCAACAAAAGGTAAAATTACAACTCTAATGGAAATATCAAAATGAACATGTTAAACAGTTTATTTACTCATTAATTAATGAGGGAACCCCACGGATGTTATAGCTGGTTAAAAAAAAGAACCTTTCAAAGAGCAGACACAGTACGGATCATGAATATTGAAATGAATATGCAAATGGGGGCAAGTTTGCCTTTTTCAACAGTGAGGTGGGAAGTGAATTAAATAAACATCTACTGGACAAGATCAAATTTGCATGTGACAAGACAGGAATTAGTTTGCATTGCTATCAATTTTCCACAACTTGCAGAGCTGTAAGATAGCTTTCATAAAACAGGAATCTGATAAACAGGAAGGGTGTACTCTAGTGCAAAAACAATGTATAGTTTCTATTTAATGATGCATATTTATAGATTTTCCTGCATATATAAGGCTACTGAAATATAGTCATTGTTTTCTGTTTTGTAGCTATAAAATAAATCTCAACTTTGTTCAAAGATTAAAAAGTACACAGATATTATATTATTAGATTAATTTCCAAGTAAAATAAAATGTAATTGAATTACAAAGGGGGCTGGAGAAGCTGAAGATATGAGATCCATTGCAGCCACATTCTTTTATAGCCACTTTCTTTCTATTTTTATTACTGATACCTTATCTGCTTAGGTGCTAGAGCTAAAAATCTGTGAGGTATTACTGACCAGTCCTTCTTCTTAGGCTACACATCCAACCTATCACTTAGTCTTCATGGTCTGCCTCCACTGTCTGTTTCAACCAGTTCACTTCATTTTTATTGCCTTCTTCCTAGAACAAATAAATTTGCAATGGTTATATGCCTTGTGGAATATTATTATATCTTCCTTACTGGAACTGTTGTATTTAGTTTTATTTTATACTATTATGTTATCCACAAAATACTCAGAATGTGTGTGTGTGTTTTTTTTAATTCTCAGAAAAATCCCTTTTTAGCAAGAGTTAATATGCAAGTTTTTTTAAAATTCCATGCAAAAGACAATAATAGCATGGTTTGTTTACCCAAATGGGTTCATGTTCATTATAATTTACTTCTCCTTTTGACTACACTAAAATATTCCTACTGTAGAAAATAAAAGACCCCTTTTCATTAACCCACTATTTCCCAGAGTAATGATTTTTAAAATGTAAATGAAGTGTTATTAGTATCTCACTTAAAACCTAATGATAATACACAGTTTTTCACAGAATGGAATCCAAACTTCTTGTCATGGACTACAAGCTCCTTCATGATCCCTTTCTACCTCCTCAATTTCATTTTGTAACATTGTGCTTTGGGGCACATTGCACTTCTTTCAATTTCTTTAAAGTAGGGTTTCTCAAGTTTAGCTTCTTATGAAGAGCTGTCTTCTGCACTGAAGAATGTTTAGCAGTATTTCTAGCCTCTATCCACTAGATGCCAGTATTAATCACACACACACACACACACACACACACACTTCAGTGTGACAATCAAAATTGTTTTCAGCCATTGCCAAATTTCCCATGGTGGGGAGTGGCAATATCTCCCCTAGCTGAAATCCACTGCATTAAAGCAGCAAACATTCTTGCACGTAGACATTCTCATACAAATTTCCTCTACAAACAAGGCTCTTTTTAGGTTCGCTGCATGGCTGCCTTCTTCTCTTTCTATAAATTTCAAAAACACATCTCTTATTCTAAAATGCCTTTCTTGTCCACTATAACGTAAAACTACTATCTACCCTATCCTCTGAGGATTAAATACTATTCTTTTCTTTATATAACTTACCACAATATATAATTAAAATGTTTACTTATATAATATTTACCTCCTCAACTAGACTATATCTCTAAACAAGGAATGTCAGTTTGGTTCACCATTTGCATAAGTTTGTTTCATTATCGTATATTCAGGTCTTGGCACAGGACTGACACTGAGGAGGCATTGGATACGTATTTTTTGAGTAAGTGAATGCTAATTTGAGTTGAATTTCCTATTCATAATACAGGATCTTCACATTACACCATATTCAGAAGTTCACAAATGACTCACTGTGCTTAGCAAAATTGTCATACCAAGAATAAATGCCGTTCTAAGGGTTATGCCTATAGTAGAAAATGATGTTTTCTGTCTATGTTATATTATTATTATTAATCTCATAATGGAACTTTTGGAGAAGCCAGAAAAATCTATTTAAAGAGCTGTAATCATTGTATCAGCCTTATTTATTTGTGTATTTATTGTATTCCCTCAGTAGTTTATCCATTTAAATCCAAACTTATATGACCATTTTGAAAATCTTCCAAAAAAGCAAGCACACCATTTTCAGGCGTGCTCCTCGTTTATTTTTTAGAAAATATATTTTAATATTTTTTCATCCAGGTGCTACTTTGAAAGTATTGAATAAATAACTTTTGGCAGATAAATCATTACTCAACACAATCTGCTATAATAATTTTGGGTTGAAAGCTTATTTTTAGGCTTAATGGTATTGAACCCCAATACAGATCTCAAAGCCAGTTAGCATGATTGAACTGAATTGCAGATGGTCCAACTCCAAGTGTGGTGCTTTGCTAAAATTAGAGTTTCTATTGTTTGTAAAAATAAATATTTGCAAGTTTTATAAATACCGTCTAACACAAACTCGTAGAAAAATTGAAATGTGTACCTTCTTTGGATTAAAAATATAGCTCAAATGAACTAAAACTCAGCTTTCAGATAGCTGGCACATAAGACAAAATCCTAGGAAAGCTCCCAATTTGCACTGTAATGTTAGTTCTCTAGATTTCACTTTTGACTTATCAGCATCTCCAAAAATTGATAAGAAATAGATAAATCACTTTCAGATATTATTTTACAACTGGAATACTTCATGTGTATACTGAAATAATTTATTCTTTTCTGTATTTTAAAAAGAAAATGATGTTAATGAAGGTAAACTTCTTTATTTCAGCATCCAAAATATTTTTAATAAGAGGGTAGGCTCCACGGTTTGTTTTTGTATCCTCGGCTGGCCCTTCGGTCTCTCGCGCGCTCGAACTTCCGGCCATTGGAGCGGATGTAGGGTTTGCAGGGTTTCCGGGGCGTACACCCCTCGGCCCTTTGGAGGACCGGAGAGCCGGACGACGCCGCAGCCCTTGGGGGAGTCCAGCGCCAGCTGGCGAAAAGTGAGGCTCTTGCCCCGCGCCCCGCTCCGCTCCGCCCCACCCCCACCCCACCCCACTCCCTAGAAGATGTGGCTGCGGGCCCGGCTGGTCATGCGCAGCGCACACACCTTTAGTTTGGGCACCTCCTGAACCCGCACGTCATCCGTTATGGCCCCCACAACCACGGCTGTTTTGTTTTCCCGGCCAGGAAGCTTCATCTTCCAGATCATCCGGGAAAGGGGCAGAGGTGGCCGGTTGTTGCGACTCATAAACAACCTCTTCAGCACAACCCGGTTGAATGTGGAGTTGGTTCCTTTGCTGGAAACCTGTACAGCTTGACCGACAGACAGCCTCAGGTAGATATCCTGGCTCTTAGGCTCCTTGCGCCGAACCTTTCGGTCCTTGTGGCGGGTGTCAACTCCCATGATGGCGCCTCCTGCCTGGCCAGGTCTGGAAAGAGAGAGTGGTAAACTTTCTTTTGATGAGGATTAAAAAAAATTGGATATCAATTTTTTTATATATTAGTTTATTTTGGACAACAAACGCATAAATAATACAGAAAAGACAGAAGACAGAATTTGCCACCTACTCTTAAGTGTCTTGTACATTCCAACCCCTCACCTCCCAGTTTTTGAATGAAATGACAAATTTTCTACAAAATATATTTTTTGTTATTATTATTTGAATCAAAATATGAATTACTAAACAAACAGTTCTTGAACATGTATTTACTTTTAAATACCCTCATATAAGAAACATACCAAATTATTAAAGATGTTTTAACATTTCATATTAAAGAAAAAATAATTATTAGAAATTTGTACATCAATCAAATAACTTTTATGCCTCAAAGGCTATTTGGAAGTATTTGTCTACTTCAGGAACCTACTTTTTAAATATATATATCCTGCCTTTAAAAGTAATTAAATTTTATCTTCTATGTTCAAATGAACAAATTTATAAATGTCCAGATTCATGAAAGACATTGAGTCATCTCATTAAAACAATGAGCTTGAGTTCATCTTAAATAAGAATTTGCCAATTGACAAAATAAAAGTTACATTCATATAGATAATTAAATCAACCTTGAGTGAGCGTCTTAGACAGGGCTCCAGTATGACATTAAAAGAACACAGCACCATTTTTGACTAAAATTTTGGTAAAAAATTAAAATATCATACACAAAATTAATTGTATAAGACTTCTGATACTTATTTTAAGTTTTCTTTAAGTAATTATAAAAACCATTATTCTAGTTCCAAATTATCCTGGCTTGCTCTTACTTCATTTCTCTGTTCTTCTAATTTTTATGTCGGTCATTTCTCTCATATTTTAGTCTTACATAAGCTACTCCGATTTTATGTTGGCAGAATTTTAAAAAATCAAATCCCGCTAATACTAATTGCTGACTCTTCAGCAATTAGCAAATTGTTCTGGGGAATAATCATTTTTCAACGGTCCCTCTTAGCTTCATTCCTAAGGAGGGTTCCATATTTCAATGCTGTTCGTAAAGTATTGATAGTTTCTTATTTTCCTCGGCATGACACGTGTGTGTGTGTGTGTGTGTGTGTGTGTGTGTATTAAATAGTCTTTGGCTTTGAATCCATCTTGAAGTGTTTTCTACTGGCTGCCTCTGAACTTTGCCTACTCGTTTCAGTGGAAAGGGGAGAAATAACTTCTAAATTATAGTCTAAACTCAAAGCGAATTTTACTTATTAGACATATGCTCTTGGCAGACATTAGCACAAAGTAGATATTCGGTATCTGTTTGTTAACTGACTGATAGCAATATGGACATCATTATATGTTATTAAGTCTCTTTTCTGGTGTAACAACTCTGTATTTTGTGAGCTACATTAGCAATGATTTGGGGAGCAAATGAGGATTTCCTTAGGCAGAATACCTGTTATGTTGTCCCATTATTCAGTGATGCTCCATTCTTAGAATGACATCGTTTTTCACCATTATCTTGAGATTGATTTTGTAGGTGAGGAAAAGCCATAGAGAAATTTTGGTAAACTTCTGTATATAACATAAAATTCTACTCTTTTGTTATACTGGGTAAAGTGATGGTCACAACTTTCAAATAAAAAGTTGTTTTATATGCCATCTTGTAGAACGCTGTCTTCCAACTGTAAAAACAAACACTTACAATGATAAGTGCTTGGCCACGGATAAAGGTATAGGCAGCATTAATCTTACACTCATGCTAGATCCTCATGGTATTATGGTGTTCATTTTATTGGTTTTTTTTTTTTTTTTTTTTTTTTTTTTTACTTTTTAACAACAAGGTGCATATGGCAGTGTACACAAAGAATAATTGAATAAGTAGTAAGATCAAAAGGAGAGTTAGATAATTAAAGCGACAACTGTTGCTGAGTTATATTAGGAATGCTTTCAAATGCCCTCAATTCCTCCACAGCTGAGCTCAAAATATTATAAGTAATATCGATGTTGGATTTGAAAAACAATGTGAAAATGTCTTACTCCAAAAATGTGTATTTCACTAGATTTCACTTGTCTGATATGCCTTCTTTTAATGTGTTTATTCACATTTATTAAATATTAGTGTATGTGAAAGTAGGGTGACAGATGAGGAATACAAATTTGAACTTCTGTATTTTTCAGTATTTCCTAGCACCAACCTTCTTATCTCTAGAAAAAATTTAAGGAAGCTGGGGGTAAGAGTGCTGTGGTCTGAATAAGAATTCAAACTTGTCTCATTCGTTAAAATAATATTTCAAAAACATGCAAGGAATATATGCCAATGTATTCTTCATATAGGTTTAAAATTTTTATTTTAAATCTTAACATTGCCATGTATATTTTTCTTAATATCTTTCATAATCTAATTATCAGACTGTAATGTTTTTCAAATACATGTGTTTCTGTGTCTATACTCATATGCCAAAGTGTGTATATATATGATTGTTCTCTGCATTATTTACTTTACATAAGTATATTATAATGTAAATATGGATAGATATGATATTGAGTTAAATGCACCCATATCTAGATATTATATAGCTAGATATATGTGGAGAGAGAGAGAGAAATTTGGAGATATTCCTCCTAATAGAAAAATATTTAATTGGACCTGAATTTTAGAGAGATATTCAGTTAAATGTTAATTCACCAACTCCCATTGTGGCTTCACAGAAGTGAGATGTCATGTAGTTCTTTCATATACATTTACTGAAATTGAGATATAAAGAATATGGACAACTCTCCCCAAAGGAGTAGTATAGATTACAGGGAACAATATATCATAGTGCATATCAATTAGTCTGTGAGTCAGGTGACCTAGGCATAGTTTCAGCTCTTTTAGCAACTTCATGTGATGCTTTAAATATGTGATAAATACCCTAGGTTTTTGTATCTTTTAATGACTCAAAAGTGACAAATTCTAAGGTCCTTTCCCATTTTTCATGTTAGTAACATTGAAGGAAAATTATTAACCCAAAAAGGTAGACAAAATTTCAAAATACCAGTAAAGTTAATTAATAAACATCTTTATTTCATATGTAAATGTATATATGTGTATTTATATAAATATATATACACATATAATGTAAGCTGAAAGTGTTGGGCTGTGTGCATTTATATACATATACGTATTTAAGCAATTTTTAATACATAAATGAAATTAAAATGGAAAAATATTGTGAGCGAGCCTGTGTAGTACCAGTGGAGTAAAACAGGGATCAAAATAAAAAAGGCTTTGTGTGTGTGTGTCCATAAAATCAAATATAACATCACCAATTATTTTATTTTTAAATAAGTCAATAGAAAAATTATTTTTTCGAGTAAATAAATGCAGAGATTTTATTTTTTCCTGAGTGGTTTTGAGTACAGATTGAAGCAGGTGTTACATATGAAAGCACAGAATATAGGAATACCATCTGTGTGTGTCTAATTTTAGCCAAAATTTTTTCCTTTACTGTTGTTTACAGATTAGAGAATTGGATTCTGCTTCAGAGTGGCGTTGGTACTAGCAGCTAATCCCGTTGAAGATTAAATGAAAACGCTAATTTTAAACAGTATTATTTTATACCATTAGATAGATATATTTTACAGCATAATACATTTCTAAATTTTTTACTTTTTAAAAACTGTGTATAAATGTGTCTTTTCTTTCTTTTTTTTTTTTTTTGAGACGGAGTCTCGCTCTGTCGCCCAGGCCGGACTGCGGACTGCAGTGGCGCAATCTCGGCTCACTGCAAGCTCCGCTTCCCGGGTTCACGCCGTTCTCCTGCCTCAGCCTCCCGAGTAGCTGGGACTACAGGCGCCCGCCACCACGCCCGGCTAATTTTTTGTATTTTTAGTTAGAGACGGGGTTTCACCTTGTTAGCCAGGATGGTCTCGATCTCCTGACCTCATGATCCACCCGCCTCGGCCTCCCAAAGTGCTGGGATTACAGGCGTGAGCCACCGCGCCCGGCCTAAATGTGTCTTTTCTATGCTTTTGGAATGGTATAAAATAAAGCAATCAGATTACTTACAGTTGTGTGCCAACTTATATGAGGTTGTATAATTTGGGGGATAAGATCAGGACTCCCCCTACTGGCTGCATGCCTGCTTCATTTGCATCAAAATCAGGACATAAAAAACTCAGGAAACACTAGAAATTTAGCAGAAGAGTAAGTTAAGATCCTCCAATCCGCTTCTCATCTTATGTATGTAGAAATCAAAGCCCAAAATATTAATGGATTAAAACTCATATTTATCCCCTGTAGCTTCAATCATCTAATTACCTGGGGCCAACTAAGTTTACCAACCTAATATGGTAACCATTAAGAATAATAAGATAACAAAGGATACTAACTATGGACTTTGTGCAAATGTGAAATGAACTTTTTCAAAATAATATTGTTATGGTACTTCATACAATTTTTAAATTACAAAATACCTTGGGGAACTAGCTTGTTTTCTGATATAAAAAATTGACCTCCCAAATATTTAAAATATAAGATAAAAATTGCACCTGGCCTTGCAGAGTCACAAATCCTGAGTGAACAGTTAATCAATGGATTAAATAATCTTGACCTCAACTTAATTTTTTTTAACTAGTGTGGAACTGTAGGCTATCACTAGCATTTTCCTAATACTCATGTAAGTCTAAAATCTTTTTTTTAAATTCTACTTGCTATAATATTGTTCTCATTGAAATACTCCCATATGAGCAATACCTGTTCATATATGTGAAAAGTCTTAAGTTCCTTGTTGGCTTTTTGCTTTACAAGCTAAAAACCACTATTCACTCAACCATTCTTCACAGAGCCTATTTCACAGTTGTTTAGTGCGTTTGTAGATCTCTTAGGAATCTGAGTGTGTTTATTTCCCTTTCCAAATTGAGTGGCTGACACTATTCTTCCCTGCTTAAAGACACAGTCTGTAATTCTTAGATGTAATTGATCTGTGATTCGTTGCCTGCATCCCACTATGATTTATTGTGATAACCTTCCACTGTTATTGACTCACATTAAGATTATAAACACTGTCACCGAGTTCCAAGGCAATTGCCATCTGAGCAGTGCAAAAGCAAATAATAAAAAGATGAATAAGAATAAACTTAATTTGGATAAAATATAAAGTTGAGAGAACAAGCAAAAATGTATAATAATTGTACCTCTGTTGTCATTCAGGGAATTGTCAGAGGCAACTTAGAACCTGCCATATGTACAGGTACTGCACAGTTGCATATGTATTTAATATTTACTATTTGTAATTTACAAATATATATGACCAAAAATTAAAGGTATAAAACATACTGATATTCCCAATATTCCACTTAAAGTTTATTAAGTAGCTACCTTATAAATGTTTTTTTAAAAATATTTAGAAATAATAGAATACTGGCTTTATCCTCAAAAAGGAAGTAGTTAAGTAATACGACTGAGAAGACAAATATGTAAGCAACTCATTATAATAGAAAAATGGCATATCTATTTCAAAATCATCTAAATTGTGAAATAACATACATTTTGTGAAAATTACTCTTCAAAAACTATGGACAATTTCAAATATATGCAAAAGTAGAGAGTATAATATGATTAAGTTCCGCATACCTATAACGAAGGTAAGACAATTGTAACTTCATGGCCAAGCTTGTTTCATTTATATTTGAAATTACTCTTCTCCTCCCACAGATTACGCTGAGACAGATCTCTAGAATAAAGATAATTTGTTATTAATCTTACAATGACTTTATTGCATGTAACTTCATGATACAACCAAACTCTTCAGAGCTGCAGATTTTTTTTAACAGGCAAAATATAAACTTTATGGAGAATTAGAGAAGACCTGAGAATAGCTCAGTAAACATGGCATGTTGGTGTAATAGGGTAAGAATATCAATAGGGATGGAAGAGATTTATTGCCAGAGAAGTAAAATAACTGAGAAATGAATAGTAAACATTTAATAGTAAATAGTAAAATTGCCAGAGAAGTAAAATAACTGAGAAATGAATGCATATAATGAACCAATAACCTAGAGTGGGTGCAGGGGATATATCTTGAAAGATAGGATGAATGTGTTTGTGAATGGCTTAATTTTGAGAAAATTTATACATGCATTCAATAAATGATTTGTAATGATCTTTCACAATATGCCTTTTTGTGAAGTTAAGCTTCAGTAACAATTCGTTGATCCTACAGTTGTCTACAAGATAAAAAAAAAAAACCTAATCACAATTTGACAAGGTCATTTAGATTCTATCTTTTAAGTAAAAGGCTGGAAGATACATCACAAGTTTATGTTCCAGTCATATTCAACAACTTGCCACTCTAGTTTGTTATGCTATTCTGTGTGTAAACATTGTTTTTTACTCTGCCAGCTATCTTTTTCCTTTTGTGAGCAATCCTTTTATGTGTTTTTTTAAATTTATTTAAATATTTATTTTAATTAATATATGAAATTATATGTATTTATTATGTACAACATGATATTTTGAAGTATATATACATTGTGTAATTATGAAATTTAGCTAATTAATATATACATTACCTCATATAGTTAGCAGTTTTGTGATGAGAACATTTACTCTCTTTAGCATTTTTCAAGAATGCAGTATATCATCATTGACTATAGTCATCATGTACAATACAATAGATCTCTTGAAGTTATTCCTCCTATGTAAGGGTAATTTTGTATCCTTTTACCAACATCTCCCAATCCCCCACTGTCACTGCCTCAGCCTCTAGTAATCACCATTCTACTCTCTATTTCTATGAGATTAACTTTTTTTGATTCTACATGTGAGAGAGAGAATGTTGTATTTGTCTTTCTGTGACTGACTTATTTCGCTTAACATAATGTCCTCCATGTTCATCTATGTTGTTGTAAATGATAGGATTTCATTCTTTAGTAGTGTCTTAATAATATTCCATTGTGTATATATACCACATTTTCTTTATCTATTTGTCTGTTGATGGACACTTAGGTTGATTCCATATCTTGGCTATTGTCAATAGCACTGCATTAAATATGGGAATTCAGATATCTCTTTGACATACTGATTTAATTTCATTTTGATATATACCCAGCAGTGGGATTGCTAGATCATACAGTAGTTCTAATTTTAATTTTATGAGGAAACTTCATACTGTTTTCCATAATATTTGTACTGACTTACGTCCACACCAACAATGTACAACAGTTTCCTTTTTTTTCACATCCTTACCAGAAATCATCTTTTATCTTTTTTATGATAGCCATTCTAACAGGAGTGAGGTCATATCTTATCAGAGGAGAAAGTTCTTTTTTTCTCAAGCCAACAAAAACAGATTCAAGATAAATATAGATAGTAAGAATTTATCTAATAATTTGGATCCTCAAATTTTATTTTATTATTATTATCATCACACAGTCCTTGGGACTGCTGTGCATTGATTAACTAAAATGTGGGTGAAATTATTTTCTACCTGAATCATCATTTTTCTGAAAAATATGGTGAGAAATTGATAGAGATTTACTATAATAAAGATATGCTGATCTCAGGAATGAAAATGAGTAGTATTCTCCTTTTGTTTGCCTCACTTGCCACCATTAAGCACACATTAAATTATATTTATGAATAACTTTTATTGGACACTTTTCATTAAATTATATTTCAATGCAGTTGTTTCTATTTGAGGGTTAGTTTTTAGAAACACAAACCCACCGTTCCTTGGTGATTCACTGTAATGCTTCACTATTCTCAGCAATTGCAGATATTTTCCCCAGAAAACATTACCTTCATTGGAAAATACCTAAGATTAAGGGATAATAAAAGTAGGACTAGATATGAATTTAGATATGGTGTGCATTGACAGAAAATTATAAATGATATGTAAATATTATTCAGTTGTTAGGACACAGAATCGGTCTTCATAATACAGTTTTAAAAGCCAAGATTATTGACGTGTCATCAGGGCATCACTTGCTTTGCCAATGTTATTGCTGCTCAACCTTATAACTGCGGATAAAAGGGTTAAACATTTTGATCACTTGGATTTTGTGTTGAACTTGAGTTTTTAGGAAGATAATGTGATATATAAGGAAAGGTAACACATTAACATCTTTATATAAAGAAACATATTTATCCATATTCCTCTAGGAAACTTACTGCAAAAGAAAGTTCTCATTTATAGAAGACGTACACACTCATAGAGATATACATTGTAATATTGCTTAAGTGTTGCTAAGTGTAAAGTTCTGGGGACTGAAGACCAGTGATAAGTCTAGTAATTCAAACTTATCCATGACAAGAGCCAGCATATCTGTTAAATTCCTGGAAATGGCCATCTGGCTTTGGAACTTGAGACATCGCTCCTGAGGTTGACATCGCATGGGAGTCAACCAAATGAAAAGGTTCTTTGGTAACACAGCTGGGAAGGTGAGTTAGTATTAGTCAAAAGGGGAAAGTATTGCTTTAGAAGTTTGGTAGTCTGGCAGTTGGCCAATTATGCCATTTTGAGCCAAAATTATGTGAGAAAAGAAAATTTTCATTTGGCTTCCTAAGGAGGACAAATAGGAAGTGTAGTTAATTTTTTCATTCTTTATTCAACAAATATTTATGTACCAAATAATGATGCAGTCAGTAGCAAATCAGCAGGTAGCAATAGGACTCAGCCCCCATGATGTTTCCACTTCATTCGTGGAAATAGACAACACACATGTAAATAAATAAATAAAATAATTTAGATTGCAATTATCATGAAGAAAATAAACAAGGGCTGTACTAGACAGCATCCAGGGAAGAGGCAAAGACACTTTAGAGGTGGTGGGCCAGGGAAGTCTATTTAAAGAAATATGGTTTGGGTTGAGGCTTGAATTATGAAAAAATACAGTCATACAGCATTCAGGAGATTAGACTGTTCCAAACACAGAAAATAACAAGTGCAAAGGCCCTGAATGGAAGAGCTTGGCTTGTTTGAGAAATATAAAGGAAGCCAGACGCAAGAAGAGAGCAAGAAGGCGTATGGTGTAAAACGAAGTTACTAAGATATGTGGGAACCAAATTTTGAAATGTCTTTTTAGATCATGGTAAAGAGTTCAGATAATATTCCAATTTCAGTAAGACGGCTTCTGAATTTTGGAAGAATCATAATTGTAATTTAAGTTATAATAGGTAAATTTATGTACAAGACATTGTAAAGCAATATCTGGTCTTTGAAATAATGTAATGGATAAATTTATAACTTATAAATACTTAAAATATTAAAAAATGAAGTAAATTTGGCAAAATTCTGATGGGGATTTATTTTACTTTCTTCATAATAGGTTTAAAATCTTCATGAAAAAATTAAACCTATAAAAAAGAATATGTTATTCCAGAACTCAAGTTGAATGAAATAAGTATAGCTAATGAAGAAAACATGGATAATGTCCTGTTGTTTCTAAACAGGAATATGTGTTGGAAATTTGATAGCATAAGTAATTATATTTTATAATAGTAGGTATTATCCAAAAGCATTCATTCAATTTAGGGAAATACTAACTTGACTAATTATTCCCCGGAAGTATATTGTAAATCTGATTTAATTGACTCAATCACACATTTATCTAGAATATTTGCTCTCAACCTTAAAAAAAGTACTCATTTCAACATATTTTGAAAGCTGTTTTAAAAACTTAGTTTAAAGGGAATAACCTAATTTCAATAAATATGATTTTGTTGTATATTTAAATACTATAGAGAAAAGAGAACATCTTTAACACCAATGATTTCCGTAACTCTAGTTTTTGTCTTGTATAATCATTGTGCAAGCATAATTTGTTCATGGTTAACACATTATCCCAAGATACAGTTGATATTAAGATACAATAGGTTACATTTAGAAAAGTTTATAAAAATTTTCCAGCTTTACTTCTATATTGTAAATCATGTAAATGAGCAAACTGATTTTGTCAGTGTTATAAACACACATGGTATACGCTCAAACTTCTAGTTTTCTCAAGACATCATTTTGGAAACAAGAATTGCATTCAAATATGCATAAAACGATTAGCTCTTCTCAATTCTGATACAAGACAAAATGAAGAAAATTTGCATTTTAAATCACTGGCGGTGTTGGAAGATGGAGGGCCATGCTTGTTTTCACTATTGCAGATTATAAATTAAAATTATTGTATAAAACAACCTTTTAAATCAAATACAGTTCTTAGTAAGGTATTTGGTTTGGTTTTCCTCATGATATTTCTGGTATTTTTATTTATCAACATGGAAATTTAATGGGGGAGCGTTGAGGTACTCTATAGAAGCAAAATGAATGTATTAGAAATCAGTGTCTCTCCTCCAGATTTATCCTTGTGTCCTATAAAGAATATCTCTGTGAATAAACCCTCAGAGGGCTCTTTGGTGAGGTATGGAAGCAGAAATCTGCACAAAGAGATTCTGTCTCCTGCAAAAATAGAAGCAAACAATACAAAATAAAAATAAAACCTGGGGCAGCAAGGACAACAAGCAGGGTAATGTTGCCTAAAATACTGATATATTTTGGCATCAAATCCTAGAGTATTCTTGCCCCCACCTTTTTTGGTGAAACAGATGCAGTCTTAGGAGTACTTGGTATGGTGAAAATGCCAACTGTCTAGCATGTGAATAAAAGTATTCTTGGCTAAATATTTTTAAATGTATTGATTAAACTGGATATGTTATAAATTATAAGGAAAATTATATAATTTGGTGGGTTTTTGGGTCATTTGTTGTTGCATTCAACTTGAAAAATTCAGTTACTGTTTAAAAAGTGATACATATAAAAATGACAGATTATATGGATTGATGGAAATATGCTGATACATTGAGACTCATGATTATAACAGAACGACACTCTCATTATTTTATTGACAAAACTCACCTATACAGACACAGTGGGACAGGCACATATATGTCAGATAGAAACCCATGTTCAGGTCCGATTTTTGTTTGCTGGCAGTGAATATCATTTATCTTGTAACATCATCGTATGATACTGACAACAGCTCAGCCAACGTCTATGATTTATAAATATTGAATTAAAATGTACATAATCTATTTTTAGTTTAAAAATACAACATAAGACATCATTTTTTTGTGATGCTGTTACAACATATTAGTTTAAGTTCTGAGTTTCATTCTGACCAAAGTTACATGGAATGAGGTAAAACTGAAATTTTAATATAAAGCTCTGTCTCTAAAGGATTATACATTTCATCCTTTGAGTGGTTTGCAAATTCAACTTATTGTAATAACACTTTTATTTTTACTCCTGAACTATGAAAATATATTATTTTAGATATAGCTATTTTATGAGTTATGTTTAAGGTAACTTTTCTCAAAAGCTGTTGATCTATTCAAGAATCTGATGCTTTTGAATCCTTAATAGCAGTTTAGTTTTCAGCTTTTTTGGTTGATTTTTTTCTTCCATGTTAAAATGAGTTATTTAAAATTTCCTTCTGCTTACCTTCACTCTAATTTCCATGAAAAGTCATAAACTCTTGCTCATTTTCCTTAAGGAAAGCTCATTAGGTACCTGCCTTGGGCATTGTTATAGTTCAACATTTCACATAAATGTATTCTACAGAACATTGGTCTCCTGAGAGATATTAAGGGATGCTCCATGAAAAAGAAAAGAATTCCAAGGACGGTTTGTTTGATCAATCTGGTGTACTATACATTCTCACTTTAAAATGAATATAACAGAGTAAATAGCTAAATTCTTTAAGATATTTGTGGTCCAGAAACCTTTTAATTTTTATAAGTCTTCTCAATAGTATTTGAATTCAGAATCTTTTTTTGTGATGTAACATGTTTTGGTATCTTTCTAGGCTAATACTTTTTAAAGAAATATAGTTTTAGCACAGAATGAGTAACGCAGCCACAACAAAGCCTTACATTGAATTGTGTCATTTTCCAAATTTCCATGACATGGTAAATTTTAGATCTCATGTATATTTTGGAGAACATATAACAATAAGGAAAAAAACTCACACTTAAATTACTGCAGCAAGAAATCTTCAAGTATAACTGGTATCGTTTAGAGATTCATTTAAATCCAAATATTTTATTTTCTTTTTAATCCTTTTATATATGTCCATTGTCAGAATTTAATTTGGCTATTTTCCTTCAAAAAACTAGAACTTGTTGAAATCGAAGTACATGTTTTAGTAAAATATTTTTAGGCTAGCATTTCATTTCCACATTCAAATTTTTTTTCTTTTCAAGTGTTCTTTTTAAAGATGATAGCTTAAAGAATACAAATGTAAAGGTAAAGCAGTATGATAATAATATTCTCCTCAACTATACATAGAGTGATTACATCCATCCCTGTTCCTGTCCCCATGCTTTATACATTTTCTGTATCAGATCCTTTTTAAAAAAAAAAAAAATTTAGTCTAATTCCTTTAGGAGATTGCCCTACATCACACTCTAACAGCTCTTTTTAAAAGCCAACTCTGGTAAGGATAAGTAAGCCAATGGCTCCAGAACAATTATAGTCATAAAAACACATAAGAATTCTTTAACAAATGTTGCTGAAACAATTGAACATCCATATTAAAAATAAATTTAGACATAGACCTTACATATTTCATAGAAATTAACTCAAAAAAGATCATAGAACTAAATGTGAAACACAAATCTGTAAGACTTCTAGAACACATAGGAGAAAATCTGTGTAACTTCAGGTTTGATAATAACTTTTAGATACAATCCCCAAAGAAAAATCCATGAAATTCAATAATTGATAAGTTAGACATTATTAAAATTAAAAACATTCTGATCTATATAGTAGGCTGAAAATGTATAGTCAGAGATACCAGGTCCTAATTCTTGGAACCTGTGAATGTGAACTTGTAAGAAAAAAAAGATCTTTGTAGATATGATTAAGTTAAGCGTCTTAACATGAAGAGATTACCCTGGATTCTCTGAGTGGTATCCAAATTCAGTTCTTATTAGTGAGAGGTGGAGGAAAATTAGACTCACACAAGAGGAGAAGGTGATGTGAAAATGGAAACAGGCATTGGGGCGAAGCAGCCACGAAAGCAAGCCAGCAGCCACCAGAAACTAGAAGAGTTAGGGAACTCCTTCACTAGAGCCTCCGGGAACAAGGCCCTTCTGAAATACATCCTAGTCAAATTGGTGTTAAATTTCTGGTCTCCAGAACAGGGAAAGAGCAGAATTTTATTGTTTTAAGCTATCAACTTTGTGGTAATTTGCTACAGCTGCAACCAGAAACTAATACACTCTGTGAAAGATACCATTAAAAGAATTAAAGCACAAGCCATGGAATGAGAGAAATTATTTACAAAACATATCTGATAAAGGACTTTGAAATATACAAACACGCGTGTAAGCAATTAACTATAAATAAGAGAAGCTTTTGATGTTTTGTCGTATCTAAGAAATTATTTTGTGTAATTTTCTTATGAACTTCAGGAGTTGTGATCCATACCATACTGGTTCACAATGATCAATGTGATATAGTATAGGCTTAACCTTATGAGAGTCAATGTAACTTAATGAAGTTCTGAAGTCCAGGCAAAAGGTACAAGGTGATGTTTACACACACATTGAGGAGAGGGTTTTATTACAGAAATTATCTGTGAGGAAAATGGTAGCAGAAGGTCAGTATTCTGGCTGGGCTGAGCAGTATTTTTTAAGGAATACAGATTCAATATTTTTATCTCCTCAGCATTGGTGTTCAAAGTTAAACCCTCCCAAACTTCAGGCTTCTTGGGTTCCAGAGGCAAATACTGCCTTTACCATTTTTGTCAGGCAGGAATAGGGTAACTAAATCCCAAGAAGAATATGGGGAGGAAGAAGTTCTTATGAAAATCCAGTTTCTTCTTCTAAACACACTGGATTAAGTTACTGCTTTTCTCCTTCAAACTAAAGTGTGATATTGAGTGGGGACAGTTATCTTTTACCACTGAAACAAACAGACAAAATCTCAAGAGTACACAAGAGGTGCATCCCACAAAACTGAGAAAAGGGAACAGGGTGGAAATACTGAGTGGGAAAGAGCTGTTTTGCCTACTTATTTAATTTGCCTCGGGCTTAAAAGTTTTCATTAAAATATTACATAATGCTGTTTCACACTGCAATAGTCTTGTTACCTACAGGGCACCAAGGATGGTGACTTTCTAGTTAAGGAGAAATGGTCTCACTTTTTATGCAGATACTTTTTATTACTGAGAAGTATACCAGAAAGTGTCATTTGAAGATCAAATGTAATATACTTACTTTTGATCTTGGAGGTTCCCCAACCGGAAATATTCTCAATTTTCCTTTCTGACTCTTCTATATATAACTCAATGCCAACTTCTGTTGCTGTTATTATGATATTGTATTTTTCTTCTTTTTCCCTTGGGCAAATAATCTAATGTCTAATCTGTGAGTTATAGTTTATTTATCTTTGTATCTTCCAAACCTAACAGAATTTCTAACACAGAGTTTGTGTTCAGTAATTTTTTTGAATCAAAATATTTGACCAGCTGGACTTGTATGTTCAATGCAAGTTCAACTTCAAATAAATCCTTATCAACTTTAGCTACAAATGCTATTTTCCCAGATGATTTAGAGAAATACATACTCTTGTGAATAACTTATTAATATAGATGGAGGCCAATCAGAGCTTATAGATCTATTTATTAAAATCTGCCTCATTTTTCTTTTGAGATTGGACTAATCCTTAATAGACATGTTCATGCAAAATAGGAAATAACATTGAGTATAAGCTAAATTGGTCAATGAAATATTAAAATTTGCTTGCATTAGGACTATATTTCCTATTGCTAATGAGGCAGGGATATTGTTTTCTGCCCATATGATTTATATTATAAATTGTGCTTTATAGCTTACAAATTGATATGGTTCCTATAAATGTCATAAATGCTCAGTTGCCTAAAAATTACAATTTCACATGTATAAATTTTCGATGACCAATGATGTTATTAAGGTTATATTTGTTTTTAATTATTTTTTAAATCCATGTGATAAAATAACAGTACATTGGCTTATCTAACTTTTTATGATATAATAATGATACACTGTCTTGTCTAACTTTTTATGACCATTGGAAACATATGATTTCAATGAAGTGAGTTTTATATGTCAAATTATTATTATGTTTACCATAGCAAAGACAAATATTCAAAGATAATGAAGACATTCAGGAAATATTATAAGAAAATACTTTTGTTAAGAATATTTAAGGAAATTTATATATTATAATGTCTTTTTCCATCGACATAAATAATTTTACTGCTTTCATACCTAATTACAAGAGTGCAACTGGTTCAAAATATGGGTTTATTTCATGGTACAAGCCTTTTTCTCTTAGCCATTTTTAAAATTAATGTATGAGCACTGAATTTAAAATGCAAAAGTGTAACATCAGTGCTAAGTTTTTAGTCAATAAAGAAGCAATTATAAGTACATTAACTATTAGGGGGAGGGGAATCAAATCAGAAAAGAACATGATCATAATGCATTTCCAGTGAAATCAAAAGCCAGCAGATGGAGCTTTTCAGTTGCTGTTACATAATCTTTACTTAAAGATGCCATCTAAAATAAAATAGAGTCAATTTAAAGTCCTTAAATGTTCCTTTTTTTTCTGCTTAAAACTATTCAGTCACTACTTGTAAAAAATTGTTTATTTTCAGTGAAATGATATTTGAATACTTATAAATGTTTCCATTTCTTTGAATCCATTAGCATCCCATTGCTAGACAAGGAAATTTCATTAAGACTGAAGTCACGGCCGGGCGCGGTGGCTCACGCCTGTAATCCCAGCACTTTGGGAGGCCGAGGCGGGCGGATCACGAGGTCAGGAGATCGAGACCATCCTGGCTAACAAGGTGAAACCCCGTCTCTACTAAAAATACAAAAAATTAGCCGGGCGTGGTAGCGGGCGCCTGTAGTCCCAGCTACTCGGGAGGCTGAGGCAGGAGAATGGCGTGAACCCGGGAGGCGGAGCTTGCAGTGAGCCGAGATCTCGCCACTGCACTCCAGCCTGGGCGACAGAGCGAGACTCCGTCTCAAAAAAAAAAAAAAAAAAAAAGACTGAAGTCACTTGTCAGTGCTTAGATATTGAAGTAATAAATACTTAAGTTTATAGTGTCATCACTTTTACATGTGTCCCAGTGTAAATTGATGTGTCCTTTGAAGCACAAAATGTGTATTTTAGCATATGAGATAAACAAAATAAATCAATGTATGTAAACCCTGTGCAAGTTTCTTGATATGTCCTAATTTATCTGCAAATTATTACTATTATACCCCTTCCTTATACTTGATAAAATATAGTGTTATAGAGGCTAGGGAACAAGCTCAAAGTCCTATAGCTCTAGAGGGCTGAAGTAGGGTATAAAACCTGGTCTGTCTGAATCCAGAGCTACTCTTGTCACTGGTACTTGACTGCCTCTATGAGTTTTGACCATCTCTGTCTCATCCCACCACCATCCCAAAGATGCTTGTTTAGAAGCATTATACATATTATAAAAATAAAACAGACACTATATACAGTAAAAGTGTTAAAAACAAGACCAATGAAAATTGAATTTCTAGAGGCAAATTTTACAGAAACCTGTAAACTTTGTAATAAAACCCTCTCCTCAATGTGTGTGTAAACATCACCTTGTACCTTTTGCCTGGACTTCAGAACTTCATTCCCCACAGAGCAGTGGGTATATATAAGCTAGTCCACAGCAGCCTACCCATGTTGAAGCTGCACATGTTTGATTTCAAAATTTTAAGTCTGAATACTTTCTATATTTATAAGTAGGTTGTATCCCACCATCTCCACTGTTTTCTTTAATTCAGATTACATCTAGCAAGCCTCAGTCTGGTATATAATACAGAATGTAAAATTAAAGTCTTTCAGTTCTTTTCAAGAGTATAAACTTTTAATGTTAAGGCAAATAATTGCTTGCAACAACCAATACGCATTATGAGAAAGGATATTATGGCTCAGAAGCAAAGACTGGAAAGACAAACTCTTTTCTTTTATGTGGATACTGCCAATGGCTAGAAGAATGTTTGCTGTTCTCTTTAGTTCCTGCCCTCTTTCTAGATTGCCAATCTTGCATGAGCTGAAGCTGTAGCTGCCTCCAGGTCCTAGAGAACCAATCCATTTCCCATTCCATCTTAGCTGGGCCCAGAATTTGCCCCCGCTCTGTTTCCTCAGCAGACATCTGGTAGGTTCTCAGGCACTTTAGGGAAAAGTTTACTTAATTCTTCTTTTACTACACAATTAAACCACCCACCTACTTGCCTATGATTTTGGCAGTCTCTCCAGAGACTCTTGAGTACTTTTCAGATGAAAAACTTGAAGCCTACTTGGGATGTAATGACTACTTCTGAGAGTTATGACTTGTTGTTTTCCAATTAAATAAAGGGATCCTGTGAGATGAGAAGTAAATACGTCATGGAACATTTGATTTGCTTCGCCAGTACCTTGTGCCAGAATCATAGTTGGTCAAACGTACAAACTTAGAGGCAATCCCAAATTATTTTTTAAAATTTGTGGGATTATTTTGGTATTTTTTTCTGATTTCAGGGGACTATATTCACAGATTTTTTTTTTACTATTGAGAGGAAATTGCTTATCAAATTTACTTTTTGCTAAAATATCTTTAATATTATCAACTTTACTATATATATTTTTTAACCGAGCAGCTTTTTTATTTTGCTATGTGGCACAAAATTGCCATCATCAATCATTGAGAAATTTGCTACATAGCCTTTTTATTTTGCTATGTGGCATGAAATTGAATCCAGAGCTACTACTCTTATCACTGATGCTTGACTGCCTCTATGAGTTTTGACTATCTCTGCCCCATCCACGACCATCCCAGAGATGCTTCTTTAGAAGCATTATACAGTATGCTTTTTTTCTATTTTGCTATGTGGCACGAAATTGCCATCATTAATCATTGAGAAATTTGCTACATACCTTCTAACAGTTTCTCTTTTTCTCTCCATATCATACTCCAACATACTCCCCTTTGCCTTCTGCCATGATTGTAAGTTTCCTTTAAAAAAGTTTTCTATTTTTATCGAGACCAGCCTAATCATTATGGTGAAACCTGGTCTGTACTAAATATACAAAAATTAGCTAAGCGTGGTGGCATACGCCTGTAATCCCAGCTACTTGGGAGGCTGAGGCAGGAAAATAGCTTGAACCTGGGAGGTGGAGGTTGCAGTTAGCTGAGATCATGCCACTGCACTCCAGCCTGAGCAACAGAGCAAGACTACATCTCAAAAAAAAAGTTTCCTATTTTTAAAAACACTACTATGTGTGCAGTACAGCTTTTGCATTTTCACTTGATTCTGCATATGTAGTATTTCTTTGTTTTAAATCCAGAAATTTTCTACACTTGTTTTTAAGCTAGAGAAATAATTTAGTTGTATTACAATTTAATAAGTGTTTCAACTTAATTTCCACTTACAATTCATTTAGGTATTGTGCTATTTGCATATAATATCCAAATAAACACATTACAATATTATATTGGTGCTTACATTGTGCAAAATATCCATCCATTGACATTAACTAGATTTGTGATGTTTTTATGTGGAATACTAGAAACAGTTTAGACACTTAATATGCATACTCGGTATTAGTCTGTTCTCATATTGCTATAAAGAACTACCTGAGACTGGGTAATTTATAAAGAAAAGAGGTTTAATTGGCTCACAGTTCCGCAGGCTGTGCAGGAAGCAAGGCTGGGGAGGCCTCAGTAAACTTACAATCATGGCAGAAGGCAAAGGGAAAGCAAACACATCTTCACATGGCCAGCAGGAGACAGAGAGGAAAGGGGGAAGTGCTATACACCTTTAAACACCCAGATCTTGTGAGAACTCACTTGCTATCATGACAACAGCAAGAGGGAAATCTGCCCCCATGATCCAGTCATCTTCTACTAGGTCCCTCCCCCAATTGTAATTTTAATTGGGAATTATAATTTCAACATGAGATTTGGGTGGGGGCACAAGCCAAACCATATCATACTCCAAGAAGACAATAATATATAAAACAATCAATGTTTGAAGCTAAATATAGTGCTACCAATACAACAACGTTGTGTTTATTGAATTAAATTATTTTATACTTCTTTCATTTTTAAATTTAAATTGATTTAAATTAAACACAATTAAAATAAATTTCCCCTGTCACACCAGTCACATTTCAAGTACTGAATAATGACATGTAGCTAGTGGTTACCATACTGTGCAGCAACTGGTTTAGATCATGTCTGGATTCAATGTCCAGTTTTCCTATTTTCTCAATGTGATTGGGAGAAAATTACTTCATTTTCTAAGCTTTAGTTTCTCCATCTGGAAACGAGAGTGAAATAACACAACCAGCTCACAGAAGTTTTGAAAGGGCTAAACAATATAATCCAAAGCAAATGCTTATTGCAGGTTTTGAAACATGATTTCCATTATACATTGCTAAAGAAGTGACATTATTTAACAACTGCTATATAAATCTGTGCAAACAAGATGGTTTAATAATTTGCTTTTGGCATTGATGTAAATACAACACAAACACATAAATATATGTATGTATATATATTTTTTTCATTTCTGGGAGGTCTAAGGAGTTTTTAAGTATCTCTCTGTTCTAGATTCATATTTGCCTATTTTATTAATAATATCCAGGACTTTAAAAATGAGCTGTAGAGCTAACAATATAACATTTTTTTCAGAAAAAAATATTTTTATGTTGTAAATCATATGTATTACTTAAGGAACATATAAATAATTTCTTTTGCTTGCATTTTTAGAATGCTCACAGATGTAACTGCATCATTTAGGTAACTCCTAAGTAGATGTCATTAGCTTTCACTCACAAGATGTGTTTTAGAAGTTTTCTGAATGGAAGTGTACCTTGGTTATATTCCATATATTTGATAGAATAAAACGTAGTACCCTTTAGATAAAATATTTACATTGACTATGCTTTCTATTTTTTTGACATTTGTTGTGTTCTTAGTGAGAATAAGTATCACATGTAATTTGTTCATCAGTTCAAGTAAATTTCATTTATTTTATTCATTCAATACATTTTTATTGAGTGCTTACTTTCTCTCATGAAATCTTGGAAAAGGAGTGTGAAAATGAGAATTGTTTGAATCTCTCTGGCCTTCCCTGTAAAGGTAGAAATCTTCCTTGTTTTTTTGTTCATATTTATACTTTAACCACAAAAAAAGCTGACCAATTTTTTCTTCACTAAGTATCCAGACTTCTCAGGTTTGATGAACATAGTTCTCTCACAGTTATAGGAATTTCAGTTCCTTTGTCTGGGCAGCCAATTTTTTTCCTCCTCTGTGGTCATTTTATGCATTAATTTAAGAATTTGCTGAATATGCACTAAAACTGGGGGTAAACTAATGAGCAGAACATGTGTGTTTCCTAATGCTCAAATTTTGGTGGAGAAAGGCAGATTTTTAAACAAACTACATGAATAGTTCTATAGTTTTTTTAAGTGGTATATGCATGAATGGAAATATAAAACATGCAAAGGGGATGAAGAGTATTGGACCATGCATGGGAGGGTGTAACAAATGTTGTAAAATGTATTAGATAATGTTATTTAAGTTTTAGAGTAAAGATATTTATGTTTAGACTTGCTAAAATCATGTTAATTCTAACATGATTTTAAGGTTTACTCATACATTTTTAAGTATACAATTCCACTTCTACTCAGATTCAACTAATATTATGTACAACTATTACAGCTATAGTTGCCCAAGTGTAAGATGATCTTCACAAAAGATGAAAAACTGCTCCTATAATTTTTTTGGTTGATAGATAAATGTATAGTTGACAAACACACACACACACACACACACACCCCGTGTGTGTGTGTGTGTGTATATATATATATATATATATATATATAAAAATAAAACTTTTAAGAGTTATTTATTCAGGCATTCAAATATATGTATATTTATATTTGTGCTATGGACTGAATGTTTGTGTCCCCCTAAAATTCGTATGTTGAAGTTCTATTCCTCAATGTGATGGTACCAGGAAGCGCGGCCTTTGGGAGACAGTTAGGGTTAGATTAGGTTACAAGGGTAGGAACCTTGTGGTAATATAATTGCCCTTACAAAAAGAAGAGGTGATCTCTCTCTCCACCATGTAAGGATACAGCAAGAAAGTGGCCCTCACCAGACACTGAATTTTCTGGCATCTTGATACCTTGATCTTGGACTGCCTTGCCTTCAGAACTGTGAGAGTAAACCTTTGCTGTTTAAGACACACATTCCATGGTATTTTGTTGTAGCAGCCAGAACTGACTAAGAAAACCTGTGAGCCAAAGTGTATATATATATATGTGTGTGTGTGTTATATATGTACACACACATACACACCTACACATACATGTTTATATATATACCCACATTAGGAATATAGATAGAATTTTCAAGTTGTTAAATATGATACTTGTTTATGTTACACATACACTTAAAACTGTATAATACATAAGTTCATATATGAATTAATTTTAAAGTGTTTTGAAGTATTGTTTTTAACCTAATTTCATATTTCATAAAATTTGTAAAGTTTTGGCTTGTGAAATGCTGAAAATAATATTGATGTTTATTGAGATGGAGAAGACTTGACAAGATACTTGAAATTTGAGAGTAAAATGGGGACTATCAACATTTGTCTCTGTTGGTTGGGCGTGGTGGCTCATGCCTGTAATCCCAGCATTTTGGAAGGCCCAGGTCGGTGGAGTGCTTGGGCCCAGGAGTTCAAAACCAGCTTTGGCAACATGGTGAATCCTCGTGTCTACAAAGAAAAAAAAAATAGTCGGGCATGGTAACACACGCTTGTAGTCCCAATTATTTGGGAGGCTGAGGTGGGAGGATGGCTTGAGCCCAGGAAGTTGAGGCTGCAGGAAGCCAACATCATGCCATTACACTCCAGCCTGGGCAACAGAGTTGGACTCCGTTTCAAGAAAAAACAAACAAAAACAAAACAACAACAATAACAAATTTCTATGTTATGTTACTTTGGGGATCCCCATTTGACATTGCTGAATAGCTCCCCAATTGAAATGTTTCTTAGAACATTCATGTTTAGCAAGATCATTTTATATCACTCATTAATTTATATAAGTTCTTTATAATTGGATTCCATCCTTAGTCTGTACTCCTTTTTCAGGAAAATAATTTTATGATTTGTATTTTCTTTTATATACCTCAAACGTTCTTCCTTTAATTTCAAGGAGGTTCCCCTAAGATAGAGCAAATAAACTTTAGCTAAATTTCTGTCTTTCCTGTAACTGACTTTTTATATACTTTTAAGAGTTATTTATTCAGGTATTCAAATTCAGGAGTACAAAACTAAGTTAAGTTGACCAATTATGAACACTGCCCTGTTGAAATCATTTTATGTTCTGAGAATGAGAGTATTACATAAAAAGTAGAAGTCAAGGGCACACTTTCTCTCTCTTTGACACAGTAAGTCCTGACTTTACCTGGCCTCTCCTTTGAGAAACATGCAATGGTCGGTCATTCATTAATTTAAAGAGGTGATTCACCTAAGTGCAAAGAATAGTCTATGCATATTTATAACTTTGTACACTTTTATTAAAAATAACAACAAAATAGACTTTTGCTAAAAGGAAAACAGATAATATGAGAAAAGTAGGAGACAAAAAGGATGTCAGTGGAGAGCTTTAAAAAGCTAAGTAGGTCACTGAGACAAGCAGAAAAGATGCAATATCTTTTTTTAAGAAATGAAGTAATTCTTAAAAGATGCACTTCAGCCAGTGATTTTTTCAAAATAGAATAGCATAAAATTCAAAATCACAAAATACTATTTATAGAGCTAACCTTACATGATTTGGGGGGAAAAAAGTCCTCTTCAGTAAGTGTGAAAAACTGATAAGAAACCTTGTCTGAAGAGTGAATCCACTTTAACAGGACTCATAAAAGGTCACTGTGCAGAACTCGTGAGAAAGGCAAAAATATTTCCCAGAATCAAGTAGAAATAGTTTTGAATAAATTCACTTTGAATAGAATAATACCAGATTTAAAACAAATCTAAAAATGTCTCAATGCAGAGGATGGACCTAAAACAGGAACATAGTAAAAGAATGTGAGGCTAACAAATTTGAGGCAATTGAATAATTTAGTGTTTCAGTGTTGTATATAATTACTGCTCTTTATAGTCAAAGGGATATAAACAGCTCAACTGCAAATTGGTCTTGTTAGAATATTTAGTACAAAAATCCTTTATCTACCATTCTCTCTACAGCCTCTTGTTCCTATCATTCATATGCAAAATTTTTTAAAAAAATATGAGTAGGCCACTATTATTCATATGTGTGAGAATCTCTTCCTCTGAGGGACTTTTCTTAATTCTACAATCCCAAGTTACTCGCTTTTTCTACTCCTCCTATGTCCTTTAGTATTTTATTGCAGAGATTTGATGTATCATTTTCCTTTCCTCTTCACATCCAATCCATCAGAATGTCAAGTGATACTGCCACAAAATTCATCATAAGGAAGTCATTCCTCCATCATCACTGGCACTACTTTGAAACTCACCTCTCCTCAACAGTTCAAAAGCCTATTTCCTTGTCTTATTCCTTCCATCATTTTAGCTTGCAATTTGTGTTCCCCATGGCAGTAATTAGTATCACCTCTTTTAAAACACAAACTGAAATTGTGTATTCTTCTGCTCTTGTGTCCCTGTACCAATTCACCCAAATATTAATGCGTGGCTTTTTGTTAAATTGAAAAGTGCAATTCAAACACCTTGATAAGCTGTACAAAGACCTATGTGATGTGATTCTTTTTTGCTTCTTTATGAACCACTTGATTCCTGTGATCCACCAACTACTGCTCTTTAGCCATCCTGGTTTCCTTTCTCTCTTGCAAACTTAAGCTGTTTTCTTTTCAGTCTTTGTCTTGTCTGTTCCAGTGTGCTTGACTCACTCCTGGTATAATCTTAAAATGTCATCTCCTAAAGAGAGCCATTGTTAATTACTGTAAACAGCTAAGGAGGTCACCTGCTTTTGTGCTCTAGACATAGCACTGTCCTTAGCAGGTGTGCAGAAATGAGAACTAGGTTGTTTCTTAGAGTAACAAATTACTAAAGACTTGGTGGTTTAAAATTTTGGAAGTTTATTCTCACAGTTCTGGAGGCCAAGTCTGAAGTCAAGATGTTAGCAAGGGCGTGCTCCTTCTGAAGGTTCTCGGGGAGAATCCTGCCTTGCTTCTTCCAGCTTCTGATGGTGTCAGAAGTTGCTTGGTTTGTGACAGAATAATACCAGTCTCTACCCTCTTCACATGGCTTTCTCTCTTGTATCTCTGTGTGTCTTCTCTTTTTCCGTTTCTTACAGGCATACGCATCATAGGTTTCAGGGACCATCCCAATGCAGGATGGTCTATTCAAAAGATCCTTACTATAATTATATCTGAAAATAAACTAATTCCAAATAAGGTTACCTTTTGGGGTTCTAAGTAGATCTCAGAATGGCCATTATTCAACCTTCTGCAAGTGATATTGTGTAGCAATTAAATGACAAGAAATAATCCTGAAATATGTGAGGAACATCTGTTATTTCCCAGGAAGGAAACTCTAGATGAGACAGACATTCATGGAAGTTCAAGGTAAAGTAATACCATAGTGGTAAGAGGTTTGGTGCTGCTTTAATAAAAAAAAATCATTAAGCAATTGAAGACAAATGGTAACTCTCTTTTCTGAAAGATTCTTCTATGCAGGAAATTCCAATCTGTCTTACAGTTTCATTGATGACAAGAAAACAAGGCTTTAAACCAGAAATCTAGGAATGGCTTTGTCAGTTATTAATTATTTCAACATAGGCAAACTTTAATTACCACTTTTATAAAGAAGATGCTAATCTTTATCTCATAGGTTTTTCTAAGACTTAAACTAGATAATATCTGCAAAGCACTTAGCGAATGCCTGGTGTTTAAGAAACACTCAGCAGCTGCATCTTAATATGTACTGATTTCCATAGTGAATACATTCAATTTCAGGACTAAAGGAAATATTACTAAATATAATTTAAATGCATGCATCTTATTTTATTTAATATATTTAATTTATTTCACTCTATCTCCATTTTTCTCAGATACTTTAAAAGCTATCATGATCAAGTTGTAAATAATTGAATTATTCTTTTCATTATTCCTTAGTATCATTAAATAACAGTTTAGAATTATCTATTTTATAGGTGAGGGCAATCCTGCTTTTATTGTACATATTTGTAATCGCTTTGCCTTTTTCCAAGATATATTCATTTAACTGTTTGGGGTTTTAGTCTACCTTTATAGGAACTATCTTTACAACTTGTTATGAAGGAGTCATCAGAATAATATTTTCAAGCACTTTTAACTTGATGAAGTGCTTTCACATGCAGTTTCCATTTCATCTATCATTTATCCACTTATCCAACAAACACTCAGTTTTCTGGTTTTCCTGACACCAAGGTGAGTGCTGTGATAAAGAACTAAAAGCTATTGCCTGGTACTTAGGAAGCACACTAATGGAGTGTGGTGAAGGCTACAGTGAGTGTGTGCATGCCAGTGCTATGGTAATTTAAAGGCAGGATGCATTCAGACTTGAGTTCAGGGCATTGTGAACCTAAAGGGCATGGGAATCAGTTTTTTTTTTAATGTACATGGAAATTAGATCTAAAGAACATAAGGGGTATCTAGGGAGAAGTACCAGCAGTTGTAAAGGCATAGAGACTGAATAACTGGAGTCTGTGTTTAAAGGAGAAAAGTGGCATGCACTGAGGGTGAGAAACAAATCAGAAGTCAAATCACAGAGAACTGGAACATCATGCTGTCCGACATGGACTTAATTCTTAACTAATGGAAAATGCACAAAGAATATTAGGTAGGCTGTGACTTGATTCTATCTACATTTTAGAATGCAGCAACTTAGAAATGAGAAATAAACTAGAGAAGAGCTACCTAGGAGGTAGGGTAGAAAGACCTCTTGGGTAATCCTTCAGAGAAATTGGAATGGTTTGATCTTTCCCGTATTAGGGAGGTTGAAAAGAAGGGAATCATTTTAAGTGACATTAAGAAAGTGACCAGTTTATACTTGATATCCAGTTGGATTTTACTTCTCAATAAATTCAAGAGAGTTGTTTAAGTTCATTTGTATAGTACTTGTTTGCTCCTTAATTAGAGTTCTTTTTAATTCACCATAACAGTTCTTACCACGATTGGAGAAATATCTTTATTTTAGGTCCTGGAATCCCTGAAAAGAGTTTGAAGTTAACTCTTTAGACTCAACTATTTTACGGTAGTTCCTTATATATGTCAGTTATCTAATGCAAGGCAAGAAATTATTTCCACAAATTAATGACTTAAAAACAACGATTCATTCTGTCTTACCATTCTCTGGGCTGTCTGGGCTTAGCTGGGTGGATCTTCTCCTCCGTATGATGTTGTCGGGGGTCACTCATGCCTTTATCTATGACCTCTGCTTGGACTGAAACATCCAACATAGCTTTACTCAAATGACCTGGACCTTTTCTAGGGTAGCGGGAATGGTTGTGGTTGGTTGTGCCTTTCTGTACCAAGTAGTTAGACTTCTGACATGGTAGCCTCGGACTCTAGACTCTTAAGACCATAATTGGAAACTGCCAGGCTTCTCAAGAGGTAGACCCAGAATGGACACAGACTTGCTTCTGTTGCATTCTATTGGAAAAAGCAAGTCATACAGACCATCCAGATTCAAGAAGGGGAAATAGATTTCATATCTTAACGGGGGGAGTGACATGAGTATTCAGGGAAGAGAGGAATTATTTGAAGACAATCTACCATACTACATCGTTGGAAGTTACCGATTTTGCAGATTGTTTCTGAAAGTAGATATTCTCCTTTCTTATATAATATCAATTTAAGGGCACATGATAACACGTAGATGTTTATAAAAGAGGTTATTCCTCAGAAAGACAATTTAATATAGATATATAAGGATTAAAATTAATTATTTTTTTAAAAAGAGATGGGTTCTCACTGTGTTGCCCAAGCTAGTGTCAAACTCCTGGCCTGAAGCGATCCTCCTGCCTCAATCTCCCAAAGTGCTGAGTTTACAGGTATGAGCCACTGTGCCCAGCCTAGAGCTTTAAAATTTTTTCTTTTTGTATTCCTGTAAGATATTCTTGAGGCATATAGTTTAGATGTCTGTATAAATGCATTAAGCATCTATGCCATTTAGCACATCTTCACATTCAATAGTGATGATAAAATTTCATGAGCTAGCAATTCTTTTGCTGTAAGACATAAACTTTATAGCCATCTCAAACAGTGAGAAAAATCTCCTCAGAGCCTAGTATTTTGCAGTTACAAACATTAAAAGGGGTGGTTTATATGTCCCTTTGGCACAAGTGTTGGTCAGTGTTAGAAACTGGTAGATGGAGTAAATAAAATAAATGATGAAAAATGAAGACTCATTGATTTGGTAAGGGCACTAAGGAATTCTCTCCACCACAGACAACAGTTTTTAGCTGTGAGGCTCAGAGGATGGTATATACATATAAAAATAAATAATGATTATGAATAAAACCAAATAGTAAACTAGTTACACTAATCAACATTATAAAACCTATATATGTATGTATATACATATACCAAATAGTAAACCAGTAACATTATTCAGTACGTAAAATTAATGATTATATTTGAAAAGTGAACAAAAAAGCATCTATTTGAAAGAAGCAGAATTATACAGAGTTTTTGCATATTGTGTAAAGGTCTAAAATGAATACATTTTAATTTATACACACACTAAATATTCTGTATGATACACGTAAGCCTAAAATAGAAGAGGACAAATTTTAGTAAATCTAAGCCCTAATAAAAATAAAACAAATAAAAAAACCCCAAAACAACAATAAGAACTGTGTCTTTGAGCATTCCTTCTGTTCATTTACCTTCTGTATTCAGAGGACTAAAAACATTTTTAACTGAATATGAACACAATCTCGATGTAGCCCCCACCTGTCCCTCCCACATGCATACCTGCTTCCTTGATCTCCAGGATTGATTTGTTACTCCTGATAATCAATACATCTTTTTGCATCTTCCTCCCTGCTTCATCCCTGCTTCTCAAAGCTGGGTTTCCTAGTAAAGAGAGGCATCTTTGCATTTGGAATGGTTTTCATCTTATACAAGAAGCTGTACTAAATATTTAACAGCAAAGGACATGAGTTCATCACCAGGTTGTCTTTGTTTGGTACATGGCTCTACTACCATGTATAAAGCTGTATGATCTTGAGAAATTACATAAATGCCCTGTGCTTCCATTTTTCCTTTCTGTACAGTAACAGGTACCTCACAGTGCTGTGATAAAAACTACTTATGAAGACAATGCATGTCAAACAATTTAGAAGAGCAACAGGCACACGAATACATTAATAACGGACCTTAATCTCATTGATGATAATTGAAGATTCTAGTGGAGATAACAATAGTATGCTAAACGCATATTATGGTCTGGCATATTAAAATTTCTCTCATCTTCTTTTCTTATTTTCTGGTTAGAGAGTAAGAGGTGACTGCCTTTCTCAGTTGTACTTATATGGAAACCTTTGCTATTTTTACTAGGAACTCTTAGCCATGCAATGTCCAAGTTCAACACCAACCCCATTTTTTAATGATTTATTTTTTTCTTGGAGGTATTCACTCCTGGAAAATATAATTATCTCGCCTTTGCCAACTTTAGCCCAGCTTTGGGCTCTCAGATACTCTCTTTATGTTGTATATGTTAAGTATCATTTCTCTTCATTTTCATCATCCTTTGAAATACTCTTTTAAAAAACGTTATTTGTTTAACATGAAAGCTTGTATCTTGACAGTAAGTCTCAAATATATCTTCTTGCTAGCAGCCGTCTGTCAGCAGGTGGGAGCTGGACTGTCACTGCCGTTAAACTAAAATACACCTACAGCTGTGTGAAAGCCAATTCAGTGACAATTTATCTTTCACCTCCTTTATTCCCCTGCACAACATCACCTGCAGAATTGTGTCCCCCAAATGGCAATGTCATCTTAGCTGTCGCTCCCACTCTTGCTCTCCAAACCATGAAAGAAAAAAAGCCTGCAAGGGAATTCAGCAGTCCTTGTGATTTGTTTGCTGATGTGCCAAAGGCTGTAACCTCCACTCTTGGGAATTACAAAACCGCCTGATTTTCACCTTTACACGCCTTTCAATGTATTATTCCTTCTAAAGTAAATAGTGACTCCAGGCCTAAAGGAAGAGCCAGGGAGGTGTGGAAGGAGATAATAACCAGAGCAGTTATTAGCACTAGGTTAAGATGGGTAGGGTAACAATACAAAGAAAAAAAGGGAAAATATTGTTTCTGCAGTGAAGAAAAGTAAGTGTCAAAGGAAGATAAGTTGGAAAATACAACCATGAAAGCCTTTCTGTTACTTTATTGATGTGGAAATATTTTCTCTGCTCTTTCCAGCTCAGCACTTTCTTGCAAAGATTTATTTATTTATTTATTTATTAATAGACATGTTCAGGTAATAAGACATGACAGGCAGCTCATGTCTGGAGGACTGTTAGACACTTCTGGATTTTGTAAACTGTGAGGAAAAGGGTGATTGAATTCAGAGTACCCCCAAATATATTACTCTGGATGAATTTCATTGCCTGGAGTATCTCCATTTTCTCATAAAGAAGAATTGATGAAAAAACAAGTTTAAATATCAGACTCCACAAAATCTCAGTATTTTATTCATTGGTACCCCAAATCTGTATATTCTCTATAAAGAAAAGAGGAAAGAAAACATCTTTATATTCTTAATCACATAAGGCATAAGATCATTAAAGCATTATTCATGGTCATTCAACTATAAATTATTTTATAATTTTAATGCTTTGTGATTATTTTCTTGTGTATTTCTCTCAGATATTTTCTTAGTTTAATACTTGACTGGAGATAGGAAATAGAGTGTAAAGTTTATTCTAAACAGGCAGGGTAAAGATACAGAGATCAAAAGTCATAACTATACAAAGAACACAGCTACATCCTGAAAAATTTGCCCTGGTTTTAATAATGTGGTTACATATACAAAGTTCCATTTTTTAAAAAAAATCTAGTTTCCTTGGCACTTGTCAGCTAGTTTTTACCACAGTCAGAAAAGCATACCTTTATTTGAATTATGACAAAGAATCAGAGGAGCTTTTTGATTCCTCAATTTTAATTGCTTTTTGAACTGCCATTCCAGATTTTTTAAGTTCATTCATCTTACATTTATGGTTTTAAAAATTAGGTTTGCATTTCTTATCAGAAAAGAAAGTAAAGAGAAAAGTGGGGTGGAAACTCAGAAAGTTAATATATCAAGAAAGGCCAATAAATATTTAAATTTAAATTGAGGATATTCTAAAAGTAAAAAAGAAAAATCCCAGTTATTGACTAAGAGTGGAAAGTAAGAAAACGTCCTCCTCTCCCATGGTCTATCTCTATTGATCTTCCAGTTTTGTTCCAGGTGGAAGAAAAATGACAAATAAATTAAATGGTAAATGACAAAATACCTTGAATAATCCAAAAGGGCTGAAACATGGGTGGATCTAAATTATGTGAGACTTCTAAGGGGAACTTGTTACTGTGTTACAGTTTGCAACAGAACTGGAAGATCAATAGAGATAGACTTGGGAGAGGAGGAGTTACTAAAAATGAAATGGTTAAAAACAAAGAAGCAGGCAAATAGCATAGCTGTGGACAGCTAAGTTCTGGAGCCGGGGTGTGTGAATTCCCATCCCAGTTCAGCCATTTTAAAGCTGTATAACCTGGGCAACTACTCTCAATGATTCTTCTTACTGTGCCTGTCTCTTCAACTGAAGATAGGAATAAGTTTAGAATTACCTCACTGGGATGTTGAGATGATTAAATGAATTATTACATGTAAAATGTTTTTAAAAAAACAGAAGTAAATTTCAAGACTAGGTATTTGTCTTCCTTATAAAATGACAAATAAGGTAAATGGTAAATGACAAATTTACCTTGAGTAATCCAAACAGGCTAAAACATGGGTTGATCTAAATTATTTGAGACTTCTAAGGGGAACTTCTCATTGCTTAAGCATATGGAAATATCAGAACTTCTGCTAAATTTTGTATATTCAGTTTTTTGGAGTTTAATAACAAGCCTATACATCACACATAGTGTTTAGCATGTACAGTCATATTAAGTACATTGAATTTTATATAGATTTATTTAGAAAAATGTTAATGTCTAAAACTTGCAAATTTGAGCAATAAGGCAGTTCCATAGATATCATTAAATTATTTTGGTTAGCTAACATAAAAAGATTGTACTTCAGAAGTAATTTTGAAGAATCTTTAGAAAGTAGTATCAATTAACCTTTCACAGTACTTATCTCTTGAATGTAATATTAAAGTAGGTTGGGTTTATAGACTTATCCTTTGTTTGAATATTTATCAGTACTTACAAATAGTAATACAAATAATAAAAGTATGTTGCCTCAGGTAAGTATTATGCTTTCTGTGTACATTGGGTGCTTTATATGCATTGTTTTTAAAAACCTAAAAATTTAAAACCCTAAAATCCCTATCTTCAGTTGAAGAAACAGGCAACAGTATGAAAGTGAGGTCCAAAGAAGACACATGACTTATGAAATCTGTATAATACTACAACACAGCAAAAGCAGGTGAAAGCCAGTGATAATTTTGGAAGTTGTAAAGTGATGTACAATAATAATTATCATTATTCTACTAGATAATAAAATTTAAGGTAAAGTTATTTTAACATGCACTTTCTAGCTCATTAGATTGTTAATATTAAGTGGTTGATGTTAAAGTTTGTATTTTATTTGCGTGATGAGAGAACTTAGCTACAGAAAATATGAGTGGCTCACTTATGGATTTATGAACACCAGTTGCTGGAATATGAAACTGTGTCTTTCCATGTTACCTATTTTTGTATTCATTGCACAATATCGACTATACTTGTTGTTGGTATGATGCCCAAGTGATACTTACAGTGAATGCCAACTTAGGTATAAATTTCTGAAAAGTAAAATAAAGTTTAGGGAGTTATAGTGCATGTGGGAAAATAGTAGAATTGAGAGAAGTGAAATTTCACATTATTTCGAAGCAAGCAAAGACTTTCAAACCTGCATCTCCAATTCTGTTCCTTCACAGAATTCAAGCTCCATACAACTGCTTAATAGATGTTTTCATAATCTTTGCATTGTGGTCAAAACAAGATACTGAAAACATAATTTTATCTCAAAAGACTTTGAAATCTAACTGGAAAGAAAAAAACAGATGTGAATCAACCAGCAAGCAATAAAATACCCCACAATTACTAGAAAAATTTGGTTTTAGGCTTTTAAGCAGTTATAAATGGACCAGAGCTAACTGAGATTCAAAGAAGGCTAAACTAACTTCTAGAACTGATAGGCATAAGATATTTCAAGAGTAAAAAAAAATTAAATTTCAAGATTGTTTTGTTCATAACTTTCTTTAGTCAGTGGAAATGTTCTTCTTCACACTCCTAGATTAATATATGTAAGAAAAAACACTAATATAGAATGTAGCATATTAGTATAGAAATACCTATATACCTAAAAATATGAAGGATGTGATAATTTGATTGTTTTTAAATATAAATTTACAGTATTTTTGTAGAAAATTATAGTACATTATTACAACTAATTATTTATATTTCTGTTTGTTTTCTGAATTATAAGATAGATTATAACGTTAGTCAGGATGGTCTCAAATCTCCTGACCTCGTGATCCACCCGCCTCAGCCTCCCAAAGTGCTGGGATTACAGGCATGAGCCACCGCACCCGGCTTGAGTGCAATTATTTTTAAGAGAAAATTATGATTTTTTTCTTGGCCCATTTCCTTATGTGTAATATGTTTTTTCTCTAGTAACGTACATATTTTTCTCTTCAGCTTTGGGAATCAGAATGTTGACTATAATGTACCTAGCTGTGGTTCGCTTGTTGCTTATCATTCTGACCTTTCTAAATCTATAAGTTTGTGCCTTCAATAATATATGGGAAGCCTGAGCCTGTACGATAGTTCTTCTGTATTTTTCTGTCTCAAAGGCACTATCTTTTCCAATGACACTCATTTTAAACTGTTTGACACTGGACTACAAGTCCCTTAAGTTCTGCTTATTTGTTTCACATATTTTTTTCTCTGTGATCTTCAAATGGACAATTTGTATTGATATGTTTTCAATTTTACTATTCTTTTGTTTTCCTAGTCTCCAATCTGATATAAAGTCCATCTCCCAAGTTCTACAGTTTTGCTTTAAGTTTTTTATAGTTCCCATTTCTGTACCAACATTTCCTATTGATTAACTCATTAAGACCATATTTTTTTCTTTGAATCATTTAAATTACCTTCAGAAGATTTTAAATGGATAAAACTCTTAAATAGCTTTAAAAGTAGCTACTTTAGAGTAATTTCTGCTAAGTCCAATATCAGAGCCATCTTGAGTTATGTTTCTTAATCCTCCTTCAGTCTTTTCTTCCTCCTGCTCCCTCAGTCTCCTCCTTCTCCTTTATTGACTTCTTCTCTTCTTCCTTCTTTTCTTCCTATTTTGACTCTTCTTCCTCCTCCTGCCTCTCCCTCTTCTCCTTCCATTTTTCTTCTTCCTCTTCCTCCTTCTCCTCTTCTTAATTATCTTCTTCAACTATGGGTTGCATTTTTCTATTTAGTTGAATTTCTCATAAATGTTGATTCATCATTGGACATTGGGAATAATATATAATAACAGTATGTACAGACTTTGGATTCTGTTATCTTCCTTAGAAGAGTGCTAATTCTTGACTTAGAAGGCATTTTGGACTATTATCACATGGAAATTGAGTAGTTTTTATGTCATACATTGTGAGTGAGATCTATGGAAAGCCCAAAGTATTTGCCAAGGCCTGTAACTTGGCAAGACTCAGCTGCCAAACTTAATATGCCTGAGAATCTTGTTAAAATTTGTCTTTAGGCTTCTGACTTTAGGGGTAGGCCTAGAGTAGAGTCGAGTTGAGTCACGTCTAGGGTACAAATTTTACTTGCAAGGTTCCTAGTGTCTCAGATTTAACTAAATAAATAATACTTGGAATATTTTATGTTAATCAGATCAATTTAATCAATTTAGTCATTTATACAATTTTATTGCAGTTTTTTCTTTATCTTTACAATAATATACTGATGAACTGCTTATTAGTCTGCAAATAGCGCTGTAGAAATAATTCAGCTTTCAGGATTTTCAGCTATAACGTCTATTTACAATAGTATTTCTATACTTTTGAAAGCGCATTAGAGAATCGTGTATTGAAGCTAGGAAGCAATAGGAAACAATCAGTTCTTTCCCTTTGATGTTATAGTCTAGTGTTTACATGGAAGGTGAAACATTTGTCTCAGATAGTTTCATTTGTCTGATTGATAGGCTTTCCGACACAGTTTAATTATTTCTACTTTTAAGAGGCATATTTGGTCCACGTGTTCTTTCATTACTGTTTAATTTATCAAAATTTTCTTCTTGTTTTTTTTTTCTTTTTAATCTTTTAAAGCAACTGGTAATATTTTGGCTATTCTACGAGTTTGGTAATTTCCTTATTATGGAAAATAGTGAACATCATAGGTAATTCTAGAGTAAATGGACAAATCAATACAAAGAGGTTACATTATAAAGAGCCCAATGAGCTCAGAAAAGCAAAACTATGTATTTTTTCACCATCAAGAAGCAAAGGAAGGATATTTTGGGTATGCAGAATGATATGAGCAGTAAAGTTGGAAGTGTTCGTCAGTCTAGACAATGCCGGTGGACCAATACGACTGATAAACTTTAGAAAATATCCTTTGGACAATCTCATTGTTTACTTTACACCTAAAGCATATATTTATATGATAGTAGCAAAACTAGAGTAAAAATGAAATGTCAAATAATAAGTTTAACTCCTTCGGGAATCAAATTTGAACATTTTTTATTTCCCTCAGTTTCCATATTTTAAACAGCCTTTCAGATACTCCTATTATAGCATGTCTCATATATATATTTATAAACTACTTGTTTATGGGTTCCTGCCATTAGATTCTAGAACTTAACTATTGAAATACTGTTAGACAAATTTTATAAATCTAATGTCTAGTACAGTGTGTGGCATCTAGCTCATGCTCAATAAATATTGCCTTGAACTGTTGATTACTCTATCAATTGGTTTTGCCTGAATGATTATTTCAGCTGATTATTGAAATGTAGTTTAGATATAGGTTTTCAGAATTAAAAACTTTGCTGCTGGTCAACAGGTGCAATTAAGATTAGGAGGAGTAAGCTCTAGTACTCTATTTTCACAGTAGGGTGATTATGATTAACAGCAAGGTATTGTATATTAAAAAATAGCTACGAGAGGCTTTGAATACATACATATGCTTATATGTTTATGCATATATACATACATGTACATATATGTGCATAAATACATGCACTTACATATATATACACGTATAAGTTTTGTCCATATATATGTATGGAAACATCAAATTGTACCCTTGAAATATGTACAATTAAAAAATAAAAGTAAATAAATGTTAAAAAACAGAAATCACCTCCAAAATTTATGTTGGTTGAAGAGGATCCTAAGAGGATGGTTGCTGTGACAAAGAATAAAGAAGAATAAGTGATAAGAAATAAAGATAAAGCAATACAGGTCAATTTCTACTTCTGGCACTGGTGGAGTAGACAAATATTTCCCTTTTTTTTTTTTTTGAGACAAAGTCTTGCTTTGTCGCCCACGCTGGAGTGCAGTGGCACAATCTCAGTTCACTGCAACCTCCGACTTCCAAGCTCAAGCGATTCTCATGCCTTAGCCTCCTGAGTAGCTGGGACTACAGGGGCTACTGCACCTGGCTAATTTTTTGTATTTTTGGTAGAGACAGGGTTTCATGTTGCTCTGACTGGTCTCAAACTCCTGGCCTCAAGTGATCAACCCTACTTCGCCTCTCAAAGTGCTGGGATTACAAGTGTGCACCACCATGCTTGGCAAACAAACCCTTTCATCAGAAATGATAGAACAGATAGAAAATTGTGATTTTTCTTTTAAAACTTAGCATACAAAAATATTTGTTGCTAGAACTAAAATACTGGAAGAAATTTTTCAGGCACAATATAAGTCTACATGGAAAGACTGTAATGATTAATGAATAAGTATGTAGGTTACTCTAAATGAATATTGAGTGGTTAAAGCAGTATTTATGTCTTCTGGGTGTGTATAATATATATAAAATTAAAATGCACAGAAACAATAGTACAAACATCAACTGATGATGTGGAGTTAAAATGGTCTAATGTCCTCATTTTTTGTTCAGGAGGTGATAAGAGTACTAATTTATAATTGACTCTAATAATCAAGGATGCATATTTTGCTTCCTAAGAGAATACAAAACTTACAAGTCAATAAAAAACTTGCAATAAAAACACCTACTTGATTAAGAGAAGGCAAAAACAATGACATAAAAGGAACAAATAATAGAGGAACAAACACATAACACATATATAAATAGTTATAGTAAGTTTAGATATGTTATATACTTCAAAGTTAAGTAAAGACTATGACATGAGCTAAAAAAAACCTAAATGTTGTTTATAAGAAATACACCTTGATTATAGTATTTTAATAATTATAAGTACAGGCACTAATTTACAAATAGCTGAATGAATCTATGCTAATAGCAGATAAATTATAATTTACGGTGTGAGCATTGATAGATATAAAGAAGGGTATTTCATAATGGTAGACAAGTAAGCATATAACGACCATATAGTAATTTTAATTCTATTCACCTAATAACTTGTCCAAATATGTACAGCAAAAACTGAAATAACAAGGAAGGGAAAATCTATGCAATAAAGATTTTTAATGAAGTTGCTCAGTAACAGGTGAAAGAAACAGAAGAAAAAATAGTAGATCTAATAACAATCTAAACACAATGAAAAAATTGGACCCAATTGGCATACATTCACCCAATAAAAGAAGAATATACATTATTTATGTTTACACTAGAAATTCACCAATATCAAATTATATTATTTCTCCTAAGAGAGGTAGACACTTTAGCAGTAAACGTTTGTATGATGTTCTAAGATCAAAATTGTCCTCTTCTGAAGAAAATAAAATAACTTAATGCATTTTTTTGGTAACAACCTGAAATACAGCCATGAAATCATGTTTCAAAAACATCCATTTGGCAGCATATTTGATACCTTTAGGCCATAGGCATTTTGTATTCTCAGACAAATTGATACTGGGATTTTTGATGTACTTATTTAAATTTGTATTTTCTAACTCAAAGACAATGAGACATTTATATTATGTAATGGAGCTCCATGGCAAACTATAATAATTATAGTATAACTATGAGGCGGAGGAAGAGAAAGGGAATATAACACATAGTATTCATTATGTTTAAAATATTGTTGAAAGAAAGTTGTTAACATGCTTAATCTTTAAAATAGTTATTCTTATTATTCTGTTATATGGATAAAGAATCTGAGGCATAATATGATTAAATGATTTGCACAAAGGAAGTGCTAAGTTGTGAAATGAGAATGTCTGGCTTCAGAGTCAATTAATGGCTCATTGAAAATCTGTTATTTTCAATAAAATTATGAAAAACATTTTAAAGTGTAATTAAACAGACAAGTGTGGACAAGAAAACCTTAATTAATAAGTCATATTTTAGAGAATACAAAATAAAATACAGTGATTTATTTTAGAGAAATGCAACCAGGTCCAAATTCAGTAGTTTCAGTATATTCAGAGTTGTGCAAGCATCAATATGATCTAGTTTAAGAACATTATTCTAAAGAAAAACCCTATTATCAATCACACTCCATCCTACCCAGCCACTTACCTCTGTGCAGTCCTAATCAACCACTAATCATTTTCTGTCTGCATAGATTTGCCTATTCTGGACATTTCATATGAATGGAACCATTCACTATATATCTTATTTTATTACTGAATAATTCCACTTGGCATAATGTTCTTGAGTTCCATGTTGTTGCAAGTATCAGTGCTTTATTTTATTTTATTGTTAAATAGTATTCTATTGTATGAATATACCATATTTTGTTTATCCCTTCATCAGTTAATAGAGATTCAACTTATTTTGGCTCCTATAAATAATGCTACTATGAACATTCGTATGCAAGTAGAGTATGGATATCTGTTTTATTTCTCATGAGTATATGCCCAGGAATGGAATTTCTGGGTCAGATGGTACTCTATGTATAATCTATTGAGGAATTTGCAAATTATTTTCTAAATTGGCTGCACCATCTTACATTTTGAGATTTCTCATTCTATCATATCTTTGACAACAATTATAGATGTTCTAATGGTTATCTAGTGGTATCTCATTGTGATTTTAATTTGCATTTCCTGAGTTATTTTTAAGCATCTTTTCATGTGCTCTTTTGTTTATATATTTTTACCAGGGTGACTACTAAAATGCTTGGCTTGTTTATTTCATTTTGTTGTTCTTTTTATTGTTGTTTTAAGAGTTATTTATATATTTTGAATACAAATATCTAATCAGATGTATAATTTGCTAATACTTTTTCCCATTCTGTGGGTTATTTCTTTCACTTTCCTTTTGTTATTTATTGAAAATAAAAATTGCATATATTTATTGCCTACAACATGTTTTCAAATACATATTATGGAATGTCTAAACTGAGTTAATTAACATATGCATTACCTTAGTTATCATTTTTTTTTTGTGGTAAAAACACTTATAATTTACTTTCTTAGTAAATTTCAAGAATATAATACATTGTTGTTAACTATAGTCACCATGTTATACAATAGATCTCTTGAACTTATTTCTCCTAACTCAAAGATTGTATCCCTCTACCAACATCTCCAAAACTTCACTCCTGATCTTTCAGTTTCCTTATGGTATCATTTATAACACACAAAGCTTTTAATTTTGATAAAATCTAATTTATCTATTTTTTAAATTTTCTCTTGTGCTTTCAGTGTCAGATCTAAGCTATTACCTAAACCAAAGACATAAAGTTTTACTTCTATGTATTTTTCTAAGATTTTAATAATGTTAGCTATATATTTGTTCTGTTGTCCTTTTTGAGTTAATTTTTCTGTATGCTATGATGCTAGTGTTCATACTTTTGCATGTGTGTATCCACTTGTCCCAGTTCCATTTGTTGAACAAACTATATTTTCTCAATTAAATTTTCTTGTCACCCTTATTAAAAATCTGTGGCCAGACTTGCTCTTCCAGGAATATGGCATAGACATACTTCTCTCCATTTCTCATGCTACAAACAACTAAAAACCCTCTATGTTATATATAAAGCCAATATTGAGAGGTAGGGGAAAAAAGGCAGATTGACTAGTGAACTTGACATCTAAAGAACAACATTTTGCTAGTTCTCTGGAATTTCCTTTTACTTCAAGTATCTCAGTCTCAGGCTTAAATAAGCCAGTAACTTGGAAATGACAGACACAGTCACAAAAAGCACCAATAACAGCCTGCCTTCTGTACCCAAAGGACCAAGAAAATGGAAACACAGAAAGACAAAAAACCGTTGAGTTGATATATGTCCTATACCAGCCAAACAACACAGAAAAATATGTGGCTTCCACCCTTATCCACAGCAAAAAAAGACTAAGTGGGGAGCTGGTACTTTCAGGCTTACCAGGCTACAAGAAGGTGTTCCAACACCCTCACTGTGGTGGTGCTTGAAAGAGCTAGAATACTCATCTCTGCTGGCCAGTAATGAGACCCCCTGTACTGCAGTGTCAGTGTAAACACTGGATCCTGGACTTTCATACCCACTTCATAGTAACAAGGTGCTTCTTCTGCTTCCTGCTGGGGTGGTGTCAAAAGAGATCTAGTGTTCAGAGTGGTCACCAGCACCCAATTACAACAATGTGACTCCCTGGGTTGTTAATGGAGGCCAATTAGGAAACATGGACTTCTTCGACCTGACAGCAATGAGGTAATCCTCCCCTTCCCATTCCACTGCTGGGGTAGACTCAGAAAAAGACTCATACACTGAAAATGTAATACAATCCAGAGTTCCTTAGCATAATATGAAAATATCCTGATTGCAGTTAAAAAACTCACTTGTCATACAGAAAACCAACAAGATATCAAACTAAGTAAAAAACAAATTGGATGCCAACCCTAGATGACAGAGATTTTAAAATTATCTCACAAAGATTTTAAAGCAGCCATGCTAAAAATGCCTCGACAAACAGCACAGGCACACTTAATACATTTTTTTTCAAGCGAAAGTGTCAGCAAAAAAATTTAAAAGTTTCAGCAAAGAATAGAACATGTAAGGAGGAACCAAATCAAAATCTACGAAAAGTATAATAAGTAGTATGAAAAGCTCAATTATTGGGATCAACAGCCAAATAGAGGGAACAAAGAAAATAATCTAAGAACTGAAGACAGAAAATAAATTACTCAATCTGAACAACAGGAAGAAAGTAGGCCAAAAAAATGGATAATGCATCAAGAACCTGTAGGACTAAAATAAAGAATGTAAAATTTGTGTCATTGGAATTATAAAAGGAGAAGGGAAAGAGAGCAGGACTAAAGACATACTTAAAAAATGACTAAAAATTTTCTAAATTTGGCAAGAGTCAAACCTACAGATTGCAAAAACTGAGTATACCCCAAAATGGATAAACCAAAATAAATCCATGCATACACATCTTAAATAGAAAACTAACGAAAAAAAGTATTACAAGCAGCCAGAGACAAAAGGGCTCCACGCTTATAGGTGAAAAGGATAAAAGATACAGAAGTACTCAACAACACGGTTGACCAACAGGATGTAATTAACACTTATAGAACACTTTACTCACAACATTGTAATATCCAACAGGATGTAATTAACATTTATAGAACACTTTACTCACAACATTGTAATATCCAACAGGATGTAATTAACATTTATAGAACACTTTACTCACAACATTGTAATATATATTCTTTTCAAGTATCAAAGGAACAATCTAAGGTTTCATGTAAATACCCAAAAAAAAAAAAAAAAAAAAAAAAAGAAGGAGGAGGAGAGCTAAATCCAGAGCAAGGAGTAGTAAATATAGAAAAAGAGCTGAACATCTGAAAACAAAACAACAAAATAGAGAAAATAATAGAGAAATATTATTGAAACAAAATTTGCTTCTTTGAAAAGATAGGTAAAATTGACATACTGCTGGTAAAGCTGACAAAGAAAAAAGATGACACAGATTACCATTGTATTAGTTTGTTCTTGCACTGCTATAAAGAAATACCCGAGACTGGGTAATTATAAAGAAAAAAGTTTTAATTGGCTCATGATTCTGTAGACTGTACAAGAAAGAAAGTACGGCAGCATCAGCTTCTGGGAGGCCTCAGGAAACTTAAAATCATGGTGGAAGGTAATGGAGGAGCAAGATATTTTACATGGTAGGAGCAGGAGCCAGGGTGGAGGTGGCGTGCTATGCACTTTTAAACAATCAGATCTCTTGAGAATTCACTCACTATCGCTAGGACAGTATCAAGGGGGATGGTGTTAAACCATGAAAAACCACTCATATGATTCAATCACCTCCCATCAGGCCCCACCTCCAACATTGGGGATATAATTTGATTTGGTGAGGACATAGATCCAAACCGTATGGCCAATATTAGGACTAAAAGGAGAGATATCACTACAGTTCCTACAGACTTTAAAAACATAATGAAAGGCACACTATTAATAATTCTATACACATCAATTGGACAACTTAAGACAAAATGCACCGATTCCTTAAAAGAAAAAAATATGCCAATTCCTCTGATATGAAATAAATATTGCAAATAGCCCTATAACTATTAAGAAAATAGAATTCACAATTACAAAAGTGCAAAGAAAAGAGAAATCTCCTGACCCAGATGGTTTCGCTGGATAATTCTATCAAATGTTTCAAAATAACTAGCATTCTTATTCTAGAAACAATAGCAAGGAAATTTCCCAATTCATTTCATGAAGCAGGTATCACTGTCCTGATATCAAAACCATATAAATCCAGTACATAAAAGAAAGCTGAAGATCAGTACTTCTAGAGAGTATAAATCCCTAAGCAAAATATCAGCAAGTAGAACTCAACAATATATGAAAAATAATTATAACATGACCAAGTGGGCCTATTGCAAAAATGCAAGGATAGTTCTATATTCCAGAATCAACCAATGTCATCCACCATATTAAGAGATTATACAAAATAAGTATATCATCCCAATACAAGGAAATATGTAACAGGTACACAGGCTGGAAATGAAAAAAAAAAAAAAAAAACTTAAACTATCCCTAGTTGCAGATATTGTAAGTGGCTATACAGTACATGTACCCCCTGAATCTAAAATAATATAAAATAATACAGATGATTAAGACAGAAAGTAGAAAATTTTATAGATGTACAGAAAGACTACTCTACATAAGTGAGTTCAACTGGGTTACAGATACAAAGCAAATATCAGTTAAAAATCGTAATTTTTGTATAGTAGCAGTGAACATGTAGACATCTAAATTATCATTTACACTCATTAAGAAAATATAAAATACTTAGGATTAAATTTAACAAGTCATGTCTAGGACTTCTATCCTGAAAACTATACAAAGCTAGTAGAAGAAGTTCAAGATGGGGATCTATATAAATGGAGAGACATGCTGAGCTCATGGACTGAAAGTCTCTTGTAGTGAAACAGCAATTATCCCCAAATTTACTTATAAATTTAATGCCATTCTTGACAATATTTCAACAAGACTTTTTGTAGACGTAGACAACATTATTTTAAATTTTATTTCAAACTACAAAGGAACTAGAATAAATAATTTTGAAAAATGAATAATACTGTGGGAAGATTTAGTATGGTTGATTTCAAAGCTTATTATGTAGTTACAATAATCAAGACTTTGGCATTAGCAAAGAGGTAGAAACATAGATCATTGGAACACAATAGAGAACCTCAAAGATAGACTCAAACAAGTATGCCAAACTAATTTTGAGAAAGGTATAAAAGCATTTCATTTACGGAAATGTAGATTTTTTACTAAATAGTGCTGGATCATTTGGACATGCACAGGAAAGCAAAATTAATGTTGACCTAAGTCTGATACATAATCAAAAATTAAATAAACAGATCACAACTTAAATGTGAAACATAAAACTATTACACTTTTAGAAAAATAGATACAAAAAATGTTTAAAATCTAAGAATAGGTGAACAATAATTAGTCTTTATAGCAAAGCAGGATCCATAACAGGACAAAGTGATGACATGAAATTCATCAATATTAAAAACTTTTGCTATGTCATACACCCTATGAAGAATATGAAAAGAACAGCTATTGAGTATCAGATAATATTTGGAAATCACAAACTGGAGAAGAGTACCTGCATCTAGAATATATACAACCTTTCAAATTTAGCAGTTAAAAAATTTAATGATCCAATTAGAAAATGGATGAAAGTGTTTTTTTAAATACTTGAATGTGAATTTATGCTTATCTCAAAATAAGATTTTTAAAAAGAAGAAAACAATAAATTTGCTCAGTTCCCCTCTTGACTCCCCCACACTCAAATCAAATGTCTATATATGTAAAACTATATTTATGGACTCAATTTTATTCAATTAATCTTATGTCCATCTTTATGCCACCAGTACCATGCTATGTAATTACTGTAGCTTTGAAATACACTTTAAATTAGGAAGTAGGTATCATCTAATTTTTTTTCCAAATTGTTTTGGCTGTTTTGGTTCCCTTGCATCATATATGTTAATATAAATTTTTGGCATCAACTTGTCAATTTTAGCAATTAAAAATAGCCACATTCGATTTTGCAAGGTACTGCTTGAATAAGTGCATCAGTCTGGAGTGTATTTGCCTCTTGAAAATGTTGCCTTCTAATTGATGAAAAAAAGGATATCTATCATTTATTTACATATTCTTTCATGTCTTTCAACAATTTTTGTAGTATTTAGTATAAAAGTCTTGCTTCTCTCGTTAAATATATGCACAAATATTCTTCTTTGCACTATTGTGAATGAATTTATTCTCTAATTTTATTTGTTGGATTGTGCATTGCTAAAATATAAAAATACAGTGATTTTTTGTTCACTGATATTTAGCTTGCAACCTTGCTGAATTTGTTTTTCATTCTAACAGTTTTTAGTGTGTTTTTTAGGGTTTTCTATATACAGGGATACCTCATTTTATTATGTTCTGCTTTATTGTGCTTTGAAGATATCTTTTTTTTTTTTTTTTAACCAATTGAAGTTTTGTGGTAATGCTGTATGGACAAATTGGATAGGCACCATTTTCCCAACAGTATATGCTTACATTATTAGCATTTTTATAGCAGTAAAGTATTTTTTTAATTAAGGCATGCACGTTTTTTAGACTAAATGCTATTGCACACTTAATAGATTATAGTATAGTGTAAATTTAACTTTTATATGCACTGGAAAACCAAAATGTTCATGACTCACTTTGTTGCAATATTTACTTTATTACTGTGGTTTGGAATTGAACCCACAATATCTCTGAGGTATGTCTATATAAGATCCTGCCGTCAGCAAATATTTGTATTTCTTTCTTTGCTGTATGGTTGCATTTTATTTATTTTTTTCTTATCTAATTTCTCTGGCTAGAACCTCAAGTATAAGGTTAAATACAAGTGGCAAGAATGAATATCCTCGTTCTGTTCCTGAGCTTAGAGGAAAAGCCCTATCTTTCACCATTAAATTTGATGGTGGTCGTCAGTTTAACATAGCTGTTCTTTATCAGGTTGAAGGTGTTCCATTCTATTTTTAGTTTATTGAGTGGTTTTACTATAAAAAGCATGTTGAATTTTGTAAAATATATATTCTTTTTCTATTGGGATACTTAGTGGATTTTGTCCTTTATTCCGTTTATATGTTTTTACATTAATTGATTTCAGAATGTTAGGTTTAGCTTTGCATTCCTGGGTAAATCTCATTTGGTTATTATGTGTGATTATTTTTTTATTTTGCTGAATTCACTTTTCTAGTATTTCATCAAGGATATTTTTATCAATATTCATAAGGAATATTGGTCTGTGGAATTTTTATCTCGCATTGTCTTTGTTTTTTGATATCAGAGCAAGATGGTCTTTAAAATTAGTTGGGAAATGTTTCTTCCTCTTTTATTTTGTGAAAGAGTTTGTGAAAAGTTGGTATTAATTTTTTATGTGTTTAGTAAAACTCACCAATGAAGCTTTTTGGGCCTAGGATTTTCTTTTTACAATTTTTTTTTTTAGTCACACATTCAATCTCTTATTGTAGTTCTATTCATATTTTATAATTCTTCTTCAGTTTATGGTTTGGGTCATTCTAGGAATTTGTTCATTTCATTTGAATAATCTAACTTTTTAATTCATAGAATTCCTTATAACCCTTATTTCGTTAAGGCTGGTAGTTATGTGCTCTCTATTATTCTTGATTTTAGTAACCTGTCTTCTCTCTTTTTGTTCTTGGTTAGTCTATATAAAGTTTTGTCAATTTGCTGATCTTTTCAAAGAATCAACATTTGGTTTTGAGAACTTTTTTCTGTTGTCTTTGTATTTTCTATTTCATTTATATGGTCTTTGTTGGGTGCAGTGTTCTATAGATGTTAGTGAGGCTTAGTTGGCTTCTGGTCTTGCTCGAGTATTTTATATCTTTGCTGATATGCTGCTTTGTTGTTATATCCATTACTGAAAGCAGAGAATTAAAGACTCCAACTATTATTTTTGAAGTATATACTTATCCCTTCAATTCTGCCATTTTTTCCATGTATTTTGAGAATCTGTTAGGTACAAATATTTTCATATTTTTTTATTAATATGGACTACTATATGACTATAAAAGTATTCATTTACCTCTGTAACAATTTTTATGTTGTCTATTTGGTATGATATGAGGTTAGCCACTCCAGCTCAATTTTCATAACTGCTTCCATATTATATATTTTGCCATCCTTTTATTTTACTTTCATTTGTTTTGTGCCTCTGTACCTAAAATATGTCTCTTGAATAATAATTTTCATCCATCTAGCAATACCTGTTATTTAATTGGAGTGTTTATTCCATTTATATTTGATGTTATTACTGACAAGGCAGAACTTATTCTTGTCATTTTGCTATTTGTTTGCTGTACGCCTTATATATTTGTTCTTTCCTTTCATTACTGCCTCATTTTTTTTGTTAAATACTTTCTAGTGTACAATTTTAATTCCTCTGTTGTCTCTTTTAATATATTTTTGAGATATTTTCTTATTTGTAATGCTGTGGATTACAATTAGCTTCTTACTTCAACATTCTAGTTCAGATTAATACTAACTTAATTTCCAAAACAGACAGAATATTTGCAGCAATGTGCTTTCATTCCCTCCTCATTTTTATAGTAGCATTTTATTATTAAATGTTATATTTATACGTTGTAAACTATTCAGAAATGTCTTATAATTACTGTTTTTGCAGTTTAAAAATTATATAGGAAAATAAAACAGTTAAAATGTACATTTTTGGTTCTCTTCATGTTCACCTAGGTAGCTGCTTTACTGGTACTCTTTATTTATGTGGATTTGAATTGCTGCATCATGCTTTTCCATTTCAGCCCAAAGGACTCATTTTAATTTTTCTTGTAAGACAGTTCAGATAGTGATGCATTTTAGCAGTTTTTATTTTTTTCAAATGTCATTATTTCTCCTTCATTTTTGAGAGCCTTTTTGGTTATAGATTTTCTTGTTAACGTTCTCTTGTTTCATTCCTTTAAACATGTAATTCTACAACTTTTGGCCTTAATCATTGTTAATCTTTTATATGCTTGATTTATTTTTTCTCTTTGCTGCTTTCAAGATTCTCACTTTGTCTTTCAACAGTTTCACTGTGATGTGTCTGGGTGTGGATCTCTATATGTTATTTTTCCTGGATGTGTAGATTAATATTTTGAAATCATATTTGAAAGTATTTGACGACTTTTTTCCCACCCAAATATCCTTGCTGTCCTCACCTCTTGCATCTTCTCTGGGACTTCAATTATGCAGATCTTGGTATGTGTAATATTGTCCCAAAAGCCTCTGAGGCTTTGCTTATTCATGTTCATTATTTTCTGTTTATGTTCCCTAGAGAGGATAATCTCATTGAATTATCTTCAAGTTTACTGATTCTTCTTCATGAACTTCAAATTTCTTGCTTAATTCCTTTAGTGAATTTTTCTTTTTTCAATTGTTTAACTTTTCAACTGCAGAATTTCCATCTGGTTATTTTAAGCTAATTTCTCATTAATAGTGTTATTTATTTGGTGAGACATTATTTGTACATTTTCAGTTAATTCCTTATTTATTTATTTATTTATTTATTTATTTTCATTCTTTAAACATACTTGTAGTAGCTAACTTAAAATCTTTGTCATATATGTCCAATTTCTGAACTTCGAAAATAGTTTCTAACCACTTATTTTTAAAATGAGCCATACTTTCCAGTTTCTTAAAATGTGTCATAATTTTTGTTGAAAACATGATATTTTAGTGCAGGAAGTGGTGGCTCGCAGCTGTAATCCCAGCATTTTGGGAGGCTGAGGTGGACGGATCAGTTGAGTCCAGGAATTTGAGCCTAGCCTGGGCAACATGATGAAATTCCATCCCTACAAAAAAATACAAAAATTAGCTGTGCATGGTGGAGCACGCCTGGAGTCCCTGGTACTTGGGAGGCTGAAATGGGAGGATGGCTTGAGCCTGGGAAGGTTGAGGCTGCCATGAGTCGTTATCACGCCACTGTACTCCAGCCTGGGTGACAGTAAGACCCTGTATCAAAAAAAAAAAAAAAAAAAAAAAAGAAAAGAAGGAAGGAAAGAAAGAAAGAAAGAAAAGAAAACATGGTATTTTAAATACTAGAATGTACCATCAGTGGAAATCATATTCTCACCCTTCCAGGTTTTGCTGCCTGTACCTGTTTTTCATTGTTTTGATATTTGTTCACTTAGTGACTTTCCCAGGTTAATTCTGTAAAGTCTGTATTCTTTCTAGTGCATGGCTATCCTAGCTTCTGCTCAGTTAGCAAATTATAGGTCAGATATTTCCTCAAATGTCATAAGCAAATCAATACATCTTTCATCTTTTTTTTTTTTTTTTTTGAGACGGAGTCTCGCTCTGTCGCCCAGGCTGGAGTGCAGTGGCGGGATCTCGGCTCACTGCAAGCTCCGCCTCCCGGATTCACGCCATTCTCCTGCCTCAGCCTCCCAAGTAGCTGGGACTACAGGCGCCCGCCACTACGCCCGGCTAATTTTTTGTATTTTTAGTAGAGACGGGGTTTCACCGTTTTAGCCGGGATGGTCTCGATCTCCTGACCTCGTGATCCGCCCGCCTCGGCCTCCCAAAGTGCTGGGATTACAGGCGTGAGCCACCGCGCCCGGCCCCATCTTTCATCTTATCCCAAAAGGTTTTCTCTCTGGTGTGTGTGTGTGTGTGTGTGTCTGTGTGTGTCTGTGTGTGTCTGTGTGTGTGTTTGGGCACAACTTCAACATTATAACAATTTACAAGTTTGTCTTAGCTTTCACTTATTTTTTAGGCAGGATCTCAGGTCATCCGTAAGTGAGAGACTGGTTCTCTCTCAGCTTAGCATTCACACAGGCCTGTACATGCACATAACCTTGTGAATATGGTAGAGCTTTTCAAAGCCCCCTGTGAGCACGTCTTTCCCCAGACCTTCCTTTTATGTTTTGACCAGGCTCTTGTTCCAATTTACACAGAAGCTTCAGGCAGTTGCAATGTTAAACAATTGTTTCAACTTTTTTTTTTTTTTAAACAAATGAGCTGGGGATAGGGCTCTAACCATGGAGAAATCTCCATGTCAGGCCAAATAACAGCAACATGTGCAAATTGAGTTTTCCAGGGGAATGCAAGATAGGTTAAATAGCGACAGTCTTCTGGGCAAGGGGAAAGGAATGCGTTGAGGAGCACCAAATCTGGTCTGTTCCCCCTGATTGCTGGGAGGCTGTTTTGCACAGCTACCAGGGATGGGAGGCTGCTGATTTTGAAGGTTCCTACTGGGAAGAGGGGAGTGGGAGCAGTTGAGTTACAGTGCTATATTCCATGCCATTATTAGTAAGGTTCAGCAGTTTTTCTTGAAAAAAACACCCCTTATATTAATTCCAGATTTGGGATAAATCCCATAGCTCTGGAAAAAATAGATTTTGACCATTTTTGCCAGTATATTTGTTGCTTTTAATGTATGAGACTCTATATGGAGGCCTCCCCTCTGCCATTCCAGAAGTACCACCAAATACAAGTCATTTTATTCAAAAAGTAATATGTTATCACTAATTTTCCTATTCCGCATATATTCTCATAAAATGAGAAAGTGTAATTAATATAGCCCTCATAACAGCAGGATGTCAGCTGCCCAATTAAAAATAAAGAAAATCACAGAAAAATACTACTCTCTAATTTGAAATACTTTAGTTTTTAAAAGTCAGTAGTATTTTATATAAGCTCTTGGGTGGCAGTGGGAAATCCAGCTGGGACTTAGACTTCTTAAAGCTATCCAATTATGTTTGACATAATTCATTATATTCTTTCTCAAACTTTCAAACTTAGGTACAACCTAAAGAAATAATTTTTACTTTCTGAGTTAATTTGTATTTCTACCGTTAATGCCATCTTTTTATTGAGTGATTCCTAGATTTTTCCTATAATATATAAGACTAAATTGACTCAAATATCAAAAGGTTTAAGCTTAAAATGTCATTCTTATGAATTTGGAATGGGTTATAAACTTTATAAAATTAACTGAACTGTATAGAATTAATTTTGTGTGAAAATAAGAAAATAAAATCAGAAGGACACAGTGGCATAAATGTCTGAAATACAGTTTACTTAATAGTAGCAGATAATTTGTATTAGTTAATAATTCAGAGATCCAAATGAGGAGACATACACTAATAAGTTTTATAGATAAAACACTTACACATTTCTTCATCTTTAAAATGTAGAGCGTACTAATATGTACTTCACAAGCTTATTGTAGAGATTTAATAAAATAATATATGTTCCTTGACAATAGAAATATTAGAATAAATGAATATTCTGGAGGCAGCTTTTGCTGTTGCTTCTTGTTGTTTAATTTGTAGACAAATCAGTTACCCTGATTTAAAAAAAAAACTATGTTATTATTATTGTAGATGTTATAGTGAGGATCATCAGGAAAAAAAACTAGAAATAATGGGATCTTAATATAATTAATATAACAACATGGTCACTTTAAAAAGACAAGATGGCATCTGGTCTAGCAAGATTTGTAATCAACTGAACTCTATCAACATGTTCAAAGAAAGACTGTCAGAAACAAGGGGGCTTTTTCACTTATTGAACCGTAAAATGTGGAGTCTAAGATGTGAACATTAGCATTGCTCATTGTAATTATATCCCATAGGGCAAATACCACTGCATTCTGGAGATAACCATGAAAAACTAGCTAAGTTAGATGTTATGAAACATTTGAAATATACACATAATCCCTCTTATTTAAAATAGGTGTTTTTACTTCTTTTTTCTAAATTAGTTATAAATATCTTATAATTTAAGATGTCTTCTTATTTGGATTTGCTATATAGAGAAATATGTTAGGAAGAAATATTGGCACTGTAGTTTTTCATCTCACACTCTGTGAGTTTATTTATTGTAAGTCTACCCTGATGGACAGACACCTCACTCTCTGTCACTTATTCCATTTTCTCATAATCTGAGGCTAAGATCTACATTGGAATTATGACACATTCACTTAGGAAACTTTCTGTGACTGAGAGACCCTTTTAGGAGAGAGCAGGTGAGTTTGCCTAAACAAACTCTTGTGGCACTGCATTCCAATACTTTTTCTACAATGACTGCATATAGAACTCTTTTCTACCATACAACTCTTTTCATCAGTGGGGAATTACGGGATGAGGAATAGACTGAGAAACTTGAGTGTAAGGCTGTATTAGTCTGTTTTCATCCTGCTGATAAAGACATACCCGAGACTCAACAATTTACAAAAGAAAGAGCTTTAATGAACTACAGTTTCACATGGCTGGGGAGGCCTCACAATCATGGTGGAAGGCAAGGAGGAGAAAGTCACATCTTACATGGATGGCAGCAGGCAAAGAGAAGAGAGTTTATGCAGATAAACTGCCTCATATAATACCATTAGTTCTTCTGAGATGTATTCACTATCATGAGAACAGCATGGGTCCCCATGATTCAATTATCTCTCACTGGGTACCTCCCACAACATGTGGGAATTCAAGATGAGATTTGGGTGGGGACACAGCCAAATCATATTTTTCTGCCCCTGGCCCCTCCCAAATATCATGTCCTCATATTTCAAAACCAATCGTGCCTTCCCAGCAGTCTCCCAAAGTCTTAAGTCATTTCAGCATTAACTCAGAAGTCCGTAGTCCAAAGTCTCATCTGACACAAGGCAAGTCCTTTCCATCTGTGAGCTTGTAAAATCAAAAGCAAGTTAGTTACTTCCTAGATACAATGGGGGTACAGGCTTTGGGTAAATACAGCTGTTCCAAATGGGAGGAATTGGCAGAAGCAAAGGGGCTGCAGGCCCCATGCAAGTTCAAAATCCAGCAGGGCAGTCACATCTTAAAGTTCCAAAATGATCTCCTTTGACTCCATGTCTCCCATCTGAGTCATGCTGATGCAAGAGGTGGGTTCTCATGGTCTTGGGCAGCTCCACCCCTGTGGCTTTGCAGGGTACAACCTACCTCCTGGCTGCTTTCATGGGCTGGTATTGAGTGTCTGTGGCTTTTCCAGGGGAACAGTGCAATCTTTCAGTGGATCTACCATTCTGTGGTCTGGAGGATGGTGGCCCTCTCTCACAGCTCCAGTAGGTGGTGCCCCAGTAGGAGCGCTGTGTGGGGACTCCGACACCACATTTCTTATCCGCACTACCCTAACAGAGGTTCTCCGTGAAGACCCTGCCCATGCAGAAAACTTCTGGCTGGGCAGCCAGGTGTTATCATACATCTTCTGAATTCTAGGTGGAGGTTCCCAAACCCCAGTTCTTTACTTCTGTGCACTCTCAGGCTCAACACCACATGGAAGCTGCCAAGGCTTGGAGCTTCCATTCTCTGAAGCCATGCACCGAGGTCTACGTTGTCCCCTTTCAGTCATGGCTGGAGCAGCTGGGACACAGAGCACTAAGTCCGTAGGCTGCACACAGCCCAGAGACCCTAGGCCTAGCCCATGAAACCATTTTCTCCTAGGTCTTAAGGCCTGTAATGGGAGGGGCTGCCGTGAAGTCTTCCAACATGCCCTGGAGACCTTTTCCCCACTATGTTGAGGATTCACATTCTTTCCACGTAACTTATGCAAATTTCTGCAGCCAGCTTGAATTTCTCCTCAGAAAATGGTTTTTCCTTTTTATCACATTGTCAGGCTGCAAATTTTTTGAACTTTTATGGTCTGCTCCCCTTCTGAATGCCTTTAACAACACCCAAGTCACCTCTTGAATGCTTTGCTGCTTAGAAATTTCTTCCACCAGATATCCTAAATCATCTCTCTCAAGTTCAAGATGAGATTTGGGTGGGGACACAGCCAAACCATGTCAAAGACTGATTCCTTCTTATTAACTGTAAAGTATTGTATTCATTCATTCATGTATTGATAAAACACAATAGAAATATTGGTTAGTGATCAAAAGAAGAAAGGTTACTGGAGAAACTTTTGGAGGAACATACATAATTTTACAATATAAAAATGTACCTTTTATATTTATTTTCTAGTGACAAAAACAAGCATTCAATAGAAATTAAATTAACATTCAGTGCTTAGGTTTTTCTTTTACTGCTAAAATGTGAGTAGCCCAAATAATTTGATATATAAACATTTATGAAAGAACATGTGAATAAAATTTATGTTGTTTTACCCACTATTTCTCTTGACCCTGAAAAGTGTTTTTGGTTTAGTGAAAAAGATACTTTTTATAAGTACATTCATGTTGTTAATTTATGAATAATGCAAATGAGGTCATTTTGAAATCTTATAGGGCAAAATATCTGCTAGGGTCCTTCAGTTAATCAAAACACACGTTAAACTTGATTCTAACAGGATCAGGTTGAGCCTTGAACAAATTTGGAGCTGCAAATATATTGAGGAGTTTATATTATTGGATAATCCAGTAGGTAATTTTGTTGGCCACTAGTAAAATAATAATAGTTTGAATAACAATTGAGTAATTTGAGCCGTTTGGTTATTTTATTTTACTGTTTATCTATTCATTCTTTTTAATGAAGAGTGTTCAATGTCTACAGTGAATTATACTAAGCCTTGAGGATATAACAATAATACAGGCAAGGCCTCAAATCTCATGAAACTTACATTCTTATGGGAAAAACATTGAAAACAGACGAGTAAACTAATAATTTCAGACAGTGATTAGGGCTTCAAAAAGCGAATGAGGGTAAAGTAATAGTTACTGAAATGGGGTAAGATGGTCAAAAGCACTCATCTAAATTAAAAAAGTAAGCCAGCCAGGAGCTGGGTGTGGTGGCTCACGCCTGTAATCCAAGCACTTTGGGAGGCTGAGGTGGGTGAAGAACACTTGAGGTCAGGAGTTTGAGACCAGCCTGGCCAGCATAGTGAAACCTTGTCTCTACTTAAAATACAAAAATTAGCCGGGCATGGTGGCGGGCACCTGTAATCCCAGCTACTCAGGAGGCTGAGACACGACAATCGCTTGAACCCGGGAAGTGGAGGTTGCAGTGAGTTGAGATCACACCACTGCACTCCAGTCTGGGCACAAAGCGAGACTCTATCTCAAAAATAAAAAAAAGCCAGTATAAATGAAGGTTTTCATAATAATATTTTCATAACATTGAAAATGTCAATATGGCAAAATGTTAGCTCTCCCCAATTTATCTATAGAATCAAAATAATCCCAATCAAAATTTTAGCAGTTTATTTTGTAAATTGATTCTAAAATACATATGTAAATGCTAAGCTTTAAAAAAGCTGGAGCAGTTTTGAAGAAAAAGAATGATGCTTCTTATGAAACAAGTTAAGATAGTGTGGTATAAACTAATGGAACAGAACATCTCAAAACAGGCCTACACGAATACCCATGTTTAATTTATGACAAACTGAAGTATGGGTCAAAAAGTGTGTCTTTTTTTATAAATGGCTCTGGGTGATTTGGATATCTAAATAGAAAATAAATTAATCTCTATCCATCTCTCCCATCACCAAAAATTATGTGTTCCTAATGTGCATGTGATAAGTAAACCAGTACAACATGAGAAGATAGGATAATTTCATCATGACTTGAGGATAGAAATGCATACATATATAATAAATTTATGAGTAAAAGTTTAGAAAATTACACAAATCTGAGGCGATAATGGTTACTTTGATGAGTAATGAAAGATATTGTGATTAAAACTAATGAAGGCATCATAAAGAGTTGTAATAGTGTTAGTTTTGGATATACCTACTGGTAACATAGGTTTTCAGTTTGTAATTATTAAATTTTTCATGTATGTACATTAATTTGGTGCACATTTTGTATATTTGTTGTGTTTATATTAAAAAATTTAAAACAAAGGCCTCTCTGAGGAGATAATATTTCCAAATTTTTATGTAAAATACTGCAATTTTAAAGCTTTTGGGATTATGCAAAGAAATATTGTTCCTCAGTGAGTATTATAAGTTCTTCTTATGAGTATGTAGCTTTTCATTTCAATCAATGTGAAATTTACAAGTTAAATGCATTCACCCCAAATCTTTACAAAAATCTGTTATCCAAAAATTTACCCAAAATTATAATACTAACCCTATTTGTCTCTGAGTTTCCTCAATGTGGAAGTTTGGAGAGTCATTTGGTATGGGCAAAGAAATGGTAGAGGAAAGTATTTATTCAGTCAAAAAGTGCTTACTGAATTTCTACTGAATGCCAGGTTTTGCTCAAACCACAATGGCATAAAGGCAAATTTTTGAAAGACTTAGGAAAAACATTCATAAAAAATTACATTGTAAATAATAAATATTAGAAACAGAAGTATCAATAAAGAAAAGCAAAAGATAAATGACAAGTGACACTTTACCTTAATATCTAGTAAGTGAACATTTTGAGGACTTTGATGAGCAGGTGTATATGTGTGCCCCACTCCTTCCTCTGTCTAGAAGAAGAAGTTGTTAGTAAACTTCAAAGAACTATTCCTAGGTCAGCTTCAAGAAATTTAAGAATCCAGTTTAGCACTCCAAAATTAAAGATGGAATATGGCTCAGCAATATAAAAACAAAAATCAGTTAGCTATTATATAAGATACATGGAGAGAAGTATGAACCTTATATTGACAATAAGAAGTAGCTGAATAATACTATTGAATAAGGAAGTGACAAGATTGGGTTTGTTTGTTGTAGAAATGACTTTAGCAGCAATGTGGGGACCTGAGTAGATGGGCAAATGCAGAAAGCCTAGCAGGATAGACTGGTTGCTCTTAAAATAGGATAGGATGCAGGAGATGAGGAAGAATTGAATCAAATCCACAGGGTTTAGAATAGAAAAACAAAGAGGGGACTAGAGATAGATTTAAGAGACAGTTAATAGAATGAACTAATGAGATTTGAGGATAAGCAAAGGACATGGATGACTAGTTTCTACATGGTATGCTACATCTACACGGAGATATATAGCAAAGGGTGGAAACAGATAAATGAAGATATGCCTCTTTTATGGTCACCAGTATTGCTTACAGCTATATCTGTGGTTGCTAAGAAGCCTGCAAAATAGAGAAGACAGATGAAGACAGAAATTTAGTAAAGGAGTGGTTTTAGGAGAAGTTCATGAGATTAGAAAAGCAGGGCATCATCATGGAAACAATAAGAAAAGATTTCCAAGAAAGAACAACGATTAGCCGTAACAAATGCACAAAGATGACAAGAACAATTTTTTAAAAAAGAACTGATTTTGAAAATGGAAAGGTCATGAGTAATTTTTGCAAGAGTCATGTCAACATAATTGGTCACAGAAGCTCAGTTGCAGTGTTTTGTGAAGATGGCTGGAGAAAGTAAACACAAGTGTGAATGTTGTTTGTCAGAAACCTTAGCACGCTCAAAAAAATTAAAACATCATTAAACTACTATACATATAGTCATTGCATTATTTCTTGCTGAATAGTAAAGGTGAAATATGGGCATGATGTTTTTTGAAATCAATATTGTTAATCAAACTCTTGATGACAGTGAGACCTAAGTCATATAAAATTTAGTTACCTTTCAACTGTAAGTACACTGTTAATTTTAAGTGCACATTAAAAGATAAGGTCTGAAAAACATAATATAAGGCATTTAGAAATTGTAAAACACGAATCTATGAAAAAGTTGCAATGCCAGTTTTTGAGGGGAGTTTTCCATATACATCATACTGACTTAATCTATATTTAGTTTTACTTCTATGTGTTCTCATAGCAAAGTGTGCACACCCAAATCATAATACTTTCTGTATTTTGTAGCAATGGCCTAAATGTCCTGCTATCTCATGTTTTAGATTGTCAGCTCCCAGAAGATGAGCTTGGACAATGTTCTTTATATCATTTTACCTGTAAGGCATGAAATATGTGATGAATAGATGAAAGAATATAGGAAAACAATCATCAGAGGAGACAAGAGAAAAAGGAGGTGATGTTCCACATGTACTATAAAGAACAATAAGGAATTGTAGATTTATGAGAACAATGAGCAAGAATAACCAAAGTTGTTTCACTTAGAAATGTATTTACAAAGGCAAATATAGATTCCAAGTGAATCACAATAGTAATCTCAACAGTAATCAGCAAAATTACAATAGCAATTACAAGAGTAACTACTTGTTATCAGAGAAATGCAAAAGAAAATAGTATGATAACTTTTTTTTGCCTTGCAAAATTTGCCTTTTAGCTTCTTGACATTGGCTTTGGCAATTAATTTTGATACCACTCCAAAAAGCTCAAACTACAAAAACAAAAGTAAATAAACAGAACAGCATTAAACTAAAAACCTTAGGAACAATAAAGGAAACAATCAACAAAATAATAGGCAATTTATGGGCTATTAAAAATATTTTCAAACTACATTTTTGTTAAGGGGTTAATATATCCAGAATTATAAAGAATTCTTATAACTCAATAGCAGAAAAAACAATAACCTGATTTTAAAAATGGGCAAAAGACCTGAACAGACATTTCTCCAAAGAAGCTATAAAATGGCAAAAAGGTATATGAAAAGATGCTCAACATAATTAATCTTTAAAGAAATGCAAATTTAAACCACTATAAGATATTGCCTTACTCCCGTAAGTATGATTATTATCAAAAAGACGAGATAACAATTGTTGTCAGGGATGTGGAGAAAAGGAAACCCTAGTACACTATTGGCGGGAATGTAGATTAGTACAGCCATTACGAAAAAACTGTATGGAGGTTCCTAAATAAATTAAAAATATTATATTCATAGAACCACTATATGACCCAGCAACTCCTCTTCCAGGTATATACCAAAATGAGATACAAGAACCACCATGTAAAAATATCTGCACTCCCATGTTTTTTGCAGCATTATTCATAATAGTCAAAATGTGGAAACAACCTAGATACACGTTGAGAGATAAATTGATAAAGAAAATGAAATGTGTATATATACATACTCACACACAAAATGGAATCTTATTCAGCCTTAAAAAGGGGATATAGATCCCTTTTTATATATACACAATGGAATATATTTTACACACACACACACACACACACACACACACACACACATCTTATTCAGCCTTAAAAGAGGAAATCCCACCATGTGCTACAACCTGGATGGACTTAGAGGACATTATGCTAAGTGAAATAAGCCAGGCACAAAAATAAAAGTATTGGAAGATATCACCTATATGTGGAATATATTTTTTTTAAAAAGCTTAAGTACACACGCATAGGCAATGAAACAGTGATTTCCATGGGTGAGCAGGAGTAAGGGGAAGAGAAAGTGGGGAGCTGTAGGTCATATAGCAGGTATGTAGGATGAACAAGTTTAGAGGCCTGATGTACAACATTAGGACTACAGTTAATGAAATTGTATTGTAGTAAGGATTTTTGTTAAATAAGTATATTTTAGCTACTCTTGTCAAACAAAAAAGTAACTATGTGAGATGATAGCTACAGTAATCTATTTCACTATGGTAACCACTTTACTCTCTGTATGTGTTCCACAGCATCAAGTTGCAAATTTCAAATAAACATGATAAAATTTCTTAAAAAGCAAAAATGAAAAACAAAATTTGCCTTTCAAAAATATCTAATGTTGCCAGAATTAGGATTGAGGGTGAAAAACACTTCATACAGTGGTGCCAGAAACATAAATTTTCATATTTATTAAGTATGGTTTCACTGTATCTGTATAAATTTTCTGCAACCCCATTTCTGGGATTCCATCTTGGGAGGTATCAAGCAAGTGCACAAGGATATATGCCCTTTGTACACAAAAGATATATACTTTGTACAAGGATATATGTACAGAGTTGTTTTTACACAGTTGCTCATTAGACCGTTATAACCATAAAAATGAAGTTATCATTAGGAGAATGGTAAAATAAATTATACTATAGGCGTACTATATGCTGTGTAGCTATAAAGTCTTTCAAAGAAGAATGTAGTAGAAGTCTACATCTGTACCCAGAAGAATGCCAGTGATTTTTTTAAAATAGATATAACAATTCAGAAAAATAGGCATAATATGACTGACATCACTTGAAAAATAATATAGAATGGATATCTGCTTGTGCCTAGGAAAGGCCTAGTAAGAAAAACACTGCGCTATTAAAAATGACCAACCCTGTGAAGCATAAATGAATGAGGGAGGATATTTTGCTTTATAATGCTTACTTCTGATTTTCAAATTTTTAAAGTAAAATATTTAAAACTCCTTTCTGGAAAAAATGTACTTTATTCTAGAGAATAATGCTATGTTTAATGTAACTTTGTGATAAACAAAAACAAAAGTAAAAAGAAGAATACAGATAAGGAAGTTTAAATATAGGTGTAATTCCTAATTTGTCTAAAAATAAAAGTACTCGAAATCCATGAATCAGCAGGCCCTTGAAGAATGAGTGGACAAAGCTGAGCATGTTATTTTAAGACATATGTCCTTTTTCTAAAACTATCAGGGTTATGGGGCTTGAGAGTATATAAAACAGCCCGTAGATCAGATTGTAGCTGAAGGGATTCATGCTTGCCTTTAGTTATGAAGTTCAAATTGGAAGCTGTTCAGGCAGAAAACTAATAGAAATGGGTGATAGCTAATTAACCTAAGGCTTCAAAGTAATTGCTCTGCAAGAAGCAATTTAAAAAGAGACCTTTTATTTATTTATTTATTTTTGAAAATCATAAAATGCCCTATTTGACTTTTGGTGCATGAGCAAAATTATCTGAATATACACAAATATTGATTTTTTTTAAACCTCTTCTACCTGATCCAACTTCCTGGTCAATTTTCAAAGAGGCAAAATGATAACAAGAACTATGCTTTATAGCACATAAACATACCAAATATCCCAGGCTTAAGACTTTGCCATATGGTGAGATATAGGAAAAGATCCCTGTAGTAAATTTTGCTCAGAGGATAGGATTATATTGGTCAACCAAGCCCTGAGCCACATTTCTCATCACTGGAGTCAGCAGAGTCAGCTGCTCCAAAGTATGTAGCTGTTTTGGCCTGGCCAGTGGCTCACTCCTGTAATCCAGCATTTTTGGAGGCTGAGGTGGGTGGTTTACTTTAGGTCAGTAGTTCGAAATCAGCCTTGCCAACATGGTGAAACCCCATCTCTACTAAAAGTACAAAAATTAGCTGGGCGTGGTGGCGTATGTCTGTAATCCCAGCTACTCAGGAGGCTGAGGCAGGAGAATCACTTGAACCCAGGAGGGGGAGGTTGCAGTGAGCCGAGATCACGCCACTACACTATAGCCTGGGCAACAGAGCAAGATTCCGTCTCAAAAAAAAAAAAAAAAGTATATAGCTGTTTGATAGAGAAGTGGCTTCCCTGGCAAAAACAAGGTGCTATTGTGAAAAGAATGTGGAATAAATGTACAACATCCCAAATCAGCCACTATCTGCCATAATCTACAACTCTGGCTTCTGAGGACTTCTATTCAGCATTCCTCTTACTTTTAAAAAGTATCCATACTTACATAAAATATATTCATTTCTTCTCAAAGAGAGGAGCCCCAAATTTCCTGCATTTCTATGCCAGTTCCAAACATAGATGCTTTTGGTAGTATCGACTTCTCTCCCTCAGATTAGCTTGATAACTCTGATTTACAGCTTCTGGCACTTCAGCTTCCTGTAGGACTCACAGATAAAGATAATAACATCTGGGTGAAGAGTTTCTCATGAGAACTTCTGATCCTGTTTAACCGCCTCTAAATGCAAGTTTTATTAGCATGTAGCCTACATAAAGACTGGGACCATCTTCTCTTACGGTTGTATTAATCTTAGGTTTTTACATTACACAATATGCTACAGAATATTATATATTTGAAGAGGCCAGGCATGGTGGCTCACGCCTGTAATCTCAGCACTTCGGGAAACTGAGGTGGGTGGATCACCTGAGGTCAGGAGTTCGAGAGCAGCCTGGCCAGCATGGTGAAACCCCGTCTCAACTACAAATACAAAAATTAGCCGGGCGTGGTGGTGCATGTCTGTAATTCCAGCTACTTGGGAGGTTGAGGCTGGAGAATCACTTGAACCCAGGAGGCAGAGGTTGCAGTGAGCTGAGATCTCGCCACTGCACTACAGCCTGGGTGACAGAGCAAAATTCTGTCTCAAAAAAATATATATTTAATATATATATTTGATATATATTTAATATACATTTGATATATATGTTTAATATACATTTGATATATATATTTAATATACATTTGATATATATTTGTGATATATTTGAGATATATATTTAATATATATACCTGATATATATATATATTTGAAGAGACAAATTGCTGAAGAAATATAGTAAGTTTTCTAGGTATCTCCAGAACTCATGCTCTCAGTAACTTAGACTTTCCATGGAACAAATACAGAAGTTCTTAAGATGGGTGCTGTCAGTTGTCCAAGATCCATTTATTTAACGTATTTTTGTCCTGACCTTCGGATTCACTCTGATGTGGTTAATTTAGAATTCTGTTCATCATGGACTAAATATTTTAATGAAAGGTAGAGCCATTTCATAGACTTTAAAAAATTCCTCTTCTATAATCAGGGTGAGACAGATTTTCCTAAAGCATGTGAGCTACAGGGTAGAGATCTGAATATGTCAAAAAAGCTAGCATGTGTTGCCAAGAAAAATGGAGTTAATTCTTTGGGACCCAAAATGCATACAAAGATCTTTAAAATGTCAGTGTTGTTTATGAGCTCCCACAATGAGATTTAAAACTCTTTGAAGAAAGATACCGTGTTCTAGGATTGTGTTTGTCTATAGGAACCTGTAATGGATAATGAATCAGATGTATGTGGATAATTTTATTTCATCAACTGCTTTATAATTATTTACCTCAGTATGTATTATAAATGATAAATCTTCTATTATTTTGTTTCTTATATTTTACATATATATTTGTATATAGTGCCCAGCTCTTAAACTGCCATTTATAAAATTATTGTTAACTTTGGTCTTGGAAATGCAATAGACTTTCAAAATAATATTATCTCATGGATTGTTCTTGATTTATATAATATTAATGTCTGTTTATTGTCTTTTGTTGCAGGATTTATTTATACATGTGGTGGAACTTTAAAAGGACTTAATGGCACTATAGAAAGCCCTGGTTTTCCATATGGATATCCAAATGGTGCAAACTGCACATGGGTAATAATAGCAGAAGAACGAAATAGAATACAAATTGTTTTTCAGTCATTTGCTCTAGAAGAAGAATACGACTACTTATCATTATATGATGGACATCCTCATCCTACAAACTTTAGGACAAGGTTAGTGTGTTTTGAATGGAAGACTGGAGAGAAAATATTTCCTGGGTAAAAGTAGTTTATTTTACAAAAGATGCTTAACATTTGTGATGCAATTATAATAAAGTTGTATTCACCATCTAATTATTATTTATTTGAAAATATATCATCCCATGAACAAATTAGCTTGGTGTCTCTGATGTCATATTGCTAGTACATTAATACTATGTCTCACAAAGGTGAATATATATTGAGTGGTGATCTCTTTATAGTGGCTAAAGGTATTTTGTTTTTAAAAATGATTATCTCAAGGTTTCATTCATTATGGATATAACTTTTGATAAAGTAAAACATACTATATAAGGTATATTTCAGTGATAATATGTCCAATTTTAATATACAACACTATGCAAAAACACCTTAAGTCAGCATTCATGAATAGTAGAATAAATTAATTTCTGATAATGTGTGTAGTTTATAAAATCTAAATATCTGAAAACTACATACTTTCATGTCAAAAATGGGGTCATTTATATTTTTGCCTCTATAAATGAAAGTGTTTTTTGAAGCTTATTGATTAAACAGATGTAAAAATTAACTAGCACCCTGACTATTTTTAAGGTAGTTCTTCTGGTTCTTCAGAATTTTCTCTTGGCAAAGAGGTTATGTAAAATTAGAAGTATTTTTGAGGTCTTACCAGAAACTTATTTTAGTTGTAAATCAACTATAATTCAACTAAAAAATTCAACATTCCAAGAATTGCACATTTTATTTAGTCCTAGATTTATGCCAGTGTTTGTATACTTTTCTTTAAGTGCCATAAGCTTTTTTAAACTTGTAATTTAAAATAGTCTAAGAAGGTAACATGTAGGAATTAAAGACTCTTTACATACTTGGCTATGTTTGAGTTATGATTCTCTGATGGTGTTACTTTCTAATAGTTGATAACATGTTCTTGCCTTCCTAATGTACAAGAAGCAGATTATCAGTGCTAACTTTTTACAGTTTCATCAGTCTTCCATATTCCTTTGCATTTATATTTTTTCAATTTTAAGTAAAAATTTAGTGTTTTAGTGAAACCCCGTCTCTACTAAAAATACAAAAAATTAGCCGGGTGTCGGGGCGGGCGCCTGTAGACCCAGCTACTTGGGAGGCTGAGGCAGGAGAATGGCGTGAACCCGGGAGGCGGAGCTTGCAGCGAGCCAAGATCGCGCCACTGCACTCCAGCCTGGGTGACAGAGCAAGACTCCGTCTCAAAAAAAAAAGAAAAAAGAAAGAATTAGTGTTTATTTTCCTCAAGTTTTGGCAATGAAAAACATAATGTAGTGGGGAAAATGGTGGATCTGGAGATGAGATTTATTACATTAGGATGTTAGGTTTGTTGCTCACCAGCTTTTTGAGCAATCTACGCTACCTCTGTTTAAACTGAGAGATGGTAGTAAGGCCGGTTCTAGCCATCTCATTATACTGTTCTGCAGGTATTACGAGAAAATGTGTATGAACCTGCTGCATGTCTACAAAATCCTATTAGAGCACATCGAACTGCTTCCAGTCAGATGACACTTAAAAATGCCTGAGTTATTTCACAAACTTTGTTGTGCAAAAACAAGGTTACTAGGTTGATTACAGCTAAGATTCTATTTTTCTTTCTTTTTTTCCTCTATACTCGTTTACCGAGTAAATCTGATTTCTTTTTCCTTTTACATTGTAAACTCATACATAAACTTTTACATTGTAACTCATACAATAATCATCTATTTTATAAATATACATTATGGTACGCACGTCTGACTGCTGTTTGATCATCATTGCCACTGTCATTAAAAGCTGGTGTCTTTTGTTAATGCAAATAATACCTATAAGTGGAAGTACAATTTTTTACACTGGCAATCTGTGGGATATAATTTTCCTAAATATATAAAAATACTTCTTTCAATATTACCTGTTAGTTTCAAAGTATCAATTCCCTGATAGTAATGCTTGTACATGTACCTATTCTCTCTAGATTGCCTTGAAAATGAGAAAACACATTTTTATTTTTCCTCTTTCCTGCTTTTCTAAACAACTGTGGCCTCTGGGAAGTTAAAAAATTGCGAAGTTAGGAAAATAAATTTATTGTTCTCATTCTTTCTTTCCTAATCTGTAAATTGGGAATAATAGCACTTAATTCACAGAGATTTTATGGGGAATACAATATAATGAAAGCTCAGTGACTCTAACCCTTAACATTTATTGAATGATTCCTCTGCACCTGTCACTGTGCTATGTATTTTGTGTTCATTATGGTATTTAACTTCTCCTGTATCCAAACAATGTAAAATAATTACTATTATCATCATCATTTTACAACTGATAAAATGAGGCTTGAATTGATTGCCCGAGTAAAATTTTTGAAAGTGGCAAAAGGCAGAACTATCATTACAATTCAGATTTGTTTAGTTTAGATCTGAAGCTCTTCAATATATATAATTCTATGTAGTTAGACACAATCTCCAAAGTTTATGTATTGATATATAAATAAAAATCTATTTTTTCTTAGCAGTATTGGATCAAATTTAGTAAGAGAAATAATAATAAAAGGTATATTTTCAAACAGGTGTAATATATACAAATATAAACCGAAAGGTAAGCTACAAATTTATTTTTCCTATTTATTTTATAGACTATATTCATACATGTACTCTATTTATACAAGCAAAATGACAAGACTATATTCTAACATGTAGTCTATGTTATAATATAGTCTTTAGAGTCTAATGTTTTGCTCACTGTAAACATTTAACACATTTATTGGTTTTTGTGCTTCAAGAAGTACTGTAGTTAATGTTATAGCTGACTTTAGTTAGCAAGACTGGAAAGAAAAAAATTAGTATGTAACCTACAGCCCGTTCCAGACTGTGTTTATATACAAAATCTGCTGTTTGATTAGAAGTCGAAACTGCTGCTGGCAGAGTTTGATTCATATTTGCGTCTGGCTGTTTGACTCACTGTTTTCTTGGGTTTTGTTTCTCTCATATTGGATCATATTCTCACTTAATGCATGTCCTTATGGTGTGTTTGCTGTTCTCTTTCTTCCAGAAATTGATATTTATTTTTTTTACTTTTCATGAGCTCCAATAGATTTTTTAAAAATGGCTTCTTACACTTGTCTTGCAATAATGTAGGAAAAAAAATGGTTTGTGGGTCTTGTCATTCTTGCTTGTATAAATAAACACACTGGGATTCATAATCAGAATTTCATATTTTAAAAACTGTACTCTAAGCCTCCAATGATTAATGATATTACTTGTTTTTCTGTAAGTTATTTTTTATTAAAAGAGAATTGATATTGGCAAAGCACCGTTAGATAATTTCTTTCTTAATCATAATTTTATCTTAGAACAAGTGCTGATGCATTTAAGGCAACATTGCTGGAAGCATAAAGGTTATTCTAAGCCTTGTTTATTTTACATTAATATTATATTTTCCGAATAATAAACTTATACCAACAAGTAAAAAATCACCTATTATTTAATGAGGCAGAGACAGATATATTTACCCAGGATCATTCCATATATGATATTGTATGTCCTTAATAATCTCTCTACATTATAATGTACATGTCTAATGTGTGATTAGAATCTTTGTAAACATTAATTTATTGAATTTGTTAAGTATATTTAATCATTTTATGTAAGCATTAATTTATGCAAATATTTAATCCTGTGGATATAATTTATGTAATTATCATTCTATTATATTTTTGTTTTTTCTTTTATAATTAATTCACGTATTAGCATCCTTATGAATATATATTTTCTATATTTTAGATTGGTTCTTGGTAGAAACAGGATGTCTAGGTCAGAAGCAAATAATATTCTTTATATTACTAATATGCTTTCCAGAATCTTATATCAATGAATATTATTACAACTAGAAAACTATACTTCATTACCTCTCAGTCTTCCCAGACTTACATCTTTTATTCTTAATTTGATTATTTACATATATCTGATTTTTATAGATATTTAACATATTCTCTTGTTTGATAACCATGCTGGTTTTCTCCTGTAATTTATTTTTTGTCTATGTATCAATATTTTTCTTGATGATTTACATAATTCATTTATTCTTAAACATGTAAATATTTCCTTTTTGTGACAAAAATATTTCTCAGCTTCTTGGTTGCTTGTTAAATCTTAGCTGTTTTTTCTGCACAAATAAGTGAAGAATTTTAAAATTTTTATATGATATATATTATCCATTTATTTAAAGATTCATTTCATTTCTTTTAATGTTACAAAGTCAAGAGCTAGATGTTTTATAAATTCTCATTTTTAAATTCCTTTTCCTAATTTTTAACATGTACAACCTTAATACATATGAAATATTATGGAATGATAATCTTTTCTCAAAGTGGAAGAGAATGATTATTTCTAAATAACCAACGTAGTAGTATAGTTATTTTTTAAAAGACTTGAGTACAAAAACTTTTATTTAGTGTGACTCCTGACATGTTACTCTGGTCTCCTCATTGCTACTTTGATATGGCCTATCACTTTGGATGTTTGGCTGTAACAGAAATCCTGACTTACTGTAGCTTAAACAAAAAATTTATTTTTCTTATATAACAAGAAGTTTGTTATTATACAGTTCATCAGTAAATCAAAAGCTTTCCCAAAAGTCCTTAGAAGGATTCTTCTCCTATATCATTGGCCAGAACAGCCTGACATCACCATCCCTTGGTCAACAGTATTCTAGAAAAACAGCTTTCATTTTCAACCTCAGTTGTGGAAAACAGCATGGAGAAGACTGAGGGCCAGGCAACTGACAAAATCTATCACAATATCCAAAGCTTATTTTTTGGATATTTTGATAGGTAAATAAATAAATATTATTTCTAAATAAATTGTTTCCAAAGTTGTGATTTAAAAACAGGGAGTAATTATCACAAGGTCATAGTCATGGTGTAGTAATGACTGCAACATAAACTTCACTTTCCTGAGTTATATAAACGTCCATGGATTAGAAATGTTAAAAACAAATGGATAGGTAAAGATAAAATCAAATGTAAGTGTAAGTGTTAACATAACACAAAATCTTAAGGCGGAGGCAGATAATAAAAAAGTAAATATCACATGTTCTCACTTATAAGTGAGAGCTAAACATTGGGTACTCATGGACATAAAGATGGCAACAATAGACACTGGGGACTAATAGTGTGGGGAGGGAGCGAAGGAAGCATAGGCTGAAAAACTGTCATGTACTATGCTTACATCTGGGTGATAGGATCATTCACGTCCTAGGGCTTGGCATCATGCAGTATACCCATGTAATGGACCTGCACATATACTCTCTGAATCCAAGATAAAAGTTGAAATTATAATAAAATCATTAAAAAAAAGAAAAAACTTTGGGAGGCCAATGGCTGGAGCTCGGGAGTTTGAGACCAGCCTGGGCAACATGGTGAAACCCCATCTCTACAAAAAATACAGAAAAATTAGCTGGGTGTGGTGGCCTGTGCCTGTAATCCCAGCTACTCTGGAGGCTGAGGTGGGAGGATTGCTTGAACCCAGGAAGCGGAGGTTGCAGTGAGCAGAGACTGCACCACTGCACTCCAGCCAGGGTGACAGAGCCAGACCCTGTCTCTAAAAACAAAACAAAAGAAAACAAAAAAACAAAAAACATCTGCCGTAAAGAAATTGAAAGCTGATTTTAATATGTTGGTTGATAAAAGACTATCTCTTAATTTCTTAAACTAAATAACATCCAGATGCATATATAAACTTTGTGGCTCTCTTTAACTTCTCCTTAAAGAGGGTCTACAGGTGGTAAAGTTCACTTATACGGGGTTGAAAACAATAATTATAACTTCTATGCCATTAAAATAAAAGACAAAGGAAGTATAAGCTATCACATCATTAAAAAGAATTAATTATCAAAATAGAACGATACAGATACAGAAATATGAGTTCTAAATATTGAACAATATACCAAATTATAATTCATTACAGATTTTATGACTGTATACATAAGAAAGCTTAAATGGGCAGGGCGCGGTGGCTCACGCCTGTAATGCCAGCACTTTGGGAGGCCGAGGCAGGCGGATCACGAGGTTAGGAGATCGAGACTATCCTGGCTAACACAGTGAAAGCCCGTCTTTACTAAAAATACAAAAAATCAGCCGGGCGTGGTGTTGGGCGCCTGTAGTCCCAGCTACTGGGGAGGCTGAGGCAGGAGAATGGCGTGAACCCGGGAGGCGGAGCTTGCAGTGAGCCGAGATCGCGCCACTGCACTCCAGCCTGGGTGACGGAGCGAGACTCCATCTCAAAAAAAAAAAAAAAAAAAAAAAAAAAAGACTTAAATGATTTACTGGATATTTATAGAACTAAAAAGAAAAATTAATGTGTTGCTACATGTCAATATCTCATCAATCATCATTAAGAAAAATCACAAAATATATTATATTGCAAATAATAGCAAAATTTTGTAATATGTTGAGAATAAATTCCCCAAGTATGAAACAGAACTTAGAATTAAAAAAATTGCAGTCTATTGCAAAAACACATAAAGTTGTAAAATAGAGAAACACTCTATAGCCATGGGTAAAATGAACTTTTTAAAGCTCTCATTCTGTGAAATGAGATGAGTCAAAATGTTTGGTTATTAGGTAGATATAGATTTAATATCATAAGAAAAAACTGCCAAATAGCTTTTCTAAGCTGTGTACGCATTTTGTACTTCACCATCACTGTATGAGAATTCTAAATGCTCCACACCTTTGTTGACATTTGAGGTTGTCAGCATTTATTGTGGTATTATTTTGCACTTTTGTGATGCCTAATAATATTGAGCATGTGCTTATCAACCATTTATTTATGAAGAGTTTGTTCAAATATTTTGTCTATTTTTTTAATTGGGTTGTTTGCTTAGTCTTGATGTATCAAATTATAAGGATCTTTGCAATCTTTATAGCATTTATTTGACAAATACATGCATTGCAATTATTTTCTTCCAATCTGTTACTTGCTCTTTCATTTTCTTACATTATCTTTGCATGAGTTAAGGTTTCTAATTTTAACAAAGTCCAAATTATTAATATTATATTTTGTTAGTGCTTTCTGGTAGTACAATAAATATTTGCTTATCCAAAGATGGAAAGATATCCTGTATTTTCTTCTGAAGGTTTAGAGTGTTAGCTTTATATTTAGATCTGTGATTCTTCTTGAAGATGTGAAGGAGTCTAAGTTCATTTTGTTCTATTTAAGCATTAAAGTGAAGAAGAATTAAGGTGTACATTTTAAGGAATCCTAGAAATAACAACTTAATAAATTATGTGTCCTAGCTGGCTGCCTCTGGACACAATTATAATAAAGCATGTTTCAAGTACATTCTTAAAAGTATTACTTGATAAACTAAGTTTTTTCCAGAAAAGGCTAGGCCTTATTTTTTATCTGTATTTCTACAGTAATATTACTCTTCTCCCTCTTTGGATTTTTACTTTGTGACTATATATAATATTTTTATACCTTCTTGGTCATTATTCTAGAATATATTTCATTACCATGGCTAAATTATCTGAACTTTATATATTCCTTTATTAAATATCAATTCTTTACCCAGTATTTTTTTTTCTTGATACGTTGAGGGATTTAAAATATGTAACATTCTGTCACAATTCATATTTATTATACAAACTTGATGGATTGTTGTCATAACCATAGAATTCAAAAGCCTAATGGACATAATTAAGGAACAGAAATTAGAGTGAATAAACCATCTGTAGCTTGAATTCCCACTTGTGTAATTGTTAGACCATTTCTTTTTGGTTCTTTATAATTAACATATAACAAGTAGACCTTTTCTCCTTCAGAAAATGTTGGCAGCATCCCCATAAATGTTTTTGAGCAGCCACTACACTTATTTTCTTACATGGTTAGTATTTCTTCTCTCCTTTGCTCCCTCAATGTCCCATAGAACTTCCTAATACTCACAATTAAAATCTTTCCTCACTATACTTGATGCCTCTTTTAATGCCATGCAATAATCTGTTTCCTTTCCTGTAGGCATAATGTTGAGGTAGAGAATGACTTTCCATGAAAATTATCCAAAAATATCTAAATGCCTTAGGTCATAGAAACAAATGACCAGAGGGTAGTTTTATTTTATGTCAGTGCACTCCAGTGATTTAACTCTACCTGATGACATTGTCTCGCATGTCTCTATCTCCAAGTTTTCCTAAAGATTACATTGAGAGTGATATAACTCAATCCAATTAGCTGACGATAAAGATTTCTCCCTTCAGAGTTGGAACCAACCCTTGTGTACTGATTCTCTCTCTTATATAATAAAACATCTGGGAAACGCAGAGGCTCTACTGTCTGACTCAATGGCATAGAGTGATTGCGTGTATAGCTGTGTGCTGAAATGACATATGTGATATTAACAACTATAATAATAGTTATTATTTATTATTTCTCAATAAATAAGAAAAGCAATACTAGAGTTTTGTTATTTATCTATAATATTAATGAGACACACCAAGTGACAAAGTGAACTTTGCTTACTGTTGGTTCAACTATGACCTCAGTCATAGCCTTGTATAAAACACATACCCCAGGAAACAGAAGCTGAGTGTAGAAATGCATTTTTCTATATACAAACTTGAAAATACCATTATATTGTGTTTAGTATCCCCCTACCTAATACTTTAATTTACAAAAGACTTACTGCATTGCCATTGGGCATTGGGCATGCAAGTGAATTAGAAAAAAAGCCAATTAAAATTTTGATGCATCTTAGGCAGTTAATGATTATTCTCTTTAGTTATCATTACTTACTTTGGAGCATTCAAATTAATGATTGCATAGATCTCAAGGACAGATAGGATTTCTAAAACTTTTGGTCAACATAAAAGGCTCTTTCAAATCTGACTAAGGCAAGGATTCCAGAGTATACACAACTATTTATTGTTTATACCAGGCATTTTGCCAAAAAGAAATGAGGTGGCTTTTAGTGAAGAAATAGACTAAATTAAACCATTAAAACTGGGGTTAAAAGATCAAACAAAAGATGACAATAAGCAAGTTTAAACACTTTGTTCCTTAGATTATATTTATTCAATCTTTTGTAGTAAATCTGTGGAAAGGTTTACTTCCATTAGCCTGCTTTCGGTAAAACAGCACTGATATCCTAAAAGCAAACTACACATGATGTTGTAATTGACTAAAAATATTTAATAAAATATTTAGTAAAGTGAAACTCACGCTCCATAAACATTCATTTTCTCTTTTTTTAAAAATTTATTTATTATTATTATACTTTAAGTTTTAGGGTACATGTGTACAATGTGCAGATTAGTTACATATGTATACATGTGCCACGCTGGTGCGCTGCACCCACTAACTCATCATCTATCATTAGGTATATCTCCCAATGCTATCCCTCCCCCCTCCCCCAACCCCACAACAGTCCCCAGAGTATGATGTTCCCCTTCCTGTGTCCATGTGTTCTCACTGTTCAGTTCCCACCTATGAGTGAGAATATGCGGTGTCTGGTTTTTTGTTCTTGCGATAGTTTACTGAGAATGATGATTTCCAATTTCATCCATGTCCCTACAAAGGACATGAACTCATCATTTTTTATGGCTGCATAGTATTCCATGGTGTATATGTGCCACATTTTCTTTTTTTTTTTTTTTTATTATACTTTAAGTTTTAGGGTACATGTGCACATTGTGCAGGTTAGTTACATATGTATACATGTGCCATGCTGGTGCGCTGCACCCACTAACTCGTCATCTAGCATTAGGTACATCTCCCAATGCTATCCCTCCCCCCTCCCCCGACCCCACCACAGTCCCCAGAGTGTGATATTCCCCTTCCTGTGTCCATGTGATCTCATAGTTCAATTCCCACCTATGAGTGAGAATATGCGGTGTTTGGTTTTTTGTTCTTGTGATAGTTTACTGAGAATGATGGTTTCCAATTTCATCCATGTCCCTACAAAGGACATGAACTCATCATTTTTTATGGCTGCATAGTATTCCATGGTGTATATGTGCCACATTTTCTTAATCCAGTCTATCATTGTTGGACATTTGGGTTGGTTCCAAGTCTTTGCTATTGTGAATAATGCCGCAATAAACATACGTGTGCATGTGTCTTTATAGCAGCATGATTTATAGTCCTTTGGGTATATACCCAGTAATGGGATGGCTGGGTCAAATGGTATCTCTAGTTCTAGATCCCTGAGGAATCGCCACACTGACTTCCACAATGGTTGAACTAGTTTACAGTCCCACCAACAGTGTAAAAGTGTTCCTATTTCTCCACATCCTCTCCAGCACCTGTTGTTTCCTGACTTTTTAATGATTGCCATTCTAACTGGTGTGAGATGATATCTCATAGTGGTTTTGATTTGCATTTCTCTGATGGCCAGTGATGATGAGCATTTTTTCATGTATTTTTTGGCTGCATAAATGTCTTCTTTTGAGAAGTGTCTGTTCATGTCCTTCGCCCACTTTTTGATGGGGTTGTTTGTTTTTTTCTTGTAGATTTGTTTGAGTTCATTGTAGATTCTGGGATATTAGCCCTTTGTCAGATGAGTAGGTTGCCAAAATTTTCTCCCATTTTGTAGGTTGCCTGTTCACTCTGATGGTAGTTTCTTTTGCTGTGCAGAAGCTCTTTAGTTTAATTAGATCCCATTTTTCAATTTTGTCTTTTGTTGCCATTGCTTTTGGTGTTTTGGACATGAAGTCCTTGCCCATGCCTATGTCGTGAATGGTAATGCCTAGGTTTTCTTCTAGGGTTTTTATGGTTTTAGGTCTAACGTTTAAATCTTTAATCCATCTTGAATTGATTTTTGTATAAGGTGTAAGGAAGGGATCCAGTTTCAGCTTTCTACATATGGCTAGCCAGTTTTCCCAGCACCATTTATTAAATAGGGAATCCTTTCCCCATTGCTTGTTTTTCTCAGGTTTGTCAAAGATCAGATAGTTGTAGGTATGTGGCGTTATTTCTGAGGGCTCTGTTCTGTTCCATTGATCTATATCTCTGTTTTGGTACCAGTACCATGCTGTTTTGGTTACTGTAGCCTTGTAGTATAGTTTGAAGTCAGGTAGCATGATGCCTCCAGCTTTGTTCTTTTGGCTTATGATTGACTTGGTGATGCGGGCTCTTTTTTGGTTCCATATGAACTTTAAAGTAGTTTTTTCCAATTCTGTGAAGAAAGTCATTGGTAGCTTGATGGGGACGGCATTGAATCTGTAAATTACCTTGGGTAGTATGGCCATTTTCACGATATTGATTCTTCCTACCCATGAGCATGGAATATTCTTCCATTTGTTTGTATCCTCTTTTATTTCCTTGAGCAGTGGTTTGTAGTTCTCCTTGAAGAGGTCCTTCACATCCCTTGTAAGTTGGATTCCTAGGTATTTTATTCTCTTTGAAGCAATTGTGGATGGGAGTTCACTCATGATTTGGCTCTCTGTTTGTCTGTTGTTGTTGTATAAGAATGCTTGTGATTTTTGTACATTGATTTTGTATCCTGAGACTTTGCTGAAGTTGCTTATCAGCTTAAGGACATTTTGGGCTGAGATGATGGGGTTTTCTAGATAAACAATCATGTCGTCTGCAAACAGGGACAATTTGACTTCCTCTTTTCCTAATTGAATACCCTTTATTTCCTTCTCCTGCCTGATTGCACTGGCCAGAACTTCCAACACTATGTTGAATAGGAGCGGTGAGAGAGGGCATCCCTGTCTTGTGCCAGTTTTCAAAGGGAATGCTTCCAGTTTTTGCCCATTCAGTATGATATTGGCTGTGGGTTTGTCATAGATAGCTCTTATTATTTTGAAATACGTCCCATCAATACCTAATTTATTGAGAGTTTTTAGCATGAAGGGTTGTTGAATTTTGTCAAAGGCTTTTTCTGCATCTATTGAGATAATCATGTGGTTTTCTCATCAGTAAAATGGCATAATCGAAGTGACCATTTGATAATCTTACAGAAAGCATATTAATGTTCTCATAAATGTAAATGTTTTTAGTAACAAAATTTTTACATAATTAATATGAGCTCGTAAATAAAATGTTTAGATAAGACATTTTAGATTAACTCTTCAAATTCATTTAGTTGTGTTAATATTTGATATTCTGAAGGAAGGTACATATACTCTGTATCTGTTAAAAACTAACATTCTCTGAATACATACTCTGTCAGGCTATTCATATACAATTCTCATAACATCATTTCAGATATTCTTCCTAATATTTTTTATTATTATATTATATTATTATATATATAATATATATATTATATTATATTATATATTATAATTATATATTATATATATTTTATATAATATATATTATATTATATATTATATTATATTATATATACAGGTGAGAAAATAAAATCTCAAAAGTATTGATATCTGTTTCAAGATCAAAAACAGGATTTCAAGAGACTGAAGTGTGAACATAAATAGGTTCGAGCACAGCTCATTAATTGTATTTATTTGCATTTTTCAACTATAGCATTTTTGGAGTGATGAATAAGAAGACTTAAGCCAGGCAACCATAAAATCAGATAAATTTATTGAATTATTTCATTGAGTCATTTTACTAAATATAAATTAAAATGTCACAAAGGTTAAAGGGTATAAGAAAAGTGGTCACATTTATATCAGGGTCCACTTAAAAATCTCATGTATATGACCTATTTTCTGTTAAAACGTGACATACATCTGAAGGATATTGTGCCATCAAATAATCATGTAAAAAGGGGACTTTTCCTTCATAGATGTTCAAGTTTGATGTTATAAAGTTATTTAAAAGATACTGAACCCATACAGAAAAATAATTAAATTTATCAACATAAAAATATATATAATTAAGTTTACAGTCACCCAGTTTGTTTTCAGAAATACTAAAGGCTTTTCAGTTGTATTTTTAAATGATATTTTTAGAGAAAAAAATCACAAGTGTCACATATATATAGCAGGACAGATAGAAGAACTAAAATGTATAGAATATAGACCCTTGCCACAGCCACTGCCTACATTTTTGTGGTAATTAAAAAAAAACATAAACTAATCAGCAACCTCATTTCATTCATTTTAAGGTTATGTTTTCTAACTATAACAGTCAAATTATATCTGAGTGAGATGTGATTATTTAAAAAAATGAAAATATATAAAACAGTTCATTGCCATAATATATTTATTAGAATACTAGCGTTAACTCTTTATTGCATCCATTTATCTTGCCATATAAATTTTCTATATTCTCTATTACTATATTTTAAGAATACAATTTATTCATAATAATATATAAGTCTGTAACATACACATTGTGAAGTGCTTTATTAAAATCAGCACCAATAAGCCTACCACTAAACAAGGATGCTGCTCACATTTTGTTTCATTTGTATCCCATCCTCTCCTTGCTCTGACTTCACCCTACCAGTAACAAGCACCTCCATGTTGTGGTCATTTTTAACTTTTTTCGAAATTATACTTTAATCATACATGAACATGTATGAATCATACATGAACATCCCTAAGCAACATCACGTTTAATTATGTTAATTTGTAAGATTTATAAAATATATATCATCCCATTTAGTTTTCTGGGACATGCTTTTTTTGGCTCAACCTTATGTTTCTAAGAGTTATCCATGCTGTGGCATATTGCTGTAGTTCATTTTCACTCATTTTAACTCAATTGTATGCATTTGTCACACTTGTATAATAAATATCGTGCCCTTTTTAAATTTTTGAATTCAGAGGATATATGTGCAGGGTCATTACATGGGTATATTGCTTGCTGCTGAGCTTTGGGATACATATAATCCCATCACCAAGGTGTTGAGTATAGTACTTATAGGTAGTTTTTCAGCCTATATTCCCACCCTCCTTCCCCTATCTAGTAGTTCCCAGTATCTATTGTTCCCATCTGTATGTCTGTGCATCTTCAGTGTTTAACTCTTCCTTACAAGTGAGAATATGTGGTATTTGGTTTTCTGTTCTTGCATTAATTTGCTTAGGATAATGGCCTCCAACTGTATCCAGGTGGCTGCAAAGAACATGATTTCATTCTTTCTTATGGCTGCACAGTACTTCAGGGTGGATATGTATCACAATTCCTTTAACCACATAACTGTTGATGCATGCTTAGGTTGGTTCCATGACTTTGCTATTGGGAATAGTACTGCAGTGAACATACATGTGCAGGTATCATTTTTATAGAATGATTTTTTATAGAATTTTCCTTTGAGTGGATATGCAGTTGTGGAATTACTGAGTTGAATGGTAGTTCTACATTTAGTTCATTGAGAAATCTCCACGTGGTTTTCCATAGAGGTTGAACTAATTTACATTCTCATGAAAAATATATGTGTTCCCTTTTCTTCGCATTCACACCAACATCTGTTGTTTTTTTTTTTTTTTTGACTTTTTTGAGACAGAGTCTCACTCTGTCACCCAGGCTGGAGTGCAGTGGTGCCACATTGGCTTACTGCAGCCTCCGCCTCCTGGGTTCAAACAGTTCTCCTGCCTCAGCCTCCCAAGTAGCTGGGACTGCAGACATGCACCACCATGCTTTGCTAATTTTTTTTTTTTTGAGATGGAGGCTTGCTCTGTCACCCAGACTGGAGTGCAGTGGCGTGATGTCGGCTCACTGCAACCTCTGCCTCTGGGTTCAAGCGATTCTCCTGCCTCAGCCTCCCGAATAGCTGGGAATACAGGCATGTGCCACACACCTAGCTAATTTTTGTATTTTTAGTAGAGAGGGGTTTCACCAGGTTGGCCAAGCTGGTCTTGAACTCCTGGCCTCAAGTGATCCATCCACCTCAGCTTCACAAAGTTCTAGGATTACAGGCATGAGCCACTGTGCCCAGCTGTTTTTTGACTTTTTAAAAATGGCAATTCTGACTGGTGTAAGATGTTATCTCATTGCGGTTTTAATTTGCATTTCTCTGATGACTGGTGATGTTAAGCATTTTTTCATGTGTTTGTTGGCTGCTTGTACTTATTATTTACCACATCCACTAACATTCTGGTTTTTCTAGCCACTTTCTCTCCAATTAAAGGCTCAATATGCTTTTGATATGCCTTCAAAGTTATTGCAAACAAAAAATATATTGTGTTACTAACTGAATTCAATCTGATTTCTAGACCATGGAATCTGTTTCCTCAACCCCCATTGACTACTTAGGCAGGGCAACATATTTTATGCTTTTATTATAGCAATATAACACAAATAGCTATTCTACACATATTTTTCAAATAAGCATGAGCAGCAAAAAAAGGAAAGGAAAATAATTCTAGAATTAACACTATCTTATTTACAAATTATTAAATATTCTACATTAAAAATAAGATATTACTAAGAATGCAGAACAAACCCATGAGTAATCTCTGAGATAGTCAGTTGAAACCAAATTGGTTATTATGTATTTATCCTTTATCATACAGACAAATCTTTCTAAAAAGTATTGTTGAGCACGCTTTTGGCTAATATTTATAGCAGCACTGATTGGCTCAATGCACTTGTGAGCCAGAGGGACATGTGAGTTCTTTACCAGAAGAAATACATTTTTCTGTCTCTGTTAGACTACAGTATAAAAATTAATATGTATTCAATAAGAAAATATTCAGTGAAATATTTTTTACTCCTATCTTCCTTCAACAAATATGAACAATCCATGGACACAATGTTTTGATATAGGCATTGTGTGCAGATCGCTGCTCTAGGGATCTCGCTCCTTCTTACCTTCCTGTTCCTCAGTCTCTACTGTTTGCTATCCTTTCTGTGACCCTCATCTCTAGCCAGACCTTGAACTCTGCTTTGTGAGTTTTTCATCTCTGCTATGTCCTTCGGATTTTACCAAACATGTAACTAGTCTCTCCAAGCTCTCCTCCATCAGCTTCCCACCTTCCAAAAAGAAGCTACTACAAACAAACCTTCCTCTGTTATTTTGAGGTTTTCTTCTCTTGTCTTTGGATGATAAGAGAATATTAAAATAAGCAAGATATTACATTAAATGATGAGTACCTACTATCCTCTTGATTAATTCATAATTGATGCTCAATAAAATACTTGCTGATTTTAAGTTTAAAAGGAATATTTTATTATGAAACAGATTTAACAAATTAATTTGCTTCTTAATTTTGAGGTCAATAATGAAAATAAAATGTTGAAAATGATTATATCAATTTACAGTTGAAGTGCTAATGTTATAAAATGAATCCCACTATTATCATATCAATGTCTTGTTATTTTAGAAAAAAAACCTTATTTAGGTTAAAATACGTAAGTATTTTCAAAATATGTTTTGAGAGAAACCTAGCAGGATTAATATCCAGAATAAATAAAAATCATGGGGGAAAATTTTTCACATAAAATCTTCATTTTTATTTTTCAACACCAACCTAACTATATTCCTATCATATCTTCCACATCCAATTTAAAAATTAAATTTTAATTATAGTATTAACCTTATTTTTATACCTTCTAATTGCTCTTACTATTCTCTATTATTTGACATTGTGCAAGTTCACACAGCTAATATTGTACTTACTGTGTGTTGTATCAAAGCCTGTTGATTAAATATATCCAGCTTTACTGTGTATCAACAAATTTTAATTTGCTACATATTGTCTCTTCTGCTTAATCACATCTAAATTTGTGTTTTAATAAAAGCAGAAATTTGATATTTTTCTACAAGATTTCGGAATAACTAAATGTGTCAGTCAGGTGCATGTTACATAAAACAATGACTTTGAATTTCCATCATGGTAAAACGTCTATAGTTGTTTGAAATTAAAATGTGTTTCTTTATCAAAAAATATACAAAAAGTAAATATATAACTAATTAATATGACCAGCTCTTGGTGTTGAATAGGCTGAATAGACTATGAATCTTTTTGGTTAGGAGCAGCTATATTTGTCTTTGTATGTCTGATACTTAACATAATACTATTATGATATAAATATTCTGTAATATTTGCCTAATGAGTGGATCAGAAATGACTACTAGTTTAAATAAAATAGCATTTTTAGATTACTAATTAGTCCAGATTAAACTAAATGTTTTCTTGGTATGATTAATTGGAGTAATTTATTGTTCCCATCTGATTTACTACTGCATCAAATTGTTAGGTAAATTTTTCATATTTCAGTTCTCGTGGTTAACTTTGATGTTTTCTATGAACAATTTCTAACATGAAATTCCAAAGTTTCCATCAAATTCCAAGTAAAATATTTTCATTCATAATACTGACAGTATGTATTGACAGTTAATGTGCGACCAGATTCTAGTATGTTTACCCTTTAACAAATACTGTACTGACTTAAACACTATAGTTTTATGATAGGTATTGAGACCTAATAGAGTATCTTATCTATATTTCTAGCACCTAATTTCATAATAGCTACGTGGAAATTCTTTTCTTTAGTTTAATATATTAACTTAATAAAACAATTTAATTCAATATATACAAATAACACAATATTTTAACAAAATGTTTTGCTTTTTCTGATCAAGCATTGATATACTTTTCTTACAGCATACAAGAAAGGACAAACATAAATAATGTTGTGTTTAACTTTATGAGAAAGTAGCATGACCCTGTATCTGCCCATTACCACCTTCTATAAATGCTTTATTTTTTCGCTTGTGTTTACAAGGATGCAACTTGAAGCCACTAAATTTTTTATCTAGTTGTTTTCTGGAAGTTTATATTTGATAGAATGCAGAAAAATGGTTTTCGTGATGGGGCAACTATTTGGAACTACGAATTAGAGACAATGTTGGCTGGTTTTCTGACGTGTAGAGATCGTGTGTTTTCTAACCAAGAAACAGAAGGAGGAAAGACAGTTTCTCTCTGCCAACTTTTTGGTATTCTCTATATCTGATAACATAACATTCATGGGACACTAATTGCCCTGTTAGGGTCAATTCTATTGTTCTTCTCATGAAAATCCCTTCTAGAATCTGGTCACACATTTACTTTCAACAAATATTTTATTTGGATGTTTCAGAAGCTCTCTTTCTGTTTTGTTTGTTTGTTTGGTTGGGTTTTTTTTGAGACAGAGTCTCGCTGTGTTGCCTGGACTGGTGTGCAGTGGCACAGTCTTGACTCACTGCAACCTCTGCCTCCTGGGTTCAAGCAATTCTCTCCTGGTGTGTTAGCTTCCTGAGTAGCTGGGACTACAGGCATGTGCCACCTCAACCAGTTAATTTTTTGTATTTTAGTAGAGATGTGGTTTCACCATGTTGCCCAGGCTGTTCTATTATTATTATTATTATTATTATTATACTTTAAGTTCTAGGGTACATGTGCACAATATGCAGGTTTGTTACATATGTATACATGTGCCATGTTGGTGTGCTGCACCCATTAACTCGTCATTTACATTAGGTATATCTCCTAATGTTATCCCTCCCCTCTCCCCCAACCCCACAACAGGCCCCAGTGTGTGATGTCCCCCTTCCTGTGTCCATGTGTTCTCATTGTTCACTTCCCACCTATGAGTGAGAACATGCAATGTTTGGTTTTTTGTCCTTGCGATAGTTTGCTGAGAATGATGGTTTCCACCTTCATCCATGTCCCTACAAAGGACGTGAACTTATCCTTTTTTATGGCTGCATAATATTCCATGGTGTATATGTGCCACATTTTCTTAATCCAGTCTATGATTGTTGGACATTTGGGTAGGTTCCAGGTCTTTGCTATTGTGAATAGTGCCGCAATAAACATACATGTGCATGTGTCTTTATAGCAGCATGATTTATAATCCTTTGGGTATATACCCAGTAATGGGATGGCTGGGTCAAATGGTATTTCTAGTTCTAGATATCTGAGGAATTGCCACAATCTGAGACCAAAATGCAATCACACTAGAACTCAGGCTGGTCTTGAACTCCTAAGCTTAGGCAATTCGCCCACCTGGGCCTTGCAAAGTGCGAGGATTAGAGGCGTGAGCTAACATGCTGGCCCTAGTTTTCTACTATTCTATTTTAAACTCACATATTTTCCAATCCACTAAATCGGCCTATTGCTAAATTTTTAACTTTATTTTATATCATTCTTTCTGCTCTACCTTTAGATAGCTAATATTTTAAAACAGTATTATTTTTTATGTTAATGTTCTTTGATGGGAAAACATTTTGTTCTTCTAATACTTAATTCTAAATGTCTGTCTTTTCTTCACCTTCATATTATATGTAAATTGTGGTGGCAATAGTGTTAAATTAGTAGAAAGAACATGAATTTTGGAGTCAGAAAAAAAACCTCTTTTGAATTATAGTTCTTCCACTAAACAAACAGGATTGAGCAAACCACTTAACCTTTCTACATGACAGGGTGATTACAGTCAACAATAATTTATTGTGCATTTAAAAATAACTATAAGAGTATAATTGGGACGTTTATAACAGAAAGAAATGATAAATGCTTGGGGTGATGAATGTCCCATTTACCATGATGTGATTATGGCTTATTATATGCCTGTTTCAAAATACATCATGTACCCCATAAATATATGCACCTGCTATGTACCCATTAAAAATAAAATGAAAATAAAAATAAACTTTATGGAAAATAAGGATATAAAACATGGCTATTTTTACAGTGTTTTGTGGATTAAATGTGTAAAACATTAACTCAGTACATGACACCCACATGATGTTTTACATAATCATTAGTGAGGATACTCTTGAAATCTTGGCTTCTATGACTCCGCATTACTATTTATGATGTTATGATTCTGTTCCTCATTTTCTCCTTCCGCAAGTCTGTAATTAGGATTGTCCTTTATTAAGGTGAATGTCAGTCACGCTGTAACTTATTTTTTTTCACAGTCAAATAGCTTAAAATGATAGTCAATATGGGCTACTATAGTTCCTCTTTTCCTATTTCTATTAATAAGCAATAAGTTAGATTTGTCACCTCACTGAAGCTACTCAGAACAAGGTGATTTTCTAATTATCAGATCCATAGATTAATTTTAAGCATTCACGTTAACTTCTTACATCAGAATAATTTGGATACACTCATTAAAAATTTAGCAAAACTAATTGAGAGTCCTCGCAGAACAGCAAAAAGAAAGTGGCCTAATTTCTGACTTTTCCGTTTGCTGACAATGTGGCCTTTAACGAGAAATTTATATTCTCATAGGCCTTTGTTTTCTTCATTTTCAAAATGGAATAATATAAATAAAGTCATGTATAGACATATATGTTATGGGAGATAATGAGATAATGTATGTTGAATGTTTGATTCATAGTAGAAACTTAATAACTGGTAGCATTTAACATTATTTCATTAGTTAAAATAATTATGCTGATTTAACATAAAAACAGACAAACTATTATTACATTAACATAAATAATTTAATTTTAAAAGCATCCTTGAATTTCCTTTTCAAGATAGTTTCATGTTCCTAATTAGCTAAAATTAAATTAAGTGAATCATATATATTTGGCAATGTAATTCTTAATGTAATACATGGTAACAAGAAGACATATCTAATGGCTCAGAGAGTACAGTGAGTTCTGATGTAAAACAGTATTTAGAATTCATTTAAGACTACCTAGATATAAATCCGGTTTCAATGGAGATAGAATATCATTTGTGGAAATATATTTTTTACTCAAGAAAAATAACACTTAAACCGTGATCTGATTTTATCATCAGTAAGGTAGTACTCAGTTAACTGTAACTAAATGTAAAGTATTTATCTATTAATTTTATTTCTTATATGTATTTTTCTTCCTACATCTTTGGTGAGAAAAATGAGAAAATTATTTTCTACCCATAAATAGCCACCTTCTTTAATTTCTGTTTCAAACTATGACTAGGAAAACAAATAGAAAGAATTTAATAAAGGGAACTTGTTATAAAAGAAGTGAAGAGATGAAAGCGGGTAAAGGAAAAGAAGTGATTCAGGAGTTATTTAGCAAAGAAAGAAAATATGGCTAGAGAGTGAGACCGAGGGATTGGGCTTTCCAGAATACAAAACAAACTGATTTCTGTGTGTGCCATGTACCATGCACTACTGTGGCACATAGTGGATATGGGAATGGGGGAGGACCATCAGCAGATGCTCACCCTATAGATGGGGAATCATATGGTCACTGCTGAACCACAAAGAGAGGGCTGCTGCCACCAAAGCAGGGATCCTCAAAGCAATACAGTCACTTCCACAGTTGCTACCAGAAGCAAATGAAGAGAAAGGAAGAGAGAAAGGAGAAATAATAGCTTCTCTCCACTTCTCAGTTTCTAATCTCCAAATTCAGGTTTTGGACATATGTCTGAGATGTGGATTAGATATCCAAGTGGGCACGTAAAATAGGAATCATATATATATATGTATATATATAAATATATATGTATACTTAAAGGTCAGGTAAGAGGTTATCTGAAGATAAAAATGTTTCACCTATGAGAGTATAGATGTTATAATGTTCAGAACTATATTACATAGTATAAATAGTAAAATTTTGTCTCTACCCATGTGCATATAACATAGCTAGAGTGAAGGTGTGTCATGGTTGCAATGATTTAACATTGGAACATCACAAAGATAATGTGTTTAGAAGGAATTTAAAATGGGACTCTAAAACAAAATGCCTGCTGGAACAGTTTGTTTGGTTGGTTGATAGGTTACAAAAATTTAGCAAAATTTTTTTTCATCTTTCTTCTCCCTACTTTCCCATCACTCCACCTTCTTTTCCTTCTCTGTTTTCATATTTTTAACATATTAGTTCATTTTTTATTAGGTTGGTGCAAAAGTAATTGAGGTTTTCACCTTTAAAAAATAATGGCAAATCCTCAATTACTTTTGCATCAACCTAATAATATTACCTCCAATGTAACTTGCTAAAATTGTCTGGCAACTGTTAATATAACTACTATGTTTAACAGCATGCCATCTCATATGTTACCTCAAAAATTACATTTTTGTCTCATTCACAAGCATATTTCAAATTCTCCAAAAAATCAGTGATACTTTTGTGTGTAAATTGTCTATTATTTTTTGTTCCCAAAGACTAATAAAAATAATTGATAATGCTTCTGCATATAATTGTCCAATTTACATTTACAAACAATTTTCTCTTCATAATATTTAGTTTCCAAATATGCACATCAGTACATAGTTTAAGAATATGCTTTTGTTTTATGTATATTTTTGTTGATCTAATGATAAAAAATATATTATTGAATTTTCTTAAATTTTTATCATTTACAAAATAGGATTGGAATATTTTGAATATAAATTAGTTTATGCACTTACGAACATGACTGTTTAATATTATGCTTGCCAATATTCTCTCTTTCAGAAATTCAATAACTTATAAATTTTTTATTTTACATTCTTGTCATCTAACTACACACCATGTAAGAATAAACTATTTCTATCATTCTTCTATTCCATCAAAATTGTACCCAAATTTCAGAGTTATATGGGTCCCCTAAAGAAAGAAATAATAATTACAAAGTAAACTGTAAACATTCTTTTAAACTAGGCATTATTAATTGAATACCTGGGACACATTAACAGTTATAAAATATGGTAAAATGCTAATTCCTAAACCTAGTGGATATTGGCTTAAAAACATTATGCAATTATTCTAATCTTGTCTGTGATGTGTAAGTAGAACTTCTACTTAGAAGTAAGTAGAAGTAGAACCTTGAAAAATGAAAATCTATCAAGGAAGTTACTTTTATTGTTATTTTCACTATAAAATACTCATTGACATTTGTCTATTGATATTTATTTTACTTCCTTTAGTTTTTTTGTGTAGAATACACACCTAGTTCAAACAAAATTTATTCCCTCTCTCTGACTTTATTGATGATTTCATATAACTTTGTGTACAGTCAATAACATATTTCTCTATTAAACCTTTCAGTATCTGATACACTGGTGGCTACTCGTAGGGGAACAAACATCTTGGGTTTCCAGGACAATGGTGGTTTCTTGTCTATTTCCATAGTGTAACTGAAAACGAGATGCTCTCAAAGGAATCCCAAATTAAAAAGTCTATCTACTAGCCTTATCGAAAGTAGTCAGTATTTTTTATTTCTTCCATCTAGAATCCATAATACCTTAGCTTTCCTTCTTACATAGAAACTTTATTAGCTTTTCAAAGAAACATGCAATTTTCCAATAACTGTCCTTAAATGCAGTGTTAAAAAGAAAATTTTAATTCCCCCAATGAAGTCCTATCGTAGTTATCATGAAAATGTTAAATGATTGAAATATTATGATGAGTTACTTTAATCTAATCACTCTGTTTTAATGCCATAATATTAGCTGACAGATAATGGGGAAAGTCACATGTATTATAGCAGACTTTTATGTTTAAAACAGATACATAATAGACAGCAAAACATTTATTGCAACTTCAAGTCATATTTCCATGGTTTTCAACAACTAAAATATATAGTTATTAGAGTTTACTAAAATATAATTAAATTGGCATTTCTCATATTAGTAAATCTCACATAAGTATCCCTAGAATGTTGAAAAATAGAACATTCAAATATATGAAGACATTATTATGTAATTATGTTTACTAGTATTTATTAACCTTAATTATTTTCAATATTGTGAAGTAGAAAATTTTATCATTTTATATTTATTATATAAATGGGTAATTTAAAAAAATACTTCATATAGAGTAAAAGAGCTTATAACAGTACAAGTAATTTATTATTTAATTTTAACCATTTTTCCAATTTAAATGTTAGAATATGGCCTATGATTATTATTTTAAAATAGTATAATAATTGACTGAATGGCTTTTCATGTGACAAGAAAATAATGATCATTTGAAAACACTAAATTAGTCCATAAATCATGTCTAAATTCATTAATTAGGTAAATGACCACATGTACGTTCCATGTCACTGCATTCTCATGTTAATGTTTTCTTTATGATGTATTCCAATGAAGACAGATTATACTTTTATTTAACCTAAAATGATTAGAAATAATATTTTGAGGTGTTATGTTATTTACCAGTTGTATTGGGATATATGCATGCATACACACAAATAAATAATCATCTCAGAGGGCAGTGGTGATAATTTTATAAGAAAGTGTTATTGGGCACAATGGAAACAATTAATGGCTATATGTATCTTGTAAGAGTAATTGTTATATTCTCAGTAACTTGTCTCTAATAGCTTTGTAAATAAAATATTGACTTAAAAACAGAATCAAAACTTTTCTGAAAAGGTTCTCCACACTCCTAAATTTTACAATGTCTAGATGAAACTATAGTAGTTTCTTTATCAAAACATCTTTAATCATCACTATCATAAGGCTTTATTCAAAATCTCCAATTGCAGTGCTCTTTGTATTTTATGTAAAATGTATCTCTTCTTAATATATTTTTTAAAAATATTTAAGTCAACAAAACTGGTAATGGAATAGATCCTCAGAAACATTCTATAATTATTTCAGATTAAAGAAATTATGATTCATCCTTACCATGGAACATATCACAAAGATTATTTATTATTTGTTGGCATAGATTGTATGTGCAAACCCTCTAATTACTGGAGGAAATTGACAAAGAAAATACCACATTATAATATATACATTTTAAATGCATAAAAAATAATAAAAGTTGTGTAAATTTCATGTTTTGCTAAAACCGAGAGTGGGTGCTAATTAATATTACCTTTCTGGGAAATAGAAGGAGCCATAAATTTTGAGTTAAATTCTTATTGTTGTGGACTGGATAAGTGGACCAAACAAAAAATTGTCAATATGGGAAATGCAAAGCATGCATTTGTAGAATCGTGTTTTTTGTTTTGTTTCAGTTTTTCCTTAATGAATATAGAGTACTTGTAAAGAAATACAGTAAAATTAACATGATAAAGTGTGTGCAATACTTTCTGATAGATATCTTTGAAATGCACCAAAAAAAGGTGGCAGGGTTTATGGGAGGAAGTCAGTTGACTCAATCTCAGTAATTGTAAGTTACTAAAGACACAGATGTATTTCTCTCTCTCTCTCTCTCTCTCTCTCTCTCTCTCTGTCTCTCTCTGTCTGTCTTCTAATTGAGAATCTTCATCAATGCTCTCACCTCTCTCTCGGTCATAATTTTTTTAAATTGACCTTAAATAAATAACTTGTGATGAGTCTTTACTAATTCTACATCCAAAAAGATCAAAAGTCATAGCAATGATAAACTTAGCAGAAAAAATAAACAACCTAGTAGAACACAATAGCATGTACTTGAAGAAATACTACATTTATCCCAAATACTCCAAGTTTGTTATAGCTATCAATAATGTAGTGCGTCAAGAAGAAAACTCTGAGTGGTGTGTGAAAGAATTCTCTAATTCTCAGATCTGTCATCTTTCTCAAGAGTAGCTAGTTTGCTAAATGCTTGGCATTGTTCTAAGTGATGTGCTTGTATTAACTTATTTAAACTTGACAGGGACTTAAAGGGAAGGTACCATTTCATCTACATTTTGCCACTGAGGAATCAGGAGAGGCAAGTAACCTGCCCAATGTCACACAACAGTAAATGGAATCACTGAGATTTACTCCAGGTAGTCCAGCTCCAGAGTTATCACTGAATGAGTTTTTTTATAATTAGATGAACCTTGGGTGGGTTCATCATCAAAATAATTATGGTAAAAATCATATTCAGCATATGTCAGCAACTGTGGTAAGCTTTTACAAGCATTATCCCAATTAAATCTCCCAACATAACTATGGGATAATTCCTAGTATTTACCTCATCTTATCCCTAGTTTTTTGGAATAAAGTAGCTTGCCCAATATTACACTGCTAATAAGCAGCAGAATGAATTTTTTTTTCAATTGTATACTCTAAAATACAAGCTTATAGTCACTAGAGTCAACTGCTTCTTAGAAACCTTAGAAAAATATGCTAATTAACATTTTCAGGAGTTTATACAAGGTGGGGAAACTGTAAAATATATTTAAATTGATTAATTGCTCTACATAATTTTCCTGTATTTCTAGTTTTCTCAATGATTCAAGATGGCCTTTGGAATTACAGTCATGTATAACCTTAAACGTCAGTTATTCAATGGAAAAAATAAGAAGGGGGACATTATAGAAGGTTTGAAGTATTTGTAGCATAAAGAGAACAAATTGGAAAGGTTGACTTTTGAAGAAAATTTTTAGTAGTGTATTTCATGGGTCTGGAGAAAATGTTGATCCTGAAGATCAAACTCTAAAGTCAATGGTAAAAACAAATTTTCTGGAAACATGGTATCTTTAAATATAGTGAGCTGAGAATATCTACATTTTTATCAATATCCATTTTTGCAGGAAGAAAAAGTTTTCTCTAGAAGATTGTGGTTTATATTTTTCTACTTTAAATATCAGCCATCATTTTTATTTATATAGAGGAAAAAATGCCAAAAGTTAAAATAATGAAAATTATGCATAGTTTTACACAAATAGTTAAGAATATACTGTCAATATCATCTTATCTAAGAATTATTTGCATATTACTGTAACTTGTGCTAGAAATCAAAGGAACACTTTTGTAACAAAAAGAGTGAAAATAATTTACTAGAAAATAACCTACTTTGAAATTATTTGGAGAGGAAAATTTCATTAATAGGCTGGTAGTCTTTTTGCATTTCTCAGTGCTCAGACCAAAAAAATGAAATATTTCAAGCAGGAATTCTTTTAATAATAAGAATTCTAGGTTTAAGGCTGGCTTTTGATGGTCAAAGATAGCCTTCACTAACTTTCAGGTAATCAAGAATTTGCAGAATTGCAGGAAAATACCAGTGATAAGCTCAGTTGTTTGCAAAATCAAATGCTTGTTTTTAATAAGAATTCTGTTAAGTCAATGCATAAACCTCACCTCTAAAACTTTCTGAAGTCCCCGTACCTACCTGCCATGACATCAACTTTTATTCACATTCCAAATCTTATGGAAGTGCTTCACTGACAAATATTTACATGTATACCCAGCACATGTTCCCAACATGGTGAATTTGCCTTTCTCACACGTTTCTTTCTGGAATTTTATATTTGATAGAAGCTTCAGGTCATTTGCTCTCAACAAATGATACAATTATTCAAATGTTGCCACAGCCATATTTTTCTTTAATATTACTGCCAGTGACATCTTGACATAACCATGAATTATTGTGCTGTGCTTCATGTACTCCAATATCAATAGGATATGCATGATTTATTTTAACAGAACAGCCATTACTTTAAATATCAGCTTGTTCCTGTGGTTTTCTTGTTTATTGTGACATTAAATAGGCTAATAGTTTGTTTCAGCAGAGAATTCTCTGTATATCCTTGGATCATTTTTAAGGACTGTTGAACCAAAGAAAAATTATAAGATAATTCATATCCAAAAGTCTTACTGTGAGTAATGTGAAATCACTGTGCTTATGCTGGTCGTATTATATAATATATCTTAGCATTAGCAGTACAGGGTGCAGCAAAAAGGGCAATGGAGTTTGAGTCACATCACTAAAGAAACTAATATTTAATGACAATTTGTTATCCAAAAAGTACACTAGATCATTTCACATGAATTACCTTACTTAACATTCACAAAATCCTGAGAGTTTGTAATAGTACCACTTTTATTTTTAAATAAATCTCTCTCTCTCTCTCCTCTTCCTATTTCTTTCTTCATCAGTCATTCTTTACTCCTCGTCCTCTCTCCTTTCCTCCTGCTTCCCTTTCTCTCCCTTTCTCTCTTACCTCTTACATCCATGTCTATTTTGCTTCTATCTTATTATAAGCAGCAATATGCTAATAACCTCTTAATTTAAAACGATGCCTGTTACATCCATTCTTTAAATAACATTTTAATATTGTAATCAGCTGTTATACACATTACATTTAAATAAATAGAGTCTTTTTTTTTTACATTCTTAGAGAATGTATATGTGTGGTCGTTCTTCTCAACTCTCCCAGAAAAAATAAAATCTTACAGTTAAAACCTAATAAACATAGTTAGATAGTGAGACAGGTATCATTCTTATCTATAAGAATGATGCTGATTCTTATATGCTTTAACAAGTCTGATGCTTTAAGAATTCCCATCACATTAAGTTGAAATACAGTATGTTAATTCTCATTAATTACAAAATATTCTAAACGTACAATTTATTATTTAAAAAACATATTCATTGACATTTTAAATGGATTTCTTGCAATGTAAATTTCTATCACTTTTTCATTAATTACCAAATAATTACTTTAGTACTTTTCATATTAGTTATTGATAGAAAGTTGTAAGTTAATTGTTTAATTCTCCTTGTGACTAGTTATTCATTTCAGTATAAAATATCGTTATCATTTCTAAGTTTTTACAGAGGAAATATTTCAAGAATGTTTTCATCCAAAAGGGAACATGAGAAGAGACAGGATCACATGTTCTAAGTGCATGATTTTTCAAACAGGGAACAAAAGCCTCTGATGAGTTTCTTGTCTAGTAAAACATAAAATGCTAAGATGGGGTTGGAGGTGTATGTGGGAGTAGGGACAAATAAGAATAGAGATTATCAATTAGAAACCATAAAATTTAAAATGAAAAAAAAAATACCAGCTAATACATTGCACCATTCTGTCAGATGAGAAAATGTACTGAAAAAATTGCCATAGACAAGTCCTGGTCCATGACAAAATATTCACCAAATAACAGTTGAAATGTAAAAAAATAAATAGAGGAAAAGCTGTAGAATTTTCATGAAACTAAATGTATCAAAATGAAATGATTATTCATTAGTATGAGTTTACATGCATTTTTGAAAGACAAATTTAGGGTGAGAGAACATAGTTATTGTCAAGATGTGACAAAATATTCACTAATAATCAGAATGAATACAGTTTAATACTTTATTGGTCAGCCTTAATTTTTGACATATTAAAAATATCTGCCTGAAATTTATATTGCATGATTCCAGGATGTTCGTCTCATATATTTAAATGTTTACTAATCTTACTTAGTTTTCCCAGTCGGGAAATATCTTTGCTAACCAGTGCAGTTTTCGCTATAAAGGTGTCACCAACTGGCGGGGCGGGGTGGCTCACGCCTGTAATCCCAGCACTTTGGGAGGCCGAGGCAGGCGGATCACGAGGTCAGGAGATCGAGACCATCCTGGCTAACACGGTGAAACCCCGTCTCTACTAAAAAACAAAAACTTAGCTGGGCGTGGTGGCGGGCGCCTGTAGTCCCAGCTACTCAGGAGGCTGAAGGCAGGAGAATGGGGTGAACCCGGGAGGTGGAGCTTGCAGTGAGCCGAGATCGTGCCACTGCACTCCAGCCTGGGCAACAGAGCTAGACTCTGTCAAAAAAAAAAAAAAAAAAGCTGTCACCAACTAGTCAGACAATGGCTCCCCATTGCCTTACTCACCTTTAATTCAATGACTTCATAATAATTCTTACCACCCACAACTACTTAAAGTTGTGATGTGGGTGAAATATGTTCTATTCATTCAAAATACTTGTTAAGAAACCTACATGGGCATTGTGCAAAAACCAAAACTGATTAAAATTTTATTCTGGCTTCATAGAAAAAAATCATTTCTCTTATGGGAAAGTCCTAGTGGATTGAAGTCTGAAGTTACTGTTTTTATCTTTGCTCCACTACCTGCCTACCACCTGCATGAATTTAAACAATTTACTTATCATTCCTGAGCTGTGATTTCTTCAACTGTGAGTCAAAGAAAATACCGCTGGACTGTGGTACAATTTTCAAAGAAACATAAAATGTCATTCACTATGCAATTTCATCGTGCATCAACGCGGAGGGAATATAACTGATAATGTAGTAACGAGCAATATATGCAAAAAACTAAATTTTACAAATATCAAAACCAGTACAAATAATTACATGGAAAAATAGCATACTTATCTATAAAATAGTATGCTTTTAAATTACCTAGAAAACATGTTAAGTCCAAGTGAAAACAATATATTTAAATACCATAAATTTATAGCTCACATTTTAAAGATACAAATCATATTAGCTTTACCTTAAAATAAGTTTTCGAACTATATTGTTGTTCCTAGAAAGATATGTCAAAAAAGTGTGCATGAGATATTTATCTTAAACTTTTGAGGTTAACATGGGGAAAACTTACTTTCTCTGAACAAGAGTCTCTACTTAAGCTATAGAAATTTTCTTAATAACTTAATAACAATAAATTTATATTCTTATGATGTTTCAAGAACACAATTCTTAGTGTGAATAAGAAATTGTTAAGATGGCATCGATATTCTCCTACCATTTCAACTCATTAGATTAATAAGTACTTACTGAGAGACTCCTCCATGACATACATTGACAGAAGCACTGGTTTTAGACTCTGAGTCCCAAACACTGACATCTTTTTTTTTCCATAAGTATTGGGGTACAGGTGGTATTTGGTTACACGAGTAAGTTCTTTAGTGGTGATTTGTGAGATTTTGGTGCACCCATCACTTAAGCAGTATATACTGTACTATATCTGTGTTCTTTTATCCCGTGCCCACCTCCCTCTCCCCCAAGTCCCCAAAGTTCATTGTGTCATTCTTAAGCCTTTTGGTCCCCACAGCTTAGTTCCCACATATTAGTGAGACTACATGATGTTGGTTTTCCATTCCTGACTTACTTTGCTTAGAATAATAGTCTCCAGTCTCATCCAGGTCACTGCAAATGCTGTTAATTCATTCCTTTTTATGGCTGAGTAGTATTCCATCATATATATGATATGTGTATATCGCAGTTTCTTTATCCACTCGTTGATTGATGGACATGTGGGTTGATTCCATGATTTTACAATTGTGAATTGTGCTGCTATAAACATGCATGTACAAGTATCTTTTCAAATAATGACTTGATATCCTCTGGATAGGTACCCAGTGGTGGTATTGGTGGATCAAATGGCAGTTCTACTTTCAGTTCTTTAAGGAATCTCCACACTGTTTTTCATAGTAGTTATAATAGATTACATTCCCACCAGTAGTGTAGACGTGTTCTCTGATCACTGCATCCACACAAGCATCTAAGGTTTTTTGATTTTTTGATTACGGCCATTCTTGCAGGAGTAAGGTGGTATTGCATTGTAGTTTTGATTTGCATTTCCCTGATCATTAGTGATGTTGAGTATTTTTTCACGTTTGTTGCCATTTGTATATCTTCTTTTGAGAATTGTCTATTCATGCCCTTAGCCCACTTTTTGATGGGATTTTTTCTTTTTTTTCTTACTGATTTGAGTTGGTTACAGATTCTGGATATTAGTCCTTTGTCAGATGTAAAGATTGTGAAGATTTTCTCACACTCTGTGGGTTGTCTGCTTACTCTGGTGAATGTTCCTTTTGCTGTGCAAAAGCTCTGTAGTTTATTTAGGTCCCAGCTATTTATATTTGTTTTTATTGCATTTGCTTTTGGGTTCTTGGTCATGAAATCCTTGCCTAAGCCAATGTCTGCAAGAGTTTTTCGAATGTTATCTTCTAGAATTTTTATAGTTTCAGATCTTAGATTTACGTCCTTAATCCATCTTGAGTTGATTTTTTATAAGGTGAAAGATGAGGATCCAGTTTCATTCTTCTACATATGGCTAGCCAATTATCTCAGCACCATTTGCTGAAAATGGTGTCCTTTCCCCACTTTATGTTTTTGTTTGCTTTGTCAAAGATCAGTTGGCTGTAAGTATTTGGGTTTATTTCTGGGTTCTCTATTCTGTTCCATTGGTCTATGTGCCCATTTTTATGTTAGCACCACACTCTTTTGGTGACTACGGCCTTATAGTGCAGTTTGAAATCAGGTAATGTGATGCCTCCAGATTTGTTCCTTTTGCTTAGTCTTGCTTTGGTTATGCAGGCTCTTTTTTGGTTCCATATGAATTTTAGAATTGTTTTTTTCTAATTCTGTGAAGAGTGATGTTGGTATTTTGATGGGGATTGCATTAAATTTGTAGATTGCTTTTGGCAGTATGGTCATTTTCAAAACATTGATTCTCCTCATCTATGTGCATGGTATGTTTCCATTTGTCCATGTCATCTATGATTTCTTTCAGCAGTGTTTTATAGTTTTCCTTGTAGAGGTCTTTTGACTCCTAGCTTAGGTTTATTCCTAAGTATTTTAATTTTTTTTTGCAGCTATCATAAAAGGGTTTGAGTTCTTGATTTGATTCTCCACTTGGTCACTGTTGGTGTATAGAAGAGCTACTGATTTGTGTACATTAATCTTGGATCTTGTATATGGAAACTTTGCTGAATTCTTTTATCAGTTCCAGGAGCTTTCTGGAGGAGTCCTTAGGGTTTTCAAGGTAAACGATCATATCATCAGCAAACAGTTACAGTTTGGCTTCCTCTTTACTAATTTGAATGTCCTTTGTTTCTTTCTCTTGTCTGATTGCTTTGGCTAGGACTTCCAGTACTATGTTGAAGAGGAGTGGTGAGATTGGGCATCCTTGTCTTGTTCCAGTTCTCAGAGGGAATGCTTTCAACTTTTCCCCATTCAGTATTATGTTGGCTATGGGTTTGTCATAGATGGCTTTTATTACATTAAGATATAAAGGAGAACCTATCAAATTAACAGCAGATTTCTCAGCAGAAACCCTACAAGCTAGAAGGAATTGGTGCCTATCTTCAGCCTCCTCAAACAAAACAATTATCAGCCAAGAATTTTGTTTCCAGCGAAACTAAGCATCATATATGAAGAAAAGATACAGTCTTTTTCAGACAAACAAATGCTGAGAGAATTTGACATTATCAAGCCACCACTACAAGAACTGCTAAAAAGGAGCTGTAAATCTTGAAACAAATCCTGGAAACACATCAAACAGAACCTCTTTAAAGCATAAATCATACAGGACCTATAAAACAAAAATGCAAGTTAAAAACCAAAAACAAATAAAAAACAAAGTACACAGGCAACAAAGTGCACGATGTATGCAAGGGTACCTCACATTTCAATACTAACATTGAATGTAAATGGCCTAAATGCTCCACTTAAAAGATACATAACTGCAGAATGAGTAAGAACTCACCAACCAACTATCTGCTGCCTTCAGGAGACTCACCTAACACATAAGGACTCACATAAACTAAAGGGGTGGAAAAAGACATTTCATACAAATGGATACCAAAAGCAAGCAGAGGTAGGTGTTCTTAGAGAAAACCAACTTTAAAGCAACAGCAGTTAAAAGAGACAAAGAGGAACATTATATGATGGTAAAAGGCCTTGTCCAACAGGAAAATATGACAATCCTAAACATACATGCACGTAACACTGGAGGTCCCAAATTTATAAAACAGATACCAATAGACTTAAGAAATGATATAGACAGCAACAAAATAATAGTGGGGGACTTCAACACTCCACCGACAGTACTAGACAGGTCAAGACAGAAACTCAACAAAGAAACAATGGATTTAAACTTTACCTTGGAACAAACTGACTTAACAGATAGATATACAGCACATTTTATCCAACAACCATAGAATACACATTCTATTAAACAATGCATGAAACTTTCTACAAGATAGACCAGTAGATAGACTACATGATAGGCCAAAAACGAGCCTCAATAAATAAAGAAAAAATTAAAATTATATCAAGCACTGTCTTAGACCACAGTGGAATGAAACTGGAAATCAACTCCAAAAGGAACCCTCAATACCATGCAAATACATGGAATTTAAATAATCTGCTCCTGAATGAGCATTGGGTCAAAAGCGCAATCAAGATGGAAATTTACAAATTCTTCGAACTGAATGACAATAATGGTACGATGTATCAAAACCTCTGTGATACAGCAAAGGCATTGCTAAGAGGAAAGTTCATAGCCATAAGTGCCTACATCAAAAAGACTGAAATAGCACAAACTGACATTCTAAGGTCACACCTCAAGGAACTAGAGAAACAAGAACAAACCAAACCAAAGCCGGTAGAAGAAAGGAAATAACCAAGATCAGAGCAGAACCAAATGAAATTGAAACAAAAAAAATTACAAAAGATAAATGAAACAAAAAGCTGGTCCTTCAAAAAGATAAAATGGATAGACCATTCACAAGATTAACCAAGAAAAGAGAAGAAATCCAAATAACCTCACTAAGAAATGAAACAGGAGATATTACAACTGACACAACCAAAATGCAAAAGATCGTTCAAGGCTACTGTGAACACCTCTACGCACATAAACTAGAAAAACTAGAAGAGACGGATAAATTCCTGGAAAAATACAACCGTCCTAGCTCAAATCAGGAAGAATTAGACACCCTGAATAGACCAATAACAAGTAGGAAGATTGAAATGGTAATTTTAAAATTAGCAACGAAAAAAAGTCCAAGACCAGACAGATTCACAGCAGAATTCTACCAGACATTCAAAGAATTGGTACTAATCCTTTTGACACTATTCCACAAGACAGAGAAAGAAGGAACCCTCCCTAATTCATTCTATGAAGCCAGCATCATCCTAATACCAAAACCAGGAAAGGACATAACCAAAAAAGGAAACTACAGACTGATATCCTTGATGAACATGGGTGCGAAAATCATTAACAAAATACTAGCTAACCGAATCCAAAAACATACCAAAAAGATAACCCACCATGATCAAGTGGGTTTGACACCAGAGATTCAGGGATGGTTTAACATACGTAAGTCAATAAATGTGATACACCACATAAATAGAATTAAAAACAAAATTCACGTGATCATCTCAACAGATGCAGAAAAAACATTGACATCTTGAAGCATAGTATCCAAAGGAGAAAAAGATGTTTAATAACTATGCACATAAATATGAAATTACAAAATGAAGTCTTATAAAGAAAAAACTAATTAGACTCATAACTGAGTTTATTTTTAAATCAATTATACAACGTATTACAAGAAGGAGTAAAACAAGTTACCTCAAATCCTCATAATGATACAGCTATTATATGAAAATAACTTTTAAAAAATACATTTTGTTCTCTCATTGATTAAAATTAAAAAAACAAAACAAATCTCCCATTACACAACATGCCACTACATGCTGATTATTTAAACATATATACAGAAACCCAGCTTTTGCTAAAAGTGAACAATTCTTCACAATGTTCTTCTCTATTACTTTGAGTAACTTAATGATAAAAGTGTTCTAAATATTGCTTCAAATATTATTTAATACAACTGAGTGAATACCAATTTGAAATTGTATACAAAATGATTTGGATGTTAATGTACACATTAATAGTTCAAATATTTATTGTTTCTATTTTATTAATGTCTCAAAGACAATCAGATGCCAAACAGGGTGTTTAATTGATAATAGGAGGCAATAATACAGTTGTAGTCTTAGACCTGGCTCTTCTGTGAACTTGATCTAGTTGCCTAATTCTTCTCGGTCTCTTGTATCTTCTAATGTAAGGATGTAATTTCATATTATACTATATATATAATATCTCATACTATGTTATCGCTCTTCATAGAGAGATTTTTAGTCATAATTACATAAATATTGCCTTAATAGGTTCTGAATGTACTCATTTTATATAATATCAACAGCAGTCTTGGTAACTTAGTCACTAGGTTTCACAGGACTTCCATATTCAATTATAGAATAAATTAGTATTTATCTAGATATTTTAAAAATGTATATTCCAAAACCCAGGAAAGAATTGTATATCAGTTGTCCATTCCTGCTACAACAAATTGCCACAAACTTAGTAGCTTAAACAACACAAATGTATTATCTTGCAGTCTGGAGGGCTGAAGTCCAAAATGAGTTTAACTGGGCTGAAATCAAGGTGTTGGCTGGATAGCATTCCTTCTGGAAATTATAGGAGAAAATCTGTTTTATTATTTTTTTTAAATATGACTTTAATCCTTCTTAAAAACTCTTAGATAAAATGATTATGTCTCTAACAATTAATTCCATTTTGTTTTAGGTTAACAGGATTCCATCTGCCACCTCCAGTGACAAGTACCAAATCTGTGTTCTCACTACGTTTGACCAGTGATTTTGCAGTTAGTGCTCATGGATTTAAGGTATATTACGAAGGTAAGTGATGGTAGTGGCAAACAAACCACTGCCCTTAATGTAATCTAACAAAATTTTTCAAGTAGGAAAGAAGAATCAACATTTGAGACAACATCATGTTGTCTCAAATCTTGTCCTGAAATTTATCTTGTTATTAATCATTAATGTATAGTAAAATGCTATACTTAGTGGGTTTTAATATTTTATATCACTATGTGAGACCATTAAATTGCTACAGGGTTACGAATTAACAAAACGGAATTAAATGTGAGAGTAATAGGACTCTAGACCTGATTTGTGTGTCAGGCATCACAGACCCTACCCTACAGTCCCTTGTGCTGTGCCAGTCTACCAGAAAGTAAACTAGTAATCTGTCTTCTCTGAAAGTTAGAGTCAAGAGAAGAAGTTCAGAAAGAGACAAGAGTTGACATCTACTCCTGAAACAGCCTTTCCAGGAATAAGATCAATAATCCCTTAAACCAGGAAGAGGACAACTAAATATTTCTCAAAACTGAAGGTTGTGTTTTTTCTTTTTCCTAGAAGTTTGGTACAAACTCAGTTGGCATCAAAACCTGATGCCAAATGAATAGAGGACATTTATGATCTTTATTTATCACGCTTAGTGTGGATACTCATACATATCACTAGGAAAATATCGTTTGATAATGGGATGGTGCCCAGGCTCTACTCAGAGTGTTTAAAGGCACAGAATCTACATGTTTTGCTTTTTAAAAAATGTGCTAGCAAAAATAATTCTGATGGCAAAAATAATTTGTTCTTGAAGGTTTCAGATAGAAATCATGGACTTATCATTTCTTATCTATGTGATTTGACAATAAAATTTCCATCTAATTTAGGAAAGAGTCCTTTTCTTCCCCATAGGGATAGTGTATCAGATTTCAATTCATCTCCCCAGGACCATATTACAGAATTTATCACATCAGGTCTAACATTATCATAAAGAGATACATAAATACCGTAGCAAGGGCAATTAATTTCTAAACCATATAATAATTCAAAATATAATGTGTTTAAAGAAAACAATCACATAGTAAATAGAATTGTTTCAGTATAAATGTTAACATCTTGCATGTAAGGGAATGTCTTAAACTAAACACTAATTCTAGTACAGTATTTTTCACTAGAAAAAAAATCCTCTGGCTAATAATTTAGTAAAATGCTTTCTCTGTTTTATATCCTAAATAATGTCAGATAGCAGCAGTTTTGAACATTATTTTCTACCTAATACTTTTCTGAACTGTCTTTTGTGTAGCAAGGGAGGATAAATTCCAAGACTTAATTTCCTCCACGGTGATAGTAATAATCGTTGTTTTTCTAAGGAGCTCTCACAATAGTTGAATATTCTTTATCCTGGCAACTTAATTCATAGTTTAAAACACTATAACCACAAAGTTTAATTTTAAGGTATAATTTTGGCAATACTGAAGAAGAAGTTAGTAATGCAATTATTTTGTGCTAAGCGCTCTTAATAAAAAACCTGTATTCTGTTCATCAAAATATAAAGATATTTTTAGATTAGTTTAAGCTTTCAGGAAGTACTAAATATATTGAAAATGTACTTGTGAATTATGAGGTTGGCATGTTTTTTGGTTTGGCTGTCAGGTTTCATGAACTCATACTAAAAAATATTTTCATAGCTCCCAATTGTTTCTACATATACCACACTAAATTTCTGTCCATCTTTTTCACTTAAGGTAAAATAGATTCATATATTTTTGACATTTAAATGTATGTTTGGCATGTGCTGACTTAAAATATAGGATACTTGACATTCAGATAGTACTGAAGGATGGGTTATCATACTGCAAAATCTTCAGGTATTGATTCACAGTATCTTGTTCAATGCATATTAGTTTTCAATTTAACATCTTAAAATAATCTTAAAAAACTATCTCAGTTTTATAAGTTAAAAGTCCTGGTGTTCTTTGCTGATTTCTCTGTTTGGAGTCCCACAAGGCTAAAATAAAAATTTCAGTGGGCTGGGTTTGTATCCAAAGGTTTTGGGGAAAATCTACTTTCTGGCGTATTCTGATTGTTAGCAAGATCCAGTTCTTCAAGTTTGTAGGACCATGATACCTGTTTCCTTCTGGCTGTCAGCTGGGGCTGCCCATAGCTCCTAAGGCTTTCTCTCCTCTTCACGTAGAGGCCTCATACCTTAGAGCCAGCAACTGGTAAAAAGAATCCTCCTCACCTTGGAATCTTTGATTTCCCCTCTGATGTATCTGTCTGCTACTTTCTCCCTCCACACATCTTATACTCCAGGTGAAGAAATTTCTCAGCTTTTAAAGTCCGTGTGATTGGCTTGGGCCCATCTGGCTAATGAATGCTAATCTCCGCATCATAAAGTCCTTAACCTTAATCATATCTTCAAAGGCTTTTTGGCCATGTAACATGACATATGTGCAAGTTCCAGAGATACATTTTTGGGGAGGTAGAGGGGCATTATTTGGCCTACAATTTCATGCTTAAGTCTATGTAACATGATCCAGAGGGAGTAGCTGGTAGCATTTCTATATTTAACTGTAGCCAGTGATACTGCCAGGGCCAACTGGCATATTGTGAAGCTCGGAAATCTTATCTTGGAATTACAAAATCTGTCTCCCACTCCCCTGCATTTGGATCCAGTTTTTTTTCTGCAGTTACCTCAAATTACAACTCTTGCCCTGTGTATGATACAGTAAAATAGATCTACTAACCTGGACATCTTCTCAAGTATTATGCCTGTATTTTTAAATTTAATTTAATTTTTATATTTTTGAGATAGGAGTCTCACTGTGTTGCCCTGGCTTGTCCTAAACCCCAGGCTTCTAGCGATTTTCCTGCCTCTATCTCTCAAAGCACTGGGATTACAAGCAAGAGCCACTGCTCCTGGTCTCTTACCTGTATTTTTAAAAATATTTTTCAAGCTAATCCTAATGTGTAAATCTCATTTCTTTTTATTTCATCCTCCTCTATATAATCATTTACTATTTTTAAAAAACTTTCCTAAGACTTTGTCCTTGTGTATTAGTATTTATGAGACCGTATTTATTACTAATGTTATTCATTTATCTGTGTTTCTCAAATTGTCAACACTGAACCACATGCATCAGCTTTATCTGGAGACTGTATTAAAATCTAGAATTCTTGGCCCCACTTACATATTCTGAGTCAGACTCTGCCGTGGAGCCCTGGAATATGCATTGTAATAAGAGACTCACTGATTCTTATGCCTACTGAGATTGTAAATTCTATCTTTCTCTCCCTGGAAAGAGGACTAAACCAGACCAAACTAATCTGGTGTATAATAAAAGCTAAGAAAGATATTTGTTCAACTGGTATACTGCAAAGAGAATTATTCTGGAGAAGATACTTAATGTATCTAAATCTCATTGTCTTCATCTGTAAAATTGAGATAATAATTCTCCCTACTTCATAGTGTTGTGAGGAAAAAAATAATATAGAGTGCCTAGAATAGGATCTAACATAATAAACAGTCTATACATATGAATTACAATATTGATAGTATCATGATGGTGATTAAAAGAGTACTTTATATATAAGCATTTCAATTCTATGGGGACATACAGTATATTTGTACAAATTTCTATAATGGAGTTAATATGCTTTTTTAAAAAGGCTATTTTTATGGTCTGTTCTTTTAGCAAGAGCTGTTGAAGTAATCACACATTCTCTCTCTCTCTCTTTATTTCTCTGCCTCCCTCCCTCCCTCCCTCCCTGCTTCCTTCCTTTTTTTCTTTCTCTCTCTCTTTCTCTCTGTGTGTGTGTGTGTGTAGCTGAATGTGATTAATGACTTAATGTTACAAATATATTTCTTTAAAAATCATTATTAGGTGAGTAAAGGTCATCAAGCTAATGAACAAACACATTATTCTCAGTTAAGGTAATGTGCTGTAACTACTATGAGATCTTTCAAGACAATTTAGCGTATTGAAATTGATTTAACTTGCAGAGGAGAAGGTAAAGTAGGAGAAGTTCTACTTATTCACTCTCTACATTTTTCAAACTGTCTATGATGAAAGACCAATAGGTATCTGTAATTGCACACCAATACTTTTGTAAAATAAAAGCTAATGGAGGAAATGTTGCACTGATGTCAATTTGCTTGAAAGTACTTAAATGCTTACTCTTGATTTCTATACTTCATCGTGGACAAGTAAGAAATTGTTTACCAAAGCACACTGGTCCACGAACCAGTTCTCACCTTTTCCTTTAGTGTTGCTAAATTATCCAGAATGAGTTATACAGTCTCTACTTTCATACTAGAGTGCAGATCAATTTAAAATATTGTTTAAAATTAATTTTCTAGATCCCTTGATACATTAAATTTATATTCTTTAGGCAAATATTTCATCTTAAATTCCATATAGTATCCATTAATAGCAAAAAAATCAATATATTAATAATTTAACAATTCTGTGTGCTTGGAATCATTCTATACATTTAAAATTTTTATATTGAAATTATGATTTTCAAAATGTAAAAACTTTATGCTTTATTTAGAAATGTAAAGTATACTTTTATTTTGTCAAATTACAAAAATATTTAATAAAGACCGCTATCAAATTCTTTACATTTTCTATGATTTCTTTTGCTTCTTAAGTTTCAAAAACCTGTTACTTTCACTTATTCTTATATTTTATTTAGCTCTAGGCAATTGCTACCAATTTATAAGACAGGAAAATAATTCAGTTAAAATATAAAACATCATTATGAATGTTTCTAAGTAGAAATATTTCTCTGTATTAGCTATACCTGATAGTTTATCCTAAATACAAAAGATTAATCAACATATAATACAATGTAATAGTTTAGTGAAATTCTGTCAGATATCAGAAAACACTACAAATGAGATCCATTAAATCAGGGTAGGCTATATTTCTTAAATACTCATTGACAGTAGAATAGTCCCATTGTCCTTTATCTGTGAGGGATACACTCCAAGGCTTCCAGTGGATGCCTGAAATTGTGGATAGTACCAAACCATATATACAGTAGTATGTTTTCTCAGTCTGATAACTGAGACCACAAATAAGTATCTAATAGGCAGGTAGCATATACAGCTTGGCAAAGGGATGGGTGGGGCAGAACAGAATAGAGTGCTCATAGATTTTATCATGCTGCTTAGTGTGGCCTGTAGTTTAAACCTATGAATTGTTTATTTCTGGAATTTTTAAATTAATATTTTCCGATCTTGGTTATCAATGGTAACTGAAACCGCAAAAAACAAAGTCACCGATAACAAGGGGACCCTATAGTACATAATCCTGCTAATTTTATTAGAGCTGAGGTTTTTTTTTAATGTATTCAAAATGTTTAGCGTTAGACAAAGGAAACTAACTTAAAATGTGAAGTTAGAAGTCACTTAAGTTCACATATCCCATGAGTGGGATCTCAATAATCAAGAAAATGTTTTATTTAAACAAAATTTGTTTTATTTTAATTTTTATAATAATTATACATATTTATAGGGTATATGTGGTATTTTCATACAATCATACAAGGTGTAATGATCAAATAAGAGTAATTGGGATATCTATCACCTCAAACATTTATCTTCTCTTTGTGTTGGAAACATTGCAAATTCACTTCACTAGTTATTTTAGAATTTATATACAATAAATTATTGTTAACTATATTATCCCTATTATGCTATTGAACATTAAATCTTATTCCTTCTGTCTAACTACATTTTTACCCATGAACCAACCCCTGTTTATTCCTCCTTCCCCACTACCCTTCCCAGCCTCTGGTAACAATCATTCTACTCTCTACTTCAATATGTTTTACAATATATAAGTAGAATGAAAATAGTTCCAGATTTGTGGAAATATGTTCCGTATTAGATATTATTTCAATAAAATATTTTAGATGTAATTGAATAGGTTCTGTATTAGTCCATTTTAATGCTGCTGATAAAGACATACCCAATACTGGGGAAAAAAGGAGGTTTAATTGGACTTACAGTTGTTCCACATGGCTGGGGAGGCCTCAGAATCATGGCAGAAGGCAAAACACATTTCTTACATGGTGCTGGCAAGAGAAAAATGAAATTGCAAAAGCAGAAACCCCAAACACACTTCTTACATGGTGCTGGCAAGAGAAAAATGAAATTGCAAAAGCAGAAACCCCTGATAAAACCATTAAATCTCATAAGACTTATTCACTACCACAAGAACAGTATGGGGGAAACTGCTCCCATGATTTAAATTATCCCCCACTGGGTCCCTCCCACAATACATGGGAATTATGGGAGTACAATTCAAGGTGAGATTTGGGTGAAGACACAGAGACAAACCATATCATTCTGCCCTTTGCCCCTCCGAATCTCACATCCTCATATTTCAAAATCAATCCTGCCTTCCCAAGCATCCCCCAAAGTCTTAACTCATTTCAGCATTAACCCAGAAGTCCACAGTCCAAAGTCACATCTGAAACAAGGTAAGTCGCTTGCACCTATGAGCCCATAAAATCAAAAGCAAGCTAGTTATTTCCTAGATACAATGGGGGTACAGGTATTGAAAAAATACAGCCATTCCAAATGGGAGAAATTGTCCATAACAAAGGGGTTACAAGGCCCATGCAAGTCTGAAATCCTGTGGGGCAGTCAAATTTGAAAGTTCGAAAATGATCTCGTTTGACTCCATGTCTCACATCCAGGTCAAGCTGATGAAAGAGGCAGGTTGCCATAGTTTTGGGCAGCTCTGACCCTGTGGCTTTGCAGGGTATAGCACCACTTCTGGTTGCTTTCACTGGCTGGCATTGAGGGTCTGCAGCTTTTCCAGGCACATGGTACAAGTTATAGGTGGATCTACCATTCTGTGGTCTGGATGATGGTGGCCCTCTTCTCACAGCTCACTAAGTGGTGCCCCAGTAGGGACTCTGTGTGAGGGCTCCAATCCCACATTTCCCTTCCACACTGCCCTAGCGTAAGTTATCCATGAGGGCCCCACCCCTGCAGCAAACTTTTGCCTAGGCATCCAGGCATTTCCATACATCTTCTGAAATATAGATGGAGGTCCCCAAATCTTAATTCTTGGCTTCTGTTCACCCGCAGGCTCAACATCACGTGTAAGCTGCCAAGGTTTGGGGCTTGCACCCTCTGAAACCATGGCCCGAGCTGTACCTTGGCCCCTTTTAGCAACAGGTGGAGCAGCTGGGACGCAGAGCACCAAGTCCCTAGGCTGCATACAGCATGAGGACCCTGGGCCCAGTCAAAGAAACCGTTTTTTTCTCCTAGGCTTCCAGGTCTGTAATGGGACGGGCTGCCATAAAGACCTGTGACGTGCCCTGGAGATATTTTCCCCATTGTCTTGGGGATTAACATTAAGTGCCTTGTTACTTAGCAAATTTCTGCAGCCAGCTTGAATTTCTCCCCAAAAAATGGGTTTTTGTTTTCTACTGCGTCATCAGGCTGCAAATTTTCTGAACTTTTTTGCTCTGTTTCCGTTTTAAAACAGAATACTTTTAACAGCACCCAAGCCACCTCTTGGATGATTTGCTGCTTAGAAATTTCTTCTACCAGATACCCTAAAATATCCCTCTGAAGTGCAAAGTTCCACACATCTCTAGGGCAGGTGCACAATGCCACCAGTTTTTTTTTTTTATGCTTTTTGATTATACTTTAAGTTCTAGGGTACATGTGCACAACGTGCAAGTTTGTTACATATGTATACATGTGCCATGTTGGTGTGCTGCAATCCATTAACTTGTCATTTACATTAGGTATATCTCTTAATGCTATCCCTCCCCCCTCCTCCCACCCCACAACAGGCCCCGGTGCGTGATGTCCCCCTTCCTGTGTCCAAGTGTTGTCATTGTTCAATTCCCACCTATTAGTGAGAACATGCGGTGTTTGGTATTTTGTCCTTGCGATAGTTTGCTGAGAGTGATGGTTTCCAGCTTCATCCATGTCCCTACAAAGGACATGAACTCATCCTTTTTTATGGCTGCATAGTATTCCATGGTGTATATGTGCCACATTTTCTTAATCCAGTCTATCATTGTTGGACATTTGGATTGGTTCCAAGTCTTTGCTATTGTGAATAGTGCCACAATAAACATACGTGTGCATGTGTCTTTATAGCGGCATGACTTACAATCCTTTGGGTATATACCCAGTAATGCGATGGCTGGGTCAAATGGTATTTCTAGTTCTAGATCCATGAGGAATCACCACACTATCTTACACAATGGTTGAACTAGTTTACAGTCCCACCAACAGTGTAAAAGTGTTCCTCTTTCTTCACATCATCTCCAGCACCTGTTGTTTCCCGACTTTTTAATGATCGACTTTTTAATGATCGCCATTCTAACTGGTGTGAGATGGTATCTCATTGTGGTTTTGATTTGCATTTCTCTGATGGCCAGTGATGATGAGCATTTTTTCATGTGTCTGTTGGCTACATAAATATCTTCTTTTGAGAAGTGTCTGTTCATATCCCTCACCCACTTATTGATGGGGTTGTTTTTTTCTTGTAAATTTGTTTGAGTTCATTGTAGATTCTGGATATTAGCCCTTTGTCAGATGAGTAGATTGCAAAAATTTTCTCCCATTCTGTAGGTTGCCTGTTCACTCTGATGGTAGTTTCTTTTGCTGTGCAGAAGCTCTTTAGTTTAATTAGATCCCATTTGTCAATTTTGTCTTTTGTTGCCATTGCTTTTGGTGTTTTAGACATGAAGTCCTTGCCCATGCCTATGTCCTGAATGGTATTGCCTAGGTTTTCTTCTAGGGTTTTTATGGTTTTAGGTCTAACATTTAAGTCTTTAATCCATATTGAATTAATTTTTGTATAAGGTGTAAGGAAGGGATCCAGTTTCAGCTTTCTACATATGGCTAGCCAGTTTTCCCAGCACCATTTGTTAAATAGGGAATCCTTTCCCCATTTCTTCTTTTTTTTGTCAGGTTTGTCAAAGATCAGATGGTTGTAGATGTGTGGTATTATTTCTGAGGGCTCTGTTCTGTTCCATTGGTCTATATTTCTGTTTTGGTACCAGTACCATGCTGTTTTGGTTACTGTAGCCTTGTAGTATAGTTTGAAGTCAGGTAGTGTGATGCCTCCAGCTTTGATCTTTTGGCTTAGGATCGACTTGGTGATGAGGGCTCTTTTTTGGTTCCATATGAACTGTAATGTCGTTTTTTCCAATTCTGTGAAGAAAGTCATTGGTAGCTTGATGGGGATGGCGCTGAATCTATAAATTACCTTGGGCAGTATGGCCATTGTCACACTATTGATTCTTCCTATCCATGAGCATGGAATATTCTTCAATTTGTTTGTATCCTCTTTTATTTCATTGAGCAGTGGTTTGTAGTTGTTCTTGAAGAGGTCCTTCTCGTCCCTTGTAAGTTAGATTCCTAGGTATTTTATTCTCTTTGAAGCAAATGTGAATAGGAGTTTACCCGTGATTTGGGTGGGAACACAGAGGCAAATCATAACAGGTGCTAAAAATTTTATTAAATTGTTAATTTTAAAAAGCTACTCAAAAGAATTAAATAAAATCTTTTTGATATATGTATTAAACACATTTATTTTACAAACCATTTTGACATTTATATTTTGCAATTATCTTGGATTCCAGCATTAATTGTAGTAAAAGGACTAAAATTCATGATAGCTTTTGCCCTAACTCCTAAAAACTAATTATTTTATTCTTTCATTCAGGGTTCTGTTGATTCCCTATATAATATCACGTATAAAATATATCTGAATTTTTTATTGGATCAAATTATATCCAAAGGAATGGGTGACCTCTTGACTATAAAAGCTATGCATATGCCACATTTTTTCCATTAGTGGCATAGAACTATCATGAAGTTCTACTTAATATCTCAAATGTGGAATAAACAATTAATTAAAGTAAGTCAGTCTGGGATCTTCAGAGATGAATTTCTCCATTTTCAAAGTGTATTTTAGCCTTCTTTAGCCCATTTACTTTAAAACTGTGGAAGTTGATATTCCTGTTTCTTAAATATTGCTAGAGTTTAAGGGCCTTTAATTATGTATTGGAGACCCTTTACTCTGAAACTTCTTGCAGTCGAATCTGTGAACTATTAAATTTCTGCAGAAAAATTTTCTAATGAATATCTAGTTGCATATATCTCTAGTTTTCCTTATTATGTCTGCCATACACTTGAATTTCTGAATTTCTACCATACACTTGAATTTCCCAAAGTTTGTTTCACAGAACTTAGGTTTTATATGTTTTAATGTTATAAAGAGCCAAATGAGTAAAAAGTTCTTCTGAGAAACAATAAAATTGAAAAAATATTAACTTATACTAAGTTTAATAGTCGTATAACCATTTGTCAAAATTTGATCAAGGTGCAATTGATGAGATATGTGTTCTGTGGAACAAAGGGTGGGGAGTGCTCTTAAGTCTTTCTAGACCTGCCAAACAATATTCTAAATGCATTCTAGTTTCTGATAAAAGTTATTTTGTAATATAGAATCCTTTTAAACTTTTCTTTGACAGATGCATAGTCACTTTTTATAGGTGAAAGAGTATATGAGAACCTACCATGGAATATCTTACCATCTTAGGAATCATTTATTATGGAAATATGGTAATATAGTTCAAGCATTTAGAGGAATGTATATGTATATGTAATTATATGTATGTATTATTTAATATATCATTTATAATGATTATCTTAAGATCTGGGATGAGCTAAATAATTTCGGCATGTATCAGTTAGACAATATAATTATCAGGAACAGTTATATAATCAATAAAATTATAGTCTTTTTGTATAGTTTTGCATTTTCTTTATTTTTTATTTGTGCAAATTCATGAGATACGTGTGAAATCTTGCAACTTGTATAAAATATGTAGTGATTGAGTCAGATATTTAGGGTGGCCATCATCTGGGTACAATACAACTTTGTTAACTATATTCATCCTACTCGGTTATCAAACATTGAATTTATTCCTTCTATCTAACTTAAGTTTGTACCCTTTAACCCACTTCTCTTCACCCTCCCCTTCTTCCCCATTCACCCTTCCAAGTTTCTGTTTTCTATCTTCCCACCATCTACCTCATTTGATCAAATATCTTAGATCCCACATATAAGTAAAAAGATGCAATATTTGTCTATTTGTGCTTGGTTTATTTCACTTAAGATACTGACCTCCACTTCCATCGATGTTGCTGCAAATGGCATGACTTAACTCTTTTTTATGGTCAAATAGTATTCCATTGTGTGTATTTTCTTTATCTGTTCATCTGTTGATGGACACTTTGGTTAATTCCATATATTTGCTATTGTGAATAGTGCTGCAGTAACCATGTTAGTGCAGGAATTCCTTTGATATATTGATTTCTTTTTCTTTCTGTAAAAAGAAATTTCTGTACTGGAATTTCTGTGGAATGGTAATTCTATTTTTAGTTTTTTAAGAAAGCTCCATACTGTTTTCTATAGTGGCTGTACTAGTACCCATTCCTACCAACAGCGTATAAGAGTTCCCATTTCTCCACATCATTGCACATCTGATACTATTTGCCTTTTTAACAATAATAATTCTGATTGGGACAAGTGATATCTCATTGGAATTTTCATTTGTATTTCTCTGATTATTAGTGATGTTGAAATTTTTTTCATATACCTGTTAGCAGTTTGTATGTCTTCTTTTGAGAAATGTCTATTTGTGTCCTTTGCCCATGTTTTCATGAAATTATTCATGTTTCTCCTGTTGTGTTGTTTGAGTTCGTTTTGTATTCTGGACATATTAGTTCACTGTTGGATGAAGTATTTGCAAATAAAGAATATACATTGAAAACCACTTCAAACACAAGGTACTTACTATTCTATGATTGTCGATGTGTATTACTAATTAAAACATTATAGAAAAAATGCTCACATTTAGCAAATTTGCTAATAAATCATTCTCACATTTTAATTCAGAAATATAAAAATGTGGCTAATAACACTACTACTACTAAGAAACATTTATTAAGTTATTTATATGTGCCATTCACAGCTATTTTACATGGATTATCTCACCCTACAAAATTACATGAGAAATAGTAAAGACCAATAATTTAACGAAGCACTTACTATAAAAAATGTATTTAAATGTCTTACATTTGAGAACTGTATACATTTTAGAAATTTAATTTAGAACTGTTAGCTGTGATTCCACTTAGATTTAAATGGATATGAGAAAATATAATTTAGAACAAAAAACATTGCTTAAACAAGAATGTATATTAAAACAATAGGTAACATAAAATGCAAAATACACCCTTGCAAATATTATGCATGACTTATATAATCTTTGTCTTTTTAAAATAATGACATATAAAAGGATAGTTTTACTATTTGCCATTCTATTTAGTTCTCTGTCAAACATGTTTATTAGAAATTTATCCTTGAGAGCATTAAATTACTTTAGTTTTTTTTTTTTTTTTTAAGTTTAGGGGTTATTTTCAACTACTAAGCTTTAAAAATCTAAGTGGCAGTATCATGAAATTTAATAGAGAGCTTACAATTTAGAATCAAGTCAATTATGCTTCTGGCAAAACAGTTGGATTTTAGTAAGATAAGATTATGTTATAAAATTCCATTTATTAAACAGTTTGCTAGGAATAAATTTAGGTTAGGTTCATAAAAAGTTAATGGATTTTCATTCTTAAATACTTCTAAGAATAAATGAGAGTTACTATATTTCAAAAAACAGAATACGAGGAAATGTCATACCTGCAAAGACCTTGACCTTTGTCTTTTGGTCAAATTCGAATCTTTTGTCTTTAGAGGCCCATAAAGTCAACCTAGTTAGTCATGGAAACACCCTAATCCACAAGTGACTTTTTAGCTAAATCATGAGTATCTCTCTACCTTCTAAGCAGTTGTAAATGTTCAAAATCCTAATCTAGAGAATAACACAAATCAGTTTATTATTTAAATATAATCTTCAAAATAAAGAAACTTACAATGAATATTCAGATTCGGCTAGATATAAACAATAATTTATTAATTTTCTAGTCATTTTACATATTTTATCCAGGAAGGTATAAATCACTTTTACTGTATTAACAGGAAAGTTTCAACAGATTAGCAATACTATAGATGCTTTTAGACATTAAGCAGTAATATTTTATCACCCCCATTTTAGCTTAGTGTAGCATACACAACCTGTACAAACTACCTATCCCTCCAGCTTCATTTCTAGCCAGGGTTTACTTCAATTTATAAAACAATTGAATTAACACTATTAATGCATATCAAACTTTTGTTAATACATATACTGTATTATTTGAATTACCCAGTCTTAACCCAGGCTATTTTTTTTTGTTTCTGCTCAGAACACCCTGCACACACTTCACTTATTGGCTCACATACTTATCTTTCCAGACATTATGCAGGCCTTGGTTACCTTCAAAAAATCATAGATTTTTGAATGCTCTTTCTCTCTATGCTCAGATGTGTCCATACCTTGTCTCAATTAAACAATTCTAGCATGCATATTAAAATGATAAATTATAGCACTTGACAGATATGACACGTTTAGCAACATGTATAAAAAATCATTTTGGATTTTTCACTCACAGTAGGCTGTGAGAAGCTTACAAGTATAGAACATGTTTTACTCATTTTGTGTACCTGCCTCTGGTTTCAACATATTCCTCACATGTTCCAAGCACTTAATAAATGCTTGTTAAACTCAGCTGATATACAGACCATCTAACAAAAAAATTGATTAGTAATGAGGAATGGTTTAATACATCTCCTACGTTAAGGAATTAAAACTCCAATGAATGTGTTTGTGTTAAAAGGCAGACATGAGCTATATTTAATCACTTAGAATTTGTGATATTCATACATATTTACATTAAATAATTAAGGTTTAGGGAAAATAGCCTTTTATTTTTTAAATAATTAAAAATAGACGAAATTATTTATGATTTTAATGAATATTTCTTTGTTTAAAAATATTTATTTTCTTAGGTTAAATGGTTACTTTTTGAAGCATTTCAAAAATACAGAATTGCTTATGTAGCACAAAAAGAAAAACAAGCTGAGAATGAAAAATTGCTTAAGTTAGTGATATATGACCTACATAAGCTTTGTGCTTCATGTGAAAAAGATGGGATGGCATAAAAGGCTTTATTTCATTCTCCAGAAATAAAGTGATCAAACTTATTATGTAATCCTGTTTCACAATGAATTTCCTTCATATATATATATATATAAATATAGTTGAATGTGTTATACTTATCAACTGCTATAATTTATCATTTTGATAAGTATGTAAGAATGAAGTTTGATAGAGTGATTATTTCAGATTCTAATTATATGTAAAAGGTATTTTGCTATTTTTCACTCAAAGGCCATACAGAGTAATAGTTGTTATAATTGATAGTGCAAAAATAGTGGTATAAAGTTACACTATGAGCTTGCTTTAGAAATTAATATGAGAATTTAATTTCCCCTTCCCAAAACTTAGTAAACTGATAAAAAATAATTTCATACTATTATTTGATGCTAAATATTGTGGTACATCATAAAAAATAAACTTGAAATGAATTCTTCCTTATTAAGATAATTATTCTTTTTACTATATCATTTTAAGTATCAGAAAAAATAAAGTAAAATGTACAAATCAAATACTGCAATAGCAATAATAAGTCTCAATTATTTTAATATGGTGGCTATACATTATACTATGCTAGATAAAATTTTCAGCATGAATAAAATAATAGCCTCAAATTTCATTTTCTCAGTACTTGAAATAATAACTATCAGCTTTAACACTGATAATTATTAACCTGGTATCACAAAGGACAAGATAGTTTGTAAAATGTTTTCAATATACCAAAAAAGAAATTTCTTACACAGTATCATATGTTGATTTTATCTAGAATATTCTTCAGATTTTATATGTTCTTTTAATCATATATGTTCAAGTGAATTTTAATGCTACCAAGTGTGAGAAATTGCTATCAAAATCTTAATTAATAGAACACCAGAAAAAAGAAGCGCCCAAAAGTCGTTTTCATTTGGTCATAGGTTGAGGGGGAGTATAATTTTAGTTCTTGCAAAGTCATAATAACAGGCTAAAGTAAATGGGAAATCAATGATGTAAAATTTAAAGGAATGCAAGAAGCTGAGCAATAGTGATTAATAATACATTTTGAAGGATATGATGTTTTCTTTTGTCAGGAAATGTGAATTGACCTCAAAGCACTGGTTGTGGGACTTTAGAATTATTCAGAAAACTAAATATTGATTAGTTATTGTTCTTTTTATTTAATGATTACAGTAATGATGGTATTTCCAAGTATGTAGTAAAAATAATTGATCTTCTAAATTGTTTTCTTTATATTCATTTGCAGTTATAATAATTTCTTTGACTGCCTGTCATCTTTGAAGGCACTTATCAATATTTTTGGTTCTTTCACTGTGCTTTCAGTTGAAGACTTTATTTCACGTGTTACAAAGAGATCTCTGGCAGTGTGCTCTTTTGGTCGTAACTGACAAGCACAAGTCTTCACTCACTATCCTTTATGCAGTATTATATTGTGCCTTTCCCTGTGGACAGACCATAGCATTTAATTTGCCTAGGGATATTAAAATAAATCTTTAAAAAATGATCATTCTCATGTATATTGGTTTTATATTGCTGCATAACAAACGACCACAATTTAGAGGATTAATACAACAGAAGTTTACAGTCTTGTAGTTTTGTAGGTTAGAAGTCTGAGCTGCAGTCAGCTAGGTTCTTAGCTCAGGTCTTAAAAGGCTTCAGTCCAGGCGTTGGCAGCTCTGTGATTCATGTCTAAGACTCAGGGTCCTCTTTCAACCATACTGATTGCTGATAGAGTTTATTTTCTTGCAATTGTATTATTGATGACTCTATTTTCTTGCTAGCTATTGACTGGAAAATTTTCTTACGTTTTAGAGGCTCCCTTTGGTTCCTATCCATGACTTTCTCAAAGACCGTTCACAACATGGCTTTCTTTCAGCAGAGCAGGAATATATCTCTATATTTATCTCCCTCTTTAGTTGGCTAAAAAGAGTTTTATACAGCATAATGTAGTCATAAGAGTGACTCTTCAATCACCTTTTGTAATATAGCTTTACCTAATCAAAGGAACAACTATTATATTAGCTGCATAATTCCACCTGCACTCATGGGGAAGGAGTGGAAATCTTGGAGCCAATAGTGGAATTATGCCTACTATATTATGTTGAGTGACTTATTTAGATGATAATTCAAAACAAGTATGTACAAAGACAAAGAATAGAAGATTAAAAGATGCATTTTATAATTAATCAACATAATGTACTTTGCTTTACCTAAAAATATATAGTCAATGTATTCTTCATATTTTTCCTCAAACTTATTTTAGTAAATAAATTTTGGGGGCAAAAATAGTGTATCTTTGTACTTCCTCTTATAGGTTACAAACATTTCAATCATAATCATATATTATGCTTCAAATGGCTTCATTTGTCAAGATGGCCACATTTTAATATAAATGCATCTTCTAAATATATATTTCTTCTTTGTAAGACATATATGGTAATAGAAGAATCACAAATATGCTAACAGGGTGTCAAAAGACATGACCTTTAATGCTGGCTTTATCACTCAGATACTGTAAATTCTTCAAAATGTGAAGTGGAAAATATAATAATGATTCTACAAGGTTATTTTGAAGATAAGGAAGGGGAGCAAATGATACAACATCCACAGAGCAATACTTGGCATGTAAGCAGCATTTCATATATGTTAGCTAGTATCTTTTCTGTTCTACCATATAGTTTAAATATAATGAATATGCCCATGTATACTATAATGTTTGGAGGTGTCTTTCAATCTCCATTTGGTCAAAAGGAACAATATTCTAATATTTATTTTGTATTTTTTAGAGGGTTGTTGAAATAAGCAAATGTGTTTGCACTGAAGAATTTAAGAAATGGCACCCTTAACTGGGGCTTCCCAGAAATCACAATGTTGCCAATGAGGTAAATAATTTTCAGCTTGAACCAAGGGAAGAAGTGACACTTATCACACATGCACCCACACACGCAAAGCTCTTCCAGTTGCAAAATTAAAACCCTCACAGAGGCTAAGGGAGGTAGTTCACTGAAGAGTTGCAGCTCTGAGATAAAGGTCAATGCTAGAGACAGACCAATTCATTTAAAAAGAGGTCACAATGGAAGAATGACAAGGCTTACACAGAAGTTAATTGAAAAATACATGCTAATTAGAGTCCCTTAAGTAATTGTGTAAACAAAAATTCATAAGAACTTTATTGATAATTATGAAGTCCCTGAAGCAAACAAACATTTTGTGCAGACATTATGGCCATAAGAGATGATACCTGGAACCAAAAGTAACAGTTATAAACTATAACAGATTATTATTTTGGTAAGTTTAATTAAATACCATGTTTCATTCCATATTGACAAATAAATAGACACTATGGACCAATCTGTATATACTTCATACTTTTATCAAGAACTCGGCCCATCTGTATGTACTTCACTTATTGTCAAGAACTGTAAAGATTCAGAGATTTCCATTCCACTGTAAAGACACATGCACATGTATGTTTCTTGAAGTACTATTTACAATAGCAAAGACTTGGAACCAACCCAAATGCCCATCAGTAATAGACTGGATAAAGAAAATGTGGCACATATACACCATGGAATACTATGCAACCATAAAAAAGAATGAGTTCAGGTCCTTTGCAGGGACATGGATGAAGCTGGAAGCCATCACTCTCAGCAAACTAACACAGGAACAGAAAACCAAACACCACATGTTCTCACTCACAAATGGGAGTTGAAAATGAGAACACATGGACACAGGGAAGGGAACATCACACACTGGGGCCTATGGAGTGGGGCTTAAAATCTAGATGGCGAATTGATAGGGGCAGCAAACTACCATGGCACATGGATACCTATGTAACAAACCTGCACATTCTGCACATGTATCCCAGAACTTAAAGTAAAAGAAAAAAAAGGATTCGGAGATTTTATCATTCTTGAGAGTTAACAAGTTAACATGTCACAGAATGCACAAAACTGAGACAAGGACAAAGGACTTTTTAATATACAGCCATAGAAATAGCCAGAGTTTCAAACTTGTTTGGGTTCCCAGAGCCTCAATTTCCACAAAGCAATCAGTAGAGAGCTGATGATACCCCCACACATAGTGACTTTTTACAGGAGAGGAACTCCAAGAACTGGAATTTGTTATATTTATGAAGGTTTGAACATGAATAACTGAACAAAACGTGTTGCCATTTATTGAGAAAGACATGGTGATGAGACAACTTGGATTCAGGAATGGCATAGGATTAGAAAACAAGGTAGGTAGTTATAGTAAGTTGACTGCAAAACAGGCCACCATTTCTTCATTCAATCCTGCCTGTATTGGTCCATTCTCATACTGTTACAAGGACATACCTGAGACTGGGTAACTTATAAAGGAAAGAGGTTTAGTTGACTCACAGTTCCACAGGGCTAGGGAGGGCTCTGGAAACTTACAATTATGGTGGAAGGGGAAGGAAACATATCCTTCTTCACAATGCAGCAGAAGAAAGAATGAGGGCTGAGTAAAGGAGGAAATCCCTGATAAAAACATTAGATCTGGTGAGAACTTACTATCATGAGATTAGCATGGGAGAAACCACCCCCATGATTCAATCACCTCCCACTGGGCCCCTACCACCACACATGGGGATTATGGGAACTACAATTGAAGATAAGATTTGGGTGGGGACACAGCCAAACCATATCACTGCTCTTATACAACCCTTGAGTATAATTACTGCCACTTAGTAATTCTCACATTATTCTTCCTCTTTTCAGACTTTAAAATATTCTCCATTTTTAACACTCCTTAAAGCATTTTCATAGCTTTCCCTCCCAGGATGCCCCATTTTTTAATTTTCTCCTTATATATCTTTATTCTTTAAATTCCTTGTGTAAGTCCTCCTGCTTTTTATTTCTAGATATTAGAATGGCATAGTGCTCAGTTTTGGGGCTGTCATCTCTACCTACACTCATGTTCTACATGGGGCAATCTACACCAGTCTCTAAAATAATTATAGAAACTCTGAGGATATATTTCATTTAGCTATCTCCATGAACATAGAAAACCTCAGAGTCATTCAAAATAAATTCTTATTGTTCAAGCTTCTGAAGGGATTGGCTGTTATTCTGGTGATCTTGTATGGACTCACTCATGTTTCTGCCTGAGGCTAATCCACTTGGCCTCTTATAGGACAATATCTCATCTACTAGTACAATTATTTTAAGCATGTTCTCATGCCTATAGCAGAAGTGCAAACATGGGAAAATGAAAACGTACCCTTTATCAAGTTCTGATTGATTCAGTCTACTAACTTCTCATTGGCTCAAGCAAGTCACAGACAAGAGAAGGATGAGACCACAAGGGCATGACAAGGCTATATGGCCAAAGGCACATATAAGGACAGGATGGAATGAAGAAATGGTGGCATTTTTTTGCAATCAACTTGCTGTAACTACCTACCTTGTTTTTCAATTAGATATCTTTCCTGAATTCCAAATTGTCTCATCTCCATGTCTTTTTCAATAAATGGCAGCATCATGTGTTTAATTGTTCACATCCAAAAACATTGGGATTTTCTTTCATTCTAACAGCTTATATCCAATTCATCAGAAAATATTAAATCAACATATATTTGTAATCTTACCACTTCTTATGGTCTTTACCACTAACACTCTACTCCTAGCTACTATCGTCTCATCCCTGGACCAAACTAGACTACTACACTAGACTCCTAACAAGTTCCCTAGCTTTCTCTCTTGCCTTTTTACTGCTGAATTTTCTCTAATAGTCATCTCTTAACGCTTCCCTACTCAAAACCGTTATATTCCTCTGCTCCGTTAAGCCTTTGAGACATATGCTTATTTAAATATTTACTCTTCCATCTCCAGGATGGGAAACTTTTTCTTCCCAGTCCAAAACATAATATAGCAATAATATATGTGTACCAAGCAGCAGAGAAGATGAAGGGAAGAAAGATGGGACAAATATTTTCCTAAGGAAGATTCCTAGAAGCTGTGTTATGACACTTCTACTTATATCCAATTGGCCAGATTATAGCCACATGAAACTTGGTTACATTGGTTGCTGGAGAATGTAGTCTTTGAGTGTTAATATGTCCCGCTAAACAATATATTGCTATGATTGAAAGGGATAGAGACCAATAGGAGACAACTGGCAGTCTCTGCCACAGTGTCAGAATAACAAGCAGCAAATATTCTCGTGTACTATCTTTTTATAAAGATGAAAATACTCTCGTTCTACTAGTAAAAATGGCATGGAATACAGTCCTGTCTATCTATTAATGTATTCCAAAACATACAATAAGCACCAATCCTGTTTTGGCCATTATGTTTTGTGTCAGAAAATCTTTAATAGTTATTTTGGTAGAGAAACAAATAAAAGCAACTATTATTCTAACAGCTTTCATGAGGAATTCATATCATTTTTTATTTTGTCATAAACAATTCTTCAGATAGTGACTTACAGATAATAGTGTACTACAGCCAACTCAGATGTGGTCAAAAGAACAAATTGTGCAGTTGACCTTTTTTTCCAGCTGCATTCAGAGTTTTCATCTTAGTACCTTGAAATCAAGTATGTTGGCAGTGTTACTTTACATAAATCAGCAAATTAAAAAAAATTTTTTTCTTAGTGTGTTATTTTTTTCAAATTCCAGTATGTTTATAAAGACTCATGTTTCACTAAACAGTGTATTTGTTGAAGTTGATGTGAGCAATTTATGTTTCTACACTTGATACAGTGTGAGATGCTTTAATTTGCCACAGTAGAATGGCTGGATATTTAGCTGACTCATTGCAGAAAGTTATTATCTAATTTCCTGATGTTGAGTATGAAAAGAGTTAGACATTGTACATACATCAATGTTTTGCAAATATTTCAAATTTCTCCTTTGAGAAAGTATTTTACTCCTTTCTCCTTTCCTATAAAGGATATTACAAAGGATACTAATGAACACCAGATGAATAGATAGATTAGACAAGGGATGAGGGAAAGGGTACAGAGCTTCCAGAGCATCTCTGGGTTTGCCACTCTTGAGGAAACTTCATGTGTTCAGGTATGCAGAAGCTCCGGCAGTTTTGTCATTTTTATTTATTTATTTGTTTTTGAGACAGAGTCTTGCCCTGTTGCCCAGGCTGGAGTGCAGTGGTGCCATCTTGGCTCACTGCAAACTCCGCCTCCTGGGTTCACGCCATTCTCCTGCCTCAGCCTTCCATGTAGCTGGGACTACAGGCACCTGCCACCATGCCTGGCTAATTTTTTTGAATTTTTTTAGTAGGGAGGTGGTTTCACCATGTTAGCCAGGAAGGTCTTGATCTCCTGACCACGTGATCCGCCCGCCTCGGCCTCCCAAAGTGCTGGGATTACAGGCATGAGCCACTGCGCCCGGCCCGTTTTGTTTTTATTTATTCTTTTCCAGAGAGCCAGTTGTTAAACACTTAACCAGCCCATGGTAGTAGATAGAGGCTGATTGAAACTAAGGTCTCATTCTGTACACCCTGCACTCCTTCCTCTATTAACATTCATGTAAATCAGGGCTTTCCAGACTTCAGTGTTTATAAGAACTATCTGGTAATCTGGCTAAACTGCTGATTCTTATTTTACACATCTGGAGTGGGGCTCAGGAGCCTGCATTTCTACGTAATCTAATATGATACCAATCTTTCCATCCTACACACTACAAACCACTTAATGCAAAATCTTGTATATTTTGCTTAAAACTTGCAATGTCTGTTTGGTCATCATGTTATTCCAAAGTATCATCACTAAGACATATTTTGGTGGCTTCAGTAAAAGTTGTAATTGTTGCAGCCAAACTATCCTACTCCTCCTTAAGTAGGATGGATTAATTTGATGCCAGTTATTTTTTACAGTTAGAAATAGAAATCTGCTCTAAATGAGGTTTCTGCACTCCACTCATCAGCTTCACTTTTTGTTGTTAGGAAATACATTCTTGACAATTGTAAAGTTATGCAATATTTCCAATTGTTTACTTCTGAAGAAACTCAGTTATAACTTTTCCTAGTGAGCACATTGTAAAATGACTGAGTCTACTATGCCAGCTTCAATTGTAATGATTCCTTTAGTTAATTTGGCAGTGGCCATTAGGTCTTAATCTGGGGAATAAGGAATGGTGTCGGTGCTGAGCATGTATTTCTTTGTACTTAAATTATTACAAGTCCAAATCTTTTAATATGAATTTTTAAAATGTATCTTAAGTGTTTTATATATTTTAAAGAAAACAAACAGCTTAGATTTGAACTATATTATCTAATGACTTCTTAATGGGCATGGACTTGTTTTATAAATATGATATTTATCAACACAACCAGAGATTAATTTCATAATCTTAAGATTAAATTTTTACATTTGCTTTTTTTTTCTTTCTGCTGTTGCTTCTCATGAAATCTCTTTGTCCCTGGATTCACTACCAGCATGTAGGATCCTCATGTAGCACATTTCTCTTCATTTGAGTAAATGCATCTTCTGATATATGTACTTACTATAGAAAATTGTAAGTATTTTCATTCATGTTAGACAAAGAATTGGAGGCTTAAATAATGACACAGTCTATGTATAATTACTTTATTTCTCCTTTAATTTGTTATTGACACTGTAAAATAATAGCAAAAGTATAAAATCAAGGGATGTAAAACGGTTCACTGTTAATTTATAAACTAATTACTATATATTATTATAGTTAAATATTATAGGAAATACACTTAGAGACAAACAGTAGATATGAACACTTTTTAAAAATTATAATATCAGTATATTTTCAGATTCAAAATCTAAGTAGTTTCAATATTTTATGGATGTGTAATATGTTCTGTTTTTTATTTGTTGGCACCCTTTATTAGCAGGATTGAACATTGTACTTCTAATATTATTCATCACCATAAAGTAACAATTCAAGGCTAATACACAGTGAGGATAATTGTTTTAGTTGGTGATCAGGGTAGTACAACTCAGAGTTGCAACATTTCAGCTTATGATAAATCAAATATACTCAAATATAAAACTGAAAAAAGCATTGTTTTGTCATTATTTTTCTATAAAATTTTGTATTTTTAACTCCTCATAGTTGTCATGATGTGCTTATAGAAATATCATCAGATATGCTCCTTTTAATTTTCAGTACAGCAAAAGTTTTCATTTTATAATTTTAATACAAAACTAAACAAACAACTTAAAAACAAGGAAAGAATCGGAGATCCAAAAATGAGGGCAGTCTTTATTATATGTAAGTAACAGAGCTGGCATCCAAAACCTAGTCTCAATGTCTAGTTTTACTTTTTCAATATGTATTGAAGAACTTAAACATCCAATTTTATATTTAGATAGTCTAAGGTAATATTATTGTTTATTATTTGGAGCACTAAAAACTATATCATGTCTCTTGTCCAATAAATCTTGGTACTTCCATTTAAATGCGTGAACGTATGTGAATTGAGAAATAAGAAATGCTTGTCCTTGCCTTTTCAGCATTGTCCTCCATTCTTTTACTTGCTTTCTAGAATCTAACCTTTTTTAAGTACTCATTATTTTCCAAATGTATTAGTATAATACTTTCACCCAATTGTTATAATAAATTTTTGTTGAATATCTACTTAGATAAATAACTGAATGAATGCCAAGTGTGATTCATGATGACCTTAATATAGTGTGTTTCTGGAAAATAAATATAATCTAAATTGTTGGAATTAAAAAAATAATTAAAAGTTTCAGATAAAACAGAATTTCCAGAATTTCCAACAATTTTTATTTTTATATACTTCATTTAAAAAGAAATTAGAAAGTTGTCTCCATTTTAGGCATATACAACTTCATTTATGTCTCTCCTTCTTTGACAGATGATGGACTCCATTACTTAATATTGTAAGACCTAAATCCACACTTAAAACTCATAGTAGAATTTAATAGCCTTAGACTAGCTTAAGGAGGTGATGGCTGATTTACATACATTCCAAAGATTTGTTGGACCATGTGTGCCTTACATAATGGGCAAAGAAGCTGGCCTCCCTACCCTAATCTTTTATTATGCAGATGGGTTCTATACCTGGCCAGTACCATGCTGTCTGTTCCTTACTGTGCATGTGGTTGACAAAGGAAAGGAAAGATGGAGCCTCCATGCTGAACACGCCTGGACCCTGGTTAGCCTTTTCCTGTTGGCATAGCTGCTGACATTCAATCATGCACGCTTCCAGCTTATCTGTATCTGTAGCTCAATTTTTTAGGCTGCTTTCTGTTAACAAAGAAATGATTTCACAGCTGATTTTCATTAGAAGGGAAACCTTACCAAGGACTCTCTTATCCTCACTAACTGCCTAAATTTCTTTTTTGCTTCTGTATCACAGACACGTTGAAAATGTACAGCATGACATTGAGAAAATTATAGACACTCAGATCAGACGGAGGATACTAAAAATATTTTTGTGTTCTAAATAGTGATGTCAATTTGGATGTTTGCAGGTCTAGATTGGTAAATAACATGGAAAGACATAGTATCTAATTGTAGAGGAACAGGTCATGTCAGGCACAGGGAAAAATTGAAGTGGAATGTTATATCTGGAAGAAAAATCTTGTAACTACATGTTAGGATAAGATATAGTACTGGCACATAAACTGTCACAGCGAGGACATAAGTTTCATTTCTTTTCTTTTCTTTTTTTTTTTTTTTCAGACGGAGTCTCACTCTGTCACCAGACTGCAGTGCAGTGGCACGATCTCGGGTCACTGCAACCTCCAACTCCCTAGTTCAAGTGATTCTCCTGCCTCAGCCTCCCAAGTAGCTGGGCTTACAGCACACATCACCATGCCCAGCTAATTTTTGTGTTTTTAGTATAGACGGGGTTTCACTATGTTGGCCAGGATGGTCTTGATCTCTTGACCTCGTTATCTGCCCGCCTCGGCCTACCAAAGTGCTGGGATTACAAGCGTGAGCCACCACGCCCAGCCAAGTTTTGGTTCCTTGTAGGAGTTGAATGAAGTGGAGGGATGCTATAGCAGAAAGAAAAATTGGCAGAATTCAGAAAGAAAAAAAAAACAGTTTTAAATTTAAAAAGTCAATTTGTAATGAGAACATTTGGACACAGGAAGGGGAACATCACACACCGGGGCCTGTCGTGGGGTGGGGAGAGGAGGGAGGGATAGCATTAGGAGATACACCTAATGTAAATGACGAGTTAATGGGTGCAGCACACCAACATGGCACATGTATGCATATGTAACAAACCTGCACATTGTGCACATGTATCCTAGAACTTAAAGATTAAAAAAAAAAGTCAGTTTTTTTTTGTCAGCTAACTTGTCCTGATGTCCCCAGCCAATCCCTGTAGATAGGGAAACTGAACTATCTTGGGTACTGTCCAGGATCAATCTCAGTCCTGGTTTGGGAAATGTGGGATTGCATGGATTTAGCTCTTATCTGGATTCTGTGCTTTTCTTTTAGTTTTAAATTTATATTATTGATCTGTGCTCTGGTTCTGAGAACTGAGTTTCTGTTCTACTGAGTGGAGAAATTCTGTCCTGTACCTAGTCTTATCTCCTTAAGCCGAACACTCGTGTTCTTACGCCCTCATTCTTAAATAATGCCTTTTCTAGTGTCTGTTTACCTCTCAGCATTGATTCTTTGCAATGTGGGGCTTCCATAATATCTTGATGTGATCTAGAGATCTAGTGTCAAATGCAGATATTGGGCTTTCTTAATTTGGTCCACCCACTACTTATGAAATTCATGTATCCATCTGCAGAATATCTCCATGTGGTATTTATAGTTTTAAACAGCTTAATATTTTAGCAAAAGATGGAGTTTTAAATGTAATAATTTTCTTTCAAAATCTTTTCCCAAGATTTTTAGTTTGATATAAAAAAATTGATTTGTCATAATAGAGAAGGCCATAGAGAGAAGGCAAAAAAACTTGGAAAAATGAAAAAGGTTGTTTCTCTCACTTTGCTCTATGGAGTCTGAGTTAGTTGCAGAGTATCCTATCTGTATCAGAAAGAAAGATATCTGAAAGTTTTCTAAAGGAGAAGATTGAAGAAAACGGTAAAAAAAAATACATAAAATTTGAAAGAATTAAAGAAGACTATGTTGACATTCATATAGCATTTTTTGCCCCAGTGAATTACAACTTCACATGCACTTTAAAAAAAATTGGACAATTTTTAAGCCTCTGTGGATCATCATTTGTTATAGATGATAGATAGTATCATCTCTTAGGAATGACAATAGCTGTGAAAACCAATGTTCCAGACATTGGTTTATAGTTTATGAGTATTTATTCCATCAGGGAGAAATTGGAGATTATTGATTTTGACATGTAGAGAGAGAGAAGGGAAGATCACTAACAGATAAAAGATTCATAAATAGTAGAAGACTTGCTGAGAAATCAGGAGTATTCTCTAGAAAGATGAACAGATTTTTTAAGGAAATTTTTCTCTCAAGTATAATAGCAGCAGTATGAAAAATATAAAAAGTAAATTACACTTATGGTATCTGTGAAAATTTTAACTGTAACATTTGAGCATAATAGGTGCTGGTTAGACATCAAATTTTATCTGAAGAAGTATTTGCTGACTGTACCCAAATTAATTTATGTATACACTTTTAAAATTCATGGGATTTCTAAGAAAGTATACAATTTACTTTTTAATTTTTGTATAAAAACATAAAAACTCTGTCAAGTGAATCAGAAAAGTGTTAGATCATGGAGAATTCAGGTCACTAAAGCTAAGGTTATTTTCACCTTTTAATTTTCCTGGCAGGTCTCTGGCTCAAGGGTCAAAAACTTACATGTAACATTAGTGTGTTTAAATTAATGCTCCCAATATATCCTAGCAATTTCTATAAGGGAAGTATTTTTGGTTACCAGATTAAAGTTATTTAAACTAGTATTTAGATAATGGATTTTTTAACTTACAGCTAAACAATAGAAATCCCAAAGTAAATCAAGATTTAAGGATTTTTTTTTTACTTTTAGTGATTACAAGTAAGACATTTTTTATGTCTTAATAAGGAAGGTGATATTAACTTTAATAGTATATCCCCCATGCTTTCTTTAAAAAAGAATAAATTAAAATTAAGGAGAAAAATCTCTGTGTCTCATCATTTTCCTTGGACTTCAGAATTTTAGTTGTGCGATCAGTATGAGATTTAGGTCACAGTCTGTTAACAGAGGCCTAGAGCATTAATTTCATTTGAATCCACTCTTAAATTTACTTTCATGTATGAAATTCTTTGTGCTTCCTACTGTTTCTCTCTGTTTCTCCATTATCATGAATGAGACATTGATAATCAATGAGCTAGTGACTCCGGTTATTAAAAAATGATGAATTATCCAAATATGGGTTTATAAATATGCTTAGCTTCATAAAATGGGAGGCATGTCTAATTCATTATTGATTACTATTCACATTTTGCACATAGTAGATACTGAATAACTTGTAAAGAATAAAGTATGTAAAAGCTCTGTATTTACTCTTCATGTACTCATTTTTAAACTTTTTTTTTCCTTTTTAGCTTAATTTCTACCTAGTAACCCTTCTGCAAGGCAATTTTCACATCCACTTAAACTTCTGTAATTTACACTTTATTTATTTTTTGAATGCCCAATTCTATTCATAAATATGGCTGTCTTCCGCGCTGGCTAGAAACCAGTCTCTTAATTTCTGCTGTGACGCTGTGAGCAACAGTCACTCTTCTATTGGTTTTTAACCCCAGTAAACAAGCCCATTAAATTCTGTAATATTTGAGAGATCTATTTTAACACTATTATGTTCCTCATCTACTGAATCCAATCAATTATGTCTACCTACTAACAAGCTTTTGAATGTATACTCTACATTTTGACCATATTTAATCCATCAGACACAAGATTGTCTGTTTGGCCCCATCTCCTTCCATCCTGTTCCATACACACAATCTCTTTTCTTTTAAATCCAAACTCCGCTCTGCATCTAATGGAATCTTTTGAAAATGCAAATCTGTTTCTACAATCAATATTGAAGCATCAATATATTTCCTATTATTTCACGAATAAAACAAAAAATGTTTAAGATGGCCTAGAACCGCCCACAAGGTCTGCTTAGTGTGAAATTATTGTTTTTCCTCCATCTCTCTTTCTTGAGAGAGCTACACTCCCTTCTACATCAGGATGTGTCATTCTCACAAACGCATCTTCAAGAATATAGCCTTCTTTGTTTTTAATGGACTAAATTCTAATAATATGAACTCCTTTATTTGATGAATAGGCAGAAACCAAGTTTGGGAATTCCTCTTCCACCTCCATCACCTGTTGTGGGAAGGCAGATGGGGATGTCAAATAAATGTGTAAAAAAAGATTAGATGTAATTATATCCTATAATTACAATTCTCTTAGATCCCCTGACGCAAATCCTGAAAACTGTTGTTCGTGTCTGTTTTGTTTTCTTCTTTACCCCTGGTAACTTAAAGAGGACATAGAAAAGAACCTGTGATTTGTTGTATTTATTTGTTTATTTATTGAATAAGCAACTTTCTATGTTTATCAACTAACTTCCCTTATATCTTTAAGCTAAATACACACTTCTACAATTAGTCTGTTTCTGTATATTTACATAGATTTATAGAACTGTTCCCCAGTTGGTCATCAGTCCATCTTTCTTATAAACAAGTCTTTAAATTGTTGTTTTTTTTTTTCTTGAATACTATTGCCATAGATTACTTCTTCTTTTTCAGGAAACAAGATTCACAAAGACTTATGGCAAGAGTAGCCACATTAAATATTTAAGGGTACAGGAAAATAATGTAACAATGTAACAGTTTTGGGAGCTCAGAGAATTCACTCAGGACATAAGGCAGTCGAATTTCTTTTTATGCTCTGTCCAACAAAAATATTATATGCCATATTCAAAACACGTACAACCAGATTTACACCACTGAAAATCATGGGTAAGTACTAGTATATATTTATTTACCTTATTTAAATTTGATTTAAAAATAGAAAAATTCACAATAAAAAATTGATTCCTTATAATATGTACAACTGTTGTAACAAATACCTCAAACTCAAGGGGAGGCAAGTAACTACTATCTAAAACTTGTTTCTGGGACCATCTTTCACAATACTACATAAAACATTTCTGGAAGAACGTGGGTCTCAAATGTTTCCATGCCGAATATCCACTGTTCTTAAGCTAAGCTGTCCAAGATTTTACTGTTTTCATAGGTTATAACTGTATTAGTCTGCTCTCACACTGCTAATAAAGACACACTCAAGGCTGGGTAATTTATAAAGGAAAGAGAAAATTGACTCACAGTTCCATATGGCTGGGGAGGCCTCACAGTCATGGCTGAAGGTGAATGAGGAGTAAAGTCATGTCTTACATGGCGGCAGGCAAAAGAGGTTGTGCAGGGGAATTCCCCATATTAAGACCATTAGATCTTGTGAGACTTATTCACTACCTTGAGAACAGTATGAAGGAAACCACCCCCATGACTCATTTATGTCTATCTGGTCCTACCCTTGACACGTGGGGATTATTACAATTCAAAGTGAGATTTGAGTGGGGACACAGCCAAACCATACCAATGACTTAATATATCATATGAATAACATTTTTTTCTAAATAAGATTGTCAGGAAAGTTGACAGTTTCAGCAATCGCCGTTACATTAAAAAAAATTAAGCTGTTTTTAGAAAGTTCAAGTTTCTTGAACATCATACCAGATTTAAAATACTTATGCTTAACAATTTGTTTCCTCCACATGTATATCATATATGTGCAGGAAATAAATTGAATGTGTATTATACGTGTGGTGGAAATAAATTAAATAACTTATTGGAAAAGTCTCATTTAGAATTTGTCATTCTTTGATCTGACCCAGAACTGCTCAGTGGAAAGATCCTATCTCTAGGGCATTTGTCAATAAATAAATAAATACATGGCAATTTATATATAACAATTTATTTCCTCCACATGTGTGTGTATATATATATATGTATATACATATATATATAATATGGAAATATATGTGTGTGTGTATATATATGTATATATACATATATATCACACACACACATATATTTCCATATTATTTCCTCCAAATGTATATTATATATAATAGAATCTCTATAATCTCTATAGTGTATATTATATACTAAAATCTCTATTGTATGTGTTATATACAATAGAGTTTTTAAACACTAAAACAAATTAGCCTTAATTTTAATCTAAGTTACTTTTCTCATATTTGAAAAATGGTACACGTAAGATAGGTAAATTATGCTTCATCTCTATTTTTAACCATTGTATTCAACACTCTTACTAACGAGAGCCAGTTCAGAAGAACAATTTATGCTTCATTAAATTATCACCACTCATAAAATACCCCACATTTTCAAAAAGTCAGATACTTCACAAGTCCAGTTGATGTCAGTGGAATAAATTTGATTCCTGACATTTTGTTCTATGAATTTCTTGAGAGTCAGATGCAGTGTGGTCCCTTCATAAATGTTTTTCTAAACTTCTTTAAAAGTATGGTTCTGCCTTATTTGTTGACTTAATCTTCTATTTTCAAATACATGCAAAAGATAATATGACCTAGCTCACGAAAACTCCAGTCATTTGCAAGTGTAGAAATTTTGTTATCTGTTTTATTATATGTCAGTTACATCAGTGATCATTAATATAAGCTACTGTAACACTCCCCCTTAAATATTGATTTAATTAAGTTATATTAATAACAGAAGGTATATTCATAATATGCATTGCTTAAGAATCTGTTATTGCTAAGCAGTTTAAGAATCTGTCTTTAAACTGGAAGGTAACAATTAATTCTATGTAGTAACTTTGAAATTTATGACAACCAAATCAAGACATTATGAATAAATGGTACTTACAGAAATCTACTCCTCATAAAGGCAACATGAACACTGGCAAAAATTGTCAAAATTCATTTTTTCAGATCTCTGAAAATTAATGACTTTCAACAATCTGGTGTGTTTATTCACAAAAAGTGATTAAATCTCAGTGGTTGATAATTTAAGAACACTAAACATTGTGATGAATTAACTTGCCCTACTTTCTGGACCTATAGTACCCTTGAAAACTATTAGGTGCACAACCACAGTAGCTGTAAAACACTGCAAGGGGAAGACAAGCTTTGAAGCTCATCAAAAAGGCCCATCCTCAGAGAATTGTCACTATTTTATCTGTCTGACAACTTCTTGGAAAAGTCTCATATACCAAGTTGGTCATTCTTTGACCTGAGCCAGAACTGCTCAGTGGGAAGATCCTTATCTCCAGGGCATTTGTCAATAAATAAATAAGTGTTAGTTGTTTAACATAGTGGCTGCCTGAGGCATTGATACTGGTTGGAACAAACAAGAGACTAGTCAAAAGACAGCTCCTGTGGAGAATGAGATAGACATAGGAAACTTTGAAAGCCTTTGACATAATCCTACAGACATAAGAAAGTGCACACATGTGCAAAGTGTGTACATGCCCAGAGAATACCTTAGAAAACTCCAAACCCTTACTACTTCTGGTCCTCCACCAGCAGGAAGTGAAGCTAAGGCAGAGTCTGACATTGCTGGAGCATTGCATGTGTATCCCAGCACACAAACAAACCTCTCCAGCAAAGTATCTAAGATTTACTGGTTCAAGGAATTTAAATAAATCTCCGTTCAATCTTAGTCAAGCACTGAGATAATTAAGCAGACTTAATTGACCACATGCATCAGGGAAGAGTGACTTTTAGAATTAAACTGAACAAATAAATGGCAAACACCACAACAAACAGTGACAAGAAGCCCTTGGGGGAAGGGACACTAATTCTCAGACAAAACATGCTACATTTGTAAAATAATTTTACCTAGTTCTCAACTGCAAGTTATAATGGAAATAAACAGGAAACTATGGCCCATAATAGGAAAAAAGTAGTTAATAGAAATTATATCCAAATTACAGATATTGGACTTACTAGACAAAGACTTTAAATAAGTTTTAAATATGCTCAAAGAACTAAAGGAAATTATATCTAAAGAATTAAGTGGAAGAACGAGAATGATTGCACACTGAATATTAGATAACAATAAAAAGATATACATTTAAAAAAGAACCACATAGAAATTCTAGAGTTGAAAAGTATAACAACTAAAATAAAAAATTTGCTAGATGAGATTAACAGAAGGTTTGAGTTGGCAGTAAAAAGTATCAGTAAACATACAAATGGGTCAATTGAGATTATTCATTGTGAAACTTGAAAGACAAAAGATTGAATAGAACCTCAGAGACTTGTGGTACACAATAAAGTGTATTAACATGGACCATAACGGGACTCTATGATGAAGAAGAGGAGAGAGAAAAGATAAAAAAAATAGAAATAATAAGAAAAAATAACTTTCTGAATTCTATTAAGAATCTTAATCTATAAATTCAAGTAAGATAAACTCAAGGAGACAAGCAGATAAATTACAAATTATCAAAAGTCTAAAAGAGAGAAACTTGAAAGCAGTAAAAGAAAAACAACTAATCACACATAAGGGATCTTCAATAAGATAAAGAGAGGTTTCTTATGGAGGTTAAAAGTGGTGGTATGCCATTTCCAAAGGGTTGAAAGACTGTCAACCAAGAATTTATAGTAGCAAACAATATTTTAAAAATAAAGAATAAATTAATACATTTCCAGGTATGCCAAAACTGAGAGAATTTATCACCAGCAGATCTTTCTCACAGAAATATCTAGGAAAATCCTTCAGATTGAAAGGAAATGACATTAGACAGTAACTCAAGTCCAAACAAAGAAATAGAGAACAGTAAATGTAACTACATCAGGAAATGTAAAATACAGTATAAATAAATGTAATTTAACTTGTAAAATATTCTGTCTGATTTTAAAAACAACTGCATAAAGCATTAATTAAGAAACTCTGTTAATGGGCATATAATGTATGAAGAGGTCATTTATATTACAATAACAGCAGAAAGGGGGTTGGAGAAGATGGCATATATTAAAGTTTTTTATATATTACTGAAAATAAATTGGTATTAATTCAAGATAAATTATTTTAAATGCATGTGTTTTAATCTACAGGATAAGCTCTAAGAGAATAACTCAATATAAAGTAAAATAAAAAAGAAATTAAAATGATATAATAGGACATATATTTAATACAATACAAAACAGTAGTGGAATACTAGGGGAACAAAATGATTTAAAACATATAAAGATATATAAAAATGGCATACACATGCTAACTAATAGGTACTTACATTGAACATAAATTAATTAAACACTCCAACATTTCAATCAAGAGGCAAACATTGGCCGAATGTACGTTTAAAATGACCCAACTCTATACCATCCAAAAGAGACACTTTTATTTCAAATACATAAATAAGCTGAAAAAACTATATATGCCATGCCAACAGTAACAAGTGGCTATACTAATATTAGACTTAATAAGCTTTAAGACGATAACTGTTTGAATTGTCAAAGAGGGACATTTTCTAATGATAAAAGATACAGTGATTGTAAACATGCATGTACCTAACAACAGAGACTAAAACTACAAATAGCAAAAATTGACATAAATGAAAGGTAACAGGAACAATATAACAAAATTAGTTGGTGAATTCAACACCTCATATTTAATAATGAATAGAACAACAAGGCAAAATATGAATGAGAAAATAGAAGACTTGAATAAAATAATAAGCAAATTAGACTTCATATATTCACAGAACACTCCACTCAAAAACACAAGAAAAAAACCAGTCCAGATATAAACCCTTATATTTATGGTCAAAACAACTCAATGAAGAAAAATTTATCATTTTCCACATGTTGCTGGTATAACTGAATATTCACATGGCAAAGAATGAAGTTTGATTACTGCTGACACCATAAAAAATTAATGTAGGCCAGGCGCGGTGGCTCACACCTGTAATCCCAACACTTTGGGAGTCTGAGGCAGGCGGATCATGAGGTCAGGAGTTTGAGACCAGCCTGACTAACATGGTGAAACCCCGTCTCTACTAAAAATACAAAAATTAGTCAGGCGTGGTGACACATGCCTGTAATCCCAGCTACTCAGGAGGCTGAGGCAGGAAAATCACTTGAACCCAGGTGGCAGAGGTAGCAGTGAGCAAAGATCACGCCACTGCACTCCAGCCTGGGCAACAGCATGAGACTCCGTCTCAAACAAAACAAAACAAAAAATGTAAACCATATCATAGACTTAAATGTAAGATTAAAATTACAAAACTCATAATGAAAAGGTCATATATATCCTTGACTTTGCATTAGGCGATGATTTATTTGTTGTGATACCAAAAGCACAAGGAATTAGTAAAAGTTGAAATTTGAATTTCATCAGAGTTAAAAACATTTGTGCTACAAAGAATACCAAAAAGAAAGTGAAAATACAATCCATAGAAATGGAGAAAATATTTTCAAATTGTGTATTGGAGAAGATACATAATTTGAAAGATAGATACAAATCTATACTATACAAGACTAGAGATAGATACAAGTCTATACTATAATGAAGAATGCTTACAACCGAAAAATAAAATTACAAATAAATCAGTTTAAATATGGGCAAAGTTTTCAATACCCATTCTACAAAAAAGATATTAAAATAACCAATAAGCACATAAACATGTTCAACATCATTAGTTATGGGGAAAATACAAATCAAAACCACAATGAGACTACTTCACACCCAGTAGTTGGTTAAATCAAGAAGATACACAATAGTAAGTGTTGACAAGGATTGGAGAAATTGGAATCCTTGTGCATTGCTTATGGATATGTAAGCTGTTGTAGCCACTTTGGAAAACAGTTTGACAGTTACTCAAAAAGTTAAACACAGAGTTACCATATAATCTAGCAATTCTAGTCATAGGTATATATTCAAATAAATTGAAAACAGGGATACAAACAAAAACTTGTACATGATGGCTCCTCATAGCACTATTTAGTAAATAGTCAAAATGTGGAAACAAGATGAATATCAATCAACTGATGACTGGATTAAAAATAAATTGACATATTTATATAATGCAGTATTATTTAGCAATCAAAAAGAACACCACACTGATACTTGCTACAACATGCACGAACCTTGAAAACCTGAAAACAGAAGACTACAATCTATATTTTAAAATAAAATATACTGATGAAAATAAATAAAATATTTCTGAAATTAGATAGCAGTGACATTTCCCTTAATGTACCAACAGTCACTGAATTGTGTGTTTTAAAAGGGCAAAGTTTAGTACATCTCAATGAAGACATTCTTTTTTAAAGAAAGAATGTGTGGATAAATAATTTTACACCAAATGCAGTTTTTTTCTTTCAGTTTTAAGTGGAGCTTAATATATATTTCATAAATATTATTTCTTGTATTAATAGAGATGAAGAAATATGCAAATGAAATTAAAAACAAAGAAAATCAAAAGATACAAGTTAAAATTGCTTTAATAACTTCAAATTTATGCAGAACTATTGTCAGGTTTTACCAATTTCTCTTTTATTTATTTGTGCTAGAGTATCATAACTTTAAATAGGCTGTGAAAATTCCTGGCACTTTTTTTAAATTTATAGAAAGCCAGAAACCTTTACATTCATTTTTCCTGAAAATTATATTGTAGCTAGTAAGTTAGTAAATATTAATTGAGAATCGTGAGAACTTTACCTATATTTTAGGTATATTCAATGTCTTCCCCATTTTTGAATTTAATAAAGAAAAATATACTTCAAGCACAGTAGGATTTCACACCTTGGAATAAAGAAAACATATACATGTTAACATTTCATGTTTAAAAATTGCATACTTGAAGTGCATTTCTTTGTTACCAAAAATCAATTAATTTCTATTAAAAAATAAAAAGGATCTTTAAGTCCATTCTGTTACCAAAGGATGAGTTTTCACAATAAAGAATTTTTTGTTCATGACAAAGCAGAAGCGGACTGCAGTTTGATGATGATCTAATCACTTGTCTTTACAATGGGGTTAGCAATAATATATGATTTTCAGATTGGTGAACTTTAGTCATTCTGGCCACTGCCCACAACAATTTTAGTCTATTATTGTGAGTAGTTGTGTGTTATCATTTAAGTCACAAACATGGTCCAGAATTGACCTATTAGGTTGCAATAAGTTGAAAACATTAAATGGCTTCTCAGTCTCTAAGTTGATATCTGACAGCATTTAGAATAACCAAAAAAGCTCCTCTTTATTGTATTAATATTTTATTCTGTTCATTAAGGTAAAATGTACATGAGTAGGTATATGTGCCTAAGAATCAAGACTAGCTCTAAAATATTGTACTTCTTTAGATCCAAGTACCATACAATTTTTTGTTTTATTGGCATTCATCATTTAGTTTTCATAATTGTTCCTTATTAAATTTTTTAATAATGTATTTTCATTTTAATTTTATAAGACATTACTCGACCTTGGGAAAAAGTCAAACTATTTTATGTTTAAAATATAATGCTATTAATATTCTTAGTAAAATATGTATATATGTATATAGATATAAAACCTGTCTAAAATTGTGTGTGTATATATATATATAGTAATTTTTTATATAAACAGTTTTCTTGCACACCAAATATAGCATTCAGTGCACATCAGGACCTATCATGGACAAAAAGGCAGCTCTTTTCTGGTGTCAGTATGGATGTTTTTCTGAAAAAGTCAGTGATGTGTGTCAGAGGACAAGATAGAATCTTCCCACTCAAATTTTATTTTTCTTTTTGGAGTGACATTTCATTCCTTGGAATTTCTAATACATAATACTTTAGGTGTTACCTCTATTACTGAGAGATTTTAAAGTGTTTTCTTTTCTGAAAAACTATACTTCCACACTGCCATTTTGCAACTAAGTCTTTTGTACTGAGACATTCTTTTTTTTTTTTCAGCAAAAAATACAGGCATCCAAATACATAGAATTTACAAATAGCATTTGAAGAACTCATCAGGATGATTATATATTAGATATATGATCTAGTGTTCAATATAATGTTTTTTTCTGAACATTTAAGATTCTACCAATTCATTTTGTGAAAAGATATTTGTGATGAAATAGATCAACGTAGGCATAGCTATTGTTATTTCTCTCTTATCTTTTCAGGGACCCACTGCTAGGTGCCTTAAATATGTATCAGGTATGAATCTCCTTCCATAATCACAGGCGTGAATGGAACATAACATTTTTTCTGCTGTTGTTGCCATTGATACAGCAAAAACTACATTTATTTTCTCTATTCATATTTTCTCTAGGTTTTGCAGAGGATGAACATAGTCCCCATAATTTTTCTTCTTGTTATTCTTATTTGAGATTAGAAATGTCCCAGCATTTTAGAATATTTCTTACATTATTCTAGTCATCTGCCCTAGAAGCCTGAAAGGCAATACAAAGTACTTGAATAAAGAAAAGAGAAAAGTGGGAATAAGTGGCAAAAAAAGCAAAACAATATCAGCTAATATCTTGATAATATGTTTCTACCATATTTATTATCCAACTTGTTCCCGTAATAATCCCTTATTATATTTCTTATTATCCCCAGTATCCAGTGTAAGACATACAGACTTGAAGAAATTGAAACTGAGTTACTCACTGGAAGCCAGAAAGAAAGAGAGAAACTAATCCCAAATAAATAGTACAAATTTTATCTTACTACAGAGCACCTGCTTTTTGTAATTCACATGTCATTTTTCTTTGGAAGAATAATTTGGAAGTGAAAAGCTATTTCTTTGAAGTGAGATTATACCTCATCAGATTACCTGTTCATGTTGCAATATATGGACAAATAAATGAGGTTACATTTGATACAGATATTCAAATATAGGAATTTGGTTTAATAATACAACCATATGACATACAATTTTACAGGTAATTAGCAGAAACAAGATAAACATATGGGTTTTCTTTTGTGAAACTATATTAATTACTGATGCAGAAACTTAGAAGTTGTCATAGAAAGTTTACACTATAACCAATCTTAGCCTAGTGAGGTTGTGGATAAAAAGGAATACTTACATACTTTCGGTAGGAGTGTAAATTAGTTAAGCCACTGTGGAAGACAATGGGACAATTCCTCAGAGCCCTAGAGACAGAAATGCTATTTGACCTGGCAATCTCATCACTGGGTATATACCCAAAGGAAAAGAAATTGTTCTATTATAAAGATACATGCACATGTATGTTCATTGCAGCACTGTTCACAACAGCAAAGACATGGAATCAACCTAAATGCTCATCAATGATGGACTGGACAAAGAAAATGTGGTACATGTACACCATGGAATACTATGAAGCAATAAAACCAAAAGAGAGCATGTCCTTTGAAAGGAGGACATGGATGGAGCTGGAAGCCATTATCTTTAGCAAACTAACACAGGAATAGAAAAACAAATACTGCATGTTCTCACTTATAAGTGAGAGCTAAATGATGAGAACACATGGACACATAGAGGGGAACAACACACACTGGGGCCTATCGGGGGTGGAGGGTGGGAGGAGCTAGAAGATCAGGAAAAATTACTAATGAGTACTAGGCTTGATATATGGGTGATGAAATAGCCTGCATAACAAACCCCCATGACACACATTTACCTATGTAACAAATTTAACCCTGAATTTAAAATAAAAGGTTTTTGAAATCCAGATTTCTACCAACATTTAGGTCATGAGGATATATGTATTTTCTAAGAAAATAGAGGCTTTCTCTCCAATATTGTTTTTTCTTTCTGAGACCTCATGAGAATCATCTCTAATAATTCATATTTCTACGAACAGTCCCTTCACAGCAGTCTAGACTTTTACTACCACGAAACTCCAAACCTCTCCACCCTCCTACTCATTACCCATTTCCAAAGCCATGTTAACACATATTTAGATACTTGTTACAGAAACAGCCCACTTCTTCATGCCAAAATCTGTAATATTCTGGGTTCTGTACAGAAACAGAACTGATAAGATAGATGATAGATAGATAGATAGATAGATAGATAGATAGATAAAACTACATACTGCATATATAATTTATTTTTATAATTCTCACCCTGGATTACTGATGTTTCAGATATCTAAATCACAGTGGCATACGTTCATCTGATGCAGTTCTTCATCCTCAGTACCAAATATGCAAAATTAAAAATAGACATGGTGTCTCTATGCAGTAGGCATACATTATATATTTATACTTTATGTATAAAGATAACATAAGGAATTGGCTCACATGATTATGGAGGCTAACAAATCCCACAACCTGTTGGTGGCAAGCTGGAGACCCAGGAGACCTGGTGGTGCACTTCCAATATGAGTTTTAAGTCCTGATAACCATGAGAGCTGATGGTTATTCACAGGCAACCAATGTTTCAGTTTGAGTCCAAAGGCAGGAAAAGCGTAGTGTCCCAGCTCAAGGCGGACAGGCAAGAAAAATACCCTGTTACTAGGGGGAAGGTGAGACTTTTGGTATATTTGAGTGTTCAACAGATTGGATGAGGCCTACTCACATTAGGGAGGGCAACCTGCTTTGTGTGGTCTATCAATTTCAGTGTTACACTCATTCTCAATAACTTCCGTAGGAACACAGAATAATGTTTGACCAAGTATCTTGGAATCCCATGGTCCAGTCATGTTGACAAATAAAATTAATCATCACAGTAGGAGCTGATGTGCTATATGTTTACACTTCCCTATCCTATAAGTGCCAGAGGGGATTCTCCTGCTTAGGAAGAATCACATATAGAAAAGTGCTAGTACCTCTTGGGCCCCACAAATCTAAAGAACCTTTTGAATTGCAAGTTTGTGTGGCATAGTTTTGCAAATTGAAGCCTCTAGCAAAAAGACGCAAAATCGAGCTGGAAGTGTCCTTTAGACTTTTGAATCCTACATCTGACTAATATGACTGCTCCCTGTACTCTTCTTGCAAAGCACCTACTTGGTTGCTACTGGGCTTTTGCTGAAGCTGAAGACTTGATCCACAGAGGCTTTGCAACTCTCCTGCCTGATACTGCCTATCAGGATGAGTCAATGGAGACTCAAGAACTAATAAGGTAGGAAGTCCCCATCTATCTAATTTGTCAAATGGAAATGGTATAGTCCAAAATTCAACTGGTCTAACCCCAATATAATTTTGTCTTTACATGAAAAAGTGGATGTTTTCCCCTTGGGGAAAAGTTTCTCAATTACATGAAGCAAAGCCGCTGGCCCCACTGCACCTTTCATTCATAAGGTATCCCTTAAAAAGGTTGACCTAGATTACTGATGGTTCAGCTATCTAACCTACAATGGTGTGTATTTGTTTGATGTAGCTTTTCATTCTTACCACCAAATATGCAGAACTAAAAACAAATGTGGTATCTCTACTGAGTAGGCATAATTCAGAGCCATTCTCATCACTCTAGCCAGTACTCCCCACCTTTTTTTTTTTTTTTTTTTGAGATGGAGTCTTGTTCTGTTGCCCAGGCTGGAGTGCAATGGTGTGATATCTGCTCACTGCAACCTCCACCTCCTAGGTTCAAGTGATTCTCCTGCCTCGGCCTCCTCAGTAGCTGGGATTACAGGTGCCCACCATCACACCTGGCTAATTTTTGTACTTTTAGTAGAGGCGGGGCTTCACCATATTGGCCAGGCTGGTCTCTAACTCCTGACCTCGTGATCTGCCCACCTCGGCCTCCCAAAGTGCTGGGATTACAGGCATGAGCTATCGCTCCCGGCCCAGAACTCCCTTTGATAAACATTGTTATATTTTTACTGAGTATTGGTCTGTTGTTAGTAGCCTAGATGTTTACTCTGACACTTAGAAAACTACAAACTAGCAGATTAAAGACTGAAGCTGTAAACTGTAGAAACAAATGGCTGTTAATTAAACAATCTGAGTAATTCATCTAGAGACCAACTGGAATCAAGCTGCTGATCATGCCTGTACCACCCAAATTACTATCACTGCTAACTAAATCCATTACTGCACTAGACATGGCAATACATCCGCCATTATAAAATGTATGCAAAATAAATGGCTTTGTTTCTGTCACAGAGGCTACCACTTAATGCCAGATATGTGAGTCTGGCCAAAAGTCACTCATTTCTTTCCTAGTGAGGAATACCAATTTCAGAGCATTATACCAATGTAGATTGACTACAGTGAACCCTTCAAGTCCTCTCATTGCTCAGTAACTTGCAGTAATTCACCACTGTTGACCATTTTTCATTTATGATGTTGCTATTTGAATCCAATCAGTTGATTCCCACCCCGATATCAGGGTCCTTGAAGCAAATCCATATTGTGTTCTTGGCTGTGTGGCACATTTTCATTTAGGCATCCTTTATTGTAAAAGTCACTTAAAAATGTTATTTCATGTTAATCACTTCTTAGGTAATGATTTGGACAAAAGGGATGAGGGAATAATATACAGACCAATTTTGAATATTTGGGATTCTGCACAGAATATTGTCAAGCATGATGTTTCTTTTGTTCTCCTAAAGGGAACCCCAGACTGGCCTGTTATTATACTCTCTATTAACCTGATGAACAAAGAATCTTAGGAGGTGCAAGTATATTCTGGTTCAGCCACACTGGGTTCTCTTATTGGTTTGGCATTGTAATAGTCAGAATTCTTCAGAGCCAGAACCAATAGGAGATAGAAAAATAGATAGATAGTTGAATAGGTAGGTAGATAGATAGATAGAGAGATAGATAGATAGATAGATGAGAGGCGGTTATTAGAGGAATTGGCTCACACTATTATAGAGGGTGAGAAGTCCCACAACAGGCTGTCTGCAAGCTGGGATGCTGATTGTGTGTCTCAGTCCAAGTATAAAAGTCTCAGAACCAGGGAAGCCAATGATGTAATTCTCAGTCTGAGGCCAGAGGCCTGAGAACCTGGAGAGCCCCTAGTCTAAGTCCTGGAGTCCAAAGACTGAAGAGACTGGAGTTCTAATGTCCAAGGGCAGGAAAAAAAAAGGGTGTTACATCAACAGGAGAGAGAGATAGAGAGAGACAGAGAGCACTATAGAGTGGAAATTGTCTTTTCCCTGCCATTCTGTTCTATTCAGCCCCGCAGCTTATTGTGCTGCTGGTAGGCCAGTTCAGGTTCTTGACTTTGCTGCACCTAAGAATTTGAGAGCAAGTCCAAAGTAAGAGTAAGCAAAGAAGTTTACTGCAAAGCAAAAGTACACTCTGAGAGGCAAGAGTGGGCTGCTCAAAGGGAGAGACAGCAGCTAGTGCCTTAAGGGGAATCTCTTTTTATGGTAGCTGTATATACATATTCATAAAATACTGGCAAGGTCAAGTATGCAAAGGCGGACCTGCAGTTGGAACATGTGCTCGGCATCTACATGCTCTAACATGTAACATATGTATCATTAGCATATAAAATCTCCACCTAGTGGTGTGTTTTTTACTATTCAAATGAGGAAAAGCTTACTATAAGCTAAACCTTGAGCCTAGCTGTGCATGTGGGACCCCAGGGAAGTCTCTAGCCCCCAAATGTTGGAATTTGTAGCTAATACCTTCTTTGGCTTTTAGTGCTGATGGACTGGTGATTGGGGAAGTTACATCAGGAATAAGGGGCTTTTGTTCTTTCCTGGGCCATACTGGGTATCAGGGACCTGTAACCATCTGGCTGTCTGCCGGTATCCTTCCTGTAGGGTTACTAACCTTGCAAAAAATTGGGTGGTCATGCATGAGGGTGCAAGGGATGCAGAGCCTGCTGGGCTTCACACAAGGGGACAAGCCAGTTTGGCCTCCTAACCTTATTTATCCTGACTCAATTGGATGGTGCTGCCTACCTTGACAGCAGATTTTCCCCATTCAATCTACCAATTCACATGCCAGTCTCCTCTGGAACCACACTCACACATACACTCAGAAGTAATGCTTTACCAGCTCTCTCTGTCTTCCTTAATCCAATCAAGTTTGCACCTAAAATTAACCATCACAGATATCATCCTAGATCATAATGCCCATTACCATTTAGTTGAATTTACTGCTTGCTATTTTTTCCTACTGTGGCCCATACAGGTCAAAGTGGGGGACACAATATGTCCTTGTAAGTTTTTAAAAATTATTCTTATACCTGACTCTGTGTAAAAGGTCTGGCTATGACTATGGAATATTGGTGAAAAGATGAAGTTATGGCTATTGGAATGGGGTGCACTATTTTTGAGGTAGCGGAGAGAGAGCAGTAATGCAGAACCTGGTGAGAAAATAACTTAGTTTCCACCAGGTACAGGAAGGTAGGGAGGGACATTAGTGGTCTTTCTCTTTCTAAACTGTTCCTAGAGCTTTCTTCATGAAGGAAACATGCCTAAATGCATCTCTACTAAACATTACTAGTGTGTTAATTTAAATGACTGCTGTATCTACTATTCCCTGCCGAAGACTTTCACCACAATTTGAAAGTCCGCTTAAATGTAGAGATAAGTCAGTCAAAAACAGCAGGAAATGTCCCCAGCTCCTGCACCTCCCATGAAAAACATCTGTCAACACGTCTGGATATATTTTCCACCCCATTTATACATTCTCTGCCTAGACGCTCCATAGAGCAGATGAATACCACCTGGCTGGTGGCATGGTCGAACCATTTAGTTTGGCTCCAGGCATTTCTCCTTAAAAAAAGAATCAGACCCAGAAAACCCAGAAACCCAGTTTCTTTAAGCTGACAGAAAATCGTCACACGTGTTAGCTGAACTTGAGGTCACACTGGAGTCAACATTTTCATTCCATAGATACACCATTTGCATCCCCAGAGACTGAACTTGTATGAACTCAGGCATTACTTGCTTCCTAACCAAATGATAATGACTTGCCTTCTAGTGGTGGTCATAAGGTATCTTCAAGTTATTAAAAGAAACATCATCCTGAAATTGAAAAGCATTCAGGTCAGCCTGAAAATTATTGGCCAAGGTTGTTATAAGTGGTAGAATTGCCCTAGAATTCTTCCTTGTGTTCTAGTAGAAGCTATGTAATCATGAATACATCTTGCTCTGCTTGAATTAATGTTTCCAGCCTAGCAGAAATGTCAATGCAGAAACTTATAGAGACTGGCACTTAGCTTCCTTTCTAAGGTCATAACGTTTAAGGAATTTTGTTCAGCTGGTTAAGTCTGGGCTTCTAAAGGGCATGGGTTGATATCTATTGTGCAGGCTGACATCATCATTCTGCTTTGAGTCATGTTGTTAGCTGCTTAAGTAAATTCTATATGAGACAAACTGGAAAGATTCGATGCCAGTGTCTGTCAGTAAGATTAATTTAACTGGTGATTAATTTGACAATGTATTCATGGGAAAAATTTCCAGGAGCCAAGATGTGAAAATGAGGGGTGGATAATATTGGAAGAAGATTCTCTATGAATTTTTCACATTTCTGCATGTCTTCTGAGCAACAACATTGACTGCCTTTATTCGGAACTATCTTTCCAAGGATATTTTTTGTAGTAACAGACTTTGGAAGATAGCCTTCCTCTGGGGCAAAGGGAATGTGTGCTTGTGCCTATTATAAAGGTATCAGGTTCCCTTAGCTTGGAAAGATCTACTGTAGTAATAGAACCTACTGTATGTGCAGCTGTCAATATGAAAATGTGGAAATTCTGGCTACTGCTACTGCTGTGATGATACTCTGATCTTTTTATCTAACTCAGAAGTCTGGAGTCTTCTGTCAGCAACCGTCAAATTGTGGCTAACAGCCTAAAAGTAGAGTAAAATCTTAGTAAAAAATTATGCTTATTGCCTTATAATATACATTGTCTGCTATTAGACAATGCATTTAATTTTTATTTTCAAGTTGCATTTTTTTATCTTTTCCTTCTCAACTTTTCTTAATCCTTGAATATAAGTGTTTCTTATAAACAGCTTATGATTGAGGATTTTCTTTGTCCTATCTGACTGTCTTTATTTTTTCATTGATGTTTATAGTCTGTTTACATTTAATTATCTATATAGTGGAGTTAATATCTAGCTTCTTATTATATCATGTAAATATTTTTATAATTAATATTCTAACATTAATATTAGCATATTATAATTAATATTCTACTTTATAATTATTAGTTTACTTTTTTATAAATGCAAGGTTTTATTATTTTTTAATCTGAACAATCATGTTTTTAATTTCTAGGAACATTTTATGTATTTTTAAAATACACTTTTTTATTATACAGTCAAGACATTATTAAAAGGAATCTTAGAATCACTACTTGCATGACACAATAGCATCAACTATGATATTGTTTAGAAATAATCAGAGATATATAAGCCCAAATATATGAACAGTTATCAATTGAATAGGAATTATTAATTGCATATAAGTTCAATTGAATATGAGTTATCGATTGGAAATAATTTCAATTCAAACCTTAGCATTGATTAATTAACATACTTTATTATTGATTTTCAGGTATTATACCTAATTTTTTAAATAGCAAAACTAAGCTTCCAAAAATTATGGAAATAACAAATTAAGAAATTGTGAGAATCAATTGTTAAAATTTATATCTTAACTTTTTCAGCCTACAAAGTCTAACTCAACTTTAGTCTGACTTTTAAAAATATTACTAGGGAAGACAGTAAAAGGATAAAAATGAAATGTTCCACCTACATAAAAGAATAATGTTACGAAACATTAAATCTGTCGCAGTTGAAAACACATTTGTGGGAGGAACACTTACAGTAGAGTTAACCAGACTGTTTCCTCTTTTTTTCTTCGTTTAGGTTGAGTTTTTATGAGAGTAAAGTTCATAAAAGAGCCAATGGACCAATAAATGGCACTTACGGGTAATCAAATGCTATAGTGAAGGCAAGGTATTTGATTACCTTAAAAGTTATTCTACAACATACTGGACATTACTCCTTCTATAAAAGTTGATTTTGATTTGATAATGAATACTGTTTTTAACCACATGAGAGTTACAAAATAAAAGTTTTTGCTTTCACTTTTATTGCCAGTCTGTCTTGACACTTGCTATTCAAAATAGAATCCATAGTACCAGCAGCATTGTCATCACATGGAACTTATTAACAATGAAAATATTAGGCTTCCCCTTAGAATTACAGAGTGAGATTACACATTTTAATACAATCCCAAATGTATTTTCGTGCACGTTAAAATATGAGAAATATTGGTCTGAATAAGTCAAAGACATCTCCAAACAGTGGAAAAGAGAGAAAATAAGAGGAATGCATTTTTAACATTCATCAAATTACAAAATAAAAATTTTTGAAAACTTATTTTTCCTAAATCTGTTGTGAAAATGTGGTGATTATTATTTTGTCCTTTAATATTTTTCAGGAAGTTTTATAGAAGCAATTTTGTGAAATATACATTATTTTACAAGTAAATAGCCAATACTGAGAAAAGTACATGGAAGGTACCCAGCAATACATTTACTTCCACACCTTAACCTTATCCCTCTCAAAACTTTTCAGTAATGAGATAAAATTTCAAGGGTATAAATTCTTTGTGAATTGCGATGCAAGTAGTGGTTTAAATTGCATTGTATATAATTTATGATGAAAAAAAGTCTTATAAAGAGTTATTTGATCCCTGTGTTGTATTTTTACTCATTTTTTGGGGAAAAAATTACTTCTAATGACTCTTAAAATGCATATTTGTAAATATATACAGGCAGAGCTTATAGTCAACTGGTAAACACTGTTAATAGCCTATGACTAAATGATCATTCACTTTTCATGTTATACCAGTTGTTCTAATATCACTCCTGTTTTTAGGGAAAAGGTATTTATCTAATATTTTTTGAGAATTACTCTCTAACTGCTTTTTGCTATCCATAAAATGTGTTAATATCTATCTCTGCCTGTCAGAAAGTACAATATATGAAGAAAAGTATTTTTGTATTTTTTGTACTGTAACTCTAGGACTTAGATTATCAGTAAATATTAGTTGAATGAAGAAAATTTCTCTACAAATAATTTTTTTAACAATGCACTCAAAATTAAAATTGATCACAATAAATTATAGCATTGGTTGAAACCAACAAAATTAAAATTCATTTAGTTTGTTTTTTAAAAAATATTTCCACAAAAGTGTACTTGAGCTACTATTTTGCAACAGTATTAGTGAGCCCTTAAATGCCCCTACATTTTAGTAAAGTGCACTTTATGCCTATATTATTATCTTCTGAATTTACGTTATGCTTTTAGAAAGATATATATCCATGACCCAACATTTTCATCTAGTAGGAAATATCCTTGAGTAGTTAATTATTTGATACAAGAAAACAAATTATGAAACAGAAGTATCTGTTTCTGTATAACAAAAACACAAACTGACAACCAAGGTATAACTATAAAGAAAAATAGTTAAATAATATATAGCTTACATACTGATCAAGTCTAATTTATGGGAAAAATATAGTTATAAGTAATCTAGGAAGTATTTTTAAAATAATGTTAATCAAAAGGGAAGAATACAGAAGTATTGCATGAATTCTGAACATATATGCATGCAAGTATGTGTATATGTGGGTATTCAAAAGAAAAAAAATTGAGATAGAACAAAGGAGATACATGTAAATTTGTTAGTTTCAAGTTTTTAAATGACATTTATATATTGTTGAAAATGAACAGAAATGGCAAGTGTGATGGGCATATTTGTAAGCTGAAGGACACAATTAGTATTATTATAAATTATGTCCATATAAAAAAGTATTATTACATGAGAAATTTTATTCTGGAGGACATAAGTGAAGATTTTATAGAAAATATGATAATCTGATATCCATTTTCAAACATAAAAAACCAACATGGGAAAAGGGTTTAGAAGTAGACTAAAGAGCAAAATTAGAAACAAACTTGCTGAGAGTCAGTGTTAAGACATTAATAACAGGGGATGCTTGGTGTAATGTTAAACATTTAAATAAAATCTGTCTTTAGAATATGTAATGAACTGAAACAGTAAGTACTCTGTAAGTGGGAGGGTATAATGGTCTTTGGATCACCTATTTATACTTTTACTTTCAAAGATTCCTTAATTCAATTCTCTGGACATTGGGCTCTAAGTATGTAAACTCTAATAGTTCTCTGGTTCTGATGACATCTATGCTTAGACAAGAGCTCACTGGAGCTGTACAAAAATTTGAGTATTATACAAGAATATTTAATTATGTACAGAAAGGCAACATAAAAATTATTACAGAATTCTAAAACTGAAAGGAAATTTACTTAGTGTTTCAATCAATCCCATAATTCTACAAGGAAAAAAAACTGAAGTTCAAAGATGTTAAACTTATTCTAATTAAATCAACAGATGTTATGTTGTCTATCCAGCACCTGCATAAGGCAATTTTAAAACATCTGGCAATTGAGATAAACTATTTAATGGAGGTCTTCACTAGCAATCTTGCTAGTCCTTAATTTCTATCCATGTATTAACTTAAAACATCAGAAACCAAAGTACCCAGAACCTATTATCTCAGCATCTTTCAGACATGCTATAATGGAGACAGTTAACTCTATTTAACAATCTCTTGATGATTTTTCTTTCTGGCAGGTTCCATACTGGACATGGTAAACACAGTGGTAAACACAGCAGTCACAAGCCCTTTCTTCACGTGGTATGGGGTCTAGACAAATGGCCAAAATACAGGTATAGAGAGAGTAATTATAAGTAAAATAAGCATTACCAGGTCAAATTATATGACACTAGAGAGTATGTGATGAGGGCAAGTAACCTATCTGAGACTGGGAGTAAGGAGGAAGCAGAAAATTTTAGGCCGAGAAAACATGGGTGGTGTCATTTCAGAACAATTGGGCTGTTGGCATAGGTAATATACTTCAAGTTTACAAAGCCTTCAAGGTTTTAGAGAGGGAAATCTATGTCAGCATTATATTTGTATATAATTTCAGTGACTTTGCCAAGTTGTGGCTACTATTTCCTTAATTCACGATTTTATAAACTGTGAGCTCAGGTTACATCTGCCTTACTCTTTGGCAATATGCCCAAGTCTCTAGGATAGTGGGGCTCCTAAGTGAATGAATACCAAGTACTGAATATAATTTTTTTTTTTTTTGCTGGCAAAGGTGTGAAAGAGACTTAAGTTTTTTAAAGTTCTCTTTAATTGGACTCTACTCATTAATGGAAAGGAACTAATTTGAAACTTGTTTATTTAAGCAAAGTGACTGATCTTTCAAAAAGAACCACAATTCACAATATATGTGAACATTAAAAAGTAACCAACAAGAAATATCCCTTCAACATATCTTTGAACAAAATGTTCGTTATAAACAACATGTGAGATATACACACTTAAAGGATAGTTTCACAGCACCACATAATTTTACACTGTACTGAGTATCTGTGGCTTTTCATATGTAACTATAATGCCCAATATAATTTCACATACATTATTGAAACAGAAAAATTGTTGATATGTCTGTCAAATTGTAGATTCTCTATTATAATTCCCATTTCATCACTTCAAAGATACCCCATGCAAGACTAAAGTAAGGAGATACATGATTAATAATGCAGATAGAACCATGTATGATGAGAATAGGTATGATTAAGAACTTGAACGTGGTGAATTATGTACTTAGATATTTAAGTGGTGGGAGAATCTTCTTATACTTTTGCATGGATGGGCACTAAATTATATGGAGTAGGAAGAAAATGCTTTGAGGCCTTATACACGTCAGTTATTTCTACAGCCTCACTAGAGCAAGTATCAAGTAATTTACCTACCCTTTGTTATGCTGTTTGGATGTAGTTTTTCCAAAATGACATCTGAATATCATTAAGTATGAAATACTTAGCAGGGGTTCCTTTCATATTTTCACACTCTTTCGCTATCCTTGAGAGATCAGAAGGCAGAGTTTAGTGTATCAACCAACAGAATATGTGGGAGGTGGGAGGATTAGAAGGAGGAGGATGTTTATATAAATATGGAACCATCCATATGTTTGGCCCTGTTTTTTTTTTAAAGTGCTCAATGAAATGTATTTAAAAGGGGAAGTTCAAATCCCTTTTCATGGCATTCTGTGAGTATGATATCTTTTCCAGTATAGGGAATGTACAATACCCAAATTTTTGTACAGCTCCAGTGAATTTTTTATCTGAGACTAAGAGTAGGTGCCTTATAAACATAGAACTATTAGAGTTTACACATTTTGAGCCCAATGTCCAGATAATACAATGAAATAAATTTTGAAATACAAAGCACTATGTAATCATAATTCAGGTTTCCTTTTGTTACTTTTATTATCTTTACCTTACTCCTATAATTAGGCAGAGATAGGGGAAGGTGGACCTGAAATATGGTGTGTAAACAAATTAAATATATGATGGCAAAATCAAAATGTTTCAAGTTTTTAAGAAGACAGGAAAACCTTCTTTATTTAAAAACATGAAGACCATAAGCTATAGCTTATATTATTATGTTATTACATTATATTATTATGTTAACAACCAACATAAAAATATACCAAAAAACAAGGCAAAATATAACATGATAACCCCAATTTATTGTTGTAAGAGAGGTGAAATTTAAAAAAATGACCTAAGAACACAGATTATGTGACTTCTAATTTTGACTTAGGTGGCTTGATCTTTAGTCATCTTGATAGACAAATTTTGGAGAGATTTTCATTAAGCTCTTGATTTACTGTAATTATTAAACTAGCACTCTATGAGTGTTTCTAGAGAGACTGTGTATTGTATCGGTGCATTTTCACACTTCTACAAAGAACCTGCGATGGGGTAATTTATAAATAAAGGAAGTTTAATTGACTCACAGTTCCACATGACTGGGGTGGCCTCAGAAAACATAATTATGGTGGAACGTGAAGGAAAAGCAAGCATCTTCTTCACAAGGTGGCAGGAGAGAGCACAAGAGAGGCAGGAACTGCCAAACACTTTTAAACAATCAGATCTCATGAGAACTCACTATCGCGAGAAAACTCTGGGGAAAACCACTTCCATGATCCAATCACCTCCCACCAGGTACCTCCCCTGACACATGGGGATTACAATTCTAGGTGAGATTTGAGTGGGGAAAAAGACTCAAACCATATCATGTATGATATTCATGCCTGATCCTTATAAAGTTATATTTCTTTTTAATTAGTAAATTTGTTTCCTAAGAGATTTAAGAGATTCAATATCTTAATTTCTTTTGAGTTAGATCAGAGCCAATCATTCTCTTTTAATCCATTCTACTCTGGCTATTGATGAAGTAAGGCACATGTCCTAGAATGGACAGACCCCACAACCTTTCTTTATTGACATCAGAATTTGCTATTAACATTATTTTACAGGAGAAATTACTATAAAAGTTTTCCAGCTTCTCCTCTACAAGGCTTCTGTTATTTCTCTAATTTTTATTTGTTCTCATTTTCTCCTTTTTTCCATTTTTTGATAAATGAATAAAAATAATGATGTAAAAGAATATTGTTGTGGAAAGTGTGTACAAAAGGAAGAGAACAAGAGCAAGTCCTTTTGCTTATTTTAAAACCCAATCTGTACTATATTTCCATTTCTATGTAAAATAGAATAATCCTAGTAAAGTATCTGATTTTGTGAGTGGTAAATGTAGATAATATTAGGCAGAAGCAATCCCAGAAAGTCAGTAATATCAATATCCTGTATCATGGTACAATTGTCAAATTGTTTCAAAACATATCAAATTTTATCTTTATTATATCTTTATGGGATATGAAAGACAATTGTTATACCTATTGTTCATATAAGGAAGCAGTTGCAGAAAGGTAAATTACTTCCGCAACAGCTTCAAGGAAGCCTGCTTCAGGGGCAGGAAAAGAGTTTTAAGGCTTTTAATCCTAGTCCCGTGCACTGCTTTCTTCTGAGGATCTAGAATTCATATTTTAAATAGTGGAATATGTGTTGACAATCAAGAAGCAACACTAACTTCATCGTTTCTAACAACCAGTAGTGCATGAGTTAATTTCCACTAAGGCATTGCAGAACACTGGCTGGACAAGTCATTCAACAATGGCCAGAAAAACGAACCAAGGGATGGACCATATGCATGATAGAAATGACTCCAGGTCAAACATCTGCTTTTTCAGACATACTCATACATGCCATCTGTGGAACTGCTTTTTGACTTGCAAGGATAGGATTGCAGTATATCTATATAATGTAGTTACATACATTTATGTAAAGTTGTATAAACCATGTTGTAGCCATATTAATTAGTCATAGCAGATTTTAATATTTGTGGTTTGGGCACATTAGTTGGTATCCATGTAATATTTTTAATATGAAGATTTATTTACATCACATTCCTCCTTCTTATGAGGAAAATACTAAGAACTATGAAAAACTGTGAGCCACTATAATAACATTATAACACTGTATTAGTCCATTCTCACCGCTGCTACGAAGAACTGCCCAAGGCTGGGTAATTTATAAAGAAAAGAGGTTTGATTGATTCACAGATTCACAGGCCTGGGGAGAACTCAGGAAACTTACAGTCATGGTGGAAGAGGAAGCAAACACATCCTTCTTTACGTGGCAGCAGGAAGGAGAAGTGCAGTGGGAAGGGGGAAAAAGCCCTTTATAAAACCATCAGATCTCGTGAGAAGTCACTCACTATCATGAGGACAGCAGGGGGGAACAGCCTTCATGATCTACTCACTTCCCATGAGGTCCGTTCTTCAACAAGTGGGGATTACAATTCGGATTACAATTCAGTATGAGATTTGGGTGGGGACATAGAACCAGACCATATCAAACACTAACCTGATTAAAGAAAGAAATTCTCTGGAGACTCGCAGGTACAGCTCTAACTCAAAATTTCCTTTCATTATCTAGCTTTTTTCCCCCTGAATTGTATGTTACTCATCTGACATTCATACCAACTGTTCTTGGCAGAGTGCGCTCAAAGAAATTTGTCTATGTAATTAACAATATCTTGTCAATGTAGCACATTTGTTTAGTCAGTGTACCAATAAGTAAAGAAGAGTAGAATTTTTTTTCTCTCGTCATTTAGCCCCCACTTATAAGTAAGAACATGTGGTATTTGATTTTCTGTTCCTGTGTTAATTTGCTAAGGATAATGGCTTCCAGTTCCTTAAAAGCTAAACTGCTCTGGCTTCTTAACATATTCAGATAAATTCTCACTGATGAGATAAAAGAAATGGGACATCTGACTAGTAGAAAGGAGAGCAGAAACAATAAATTAAACTAAAAGGTAACACTAGTGGACAAGAGAAGAACAGAGAACTTTTTCTGAATGTTCTTTCTGGATATTTTCAGGACGGTGCAGAAATAATTACAATTTTTGCCATTAATGCACCAAAATGATACTTCAATGGAATTAGTCACTCCTCTGCTTTCCCTAATTATTAATCAAATTTGATAATCCTAGGACGTTAGGTAACAACACTGCCTTTCCATGTTTTCTTTGCAATTAATATAAACACCTTTAACTCAGTAATGGAAAAGAGCATGGCATTTAATGGGCAGGACCTCTGAAATAATCTCCTTCATACTTCTCAAAATGATCAGATTCATATTAAGATTAAGAGAAGAAAACAGTAATACATATATTTATTTAGCTCTAAATTGCTGAGATAGAAAATTTTACCTTTCAAGCTAAATTTTTAGTAATTGCACACAGATGCTGAAATTCTATTTCAATAAGCAAATGAATCCCCATTTCACAATGCATTTCATACCTCTTAGATGAACTTAATAATCAAAGGTAAATGAGAAGATAAGGAGAAAAATTAAAAAAAAAAATTTACACAAGAGCCAGAATTTAATCATTGTACAAGACACATCTATTGCCTCTCCTCTGTGAATGTTGGAAGACACAGGTGGTTAATACACACACAAATTTTATAGTAATTATAATGTTCTATTTTTAAGGACCCACTATATAAATATTATTTAGGTAAATTATTATTGCAGTGTGATATCCATGTAATAACATATTTTAGTTGCCTCTAATGTATTTACTGTTCACAAAAATTCTAAGTTAAAAATATATTGCTACAAACAGATGTTATATATAATTAGAAGGTAGATTAAATGAAAATACAAATGTCATTTATTTATATAGGTGACACAGTTTGAGAATAATAATTGACATAAATGGATGTTTGTTAGGGATAGTAATTCATTATATAATTCCATTAATATTTTCACAAAATATGTTTGTTGTTTTCAGAGAATGTAAAGCCTCGATTGTAGATGTCTATAGATGAATGGGGTTTATTGAAGCAAAATAGAGACAGGAGGACCAGTTTCAGTAATGGGCAAATACAAAATAAAAATCAACCAAAGAGGAATTAGTATAAAACCCAAAGTTAGATTAAAATGTTGAGGTTTTAAAAAGCAGAACCTAAAACAATATTAAGCACAGAATACAAAGAAAATATACTATTTAACCAAAAACGAATAGCACCTAGACTTCTTGGGAAATTTTTGTGTAGGTCTTTGAAGGTGTGAAATTGTAGGACATCTATCTGGTCTATCTGATGGGAAATCCATGGTATTATTGTTCATTTGTCTTAACTGAAGATTAGATGTTGTAGGAACATGCTAGAAAAAATGTGGATGATCATTTTCATTTTCAGCCCACATTCAGGATTTTAATTCTTTCTTAAGTTTCTTTTTTTCCTTGGAATTACTTGTATACTTGCCTGCCATTACCGATTAGTAGCTGGAAATAATATTATATGTATTTTAGTAGCAGAAACATGTTTTTTTTTCCTTATATACAACACACAGATACATGAATACTTTACCGACACACACACACACACACACATACACACACATAAACACACACAGCTTAAAGTAGGATTTTGCCTTAAAAAGTGCCTGATATATATTTGATGAAATAATGAAAGAATAAAACCACAGACACTAAATGTTCAATAATTTTAAGATAAATATATATATATATATGTATACTTGACAAGTTGAAAATTGTCAAAAATGTTTTGAAACTTCTCCATGTCAGCATGTGTTGTAAAAATATATATAAATAATAAAGGCTAATATATATTATTGCAATGAACCATGTCCTCTTCAAAGTGTTTTACAATCATTAATCCTTTTCTGTTTGTTGCAACCATACTGAGCAGGTACTAATGCCATACTCATGTTACAAATAAAGAAACTAGGAAACGAAGAATTTCAAAAAGTCCCAAGGTCACAAAACAAGGAAGTCATAGAGCTTGCACTTGGTGACATATTATTTTATATCAGAACACAAAAATCTTAAAAATTATGCTAGATTAAAATTAATTTATAGTAAATTTCATTGAGCTAACAATAAAATCTGACTTGCTTTAAAAAAGCAGCAATTAGTAATATTAGTAAATATTAAAATGAGCTATATTTTGAGTAAATATTAATTCATTCAAAAATAATATTAATTTATTAATTAATATGGAGTTATACTTTTGAGTAAATATTAAAATGACCTGTTTAGTAAAGGAAGTTGTTGGAAAAATAGAAATAAATAAATAATATTTAATACTCTTTTTAGGAATAAGCAAAATGAAGTATATCTCAGGAAGTAATAAACAAGAGGAACATGATCTCAAAAATAGTTCATTTTTTAAATAACCACCTGAATGTGAGCTAATTTCAAACAATTTGCACAAACTTGCAAAAAACAAAATAAGCCGAAATATCATGTGAAAATTCAGAAATGCAAAAGGAATTAACATCGAACAAAAATTCCAATTTCTTTGAAAGTATGTCAAATTGTCTATAAAGCCATGGGAATCATTATAAAAATCACAATCACAACTCTTATGCTTGATTAAAATAAAAAGGTCAATATGAGTTGTTTTGAAATGTTTTCATTAGGGAAAATGATATGAAAGCAACCTTAATTTGAAAGTGCAAATATACAGAGTACATTTAGTGATTTATAATACATAATTTGTCTGAAAATAACTCAAGCATATAAGATAACCATGTACAATTTTTATCTACATGGTGATGAGAAATGATAGTTATTTCTCCTCGTAAAATTCTTTGGACTCATACAGTACTTTGAAAATGTGTTACGTTTTTAAAATCTTATTCTTTATATTTATGAAAATAATGTTTTATAGCAGAACTTGGTTTCTTGAAATGACATATTCATTATATTTCATGATTATTGCCCATACATATCAATAGATATTGAAATATTCCAAAGGCACTTACAAAGACTCTTCTTTTTTATACAGGTTTTCTAAATTTAAAGATTAAAAGAAGAAGAGAGATCTTCCCTGTTTTTACTGATTAGTGAATATAATTTTTAGGATTTCCAATGAAAATTTTTGGTTAAATTTAAGTATTTATTAGGAAAAATAACAGATTTTAATAAAACATTATAGAAAATAAGAATTTTTAGAATTATGTCTACCTAATTTCCAAAGCCTTTGTAAATTAGAAAACTGTTTAAAAATCTTTAGGAACAGTAATCCTTTTGTCATCATCTACATTATTTATTTGAATTTCATAAATTCATATTTCTTATTTAACCTTCATGCATTTACTTAACCTTCAAAGCATTTACTGCTTTGTCAACAAATGCGCATTGAGTGTCTGCGTTGTTCCGGGAACTGTTTATGTTCCAGGGTTGTAGTAGGGAATAAAACAAAGTCCCTGCTCTTATTGACTAGTGTTCTACTAAGGGGAGATAAAAAGTAAACAGCAAACATATAACATGTTAAGTAATAGCAAGTGCTTTGAGGAAAATAAATCAGTTTAAGGGATATTAATGGATGAAGGTGAGTGCCATTTTGGAAGAGCTAATAAGGATATGTCTCTCTGATAAGACAATCTTTTAGTACAGAACTGAATGAAATAAGGGGCAAAATATGTAAGGAAGAGAGAGCAGGTGTAAAGGCCCTCAGGTGAGTATTTTGCTTGCTAAAACTCAGCAAAACAGCAAGGAGACCTGCATGGTAGAATAAAGTAGTAAAAAGAACCAAAACAGATTAAGCGCTTAGAAATCAGTTGCAAGATAACCTGGGGTCTCTTTACTTTGCTTTATATTAAATTTTTAAAAATAAATTCAAACTTACAGAAAAATGGCAAAAATAAAAACATGAAAAAAATAACCATGTAGCCTTTACTCAGATTGACCTATTATCTACATTTTACACCATTTGCTTTATTTGTCCTGGCCTCCTTACCTCCGTGTGTGTGTGTGTGTGTGTGTGTGTGTGTAACTGTGTCTGTGTGTATTTTCTCCTAAGTCATTTGAGAATGAATTACAAACATTGCAGCTCTTTACTCCTATTCTTCAAGATGAATTTTCTTAGGGACATTTTCGTACATTATCAGAGTACAGTTTTCAATTTCAGTGGATTTAATATCAATACAATACTATCATCTATTTTTATTTCAATTTTGCAAATTGACACAATAATGCCCTTCTTTGCATTTTTTAAATCTCCAGTACAAGATCCAACAAAATTTGGGTATTGCATTTAGCCGCCATAACATTTTAGCTTCCTTTCATCTGAAATATTTACATAGGCTTTCTAGTTTATGACATTGATATTTCTGAAGAACATACTTCTCTTATTCCTTGCTCTTTTAAAAGAATATAACTTTTATTATTTGGGGTTTGTCTGTTGTTTCTCATAATTAGAAAGAAGTTATGAATTCTCAGCTGGAATACTACACAGGTAATGTTTGGTCCTTATAAGTGTTCCGCATCAGAAGGCATATAGTGTACATAGATCCCTTAGTGGCAATGTTCCTTTTAATTACTTGAACAGGTCAATTTTCCCCACTGTATAGTTACTTCCCCCTTTGCAATTAATAAACTGTCTGCTAAAAAACATTTTCAGGCCATGCAAATATCTCACTGCTCTTAAAAAGCTCCTAGATTTCCAATCCACTGATAATTTTTGGCTGATCCAATCTTGATTATGTATTATAGATTTATTACCACATCAACCAGCCAATATTTGACTTTCTAGTATAAGCAAGAGAACTGCCTCTCTTCGTTGTTATTTATAAATGATCATTTTATATGTATAGGCCTTTGCATTAATTTTTTCAATTTTATTATGATTATTACTTTACTAGTTATCTTGATGCTTAATACATTTAATATTTTGGTGCTAAGGTTGCCGTGGATTTAGCCCAGTGGGTTCCCATTCAAGCTCCTGTATGCTTGTGACTGTCTTAACTAAACTTCATAACTTCCTAGCATAACAAGACATTCCAGGATCTTATTCCTGGCCTGTCCTAGTTCTAGAATCAGCCATTTCTCCAAGGAGCCCTCGTTTCTTTCCCTAGAAAATGTTAAGAGAATAAATTTTAGTCACTAGTTGTGCTCATTTCTGTGAGGGTGCCTCTGTGGCTGGGCTCTTTCATCAAACGGATCTATGACTTCTGTAATCTTCACCTGCAGTTTGTAAGAGTGCCTGTTTCCTACAACCTCACTAACAGAGTATTTTATTAAGCTTTCCAATTTTTTCAAACTGTTGAGAAATGGCATCTCAGTACAGTCAAATTTGTGTGTCTATTACCATGAGCAAAATGAAACATCTTTTCACGTGTTTAAGGCTATTTTATATATTGAATTGTGTGTTTATGATTTTGCCCAATTTTCTAAAGAATTTGTAATCATTTTCTCCTCAAATGTCAAAAGTTCTTCATAAATCAGAATATGAACACTTTGTTTGTAATATATTTCAAACATTTTTCCAGACTGTCACATCATTGGCTTATTATGTATTTTCCTTTGAAAGCTTCCTGTTGTTATTATGTGGTCAAATGTATACATATTTTATTGTAGCTGGATTTTTAGGCATATTTTGATAGCTTTTCCTATACCCAGTATAGAGGAATTTAATAAATTTTTCTTCAGTTATTATATAGCTTTACATTTTATGTATCTTTGATCTACTTGTGGTTTATTCTGATGTATTGTTTGAAGAACAGAAAATGATTTTACCTTTTTCTAAATAGCTATCCATCTTCTCTAACACAATCTATTAAAAAGATCGCATTTGTCCTAGTAATTTGAGATACCACTTTTATCATGTATTGGATCTTTTATATACTTGGGTATATTTCTGAACATTTTTTTGTTACTTTGGTATGAGATTTCTCAGTGTTTATATCTTCTTCTAACTGATTATCATTTGTGCCTGTATTTTTTTTTGCATTTAGTGTTCTATTTGCTAATTTGCAGAATTCTTATTTTTTGAATTAGGTTTATCATTGCTTCTCTAAAGTTTTCCAGGTAAACTACTATGTCATTTGCGGATAGGTATAGTTTTACTTCTCTTCTCTATTGTCATATTTCTTCAGTTTCCTTTTCCTGATTGAATTGACTGGTAGCTCTACAATGATGTTAAATAGTGGCAAAAATGGTAGATACCCATGCCCTGTTTCTGACCCTAGTGGAAATTGCTCTTTCTCCTTTAATTTCCTCCTTTAAATAAGATATTGATTTTAGATTGATGTATTTATACAATATTACATTAAGGAAATATCCATCCATTCCTGTTTTTCCAAGAGTTTTTAAACTGAGTGTTGGGTTTTGTCAAATCATCTTTGAGCATCTACTGAGATAAATATGTGATATGGTTTGGCTGTTTCCCTGTCCAAATCTCATCTTGAATTGTAGCTCCCTTCAGCCTATGTGTATGTATAAGGTATATAGAAATCATAAATGAATTTTGTGTTTAGACTTGGATCCCATCCCCAAGATATCTCATTATTTATATGCAAATGTTTCCAAATCTGAAAAAAAATTGAAATATGAAGCATTTCTGGCCCCAAGCATTTTGGATAAAGGTTACTCAACCTGTATTTCAGTAATGCATGTTATGTTAAATATAAATTTTTATGTAGATTTCCTTTATCAGACTGAGAAATTTTCCTTCCATTACTAGTTATTAACTTTTTCTCATTGTGAAAATGTATTAGTACTTGTCAAATGTTTTTCTGCATCTATTGAGTGCTCATGTTTTTCTGTTTATTTTTTCTTCAATGTAGCAAATTACAGGTTGTCTTTTAAAATCTCAAACCAACCTTCTATTCCTGGGATAAGTTCAATTGGTCATGACATAGTATTCTTTTTTTTTTTTTTTGTAGCACTTTACTGATTTTTTAAAAGATTATGAAAAATAATTAACTGAACAAAAATAATTGCTTTGTACTGTGTGGTTTCAGATATTTTTAGATGTAAAATGTACTACAACAATAGTACAGGATGAAATAATTTAATAGAACTAAAATAGTAGTTCACACATATTTCCCAGTTCTATTGTCCTTAATTCCTTCAGTTACATCTGAGTTTACATTGAGTATTACTTTTCTTAGGCCTGAGGGACTTTCTTTAATATTCCCTATAGTTTTGTGCCTCATGTCAAAAAACAAAAAAAAAAATTCACTTAGAGCTTACTTGAATATGCTTTATATCGTCCCCAATATTAAAATATATATATATATATGAATAGCATATTTAAAGTGCTGAAAGATAGGAAGGCATCCTGTGAACTCAGAGTGCTATATTGAAACATATATATACCTTCAGTGCTTCTGTTAAAAATTTAGCAGTTACATTATTATACGTTTATGAATGTATTTTGTTTTGTTTTCTAGCTGAGTTTACTTTTTTTTCATTTTTGATTCTTTACAGCTTTCCTATGATGTGCCTATGGGTGTTTTTTTCATCCTATTGGAGGTTTACTAAACTTTTTGAATCTGTAGATTGATTATTTTAAACAAATTTAGTAGTATTTGGGCCATCATATCTTATATATGTTTTTTCATTCCATTTTATTGCTTCTCTTCTTCTTAGACTCCAGTTGTGCGTGTATTAGACCTCTTGATATTCCTCTACATATCACTAAGCCTTTGCTAATTAAAAACACTTTGTTTCTCTCTGTTCTTCAGGTTAAATGATTCCTGTTCTTTTGTTTTCAGATTCACTTATATTTTTCCTACAATTTTGAATACGCTGTTAAATTCTCTTAATAAATTATTCATTTCAGATAGTTAATTTTAATTCTAAGATTTCTAATGTTTTTATAGCTTTAATTTCTCTACTGAAATTTCATTATTTGTTAACTAATTATGTTTATCTGTGCCTTTAAGTCCTTTAACATGTTTATAACTAGGCTTTTAAAATTCTTATCTATTAATTCCAATACTTGTGTCATTTCTTGGTTTGTTTCTGTTGAATCCTATTTTGTCTGATCACGGGTCACATTTTTCTGCTTCTTTGTATGTCAAGGTTTTGGTAGTTTTGTTTTGTTTTTATGGTGGGCTTTATGGATAATATGTTGTAGTGGGTTTGTATTATGTTGTCTTTTAAAAAAAAAGATTTTTGAGTTTTTTTACATCAGAAACTTTACTGGCATAATTTACACCTCTTCAGACTGCTTTGTTCTTAGTTATTTCTATTTTTCTTTTCTCTTTATTTCCAAGAGAAATGTTATGGCTTGGTTCTGACTTTTAAGTTTTGTTCTTACTTGGATCTCTACCAATTTCCTAAAAGAATCGGTGAAGTTTATTTATTACGACTGGATTTGAACTCCAACAATTGCATGGTCTCTGGAAGTTTTATTGTTTTTTGTTCCTCAGTTGCCATTTATTGAGAGGCTTTGTGTACGCTTTCCCTGCACATATGGATCTTAGGCTTTGACTAATTTCCCAGGGAAATCCCCATGCAAACACTCAAGACCCCCTTCTTGACTTCCTCCTCCCTTCTAGCATTTCTCTTCTTTTCAGTACCCTGTCCACAATTCCAGCTACATCCTCAAACCCACATTTCAGTCTAAAGCTTCTCAGGTCAAAAGGAGCCAGATACTCTGCATGGGCACCATCTCCATATGCCAACGAAAGCTTTGATAAAAGTAGGTATCACTTTTTGTGATTTTCTTCCTTCAAGGATTGTAATTTTACATACTTTGTCATTCAATCCTGAAAACCTTGACTTATATTGTTTGTCCACTTTTAAATTGTTTCTGGTGGGAGAATATGTTTGGTACCATTTACCTTTTCATATTTAACATTTTTTGAAGCTTGTTTAATTTTGAAATTTTAAAAAAATGTGTTTATTGTCACAACTGAGAAAATACAATGAAATAGAATTACTAGAACTCTTGACAACATCACTCATACCTCATACCTTGTTCAAATTCACCAATATCAATGGTATAGAATGGAACTCTGCTTACTATATCTCAATGCCCATATGAAAATAAACACAATTAGATAAGGATTTATCTTTTTTGTCTTTTAAAGATATAAGCTCAGTGCGTACATAACAGATAGATGGCTTTTTATCACTAATCAAGATATAATTTGCATCATTGTTAGACAACACTTATAGATCAATTTAATTGTATGACTGAGCAATAATTAATGTAATTATTTCTTATGGATTTTTTTTAGATTTTTGAAATCACAAAACATATTCAGCAAACAACTTGTTCTTGTTGCTTTTCTCTGTGTGTTGGGTTCCTCTATGTAGGACTGCTGGGTCAAAGGGTAAAATACATTTTAATATATTTCCAGATTACAGTTTGGAAGCAATTTTCTCCCCTCAACCATGTATAAGAATGCTGTTCTCCCTGCCTTTTTGCCAAAAGATATTTGGAAGTTTAATATATCTTTTTCCTACCAAATTTTTTTTAAAAAAGTATTCACAAAAGCCAAGCTTGACTGATATAAAATAAAAGGTGGTTTCAAGTACAGTGAATTTTTTTTTAAAAAGAAAAAGGTATAGAGTGTCCTAAAGATGAATGAGAACATTTGAAAGGTTACATAGATTAGTTTAATATATACTGAAGCCACAAAAATGTGTAATACAGAAGAGAAAAGTGCATATAAGATTTATCAAGGCTATATGTTTTTGTTTTATGTGTGCTTGCATTATCAAATTTAATGGAAACTTAATTTTAGTGTGAAATTGATTCATTGGCATATTTACTTGAGAGTAAACAACTTTTAGAAAAGAGGATTTGCAGTCACAAGTTAATGATCCAAAGTCTGTCTGAAATTATTTTACCTTTGGTTGAATATCCATTTAGAAGATAATGATTTTTCCCAAGGTCACCTACAATTAATTTGAAGGCACTTCCAGTTTGATTAGCAATTTCACTGACATCATTAACAACCAATGGTCCACCAGCCTAAGAAAGGTTAAATCTACAAATCTATTAAATTCCAAGGAACACTTTGAGTCTCTTTTATTAATTTTTTATCTTTCCTTTTGTGTATTTTTCATAAGACAAGAAAGTAGTAAGTAGAAACTCTTGAAGCCTATGTTGACCACTGCCTTGGCTTAATTTTGAAATTGATCAACCAAACCATGTCAGAATTTTGCCTCTGCCTCAAAGCTCAAAAGGGAGAATTTAAATTTTGTGGTCAAAATTATAAGCAAAGCAAATATATCAGTAAGTAAAGATCAGTGAGCTTCTCCTATTTATCTTTAAAGCCATAAAAATGATATTTTATTACGAATATATGAGATTGTCCTCTCTATATGTGGCTCTGTATACGATAGCATGTTTCTATGAAATATTTACAATATGTCTCTTTACACTATCATTGTTTTAAAATATCTGATTCATAGAATTTCGTTTTAGTTTCATATCATGTTGATATCACCTTGTTATATATAGAATTCGATAATATTTCAAAGCTATGGGTACTCAGAATCTTAATTTTAAAATACCTGAAACACCATATATTTAATCTACTCTGTGCTCTAGACTCAAGATATCTTTATAATTTTGGTTGAATAACATTTTATTGTTCTCTGTATTTGACACATTAATATATAAAAACAACCAAATTAGTGTGAGTATATCTTTATTAAATTATCCATTCTCCATAGTATTTTTAGGCATTCCTCTAAATTTTTCAGAGTCAAGTTGTTTCATAGGACTGAAAGAGTAAAATGATGATATTGTAGATATTTGTAGAAAGTGCTACTGAATGTAAAAGTTTGAAGATAGTGAAGGAAAGAAACAATGAATCTTCCTAGAACTGTTTTCTTGATTGGAAGACAGATAACTCAAAAGACCAGAAGATATATCCTTGTTATACACTGTACCCAGAATAGAAATTGTGATCCTTATAGATTCTTCATAAATGTGTAATACTGATGCCAGTATCATACTCAAATAACCGAACATGCATTACAAGTTTACTAAGGTTTGGTCAAAAAGTTAGCATGAATGAACCCAATAACCTATATCTGCTCCTCAATTATACACACCACAATTATATCCTCTTTAAACACACATGGAAGACAGGTAAAAGCTTCACATGCACCTCATAAATCTGCACAAATAAAAATTTAAAAAACAACAAAATAACA